>NC_000004.12:13072916-13697916 GCF_000001405.40 Homo sapiens | reverse complement strand
ACATGCTTGTAATTTATCCCTCCACCTAGATCCTAAAAATTTGAGAAGACTTACAATAAAGGCAGGTATACTTAGCAGGCTGGTCAGTGTGATTATTATTCATATCAGAAGGTAGCGGAACCAAAATGCCTTTCAACAGGGCAACAGACAAATTAAAGTATATTCATACAGTGGAATATTATTCAGCAATTGAAAAGAATACTGCTGCTATATATAACAGTAGGGCTGAACACACAGAAATACAGTGTTACATAACAGAAGCCAGATGCAAAAGAGTACATAAAGTCTGACTCCGTTAAATGAAGTTCAAAACCAGGCAAGATTAACCAATGATGATTAAGGTCAGAATTGTGAGGACTGGGATGTCCCAATGTTCTGTTTTGCCCAGAACTTCCCCAGTTTTAGCACTGAAAGTCCCACATTCCAGGAAACCCCTCAATCCTAGGCAACTCGTGTCTCAGGCAAACTGTGATATCTGTTCCCCCTAGTATTTCCCCAGAAGTGGAGGTTAGAGACTGAGAAGGATCACAGGGGAAACTTCTGGTGGACAGTGGTGTGGTTAGAAATGTAGAATTTGATTTAGGAGGTGGTTTGCATGCTGTATACATGTGTCAAATTCATCGTGGATAAAAGTGCTCATCAAAGATTACAGCACTTTACTCACTTTACAGTATGTATGATACTGCTCATTTAAAAATAAGAAAGGACCTGGGCCTTAAAAGGGTGAGCAGTTGCAGGAATGAGAGAGACAACAGTGGAGGAAATGGGCACCACAAAGGGGCATTTTCTCAGGCTGTCAGTGGATCCTTTCATCTCTGCCTTCTCTGACTTTCTCTCACATCTGACCCAGTGGTCAGATACTCCAGTATCTGGCACCAGACCTGTTCTCAAGGAAGGAAGACTAGTTAAAGGATCTGGAATTCAGCAATCCATGGCCTTGGATTCGTGGTCCAATCCAGTTGTGCACCCTGACAGCAGCACCCCACCCACAAAGCCTCTGGAGCTAAACCCCATCCAGTCAGGGAATCCAGGGCCACCTCCTATACTAGCCAAAACTCACTTCCTCTGCCCCCATTTTCTCTGGCTTCAGTCATCTTTTCACAGGCCTGGCTTCCACCTCTGCCAAGCCCCTTCAGACTGATGCTTCAGTCAAGCTGTTTGGTTCCTTTAAGCTGGCTTCACTCCTGGAAGCTCTGGAAGAAATGGAATATGATCTCCAAATCCAGTATATGTAAATATGACCAGCACCACCATAGTCACTAAATAAATTTCCTTGTGGTCTTGAGCATCCAGCCCCCATCCTCCTCCTTCCTTCAAAAAATTGGGCCAGGAGTGCTTAGTAAATACTTGGCATACATGTCTCCAATCCACCTGCCACCCCTAACAGGCACCACTAATCAATGCTGACTCTTCCATTTGAGCATGGGTTGAGGTCTTTATCCTCATATACGCAAGGCTTCCTGTGTGATTCATGAATGAGAGAAGATGAGACCTATTTGTTATCACCACACTGGGTTGCAAATTTACAGTGATTTTCTTGGTTTTATGCCAAAGGCATAGATGATACCTCTACTCTAGCCAGTCTATCTGCTACTCAGAGATGACCTGGACACCCCCCACCCAGCTGCACTAAATGAATTTGGCCATTCCTCCAAGCAGTAGGTCTGGTCCTGACAACTCCAGATCTGATCTGCTCTACTACCTAGTGGATGTTAATTTGTCATTGAAATAGTGGCAAAGAGAAGAATAATCTTCCTCTTCTTCTTTGTTTTTTTACTATTAATATTATTTTTATTGAGGTACTGATATCAATAATATGCACTGATCTTAGGTGTTCAGTTGGATGAGTTTTGACAATTGTACACTGTCATGTAACTACCACCCAAAACAAGACAGAACATTTTTCATCCCCTCAGAATTTCCATTGCTGGTGGAACATTTCTTATCACAGTGAAAAGCCAACGAAAAGTTATCCTTCCATTTCCTTTATGTGGATGGGTTCAGATTCCTAGATGCTTGTTAAATTTCACTCCTGCAAGGGACTACTCCAACTCCAGCTATAATCTCAAACATCACCTTGTAATTTTCTGTCTAAAACAAAGAAAACTCCATTCCACTTCTGCTCCTGAACTATTGAGTTTTATCTCCCCAGGCTTTGTTGACCTTCTAAAAGTTTTTATATGTTTTCTTATATCCTGGCTCCTCCACTCATCTTATTTATTGAAGTACCAGTTTTTCAGAATAGACTGTGTAAGACCTTTTATAGCATTGCACAGCAATCTTGTATATTAGGTATCTTGTGGGAGGGCTGTAAACTCAGGAGATTGTGTTAGATATAGTCTTGTGGCTGCTGTAATATTTTTCTTGTGTCTTGTTCTCCATAATATTATACATTATTAGAGTCTATGACTTAAAATCCATTCTTGTCAACTTAAAAGATGTGTGATACACTCCACATAACCATTTTTTACTACTCCAAATTTGTATCAACTTCATCAGCCCAGAGAAAGGAGAAGTGTTTATTATGAATTTTTAAAATTAAGGTAAAATTAACATATAATAAAGTACATGGATTTTAAATGTATGGTTCAATGAACTTTGGTAAATGTATACACCTATGTCGCCACCATTCCAGTAAGGGCATAGATCATTGTACCATTCCAGAAAACTCCACCTCTCCCACTCCAGTCACACCCTAAAGAAGCAACCATTGTCCTAATCTCTACTACCATAGCTTGTTAGCCCACTCTAGAACTATGCATAAACGGAATCATATAGCATGTCCTTTTTTCTGTCTAGTATCTTTCCATGAACTTCATGTTTTTGAGATTCACCTATGTTGTTTTGTTTATCAGTATTTTGTTCCTTTATATTGCTGAGTAGGATTCAGCGATACAGAATCTACAGCAATGTGTTTATTCATCTGTGGAAGGATATTTAGGCTGTTTTCCAGTTTGAACTATTATTAATAAAACTGCTATAACAATTTTGTAAAACTGTGCATTATAATATTATTTATAATAGCTAAAAACAAGAAATGACTTGAATATTCAGCAATAAGGGATTAGTTAAAGCAGTATACAGTAATACAAAAAAACTGAAATCATTAAAAATTACATTACTAAATATTCTTTGTGGAATGAAAAATATAATAGAAGGTTTAAGGGGAAAAATAGAATGCAAAATAGTTTTTGCAGTATATTCTCAACTCTGTTAAATATATATGTATCCATAAATATATATATATTTTATGACAATATAGCAAAATATTAATGAAAAAATTAAATGTGGCAAAGAATTATGAACTGCCTCCCACTTATTAATAGTGGGAGGCAGTTCATAATTCTTTGCTACATTTCACCAGATGATGTAGAATGTGCCAGGTTCTGTTCATCAATCTCTGTGCCAAAGCAAGTTAAAAATAAATCATCTCCACGTATTCTCATGTGCTAGCCAGCAGTGACCTTGACAGCATAAATGTGAAAGATATCTAACTTGACTCATCCAGAAGGAGACACACATAGGCAAGAGTGTGAAGGAAATAGTTATGAAAACCTGTCCCTGCCATTTCTCCAGTCTCAATGCAGTGGCTTTGTTTGGACCCTCATTACTTCTCACCTGGATTATTTCAATTGACTTCTACCTACTCCCCTGCCACTGATCTCCCCCTACCTCTATCCTTCATACCACTGACAATGTGATCTTTCTAAATTATTCTCTGATCAAAGAACTTCCTTTGTAATTCTGCAATGGCTTCCCCATGTCTGCAGAATGATGGCCACACTCCACATGCTGTTAAAGGCTCTCCATGGAGCAGCACCTACCTCTTTGTCACTTCTAATAATATACCCAAGTGCTTCCTCTTGTCATTCTTCAGAACATGCCCAAGACCAGCAGGTCCAGATTACATGGGGTCAGTTAGAAACCAAAAACAGAGATGGGGTTCAAAAGACGAGAATGCAGACCTAAGTAGTTGCTTTGCATTCTGGCCAACAAAGGCACCATACCAGAGATACTAACCAACGCTATAACGCTGCAAGAAACATGGTCCACATGTCTTCCAGGTTTGTCCTAGCCAGCTTCCCCACAAAGCCTGGGGTGCTCTTTTTAACTTTTCCCCTGTCAAGAGGCAACCGCTGGTCAGCAACTACCCACAGAGGAAGCATCTGTCCCTTCCCAATCCTAGCAGTGGAGAGGTGATCCAATTAACTCCTGGTGTTTGCATTAAGTCTTCCTCATTAAGGGAGGTCTATCTACGTCTGGAAGAAAAATGATAAAACCTATCATCACAAAAACAAAGGAAAATATAAAACACGCTAGTAGGTCGGACACACAATTTAGAAAGAGAAAGAAGCCAAATGTTAGTACTACAGAAAACCACCAAACTGCAATGAAACCTAATAAGAGAGAAGTAAAGGAACAAAGCGTATTCAAAACAACAAGAAAGTCACCAAACTGTGGTGGTAGATTATAACAGAGAAAGAAAGGAACAAATGATAATCAAAACAACCAGAAAACAATTCACAAAATGACAGAAATAAGTCATCACCTACCAATAATAACCTTGAATGTAAATGAATTACAATCCCATTTAAGAGATGTAAACTAAATGAATTTAAAAAATTATCCAAGTATGTGCTGACTACAAGAAACTTACTTCACCTGTAAAGACAGATACAGACTGATAATAAAGGAATGGAAAAAGATATCACACAAGTAGAAACCAAAAGCTAGCAGAAGTAGCTATACTTATATCAGGTAAAATTGAATTAAGTCAAAAGCAGTTAAAAAAAAAAAGACAAGGAAGGTCATATTATAATGATAAAGGGTTCAATTAAGCAATACAATATAACAATTCTCAATATATATGCACCCAACACTTGAGCACCCAGATATATATAGCAAACATTATTAGATCTAAAGGGAGAGATACACTCCAATGCAATAATATTTGGGAACCTTAATACCCCACTGTCAGCATTAGACAGATTATCTAGACAGAAGATCAACAAAGAAACACTAGATTTAAAGTGCGATTTAGACCAAATGGACCTAACAGACATTTACAGAATGTTTTAAACAACAGCTGCAGGATACACATTCTTCTCATCAACACATAGAACATTCTCCAAGACAGACCGTATGTTAGGCCACAAAATGAGTCTCAACAAATTTAAAAAATTGAAATTATATCAAATATCTTCTCAGACGACAGTGAAATAAAACTAAAAATCAATAACAAGAAGAACCTAGAAATCACATAAACACATGGAAATTAAACAATTTGTTCCTAAATGACTATTGGGTCAGTGAAGAAATTAAAAAGTAGAATTTTAAATTTCTTGAAAAAAATATTAAAAGACAGCATACCAAAACCTATGGGAAAGGGCAAAAGCCATGCTTAGATGGAAGTTTAAAGCAATAAACACCCACATCAAAAAAGCAGAAAGATTTCAAACAAACTAATGGTGCACGTCAATGAACTAGAAAAGAAAGAACAAGTCAAACTCAAAATTTAAAAGAAAACAATAATAAAGGTCACAGTAGAACAAAACAAAATAGACACTAAAAAAATACAAAGGATCAACAAAATAAAAGTTGGTTTTTTTGTAAAGATAAACAAAATCAATAAACTGCTAGCTAGACTAACCAAGAAAAGAGAGAAGACCAAAATAAAATCAGAAATGGAAAAAAAGATGCATTGCAACTGATACCACAGAAATACAAAGGATCATTATAACTACTATAAACAACTATACACTAACAAATTGGAAAACCTAGAGGAAATGGGTGACATACAAACTACCAAGATTTAACCATGAAAAAGTCAAAAATCTGAACAAACCAACAATGAGTAATAAGACTGAATAAAATGTTTCCCGAAAAAGAAAAGCCCAAGATAGCTTTACTACTGAATTCTACCAAACTTACAAAGAAGAATTAACACCAATTATCAAATTATTCCAAAAAATTGAAGAGGAGGGAATTCTTTCTAAATCATTCTGTGAGACCAGCATTACCCTGATACCAAAATCAGACAAGGACACAAGAAAAAGAGAAAACTACAGGCCAATATCTCTGATGAACATAGGTTCTAAAATTTCAGCAAAATACTAGCAAATCAAACCCCACATACATCAAAAAGAAAATAGGCCATGATCAAGTGGGATTTATCCCAGAGATGCAAGGATGGTTCAACATATGCAAATTAACAAATGTGATACATCATATCAAAAGAATGAAGTAGAAAACCAATAAGATGGTATCAATAGATGCAGAAAAAATATTTGATAAATTCAATATCCTTTCATGACAAAATTATTGACAAATTAGGTATTAAAGGAACATACCTCGATATAATGAAGGCCGTGTATGACAAACCCACAGGTAACATCATACTGAATGGGGAAAAGCTGAAAGCCTTTCCTTGAAGAACTGGAACAAGACAAAGATACTTATTTTCACCACTCCTATTTAATGTTGCACTAGAAGTCCTAGCCAAAGCAATCAGACAAGAGAAAGAAATATAAATTGGAAAAAAAAAGGAAGTCAATGTGTCCCTATTTGTGGATGACATGATGTTATAGAGAGAGAAACCTAAAAATTCCAACATAAAAACTCTTAGAACTGATAAAAGAATTCAGAAAAGTTGCAGGATACAGAATCAACATAAAAAATCAGTAGTCTTTCCCTACACTCATAATGAACTAGCTGAAAAAGAAATTTAAAGAGCAATTCATTTACAGTAACAACAACAACAACAAAAAATACCTAGGAATAAAGGTAACCAAAGAGGTGAAAGACCTCTACAAGGAAAGCTATGAAACACTACTGAATGAAATTGAAGACCCAACAAATGAAAAGACATCCCATGCTCACAGAACAGATGAATTAATATTGTTAAAATGTGCAAACTACCAAAAGCAATCAACAGATTCAATGTAATCCCTATCACAATACCAATGACATTCTTCACAGAAATTTAAAAAATAATAATAATTCTAAAGTGTGTATCAAACCATAAAAGAGCCCAAATAGTCAAAGCAATCCTAAGCAAAAATAACAAAGCTGGAGACATTGCACTACCTGACTTCGAAATAAACTACAAAACTATACTAACCAAAAACAGCATGGCACTGGCTTAAAAGCAGACACAAAACCAATGGAACACATTAGAGAATCCAGAAATAAATCTACAGATGTACAGCCAACTGATTTTCAGCAGAGGCACCAAGAACATGCATTGGCAAAATAACATCCTTTTCAATAAATGCTGCTGAGAAAAATGGATATCCATATGCAAAAGAATGAAACTAGATGCCTATCTCTCACCACATACAAAAAAATCAACTGACCTGAGGTCACCAGTTCAAGACCAGCCTGGCCAACATGGTGAAACCCCGTCTCTAATAAAAATACAAAAAATTAACTGGGCATGGTGGTGGGCACCTGTAATCCCAGCTACTCAGGAGGCTGAGGCAGGAGAATCGCTTAAGCCCAGGAGGCGGAGGTTGCAGTGAGCCGAGATCCTGCCAGTGCACTCCAGCCTGGGTGACAAAAGCGAAACTCCATCTCAAAAAAAAAAAAAAAAAAAAAAATCAACTCAAAATTGATTAATGGCTTAAGCATAAAGCCTAAAACTATAAAATTACTAAAAGAAAGCGTAGCAACAATGCTCTAGGACAGGAGTTCCCAACCCATAGGCCATGAATCAATACCAGTCCTTCAACTGTCACAAACCAGGTGGGCAGCAGGCAAGTGAGCATTACTGCCGGAGCTCCACTTCCCATCAGAGCAGCTGCAGCGTTAGGTTCTCATAACAGCATGAACCCTATTGTGAACTGTGCATGTGAGGTATCTAGATTGCACACTCCTTATGATAATCTAATGCACCCTCCCACCCCCTGCCACTGCCGGTCCGTGGAAAAATTGCCTTCCATGAAACTGGTCCCTGGTGCCAAAAAGGTTGAGACTGCTGCTCTAGGACATTGATCAGGGCAAAAATTTTATGGCTAAGACCTCAAAAGTGCAAGAAATAAAAAACAAAAATAGACAAATGGGGCTATATTAAACTAATTTCTGCACAGCAAAGGAAACAATCAACAGAATAAAGGGATAACCTTTTGAATAGGAGAAAATATTTCCAAACTATGTATCTGACAAGGGACTACTTTCCGGAATATGAAACTCGAAACTCAACTCAACAAGAAAAAATAAAAATAATCTCATTAAAATGTGAGCAAAGGGTCTGAATAGACATTTCTCAAAAGAAGACATACAAATGGGCAACTCACATTTTAAAATGCTTAACTTCAATAATCATAAGGGAAATGCAAATCAAAGCCATGATGCGATATCCCCAGTTAGAATGGCTATTATCTGTCAATTATTAAAAAGTCAGAAAATAACAGATGCTGGTGAGGTTGTGAAGAAAAAGGAATGCTTATACACTGTTGGTTGGAGTTTAAGTTAGTTCTGCCATTGTGGAAGACAGTGTGCTGATTATGCAAGGATCTAAAGACACAAATACCATTCGGCTCAGCAATCCCATTACTCAGTATATAACCAAAGTAATATAAAGTGTTCTATTATAAAGATACAGGAACGTGTAAGTTCATTGCAGCACTATTTGCAATGGCAAAGGCATGGAATCAACCTAAATTCCCATCAGTAATAGACTGGATAAAGAAAATGTGATTCTTACACAACACAGAATACTATGCAGCCATAAAAAAGAATAAGGTCATGTTCTTTGCAGGGACATGGATGGAGCTGGAGGCCATTATCCTTAGCAAAGCAACACAGGAACAGAAAAGCAAATACTACATGTTCTCACTTATAAGCAGGAGCTTAATGATGAGAACATGGACACATAGAGGGGATCAACACACACTAGGGCCTATTAGACGGTGGAGGGTAGGAAGAGGGAGAGAATCAGGAAAAATAACTAATGAGTACTGGCTTAATACCTAAGTGTTAAGTAATAATCTATAAAACAAACCCCCATAACATGAGTTTACCTTTGTAACAAACCTGCACATGTACCCTGAACTTAAAATAAATGTTACATAAAAATAATCACTATTATTAAAAAGACAAAAAGTAACAAATGCTGGTAATAATGCAGAGAAATGGAAACTCTTCTACACTGTTGGTGGGAATGTAAATTAGTATAGCCATTAAATAAAATAATATGGAGGCTCCTCAAATAACTAAAAATAGAGCAACTACCTGATCCAACAATGCCACTACTGGGTATTTATCCAAAAGAAAGGAAATAAGTATATCAAAGGGATACTTGCACCCCCATGTTTATTGCAGCACTATTCACAATAGTCAAGATATAGAATCAACTTAAGTATCTATCAATGAGTGTATGGATAAAGAAAGTGTGGTGTATATATATATACACAATGAAGTACTGTTAAGATATAAAAGAGAATGAAATTCTGTCATTTGCAGCAACATGGTTAGAACTGGGGGTCATTGTATTATGTCAAATAATCCAGGCACCAAAAAACAAATACCAAGTTTTCACTCATATGTAGGAGCTAAAAATGTTGACCTCATAGAGGTAGAGAGTAGACTGAAAGTTACCAGAGGCTAGGAATGATGTGAGGTGGTGACAAAAAGAGGTCAATAATGAGTACAAGCACATAGTTAGGTAGAAAGAATAAGTTCTAGTGTTCAAAACACAATAGGGTGATTATCATTAACAATAATAGATTGCATATTTCAAAATAGCTAGCAGAGAAGAAATGTTCTCAACACAAAAAAAGGATGAATGTTTGATATGGTGGGTAGGTAAATTAATACTATGGTTTGAAAATTACACGTTGTATGCATGTATCAAAGTATCACATATACCCTCATAAAAATGTACCCATATTATGTATCAGCTAATAAACAAAGTCTTCCCCAGACTAGGAGGCAACAACAGGTTAGTGATTACCCACAGAGGGAGCATCTGGTCTCACCCAACCCAAGTTGCTAAGTAATGACCAGCAATCCATGGTGCCTGCTTATGCCTACCCTAGGCTGGGAGGCAAGTCCAAGTCTACATATAAACTGTGGAGCATAGCCTTTGGCCCTGCCCACTCTGTGTGGTTGAGCATCAATCCCAGAGACCTCACCCAGCCTTACAGCCAAGCACATAACCCTGTCCAACTACAGATTCCAAATAACAGCACTGCCCAGCCAGGAAGACAACCTGCCCAATATGCAACCCTGTCCCAGCAGAGATTATTACAAAGCCCAGGCAATAGTTCCACCTCACTACAGAGTCCGGCCAGTGTTCTCACCAGACCATGGAACACAATAAACAGTACCAATCAACTTTAGAACACAGAAAGCAACCAAGCCCAACTAGAGAGCTTGACACCAAGGTCTGCTTTCCTTAGATTCCTACTAGTGGCCCATCCAGAATTTCAGGCTAGGCTAAACAGTAAAGGTCTATTACCACCAAATAATACCTGCAAAGGCCAAAAGTTGTGGTCACCTCTTCAAATGACCAGACATCAATGAATGTACACAAAGATTATGAAAAAATCAGAGAAATATAACGCCACCAGAAGAAACATAAATCTGCAGAGAATATGGAGATCTAGGAAATGATTAACAAAGAATTCAGAATAATTATTTTAAGGAAGTTCAGAAAATGCCAAGAAAATATGGATAGAAAATTAAATAAAATTTGGAAAATTATTCATGAGAAGCTTGACAAGGAAATAGAAATAACAATAAAACAAATAGAAATCCTAGAAATAAAGAATACAATAACTAAATTTAAAAATTCATTGGAAGCTTCAATAGTAGAATTGATCAAGCAGAAGGAAGAATCAGTGAGCTTAAAAATAAGCTATTTGAAATTATTCAATCTGAAGAGCAAAAAAAAATAGAATGAAAGAAGTCTATAGGAATTATAGAATATCAGGTGAACAAATATTTACAGGTTTCTGAAGTAAAAAAGAAAAAAGCCTAGAAAGCACATTTAAGGAAATAATGATTGAAAATTTTCCAAATCTTAGGAAATATGACAATATCCAGGTACAGGAAGCTCAGATGTTGCCAATCAAATTCAGTTCAGAGTTTACCAAGATACATCATAATCAAATTAGCAAAAATCAAAGACAAAAAAAAAGAGAATTCTAAAAGCAGCAAGAGATAAGAAACATTACCTTTAGGGGGATCTCAATCCGTCTTTTAGTGGATTTCTCAGCCGAAATTCTTTAGGAGAATAGAGAGTGGAATAATAAATTCAAAGTGCTAAAGGAAAAAATACTGCCAACCAAGAATATTTTATTGGGCAGATCTGTCCTTCAGAAATAAAAGAAAAATAAAAATTTTCTTAGAAAAACAAAACTTAAGGGAGTTTATTACTACTAAGCCTGTTTTACAGGAATTGCTAAAGGGAGTTCTTTAGGCTGAAAAAAAAAGGCTGCTAATTAATAACAAAGAAAATGAAGGTAAAAAGACTTAATGGTATAAGTAGCACATCGTCATCCTCAGAATTCTCTAATACTATAAATGTGGTGTGGAAAGCAATTTTATCCCTAGTAGTAGAGTTAAAAGATTAAAATATTAAAAACAACTATTGCTACATAAATTGTTAAAGAATATAAATTATAAAAGCAAATGTAAATTTGACATCAAAATCATAAATGGTGGAGGGGAAGGGAGGGAAAATATCACTTTTGTATGTGATTAAAGGCAAGTTATTATCAGCTTAAAGTAGCCTGTTATAAGGATAAGGTATTTCATGTAAGCCTCAGGGTAACCACAGAGCAAAAAATTATCGTAGTTGCATAATATAAAAAGAAAGGATTAAAAGGATATCATCATAAAAATCATGAAACTACAGAGGAAGTCAGCAAGAGAGGAAGAAGCAAGAAACCTACAAAACAATCAGAAAACAAATTACAAAGTAGCAGTAGCACATCCTTAGCTACTAATATTTACCTTGAATGTAAATAGATTTAATTATCTAATAAAATTATATACAGTGAATAAATGAAACAAACAAACAAAATTCAATGTATGCTGCCCACAAGACACCCTCTTTACTTGTATGGACACACACAGACTGAATGTAAAGGGATGAAACAAGGCATTCCATGCAAATGGAAACCACAAGAGAGCAGAGGTGGCTATACTTACATCATACAAAAATACACCTTAAGTCAAAAACCATAATGAAAGACAAATAATGTCATTATGTAATAATAAAGGGGTTAATTCACTAAGAAGATATAACAATTATAAATACATATGCACCCAACACCAGAGCATCTAAAGCCATTATTAAATAATTTAAAGGGAGAGATAGACTGCATTACTATAATAGCAGACACCTTCAATACCCCATTTTCAGCAATGGATATATCATAAGACAGAAAATCAATACAGAAACATTGGACTTGAATTAGACCAAATAGACCTGACAGACATATATAGGACATTCCGTCCAGTAGTAGTAGAATACACATGCTTCTCAAGTATAAATGGAACATTTTTTAGAATAGATCTTCTCTTAGGCCCCAAAACAAATCTTAACAAATTTAGGAGGATTGAAATCATATCAAGTACATTTTTGGATCACAGTGGCATGAAAGTAGAAATCAGTAACAGAAGGAATCTTAGAAAATACACAAATACGTAAAACTTAAACATGATCCTAAACAACCAACAGGCAACAGAAGAAAGCAAAAAGAAAATTAAAAAAAAAAAAAACTTAGCGTGTAATCCCAGCACTTTGGAAGGCTGAGGCAGGCGGATCACCTGAGGTTGGGAGTTCAAGTCCAGCCTGACCAACATGGAGAAACCCTGTCTCTATTTAAAAAATACAAAATTAGCCAAGCATGGTGGTGCATGCCTGTAATCCCAGCTACTCGGGAGGCTGAGGCAGGAGAGTCGCTTGAACCCAGGAGGAGGAGGTTGCAGTGAGCCGAGATTGCACCATTGCACTCCAGCCTGGGCAACAAGAGCAAAACTCCATCTCAAAAAAAAAAAAAAACCTTAAAACAAACAAAAATTGGAACACAACATACCAAAACTTGTGACGCCACAAAAGCCGTCCCATGAGGGAAATTTGCAGTAATAAATGCCTGTATCAAACAAGAAAATTACAGATAACATTACACTTAAGGAACTAAAAGAGGAAGAATAAACTAAGCCCAAAGTTAACAGAAGAAAGGAAGTAACAAAGATCAGAGCAGAAATAAAGAAACTAGAAAAAAATAGAAAAGTCAACAAAACTAAAGATTGGTTTTTTGAAGACATAAACAAAAATGACAAATCCTTTGCTAGACCAACCTGGAAAAAAAGAGTTTAAAATTATATATAACCTTGGAATTGATGGAAAAACATTGATTTTCCAAATTTATAAAGGCCATGCACACTCTTTTCAACCTTTGAACATACAATGGGGAAACAATTTTTGACCTTTACACCATATAGAGAAATCAATTCAAAATGTATTAAACACTTAAATATAAAATCTGAAATTCTAAAACTACTAGAAGAAAATATAGGAATAAGCTCCATGGCATTGCTCTGGGCAATGCTTTTTTTGGTATCACCCCAAAAGTGCAAGCAGCAAAAGCAAAAATAGACAAATGGTATGGCATCAAACTAAAAAGCTTCTAGAAAGCAAAGAAAACAATTAACAAAGTGAAGACAACCCAAAGAATCATGGAAAATATTTACAACCATACATCTGATAAGGGGTTAATATTTAAAATATGTAAGGAACTTGTATTAGTTCATTGTCATGCTGCTGATAAAGACATACCCAAGACTGGGTAATTAATAAAGAAAAAGAGGTTTAGTAGATTCACAGTTCCACGTGGCTGGGGAGGCCTCACAATCATGGCAGAAGGCAAAAGGCACATCTTACATGGCAGCAGGCAAAAGAGGGAATGAGAGCCAAGTGAAAGCAGAAACCCCTTATAAAACTATTAGATCTCATGAGACTTTCTACCATGAGAAGAATATAGGGGAACAGCCCCTATGATTCAATTATCTTTTGTCAGGTCCCTCCCAAAACATGTGGGAATTATGGGAGCTACAATTCAAGATCAGATCTGGGTGGGGACACAGCCAAACCGTAATAGAATTCAAACAACTCAGTAGTAAGAAAAAAAAAAAAACCTGATTGAAAAATGGGCAAAGGACTTGAATAGACATTTCTCAAAAGAAGACATACAAGTGGCCAATAAGTACATGAAAAAATGCTCAGCATCACTAATAATTAGGGAAATGCAAACTAAAACCACAGTAAGATGTCACTTTACACCTTTTAGAACGGCTTTTATAAAAAGATAAAAGATACGTGTTTGAGAAGATGCAAAGAAAAGGTGCTATTTTACGTTGTTGGTGCAAATGTAAATTAGTATAGCCATCATGAAAAACAGTATGGAAGTTCTTCAAAAAACTAAAAATAGAACTAAATTATGTTCTAGTCATCCTACTTCTAGGTATATAGCCAAAAAAATGAAATCAATATGTGCAAGGTATATCTGCACTCCCATGTTCATTGCAGCAATATTTGCAGTAGCCAATATATGGCATAAACCTAAGTATCCAACAATTGAACAGACTTTTTAAAATGCAGTATATATACAGAATGGAATTCTATTTAGCATTAAATGGGGAGGGGGGAAAGTCTGCCATTTCTAACATCATGGATGAATGTGGAGGACAGTATGCTAAGTGAAATAAGTCAAGAAGAGAAAGAAAAATATCACATGATCTCACTTATATGTGAAATGTAATAAAGTTCAACTCATAGAAGTAGAGAGTAGAATGAGAGTTACCAGGGGTTAGAGGACAAGAGAGGGAGGGAATGAGGAGCTGTTGATCAATAAGCACAAAGTTTAAAGTAAACAGAAGGAATATGTTTTGAGACCTATTACACAGTAGGGTAACAGATCAATAATAATAATGTATTGTATATTTCAGACTAACTAAGAGCAAATTTTAAATGTCTCACCATAAAAAAGACAGGGAGGTAATACATATCTTAACTAGCTTGACGTAATCATTCCACATTGTATACATATATCAAAACTTCACATTGTGCCCCAGAAATGTATACATTTATGATTTGCCAATTGAAAATAACATAATAAATTAAAATAAAAATGTTAAAAAGAATCTATGAGCTAGTTTTGTTGATACTATTATTACACATTTTCTGTAGGCCTGAGATCAGAGTTGCTAACAAAAACCCTGGAAGAACTAGTCATATAAATGCCCATTTTAAAGCCTGTAATCAATAGACACAATCTTTTTGACAGGGGGTATTCCTTTTTATTCTTTTTTTTTTTCTTTTTAATTATACTTTAAGTTCTGGGATACATGTGCAGAACGTGCAGGTTTGTTACATAGGTATACATGTGCCATGGTGGTTTGCTGCACCCATCAACCCGTCATCTATATTAGGTATTTCTCCTAATGCTATCCCTCCTCTAGCCCCCCACACCCCTGGACAGGCCCCGGTGTGTGATGTTCCCCAACATGGAGTATTCTTAACAGTGTATTAAATTGCAGTCTTTCTTAGGTTTAGCGTTGCATATTCTCAGTTTATTTCCAGAGACATAAGGATGGTAAAGTTTCTCAAAATTATATATTAACAACAGATGGGTCAGTGTAGCGAGAATGGGAAGAGCAGAGTATAAAGAGGCTTTGGTTTTATTTCTGAATGTAAATGAGCTTCATTCTCTGTTCTCAACCTTGGTTCTGCAGCCACCTTGAATCTGCAGCTTCCTGGGACAGCTCATAGCCCTAATGAATCAATCTGCCTGACTAAATTTTTCTTCATTTAAGAAATAAATAAACTTTCTCTTTTGAAACCTCTGATGGCCAAGTGAAATAATCTATCTCTTGCTTTGGAGTTCACAGACTCCTAAGTCATTATAGATGGCTAAGATGTCTGCCTGTAGTTCTTTGTTCAAATTTCAGACCATATTCAGTTCTTAATCTTTCATCATAAATTAGTATGTCAGGCCTCTTCATCACTCTTGTGTGTTGTGTTCTGAACTGGTTCCAGAATAATAAATCAATTAGTAAATGTTTGTAAAGTGCTTTAGAAGATGAAAACTGTGGATAAGCGTAGCAGGTTATGGAAACAGAAAAGTGCACTTAAAAGTGAATCTGGTGTTCTAGGTGTGGCCCTTGTATGCATGGAGGCTTGTTTCTCAGAAACTTCTCAGTAATCTCACTGAGGTGGATTGATTCATTTCCCCATTGATATCTCCCTTATTTCTTAGAAGCAAAGCACATCATATTTCTTTGCAATACTTGTTTGAGTTGAAGGACAAGGACGGCCCCATTTTTACAGCAAGAGAGCTTATACTTGGATACTAAAACTTTCTGATGGCCAAAAAAATGGGAACAAAAAATTAATCAGCAAATGAGACTGTGGAGTTTCTATTAATGGAGATCCTCAGGAAAATAAACAAACATGCAAAATAAAAAAGAGTACTCTTGAATTAAGACTATAGATGGCAAATAATCTTCAATGTAAGTGCCAATTTTGAACAATTGGTATTAGCTGCCTATAAAAAATGGTTTTAAAATAACATGAAGGCCATGTAAAGGAAAGTATCACAATCAATTAATAATGTTTGCCCTGCATTTGGAGGAAGCCATTTGCCAGTAAACAACTTGAAGGCAAGACATTGATGATGGTCTTACACAGGACAGGCCTTCTCCTGCTCTAAAAGATTTCAGATTTTGATGAAAGCAACCTTACAGTATGCTCTACATTCCTTACAAGACATAGGACCTATCAGTGAACATCAGCTTCATACCTGTTCTATATAGAGATTTATGCTAAGCTCTTGGAGGTGAGCAGAACAGAATATATTTCATTTGTATCATACCCTAAGTTTACAAAGATTTGCATCTATGTCCTCTTATTTTACACTCTTTCATTTTTCAACAGGTATTTATTGTGTTTATTACATGTCAGTAGTATACTATGAGTTAGATATAATTGGTAAATTAATAAATAAAATAAATATTGACTCTACCTCTCTGGGGTTTACGTTCTCATGAAAGATAAGAAATAAGAGTTAGGTATGGACTCCCTTTTGAAGATGAGAAAATTCATGCTCAAATAACACGTAAGTCACCCATGAAGAAAAATGACACTTGCAGGGATCAATACTGCAGCCAAAAGCTCCCACTGTAATTTCTCTCTTCCACTTAGTTATCCTGAGCTCCTATTCCATTGTCTCATGTGGCCCCTGATCTCAGACTGACAGCTTCTGGATTGCACTACTCTGGTATCTTTTGGACAATATTAACTTTTGGGGGCTTTACATGGTACTATGAGGTCTCTCCAATGATGCCCCCCATTCCCCAGGTCCTGCAGCTCCTTCAGAGAATGGTCCTCCTGGTATGAAATAGGGAAAGGGGGTTTATAAATAATCCTGAATCAAGCCAGACTTCCAACAGTTACATTATAGGTGACTAAGATGTCTGCCTATAGTTCTTTGTTCACATTTCAGATCATACTTGGTTCTTAATCTTTAATCATAAATTAGTACACCAGGCCTTATCATCACTCCTGTTTTGTGTTGTGTTCTGAACTGGTTCAGATCCAAGATGAAGAAGAGGGGGAAAGGCATTGCAGGTGGAGAGAGTCGCAGACTAGAAAGAAAAAAAATGATATAAGCTACATGTGAAGATAGAAAATCACAAAATGAGTGAGTTCAGGGAAAAATGAGTAGACAGCTTTGGTTAACCCACAGGAAAAATGAAAATATTATTTAGTGCATATGTACCAGGTGCTTTAAGAAAAATGATTTCATTCATTAATCTTCATAACAACTGCATGAGCTAGAAAGGCAGACATCTTTTCTCTGTATATGCAGGGTAACTAATATTCATTGTGGTCAAGTAACTTGTCCAAGGTCATAACCTAGTAAGTGTCAGAGCCAGGATTCATGCCCATGGCCTTTCCATCTCCATATCCAGAGCTCCCTCCACTCAAAACATTCACAGTGGGGTGTACAAGGTACTCAATGCACAATAGGGTGAGATTTATGGAAAGAGTAAAAGTAGACATCAAATTTGGGCTGGAGAGAAGAAAGACAATATTTGCCAATTTGACAATGTTGCTCTTACCTGCTCTTGCATGACATAATGTGTTGAGAGGAAGGCGGGAGTCAACTCTATCAACAGAGCCAGGCCTTCCATCTGCCACAGAAAGGATATCCTTAATTGTTTTTACTTTGAAAAATGTTTAAAAGCCTGAAGACAGACTCTTCATAAATCCTCTTCTTTCTCCTGCTCCCTTTTCTCTCCCTACCCCTTTGCCTGTTGGTGAAGATATCACTGGTTGGCTTCTCAATATCAACCCTCTCTTCCTCAACCTTCCTAAAGAATCTAAATTCATTCATTCACATCTACCCTCCCCTGTAAAACTATGTACATCAGAGAAGACAGGATGCATCCCCAGCCTCAGCAGGTGACTTCTGCTTGATCTCAGCCAATCACGGCGATTCCATTGCCCTTGGCAGTGTTGACATAGGTATGAGTAGGTAATGCAATTGGCTAAATGAGACATGAGGATGAGTCTGTTGCGAAGCTTCTGGGAGAGAGCTCTTCACTCTTAAGGAGATACAGGCAAGAAATGGCCTCTACTTTCTCTGGATACTATTTTTTCTCCTTGTGATGCCTGGAACTATGGCAGCCATATTGTACACACAAGGGTTCAAGGCTAAGGACAGACCACCTTTGCCAATTTGACAAGGTTACTCTTGCCTGCCATGTGATGTGTTGAGGGAATGATGATTCCTTGTGCGTGGCAGAGGCTTTCTTTGGGGGTTTTAGCAACTAAGAGGATCTTAAATGGGAATATGGGCTATAAATGGGAGTATGGGCTATAGAGAAATGAGACAGAAGGAAACTATGATGAGAAGTATTGCTTTAGTAATTAAATGAGTGCTAATACCTTTTGAGAGGAGGGGAAAAATAATATTTTAAAAAATTTTTGGTTGTTGAACTATGTTTTTTTAATATGATGCCACTTTGAAACTAGACTACAATGATCACAGCTTCAATAGCATTAAGACAGACCAAAAGGGAATGAATCACAACATAGGAGGAGAGAGTTGCTATTTGCACATTTGTTGATTTTGTGCAAATTCTTCAGTCCAGAACAGGGGTCAGTGAACTGGGGCCCTAGGGTCAAATCAAGCCTGCTGCTTGTTTTTGAAAATAAAGTTTTATTGAAAGATGGCCAAATCCATTTGTTTACCTATTGTCTACTGCTGCTTTTGTGCTTAAGTGACAGAGTTTAGTAATTGCAGCTGAGATTGTAAGGCTCGCAAAGCTGAAAATACTTTTTTTTAATCTAGCTCTTTACAGAAAGTTTGCTGGCTCCTGATCTAGAAGGAAGAGAATTGAACTGACAGAATATGCAATCAATGGCCAGACTGTAGATAAATGAGTCCTAAGAGCCCATATGAACTCTGACCCACAATCTGCAGCAACCAGCTCAGGAAATCACACATTATCTCTAGTAACCAGCCCAGGAAGCCAGCCTGCTGTCTATGAGTCACACCTACAGGAAGTCAGACAGTTATTAGATTGGTACAAAAGTAACTGCGGTTTTTTGCCAGTACTTTCAATAGCAAAAACCGTGATTACTTTTGCACCAACCTAATATCTCTACCAACCAGTCCTGGAAGCCAAATAATAACCCCTGTAACAATTGGCCCAAAACAACTAGGACTTGATTAATAACTGACAGCTTCTCTAATTTTTATTCCTGCTTCCAACTTAGGACCAACCAAAGAAGTCAAATACATACCCCTAACCAATCTCATAGGATGCTCACTTCTGGTTAGCCACTTCCAGCTTTTCTGGGCCAACAGTCTCCAGCCAGGGCATATCTGAAGTCTTCCCTTTTTTCCACTATTAAACTTTCTCATTACTCTGCCTGTCTTTAACAAGTGACAATGGTTGTTGACTCCCTTGCTATTGCGAGCTCTGAATAAATAGCCTTTGCTTATTCTCATTTGGGGGGTCTTCATTTATTTCCACAGAACTTTGAGTCAAAGGATCTGAGTCCTAATCCTGGGTCTGCCACAGATTCCATATGTGACATGAATAATTCACCTTCTGTTAAAACAAAAAATTAAACATGTAGTATCCCTGCCCGTAAGTTGCTCATTGGCCATATACACTTTCAGGGTGAGATTACGGCCATACCTGAAGTATATGCAAAGGACAGAGGCAGCTCTAAGGAAAGAATGACAGATTGTATCTGGGTCATTTATCTAGTGAATGCCTGGCATTGATTAATCAATTATTATCTTTGACCGCTATTAATATATTCATCAAGAAGATATCTTTCCCCTAAATTCACAAATCTCTTCTTTTCTAAGGAAAATCTTAAGCCACTTATTTTAAAATGTGGACTAGCCATTTTGCTTGAAATCTAATTTCACAAATGGCTCATTTGTTAAAGAAATATTTTAATGGGTCCTGATTCAAACAGAGTCCTTGACTCAAACTGTCTTTTCTATGGTTTCCTTTAGTGGAATAATTTTAGTTTGCCTAAAGTACTGTCTAGTTTGGTTCGTAGATGGTTGCAGACTTCAACAAATGATACAGTTTAAATGTTTTGAATTCCTTTGATCTTTCATAGAACACTTACGTGATTTATGATGTGCAAAACAAAGCTAATTGTACAGAACTTTCACTTGAGGTCCCATCAAGTGCCATTAAATTGTAATGTCTCAGCTTTATTGTTCATAAGCATTCTATAAATGTCCTTATACAAGCCCTAAAAATGTTCATTGTTAAAATACCCTCTTAAAACTACAGATTTCCATTTGTTAACAATGCAGTAGACAAATATTTGTTTCGATTTTTCAGCTTTATTCAAATGTTCTGTGATGTATTAGTAAAGCTCATCTTGTTCATAATATTCCAAGTTTTCTTTCTATATGCAAGTTGAAAAAGACACGTACAGTGTTGGGCATCCTGGCTTCTAGTCTGTAATCTTCCCCTGACTGTGTAAGCTCCAGAAAGTAACCTCACATCTTTGGATCTCTATTTCTTCTCTTGTGGCCTATCACTAAGTTTCATTTCAAGACTAAAAATCTATGATCAGATCTGCACTTATATATTCATCACAGCACCATTCACAATAGCAAAGATATGGAATCAACCTAAATTTCCATCAATGAGGATTAGATAAAGAAAATACAGGGTGTGTTTGTGTGTGTGTGTGTGTGTCTGTATGTATACAGTATATATATATGTGTGTGTATATATATGCAAGTTCAGT
The DNA here is from genome assembly GCF_000001405.40 of Homo sapiens. Classification (NCBI taxonomy): domain Eukaryota; kingdom Metazoa; phylum Chordata; class Mammalia; order Primates; family Hominidae; genus Homo; species Homo sapiens. Next base: position 13,676,609 of record NC_000004.12, on the reverse strand, counting down.
ATGTGCATATATGTGTGTATATACATACAGTGTGTATATGTGTGTACATGTGTGTGCATATGTACCATGTCATATATGCAGTGTGTACATATGTGTGCACATATGTATGGTATGTACATATATGTGTGTAAATATGTGCAGTGTGTATATATGTGTACATACACATATATACATGTACACTGTACATGTCCTTTTCAGCTTGCATATAGAAAAAAACAGAATATTATGAATTTTACAATGTGGGCTTTACCAATATGTCATATATTTGAATTAAAGCTGAAAAATCTAAACAAATACTCATCTGTTGCTTTGTTAACAAGTGGAAACTGTACTTTTAAAAGGTTATTTTAACAATGAACATTTTTAGGACATACATAAGGATATTTATAGCATGTTCATATATACATATATATATATACACACACACACCATGGAATACTACTCAGCCATTAAAAAGAATAAACTTATGTATTTTGCAGCAACATGGATGGAACTGGAGACCATTATCCTGAGATAACTCAGAAACAGAAAGTCAAATACTGCATGTTCTCACTTATAAATGGAAGCTAAGTAATGGGTGCACATGGATATACAGAGTGAAATAATACACATTGGAGACTACAAAAAGGTGAGAGGGTGGGAAGAAGGTGAGGGTTGAAAAATTACCTATTGGGTCCAAAGTTCACTCTTTGGGTGATGGGTTCACAAAAAGCTCAGATTTCACCACTGCAAAATACATGCATACATGAAACCTTCCCTTGTACCTCCTACATTTTTAAAAAGTCTATGACCAGGGAGCTCCTGATAAACACAAGTGGAAAATGGTATTTTCCAGGTGCTCAGCTGGATGGCTTCTGTTCTAGAGGCAGCCTAAGGTCCTGGAATTTCAACAAAGTATACTTCAAGCAAGAAGCATTGGATTCAAAGTGGAATCTAGAAAGACTTCCAACCAGGTGGTGTTCCCAGATGGAACAATGCTTTATTAGCATCATTAACAAAAATACCATGATCAAAAAGGTAAATAAGGGGATGAGATTGACAGCCATTCATTCATTGAGCAAGGGTTGAGGTTAGTGTTGAAAACTGGGGTAAGACACATCCCCTCCAGATGCCCACAGAAAGTAGGGAGAGAAATGGTTTGCAAATGAATAGAGACCATTCACTTGGCCATCACTTTCAACTTATTGTATGATGCCTTTGGAAAAGAAAGGTGTGTGCTGTTGTTATTATCAGAGGCAGTATACTAGTTACCAGTAAGATGCCTACAAGCAGGCTTCCTGGGTCCAAATACCCAATCTGCCACTTACTAACTGTGATTTTGAGAGTTAACCTAAATGCCCTGTGCCTTGGGCTTTTCTTATTTATAAAATTACCATTATCTACAACTATTAACTACCATTAGAGATAACAGTAGTACTTACCTTATGTGGCTTTCTGAGGATTAGTCAACGTATGCAAAACACTTCATATAGTGCCTAGACAATTATAAGCACTCTTTAACTAGTAGTAATTATTAGCTATTTATTGAACATTTTCTACACTGCATATGCATGATGTCATTTAACCCTCACTAAAATAGGTCCTATTATTCCCATTTTAGTGATAAAAGAGGTGAGGTTTAAATAGCTTAGGTAGGATCAACATTCACACTTGTTAATCTGCTTCTAGTGTTAGCAACAAAATGTGTACAGTACAATATTTAAGGATGGTGAAGTTGATGTATTCCTTTGCTTTAACCATAGCAGCTTGCTACTTCACATTCTAATTTATGGTAATATATATAATAATGTATAGTTATTGGAGGACTATAGTTTCAAAATATAAATGACAAAAATCTTTTCATTTCCCATAATAAAAGTAACAAACCACTATAAAATTTTGCTAACAATGTACAACAATCTAAATTAACATTGATGAAACAAACAAGCTGCCATTTATCTCTAACAAGCATGATAGCAGCATGTGACAAGCACAACCATCTACCTTTGATATACAGCAAATAAGAGTTCATCCAGTGGGAGTGCCACCACCTGGATGCAGCCATGCACAGAAGCTTCATGAGGCTGCCTGACTTTTGGCTGAGCACCAATTTCATTTTTCCTCAAATGCCAGTCCTGGCAAATCTCAACTTTTAAATGCTAAAGTTTAATATTCCTTGATGATTCACTTGAAAGTAGAAGTATGTCAGAGGAAGGGAGTGAGGGAAAGAAAGCCTATGGAATCTGACATTATCCACCAATAAGAAGTAAAGATAAGGATGCTCTCTGAAAATTTTTTAAACCTTTCTTTCCAAAGTCTAGGGTGCAATCCTGACTAAGTTTATCTTATCTTCTCATTAGTGCTCAAAAATTCAGTAAGGTCATATCACCCCAAATGAAATCCCATCTGGCTCTCTTAAGATTCCTGTCACCTCCACTTCACCAACCAATTAACAGCTCATAATTAAGTCCAGAGTAGAAATTTATTTTGCCATTGGCCATTGTGAAATGAAATTATCAGTAAAGAAAGAAAAAAAGTCGTGTCACACTTTCCCACTTTCGGTCAGATAAAACGTGTAGCAGATATCTGGACAGTTAACATGGTTTCCATTACTACAAAATCTTACTTTTGAGCCAGCTTGTGATACAGGAAACAAAGACATCTGTTCATTCCAAGGTTCACATGGCTTTTTATTATACCTTTAAGAACATCACTTCAATGCATCTTTATTTATATCCTCACCCTAAGCTTTGCTGGCCTGATTCCCCTCTCAGGCCCTCTGATTTCCATAAATCTGTCTTTTGTTCTTGTTAACACAATTTCCTCCCGATGTAATAGGTATATTCTTGTTTCCGTTTATACCAAATAGTAATTTCCAGCCCACTTTTTGGTGACTTTGAAATATCACACCTACCGCCTTTTTTCATTACTTTATTTTATATATTATGCCCCAGCCAATTGTGTGAAGATTCTAAGACCAGAATTTCTATCTTCCTCTAAATGTGTTCTTTCCTGTAAGTTCCCAGACACATCCTGCACCTCTATTCTTCGCTCTGAGTCATATTTATTATCATCCAAAGCAATTATTTCCATCAATGCTTCTCCCTTCCCATCTGTACTAGTTTCCCAAGGCTGTTGTAACAAAGTTCCACAAACTTGGTGACTTAAAATTACAAAAATGTATTATTTCACAGTTCTGAAAGCCAGAAGTACAAAATCAAGATATCAGCAAGCTTGTTTCCTTATGCAGGCTCTGAGGGACAATCTGTTCCATGCCTCTCTCCTGGCTTCTGGTGTTTGCTGGTAATCCTTGGTGTTCCTTGGCATGTATTACCATTGAAAGTAATGGCAAAAAATGCAATTACTTTTGTATCAAACTAATAGATGCATCACCCCAATTTTTGCCTCCATCTTCATATAGTGCTCTCCCTGTGTGTCTCTGTTTTTACATGGCCTTTTTATAAAGACACAAGTTATTGGACTTACAGCTTCACTAACGCTGTATAATCTCTTCTTAACTAATTACATCTACGAAGACCCTATTTCCAAATAAAGTCACATTCACAGGTTCCAGGGTTAGGACTACAACATATTATCTTGGGGGACACAATTCCTCCTACAATACCATCCATATTTATTTCATATCCTTGAGTGTTTGGTCAGCTAGACTTCAGGGGGAAAAGTGTATTCTTCATCTTCAGTGATGTAGCCAGCCCAAGAAGCCATCACCATCTCCTCCTTTGCTCAGGATGTCAAATCCTATTGTTCAACCCCATCGGCGCAGCCAGCCCTTCTCCTGCCAGACCTGTATCTCCATTCCAAGATCAAAGTTCCTGTCAGAAAAATAAAAATAAAAACCCACGTGTGCTCTCAACTTCTCTAGCCTTCTGGATCCCTTTCCCTGATGGCGCTGCTTTTCCATATACTATTAGGAGGAGCTGATAATAAAGTGCAACAGGCTCTTAGCTGCACCCAAATATACCTATCATGAAGGCAGCCATGTTTCATTTGGCCAGTTTGGGTGGCAAGAATGAAGACTCTTCATGGATGATCTATCTAATGCTGTCAGTGGTGTATTGAAGTCCTCCACTATTATTGTGTGGCTAAGTCTTTTTTTTTAGGTCTAGTAGTAATTGCTTTATAAATCCAGTTGCTCCAGTATTGGTGCATATATATTTAGGATGATTAAACATTGTTGAATTGGACCTTTTATCATTGTGAAATTTCCTTCTTTTTTTCATCTTTACTGTTATTGGTTTAAAGTCTGTTTTGTCTGATACAAGAATAGCAACCCCTGCTCTTTTCTGTTTTTTACTTGCATAATACATCTCTCTCCACCCCTTGACTTTGAGCCTATGGCCGTCATTACATGTGAGCTGGGTCTCTTAAAGATAGCAGATGGTTGAGCCCTGGTTTTCATCCAATTTTTCACTCTATGTCTTTTAAGTGGAGCATTCAGGCTACTTACATTCAAAGTTAACGTTGATATGTGAAGTTTTGTTCCTGACATGGTGTTGTTAGCTAATTGCTGTGTAGTCTTGATTGTGTAGTTGCTTTATGAGGTCTGTGGGTAATGCACTTACATGTATTTTTGTGGTAGGAAGTATCAGTTTTTTGTTTCTATGTTTAGAACTCCCTTAAACATCTCTTGTAAAGCCAGTCTGGTGGTGACAAATTCCCTTAGAGATTGCTTGTCTGGGAAAGACTATAATTTCTCTTTTGTTTATGAAGTTTAGTTTGGCAGAATATGAAATTATTGGTTGGAATTCTTTTTCTTTTAAAATGCTAAAAATAGGCCCCCAATTTCTTCTGGCTTATAAGGTGTCTGCTAAGAAGTCCACTGTTAGTCTGATGTAATATCTTTTATAGGTAATATGGCCTTTTTCTGTAGTTGCCCTTAAGATTTTTTCTTTGGTGTTGACTTTGGAAAATCTGATGAGTACAAGCCTTTGGAATGGTCGTCTTGTATCTTTCAGGAGTTCTCTGCATTTCCTGTATCTGCATGTCAACCCATCTAGTGAGATTGGAGACATTTTCCTAGATTATACCCTCGAATATGTTTTCCAAGATGCATACTTTCTCTTCTTTCTAAAAAGTGCCAATGAATCATAGGTTTGGTCACTTTGCATAATTCCGTATTTCTCATGGTTTTATTCATTTTTCTAAATTCTTTTTTCTTTATTGTTGCCTGACTAGGTTGATTCGAAAGACCAGTCTTCAGGCTCTGAAATTCATTCCTCTGCTTTGTCTAGTCTGTTATCAAGGCTTCCAATTATATTTTAAATTTTCTGCAGTGAATTTTGCAAAGGAATGAAGACTCTTATCAGACAAAACTGTGTATAAATAAATTCTGGCTCTGCATTACCAGTTGTATGACCTTAAAGAAAATACCTGATCTCTTTTTGCCACAAATTTTATATCTGTAAAATACATTTACTGATAGTACTAATCATTAAATTATGAAAATTTAAACTCGTTATATAAAATATATAGCTTGATGTCTTTATAGGCTGGATTGTGCCTCTCCATCAAATTCATATGTTGACAGCTTAGCCCCAGTACCTCAGAATGTGACTGTATTTGCAGACAGCCTTTAAAGAAGTGGCTAAGTTAAAACACGGCTGTCAGACTGGACTCTAATCCAATCTGATTGGTGTCCTTATAAAAAGAAACTTGGACACACAGAAAGAAACCAGGGATGTGCTTACACAGAGGGCAGACCATATGAGGACACAATGAGACTCAAGTAGCCATCTGCAAGCCAAGAAGAGAAGCCTCAGGAAAAATCAAACCTGACAACACCTTCATTTTGGTTTTGTCACCTCCAGAGCTTTGAGCAAATGAATTTCTGTTGTTGAAACCACCTCCTCTGTGGTCTTTTGTTATGGCAGCACTAGCAAACTAATAAAAGTTCCAACACCTAATAAATGTTTGATCACAGTTAGCAATTGTTGTTATCATGGCGATGATGACTAAAGCTTCCTGTAAACCTGTGACATCCAGGAAGGCAACAACTGCTCACATGTGTGTATTGAGTACTCAAAACATGGTTAGGCCAAACTGTGATGTACTTTATGCGTAAAATGAACATAGGATTTCAAAGATTTGCTATAAAAATATAAATATTTCCACTAATAACTTTTTTAGTATTGATTGCTGTTAAAATGATATTTTACATATATTGAGTTAAATCAAATATATGATTAAAGCAAACTCCACATGTTTCTTCTTCCTTTTTTAATGGAGCTAATAGTAAATTTAAAATTGCCTATGTGGCTGGAATCATATTTTAGAGCAGTGCTGCTCTAAAGCCTTCAATGGGAACTGACCACCACAGCTCCAAGCTTGCCTTCTAAGGCCAACAGCAGTGTTCTTTCCACTGCCAATTCCTAGAAAATCTCCTTCTAGTACCAAAGTGTAGTGAAAGAAGCAGAAGGTTTAGAGTCCAACACACCTGGAGTTGAAAGCCTACTTCACCCCTTACTTGGCCTGTGACCTGGAACTTCTCTGAACCTACTGGCTTCTCCCCTGCAAAATGGGAATAATCAACACTAGCTCAAAGGCAATACACATATAAAGTGCTTACCGTTGTCCCTAGCACACAGAAAGTGCATGCTATAAACTGAATATTTGTGTCCCCAAAATCATATGTTGAAATTCTCACCCCAATCTGATGGTACTTGGAGGTGGGGCATTTGGGAGATGATTAAGTCATGAGGCAAGGCCTTTAAAAATGAGCTCACTGCCCTTATAAAAAGCCCTGGAGAGCTCCCTTGTCCCTTCTGTCACATGAGGTTACATAAAATGGTACCATCTGTGAACCAGGGAGTGGGCCTTTTCCAGACTCCAAATCTGCTGGTGCTTTAGCTTGGACTTCCCAGCCCCCACAGCTGTGAGAAATAAATTTCTGTTGTTTATTAGCCACCCAGACCATGGTGTTTTTGTTATAGAAGCCTAAATGGGCTAAGACAGTGAACAATAAACGTTGGCTTTTACTGTTAACTTCGTGAGACATGAAGGGTCTCTTCATTCTCTGAGGAGATGTGACAGGTAAAGGTTTCCAACGAGCCGGGCATGGTGGCTCACGCCTGTAATCCCAGCACTTTGGGAGGCCAAGGCGGGTGGGTCACGAGGGCAGGAGATCGAGACTATCCTGGCTAACACGGTGAAACCCCGTCTCTACTGAAAATACAAAAAAAATTAGCAGGGCATGGTGGCAGGGACCTGTAGTCCCAGCTACTCAGGAGGCTGAGGCAGGAGAATGGGGTGAACCCGGGAGGCAGAGCTTGCAGTGAGCCGAGATCGCACCACTGCACTCCAGCCTGGGTAACAGAGTGAGACTCCGTCTCAAAAAAAAAATAAAATAAAATAAGGTTTCCAACGGTGAGATTGAGTGGAAAGCCCCTGCTGAGGCTACCCTATCTTCAGAGAAGAGCATCCAAAAATTTAAAGAGTCACATTTTCCTCTGCTGCAAACAGAAATATTAAGCTTATCTGAAATGTCCTCTGCCTCCTTCAGCTCATCTTGACCTTTCTGACCTCCATGCCTAGGCTCAGGTGGTTCTGGATTTCTGAGCTATACTTCCTTCTCCTTCTATCAAAATCCAAGCATCTTTCAAGTCATGGGTAAAATATTACCTCATTCATGAAAGAATTATCTGCCATATCCCAGAGACTTGAATATAGAGTCTGAATCCCCTTCAGTTTGCTTTCTCTATGTTACTGGGCACAGAGCCTAACAGATAAAATCTTTGTGGAATAAAGCAAAGTGAACAAAAAGTTGCAGCCTGGACTAGAGAAGAGGGAATGCCAAGACATTATCTACTTAGGGAATAGCTTTACATTTGAAATTTTCACAAAATGCAAAATAGAAAACCCCTATGATTTAAATTTCAAATCCAGTTGTGCTCATGAGTATGGAATTCTAGAAACTCTTTGAAAAATCATCCATCACTCAGGCACCACGAGTAAAAAATCCTCCTCCTCCAAGATCCCAGATCCTCAGACCTTCCTAAATGAGAAAGACATGAATTGGTTCTAGGGAGGAATCACAACTGGAAATCCAAAGCTAAAATGACTTAAAATAGAAATTTGAATAAAAAAGAAAGAACCTCTAAGTATTGCCAGAAACAAGTCGCAAAAGACTAAAACTCAGCATGTACTGCCCACAAACACACACTGAGACAACCCAACCATTACACAGGTAGGCAAAGTACATCATGGATAAGAGCTAAACCACATAACCACATGGCCTGTATTCAGATCTTAGGGCCATTGTTTACCAACTGTGCAACTTTGTACAGGATACTTAACCTTTGTGGGCCTCAGTTTTTCCTTATCCAAAAATAGAGTCATTTAAATTAACATTAATTAAATTATTACCATATGCTAGATACTGCCAAATTATTTCTACACAGCATGCAACAGGATTAAATGGGTTAATATATATGAATCTCTTGATTCAGAATCAGGCTGCTATGGTCTGAACGTTTTTGTCCCCTCAAATTTCATATGTTGAAATTTTAAACCCCTAAGGTTATGGTATTAAGTGGTGGGGCCTTTGGGAGGTAATTAGATCACAAGAACATAGCCCTTATAAGTGGGGTTGGTGTCCGTGTCCTTATGAAAAAAAGAGACCTGAGAGAGACCCCTCACTCCTTCCACCATGTGGAGACACAGCAAGAAAGCACTATGAACCAGAGAGCAAGCCTTTACCAGACATCAAGTCTGCCAGCACCTTGACCTTGGACTTACCAGACTCCTGAACTGTAACAAATAGATTAATCTGCTTTACAAAGCTACCCAACTTGTAGTATTTTGTTATAACAGCTCAAATTCACAAAGAAGATTGGAATCAAGAATTGGGGGTGCTACTGTAACAAAGATCTAAAAATATGGAAGCAGATTTGAAATGGGATCATGGGTAGACGCTAGAAAAGTTTTGAGGGGTAGGCTAAAACATAGCCTACATTGCCAGGTGGACTGTTAAGGGTGACCCTTGTGAGGGTCAGGATGAAAAGAAGAAAGCTGTATAAAGAGCCTCAACCTTCTAAGGAAATACTTAAGTGGTCATGAACAGAATGTTTGTAGAAATATGGATGGTAAAGGCCATCCTGGTAAGGTTTCAGATAGAAATAAGGAACACGTCATTGGAAACTGGAAGAAAGGTTATCCTTGTTACAAAGTGGCATAGAACTTGGCTGAATTGCTGTGTCTTAGTGTTTTGTGAAAGGTAGAATTTGCACACAAAGAATAGGATATTTGAGGAAATTTCTAAGCAAAGTGTTGAAGGTATGGCTTGGCTCCTCTTGAATATTTATAGTCAAATATAAGAAAAGAAAAATGATTTAAAGACAGAATTTTTAATCAAAAGGGAAACAGAATTTAAAGGTTAAGAAATTTCACAGCCTACCCATATTAAAAGTATCAGAAAGTATATTCAGGAATAGGGTGTGGCCAAGCAACCTTTTGATAAGACTAGTATGGATCATCCAGGACCTATTGTCTGAGACAAGGGAAAAGTAACCCCAAAAGCATTTCAAAGATCATCAAGGCTGCCTTTATCTTCTCAGGCCCAGAGTTCAGAGCCTGGAGGACAGAACAATTTTAAAGAAAGAGCCTCAGACACCTGTGGGCCCTCAGCACTGGCTGCCTGGCACTATCTTAGGCTCTACTCCCTACTTTCCAGTGGCAATTCCTGGGTGGCAATTCTCAGCCACCCAGGTGTGGCTCCAGTGAGGCCAAGTGTGTGATGACTGCCATGGTTACTACTTGAGACCATCATTACAGCACTTACTACTGTTACTGCTTGAGACTGTCATTATGACTTCACGAAGGGACGAACGTAGAAATGATAACAAAAAACAAAAGTAACTATTTTAAGGAAAGGCTAGCATGGGGAAGAGGAAGAGAGAAGAAGAGAAGAGGATAAGGGCTCCCTGCTTCTAGAGAGCAAAGGCAGCTGCGCAAGCTTCCACAGCCCTTCTTATTTATTGGGTAGAATGAGCAGGAAGGAGGAGGTAATGACTGGTCAGCTGCTTAATTGATCACAGGTTCATATTGTTACTAACAGGCTTCAATTATGCCTAATCATAAGAAACACTTGTGCCTGGGTCATGACTGCCTTCAGCAGTCCTTCTGGGTGGCAGATGCAGTTTGTCAGTTTGCCAAAATTCTGCATTTATGAGCAACAGTTTGCTGCTTACTCATATAGTCTCCAGTGGTATACTGAGTTGATCACGACCCTCACTCTTTAAGCCTCCAACAAGGTGTGGTGCAGGTCACTGTGGCTGTCCTTCCGGAAGGCATAAATAATAAATCTTGGCAGCATCCACAAGGTACCATATCTGCCAATAACAAAGTGCATGAGCCATGGGTGTATGGCCGCCTCTACCCAGATTTAGAAAGATGGAGCTGCTCAGAGCCTCAGGCTCATGACTCATGAGAGGGGCCATAGGGTACAGCCACCACAGGGAGCCCCGACTAGAGCAATGCTCAATAGAGCCATGGGATCAGGGTCACCATCCCAGTAAGACTAGAGAACAGGGCCTGGAGTCAAAGAAAATCATTCTCAAGCCTTGAGGTTTTAGACTAGCCCAGGACCTGTCACTCGTTTTTTCTTTTCTATTTCTCTCTTTTGGAATGGGAATGTCTTGCTGTGCCTGTTCCACCATTGCATTTTGGAAGCATATAACTTGTTTGGTTTCATAGTCTCACAGCTAGAAGAGAATCTGTCTCATAATGAATCATATCTTCAGTCTCACCCACATCTGATATCTAAATATCATATTTAGATGAGACATTGGACTTAGACTTTAAAGTCAGTGCTGGCACAAGTTAAGACTTTTGAAGCTATTGGAATGGAATAAATGTATTTTGCATGTAGGAAAGACATGAATTTTGGGGGAAGCCAGAATACAATGCTATGGACTGAATATTTATGTCTCCCCAGAATTCATAAGTGGAAATTCTAGCCTCCCAAGGTAATGGTATTTAAAGGTGGAGCCTTTGGGAGGTGATTAGATGATGGGTTTAAAGCCCTTATGAGTGGGGATTAGTGCCCTTATGAAAAAGGTCCCAGAGGGACCTCTCACTCCTTCTATCATGTGAGGGCATGGTGAGAAGGTGCCATCTATGAACCAGAGAACAGGCCCTCACCAGACATTGAATCTGCCAACACCTTGATCTTGGATTTCTCAGCCTCCAGAACAGTGAGAAATAAATTTCTATTGTTTATAAGCCACCCAGTCTATAATATTTTGTTATAGCAGCAAGAATTAAGACACTGGCACAGGGTAAATATGTATAGCAACAAGTAGTAGTAATTGTGGTGGTGGTCGTAGTTGGCTTTGTTTTTAAGAAAGACACTATGGGGTGGGGGGAGCCAAGATGGCCGAATAGGAACAGCTCCGGTCTACAGCTCCCAGCGTGAGTGATGCAGAAGACGGGTGATTTCTGCATTTCCATCTGAGGTACCGGGTTCATCTCTCTAGGGAGTGCCAGACAGTGGGCGCAGGTCAGTGGGTGCGCGCACTGTGCGCGAGCCGAAGCAGGGTGAGGCATTGCCTCACTCGGGAAGCGCAAGGAGTCAGGGAGTTCCCTTTCCTAGTCAAAGAAAGGGGTGACAGACAGCACCTGGAAAATCGGGTCACTCCCACCCAAATACTGCGCTTTTCCGACGGGCTTAAAAAACGGCGCACCACGAGATTATATCCCGCACCTGGCTCAGAGGGTCCTATGCACAGGGAGTCTCGCTGATTGCTAGCACAGCAGTGTGAGATCAAACTGCAGGGCGGCAGCGAGGCTGGGGGAGGGGCGCCCACCATTGCCCAGGCTTGCTTAGGTAAACAAAGCAGCCCAGAAGCTCGAACTGGGTGGAGCCCACCACAGCTCAAGGAGGCCTGCCTGCCTCTGTAGGCTCCACCTCTGGGGGCAGGGCACAGACAAACAAAAAGACAGCAGTAACCTCTGCAGACTTAAATGTCCCTGTCTGACAGCTTTGAAGAGAGCAGTGGTTCTCCCAGTACCCAGTGGGAGATCTGAGAATGGGCAGACTGCTTCCTCAAGTGGGTCCCTGACCCCTGACCCCTGAGCAGCCAAACTGGGAGGCACCCCACAGCAGTGGCACACTGACACCTCACACAGCAGGGTACTCCAACATTCAAAGATGTTCTTTGAAACCAACGAGAACAAAGACACAACATACCAGAATCTCTGGGACACATTCAAAGCAGTGTGTAGAGGGAAATTTATAGCACTAAATGCCCACAAGAGAAAGCAGGAAAGATCCAAAATTGACACCTTAACATCACAATTAAAAGAACTAGAAAAGCAAGAGCAAACACATTCAAAAGCCAGCAGAAGGCAAGAAATAACTAAAATCAGAGCAGAACTGAAGGAAATAGAGACACAAAAAACCCTTCAAAAAATTAATGAATCCAGGAGCTGGTTTTTTGAAAGGATCAACAAAATAGATAGACTGCTAGCAAGACTAATAAAGAAAAAAAGAAGAATCAAATAGACGCAATAAAAAATGATAAAGGGGATATCACCACCAATCCCACAGAAATACAAACTACCATCAGAGAATACTACAAACACCTCTATGCAAGTAAACTAGAAAATCTAGAAGAAATGGATAAATTCCTCGACACATACACTCTCCCAAGACTAAACCAGGAAGAAGTTGAATCTCTGAATAGACCAATAACAGGATCTGAAATTGTGGCAATAATCAATAGCTTACCAACCAAAAAGAGTCCAGGACCAGATGGATTCACAGCCGAATTCTACCAGAGGTACAAGGAGGAACTGGTACCATTCCTTCTGAAACTATTCCAACCAATAGAAAAAGAGGGAATCCTCCCTAACTCATTTTATGAGGCCAGCATCATTCTGATACCAAAGCCGGGCAGAGACACAACGAAAAAACAGAATTTTAGACCAATATCCTTGATAAACACTGATGCAAAAATCCTCAATAAAATACTGGCAAAACGAATCCAGCAGCACATCAAAAAGCTTATCCACCATGATGAAGTGGGCTTCATCCCTGGGATGCAAGGCTGATTCAACATACGCAAATCAATAAATGTAATCCAGCATATAAACAGAACCAAAGACAAAAACCACATGATTATCTCAATAGATGCAGAAAAGGCCTTTGACAAAATTCAACAACCCTTCATGCTAAAAACTCTCAATAAATTAGGTATTGATGGGATGTATTTCAAAATAATAAGAGCTATCTATGACAAACCCACAGCCAATATCATACTGAATGGGCAAAAACTGGAAGCATTCCCTTTGAAAACTGGCACAAGACAGGGATGCCCTCTCTCACCACTCCTATTCAACATAGTGTTGGAAGTTCTGGCCAGGGCAATTAGGCAGGAGAAGGAAATAAAGGGTATTCAATTAGGAAAAGAGGAACTCAAATTGTCCCTGTTTGCAGACGACATGATTGTATATCTAGAAAACCCCATTGTCTCAGCCCAAAATCTCCTTAAGCTGATAAGCAACTTCAGCAAAGTCTCAGGATACAAAATCAATGTACAAAAATCACAAGCATTCTTATACACCAACAACAGACAAACAGAGAGTCAAATCATGGGTGAACTCCCATTCACAATTGCTTCAAAGAGAATAAAATACCTAGGAATCCAACTTACAAGGGATGTGAAGGACCTCTTCAAGGAGAACTACAAACCACTGCTCAAGGAAATAAAAGAGGATACAAACAAATGGAAGAACATTCCATGCTCATGGGTAGGAAGATTCAATATCGTGAAAATGGCCATACTGCCCAAGGTAATTTACAGATTCAATGCCATCCCCATCAAGCTATCAATGCTTTTCTTCACAGAATTGGAAAAAACTACTTTAAAGTTCATATGGAACCACAAAAGAGCCCGCATCGCCAAGTCAATCCTAAGCCAAAAGAACAAAGCTGGAGGCATCACACTACCTGACTTCAAACTATACTACAAGGCTACAGTAACCAAAACAGCATGGTCCTGGTACCAAAACAGAGATATAGATCAATGGAACAGAACAGAGCCCTCAGAAATAACGCCGCATATCTACAACTATCTGATCTTTGACAAACCTGAGAAAAACAAGCAATGGAGAAAGGATTCCCTATTTAATAAATGGTGCTGGGAAAACTGGCTAGCCATATGGAGAAAGCTGAAACTGGATCCCTTCCTTACACCTTATACAAAAATCAATTCAAGATGGATTAAAGACTTAAACGTTAGACCTAAAACCATAAAAACCCTAGAAGAAAACCTAGGCATTACCATTCAGGATATAGGCATGGGCAAGGACTTCATGGCTAAAACACCAAAAGCAATGGCAACAAAAGACAAAATTGACAAATGGGATCTAATTAAACTAAAGAGCTTCTGCACAGCAAAAGAAAGTACCATCAGAGTGAACAGGCAACCTACAAAATGGGAGAAAATTTTTGCAACCTACTCATCTGACAAAGGGCTAATATCCAGAATCTACAATGAACTCAAACAAATTTACAAGAAAAAAACAAACAACCCCATCAAAAAGTGGGCAAAGGACATGAACAGACACTTCTCAAAAGAAGACATTTATGCAGCCAAAAAAACATGAAAAAATTGCTCATCATCACTGGCCATCAGAGAAATGCAAATCAAAACCACAATGAGATAACCATCTCACACCAGTTAGAATGGCAATCATTAAAAAGTCAGGAAACAACAGGTGCTGGAGAGGATGTGGAAAAATAGGAACACTTTTCCACTGTTGGTGGAACTGTAAACTAGTTCAACCATTGTGGAAGTCAGTGTGGCGATTCCTCAGGGATCTAGAACTAGAAATACCATTTGACCCAGCCACCCCATTATTGGGTATATACCCAAAGGACTATAAATCATGCTGTTATAAAGACACATGCACACATATGTTTATTGCGGTACTATTCACAATAGCAAAGACTTAGAACCAACCCAAATGTCCAACAATGATAGACTGGATTAAGAAAATGTGGCACATATACACCATGGAATACTATGCAGCCATAAAAAATGATGAGTTCATGTCCTTTGTAGGGACATGGATGAAATTGGAAATCATCATTCTCAGTAAACGATCGCAAGAACAAAAAACCAAACACCGCATATTCTCACTCATAGGTGGGAATTGAACAATGAGAACACATGGACACAGGAAGGGGAACATCACACTCTGGGGACTGTTGTGGGGTGGGGGGAGGGGGGAGGGATAGCATTGGGAGATATACCTAATGCTAGATGACGAGTTAGTGGGTGCAGCGCACCAGCATGGCACATGTATACATATGTAACTAACCTGCACTATGTGCACATGTACCCTAAAACTTAAAGTATAATAATAATAATAATAATAATAATAAAAAGAAAGACACTGTCTTCATAGGCTATGGTCAGGTGAATGAACAGGTTCTTTATTTATGAAAAAGCTCAAGCACTAGCCGTATGGCTTTGGCTAAACTTATGAAGCATCTCAGCCTTTGTTTCTCTGATCTCCCAAACATGCAACATGCATAGCAATCAGTTTTACAAGGTTGTTGGGAGACCCAGGTGGGATATTGGAGGTGAAAAGCTGTGGAACTTATCCTTTGTTGATGTTATTCTTGCTTCTGCCTCCACCACTGGGTCATTTTCTGCCCCATTCCCACAGTAAATGGCATAACTTAATGTTTAAAAGACAAACTCCCAGCTTCCCCTTGGGTGAATACATGGTAGTGAGTCATTACTCCATGTCATGTTATCCCAGAGTCTGAACCATGTAGTCTTCAAATTCAGGGAACATCAATAAGCCACATCCTAGAAAGGTCAGCAGAGAAGTAAATGGACCAAATGCATATAGCCAACCTGTCTGCACCTCCAGTCACTCTCACACCATTCTGGCTGCTAGAAGGGCATCCAGTTAGAAGGTAGTTGCAATGACAATGAGCAATATGGTGGTTTTCACCAAACAATCGTGGTGCAGGGGTGGGGTGAGTGGAAAGAGGAACATGGATCTTAGAGATACATGAGAAATGAACACTTCCAGCCCTGCTTATCTGTCACCTCCCACGGAAGTCTTTCTTGGCCACACTGTCAAAAATGCCAACTGCTCCCCATTGCTTTCCAGCTCTTTATAAAATGTAATAATAACTTTATTATTTTTTGAAAGAATAGGGTGTTGATAAGGATTAAATGCGTAATACAGGTAAAGGTTTAAAACAGTGTGTGGCTTATAGTATTTAATAAATGTTAGCTTTTATCATTATTATTACCATTAGTATTTTTATCTAATTACTATTTCATTCTAGCATGTATGATATTCTAAAAGTTTTATTTCGGTTATCTATTTATTCACATAATTGTTATCTGACTTCCCCACTACTGACCTCTATATGGAGGTGTCTATGTTACATCCCTACTAAGTACTTAACAAATAGCAGTTGGTTGGATGAATGATTTAATGAGTGAATGAATAGGCAACTATCACACTCAGCAGACTCATTTTGTCCCATATCCCAATAACCTATTTGTAAGAAACACTTTCTTATCTGAATTTTAGGCATGAAGAAATAATGACACTGAAAACATCGAGTGACTTATTCATACAGGATGAGGATGAGCAGGAGATGAACCCTTATCAAATTCTGGCTCTACACCAAGCACTGTGAGAGACCCACTGATTTATCCAGGCTTCTGGTCATTCATTCCACAAAAACATATTAAGTTTCCACTCTGGGCCATGCATTTGGCCCCTAGACCCATCTGAAAAGAGGAGCTTTAATCCTGGATTACATCTCATTTTTGTAATCTCAATAGGAAAGCAGGTCTCAGAGCAGACCTCACGGTGAGGAGGAGGCAGGGGTACCCCCTCCCCAGAAGCACAGGCCCTGAAGCGTCGTTGGGTCCTTTCTCCCTTTGACATCTGATTTCCTCATAGATGACTGTCATAGCCATAATTCAATTGTCCCAGGACCAGCACATGTGGGTCCAGTTTTGTCAGCCTGCAAGGACATTGTGCAGCTTTGTTTGTTCCAGTGTGGGGAAGGGAGGTGTTGATAAGCATCATCATAATCAGGATCTGCTGTCCATGACTTACCATTCATTTCCTAATCAGTCATCACATTTTGTTCAAGCTTAATGCTGACCTATTGAATTTAACGCCACATTCTGCAGCAAAAAGCCACTGCTGTGTTTACTGGGGGAAATCAGCTAGCTCTTACCCTTGTTGCTGTAGCACGCACAGGAAACTTAGATTTTCAGGATATTCCCCCACCCCCGTGTTATCTAGGAGTTCTCATTTTGTTCAAAGAATGTCCCCTCTGTCTTCCCGCTTTCCCTCCGTGGTGCCAAGACAACCTGAATTACATTAAAGCCCAGGCGGCTCGATATTTAGGCTGCTTTCCTCCTCTCTCCCTTACCCCATTCCCATCAACACACATGCACACATACACCTGTGTGCACACACCCATGCACACACACAAATGGGATGTGAGCCAACAGAACACTGTGTGACCTTGAACCAGTCACATCTTTCTAAGCTTCCATTTCATCAGCTGTAAAATGAGGAGGGCAGACTCAGTTATCCCTTTCTTTTCTAATATTGTATGATTCTAATCTTCCCATCATTCTCAAATGATGGAATTAGAATTATAAAATGTCTGAAATGGAAGACATGCTGAAAACTAATCCACTAATGAAATAATATCCCCATATTTCAATTCTTCCTTATTTTTTGAGACAGCGTCTCACTCTGTCTCCCAGGCTGGAGTGCAGTGACACAATCTTGGCTCACTGAAGCCTCAACCTCCTGGGCTCAAATGCTCTTCCCATCTCAGCCTCCCAAGTACCTGGGACTACATGTGCTCACCACTACACTAGGCTAATTTTGTTCATTTTTTTTGTACAGAGAAGGTCTCACTTTGTTGCCCAGGCTGGTCTCGAACTTCTGGGCTCAAGTGATTCACCCACCTCGGCCTCCCAAAGGGCTGGGCCTACAGGTGTGAACTGCTGCACCCAGCCCACATATTTGAATTATTTTAGTGACACTTTCATCCTTTTTTTCACATCTCCACATTACTATCATTCACTTAACTGGTTTTTCTTTAAATTGACTTTTTTTTTTTTTTAGACAGAGTCTCGCTCTGCCGCCCAGGCTGGAGTGCAGTGGCATGATCTCAGCTCACTGCAAGCTCTGCCTCCTGGGTTCACGCCATTCTCCTGCCTCAGCCTCCCAAGTATCTGGGACTACAAGTGCTCGCCACCACGCCTGGCTAATTTTTTCTATTTTTAGTAGAGATGGGGTTTCACCGTGTTAGCCAGGATGGTCTCGATCTCCTGACCTCGTGATCTGCCCACCTCGGCCTCCCAAAGTGCTGGGTAAATTAACCTTTTTACTTAAATACATATATTTAAAAGGCATCCCTTATCACTATCACAAATAGAAAACCATAATCATTTGCTATACATGTAATCATAATTAAAGGAAAATAAAGCAATCTAAGAAAATTTTGGCTGGGCCCCACTGCCTGCCCAAGGACCCCAAGCTGCTGCTTGTCCCTCTCTGTGGAAATGGCAGCATAGTATATGTTTAAAGGCACTAAGGTCATGTTGGCATCAAAGGAGACTCTTTTTGCCCTAATCAGAATAGAAAAGAGCCACATTCTCTCCCAAGGGATGTCCATTTTATCTAATACAGAGGCTAGGTGCCACCCAAGATCTCTCTCAAGAACTTCACTTTGGATAAAATGGTCTCACCACTGTTCCTTAGGTTAACGTTGTAATTAGTTCATCTAATGCTCCAAATTGCCAATATCTGCATCTTCTTCACCATGACCTTCACCTGCTACCATTGCCAGGCAGCTCCTGTGAGAAAACAGATATGCTCAGAAACACACACACGCACAAGCACATGCTCCAAAACAATTTTTTAAACAACATAATGCTTCCCTGGCACTTCCCCAAGTCCACTGCTCTAGGAATCGCTGACCTCGGGCAGGTCTACGTCACTACTTTTTCTAAAGAAATCGCTGCCCATGTACAACAAAGAGCAACTTCCATTGAGCATTTGGGGAGCTCTTGAAGCGACTTCCTTTTTTCCTTCTCTCTCTTTATAGACGCGATGTGGAGTAGGGAGCAGGTGGTACACCCTTGTGGGAAAACAGGTACAGAGACTGTGGGGGGCAGACAGGGACAAAAGAGAGAGAGACACTGCCTTCTGCTTATTTTGTGTGGTATAGGAAGAAAATATTTAAACGTTTCTACTTTAGATACAGTCTGGCTTCCAATTCCAGTTCTATCATTTTCTAGCAACATAAATTTGGGCAAGTTGCTCAGCCCCTCTGAGCTTTAATCTCCTCCTTAGCAAAATGGCTCTGGTGACACACCCTTCCTTGCGTTGTGAGTGTGTAAGGCAGGTATGGTACCAGGCGCCGAGATAAACATTCATCTAACAGTCCCTTCCTCTTTTACCTTTTGTTTGTTTGTTTTTACTTTGGCACCATTTATGAAGGTCCAAAATAAATCCCTTTTTTATTTGTTTGGTTGTTTGTTTGTTTTGCCTTCTAAATCCTGAGTCTCATCTACAAAGTGGAAAAAAAAAAAAGGCTGTGAATTTCCATAATGTAAGTTTCGTTTTCTATGACTCGATTATGGCAAGTGATGTATAAAGGCTGAGTGGAGTGACAAGGAGGGGCACAGAGAAGAGGGAGGACAAACTTTACACCAGCAAATCCAACAATCGGCCCCTTTTGAAAAATCATTAGCAGCCTGCTGGAAGCTCCAAGTCTCCCAGATTTGGGATATGAGAGAGTAACAACATGAATCTAGAAAATGTGGTGCCTTTCGTGCATAGATTTGAATTAGAGAATTCTTGGTCAGTTTTGCATATGAAGTTGGGGAGAAGGCGTGGGCGGCGCAAAGAAAAACAGAGAAACACCTCCCCCTGCTGCCTGGATGGCGAATAGCAGCAAAGATGCAAAAAAAAAAAAAAAAATTCCATGGTCATATAAAAACCCTCAGCCTATTCCGAGGGTTTGCAAAGGATTCACTATGTGCAGGCAGCTGAATTTTATGGAATGCATTTTCCTATCCTAAGTTACCTTCAAAGGTCATAAAAAATGATCTTAGGACATTATTACAATGATGATGCTTTCCACTGGGCATGTTGTTATTTGTTTCTTGAACAGGAAATATATTAGCGTAACTTTTAAATTAAAATGATATAAAAGTTATAATTGAAAAGTCTTGTTTCTGACTGCCTTACGTATACCTAGCTACTTTTATTAGCTTTTCATATAAATATAAGTAAATGTGACTAATGTAGTCTTCTTTTTTTCCTTCTTACACAATAATTAGCTGTTTGACACTCTTCCGGATATTGTTTTTGTCACTTAACAACATAACTTGGTGATCCTCCCAGAGCCGAAAAGCTCTCCCAGATATGTTTCAGGGCAGCGTAACCTTCCTTGTTCTTCCTTCACTGAGCATGTTATATGTGGAAAGAACACATCCCCACTTGGGGAAACCAGATAAATTGTTTAAATTATTGCAAATGTGAATGATTTTAATGTAGAAATAACCTTTTTCATTCCACATTAATCACAAATACTGTTCACAACCCTTCGTAATAAACTTGTCTCCTGCTTATTTTTTTTTTTCTGGTATTCCTTGTGATTAGAATCTCTCGCCTTGGTATCCGCTGTGTTCAAGAGCAGAACAGAGCTTTGAACTTTACAGGCTAGTGCTCAGAATTAAAAGTGCTTAATGCCACCAAGATTTCTATTAAAAAACCCAGGGTAAAGGAAAAAGCCTTTTGCTTCAGCTGAAATGTTCTTGTAAAGGGCAAAATGGAAAATACAAACACCACTGCCGTTTGCTGGTTGGATACCACAGCCATCGGCACCTCCTGGAAATGGCAAGCCCATGAGTTCCTGATGGAAGCCAAGGTTAGTCTTATTGCATTTGAGAGAGTTAGAAAAGTGTCTTTCAGTGTGGACAGAGAGCCAGCAAGATTGTGAAGGTCAAAGAAAAATCCAATTATCCATAGCAAACACTGACCATACAATTAAATTACACCAGTCAGGAAAGCATCTGATCTTCTGCAACGGACTTCTTCCAGCAAATTTACCCTTGAATCAGTCTGGGCCATTCATTGGCAGCCAGCTGATCAGTTTCCTTCTGCTGCCCTGCATCCTGCAACATGTCTGTAGCAGATGTATCACTGCCCACCTACATCCCCTTGGCCCACCCCAGAGGTCACCTGCAGCTGCAGTGGTCAACTCCCAAGCACGCAGACATCTCAGCATCAAGAACCTGCTTCTCTCTGCCCAAGGGCTTTTTCTGGCCATAGAAGTATCCCCTGCACAGTCCAGATATGCAGGCTGGACAGAAGTTCCAGGGAGCTACCATTCCCAAGAGCAAGCCTCAAGCAATGCCTGGGAGATAAACACCCAGCTCCCTTGCTTGCCCCTTGCCTTGCTGGGGCAATGCCAAAGTGTGTGGTGCCCATACTCTCAGAGGGACACCAGTGCGACTGAGCCCCAGGTGGGACCTACTCATTAACATGCTGTTTATTGGCTTTTCTCTCTTCCCTACTGTCTCATCATTTTTCTGGGATTGACTCCTGTGAGAGCCTTGATCCAGTCAAGAGACAGAAACTACACAGTAAGTTCAACAGGACAAGTGTAACACAGAGTCATTAACTACAATGAAGAGTATAGATATAAGGAAACTCTACAAAGCAACCTAGAGCTACGAGGGAGAACTTAGGAAAAGACGAACTTGAGAAGGATTCAGACCTCTTGGGAAACGGTGAGGTTCAGCCCACGAGACAGCAGAGAAGTTAGCTGCTTTGGCTAGGCTGGAGCCGGCCTGGAATTGCTGGGAACCTCCAGGTGCAGCCAGCCTCCGTTGTGCACGCAGGGGGCGCCAATCAGCAACTGATGGTGAGGGATGGAGCCCGGGAGCTGGCGGGGGCTGCAGGAGGCTGCAGAAGGAGCGGAGCGGCTACTCAACGCCTGACCCTGCCAGCTAAGTGCAGCTGCACACAGGCCGAGCAGAAGCTTGCAAAGGGAGGCTGAGTCCCGGACCCAAGTGTAGCAAGCAGGGAAAGGGAGGGTAGGGCACCGGTAAGGGCAGGAGCCCTTCGGAGGCTCACTCTGTGCTGGGGAGCTCTGCTTTCCATGTCAAGAAGCCTGCACAAAAATTATCACCAAGCCGGGGCTGCAAAGTCACAGAAGGACCAGTTCCACCCGCTGTCCTCGTCCACCCACACTACTGAGCCGCGGTCCCCGCACAACCGGCGGAAACCCTCCTCCAGCTGCGGTGTCCTCCGGCGCCCTCTACTGAGGAAGCCTAGCATCGCGCGCACTTAAAGGAGACGGGCTCAAAGGCACGCCTTCGTTAGTCCCAGAGCATAAATTAATAAAGGGTCCATTCAGAGCTGAGAGGCACAAAAAAAAATTTTTTAAAAAGATAAATACACCTCCAAAGTCCCACTTGCACTCAAACCCTTGTCTCAGGATCTGCTTTTGAAAGAACCCAAATCACGACAATGTCAGACAGAGATGTGATTTTTGTTGACAAAAAGAGTCAGACTCTAAAATATTTAAAGAGATTTATTCTGAGCCAAATATGAGTCACTAATGGCCCATGACATAACCTTCAGGAGATCCTGAGAACATGACCCCAAGGTGATTGGGGCGTCACCTAGATGTATACATTTTAGGGAGACGTGAGACTTCAATTAAATACATTTAAGACATACATTGTTTCAGTCCAGAAAAGGGAAAGTGGGGAGGTCTGCTTCCAGTTGTAGGTAGATTTAAAATTTGTCTGATTTGTCAATTGGTTGAAAGAGTTACTATCTCTAGAAAGAAATGTCTCGGTTACAATAAGAAGTTGTGGAAACCAAGGTTTTATCACGCAGATGAAGCCTCCAGGTAGCAGGCTTCAGAGAGAATAGAATGTAAATGTTTCTTATCAGACTTAAGGTCTGTGTTGATGTTAAATGCTGGCCACGTTTCCTGAATTCCTAAAGAGAGTAGGGTATAACGAGACATGTCTGACACCCCTTCCCGTCATGGCCTGAACCAGTTTTTCAGGTTAACTTTGGAGTGCCCTGGCCAAGAAGGGGTCCATTCAGATGCTTGGAGGGGCTCTAGAATTTTATTTTTTGTTAATATTTTAATCTTGGCTCTGTATGACCTCAAGAAAGGGTTTTATCAGCTTAGAGTCTCCACTTTCTCATCTGCAAGATGGAGGTGATAATAAACAGTCCACCTCACAGGGACTATTCTTGAGAGAATGAAACAAAATAGACCACCTGCTATGCACTTGGTACAAAATAAGTGCTCAAAATAAGTGCTCAATATCACCTCCCTTCCTCCTTTTCAAACCAAATCAAAGCCCCAAAGTTTCTTCTTCCTTTCTTTAAGTAAGAGTCAAGGTATGAGAATGCTCCAAGCTACTCTGCTCAAGACATTTTTCCCTTAAATTTGGCCCAGGCCATCTTGGAGGAAAATGGAGAGATTAGAAGGAGGCCTTGACCTGAAAAGGAATGATTTGAAGTATTGGAAACAAATGATAAACAAGTATTTCTCTACAGAGGAAAAAGTTCCAGTATAGAAGTTCTCTAGGATATGACAATTTCTGTTGGCACTTAAATGAATGAGCTTTAAAGGGAGGAATAGCAGTGTGATAATTGCTACCATTAATTAAGAGTTCACTATGTGCCAAGAATTCAAAGTCATAACCTCTCTTAGTCCTCATAACAATTCTTTAAGGTAAATGCTATTTTTAATCTCATTTATGCAAATGATGAAACAGAGGCTCGAAAAGATGAAGCAGTTTTCCCAAGGTCAGAGCCAGGATTTGATCCCAAGCCTACTTGACTCTAATCCTTGGCTTCAATTGCTATGGTGGATACAACTGGGATTTAGCCTAAGAAGTCAGAAGTCTGCGGTCCTGGTCCAGTCTTTATGTTTAAATCCCTATGTTTTCCAGAGAGTAATTCTTCCCTCCCCAAAGGGATGATTCCTTCAACTGTAAAATGAGAGAGCTGAGTTAGAATCAGGGTTTTTGTAGGGGTGGCACCACACCCAAGGATATTTTGGAAAAGTGTGGGGATAGTTGGTGCTATGATGAGAGGGCACTCAATGGTATTTCATGGTTGAGGACCAAGGTGAGTAAATGCCCTACATGTCCCAGAAAATATCTGTGTAGTTGAAAAAGTTATGTGAATGTAGAACCTTGCTCCATTTTACATCTAAAAACAAAACATTCTTATACCATTTTAATATCCAATGAATTTTCCAGAGTCAATTGAAGAAAGATTGTACTTTATTTTATGATAAATTTTACCAGGAGTTGGTCACTATTTGGTAAATCATATCACCAACAACAGTGCAAAACATGATATGCATTAGCAGAACATCGCCTCTCACTTTGCATTTGTACTGATTATCGATATAGTCACAAATGTCTGTGTATTTCATGAGGCCTTTGAGTGTAGTATTCCCCAGTTATTTGTATATTGAAACACTCATTACCTTATTATAAATTATTTTCTTTAGAGTTTTCTTTTGTAGAATGGTTAGGATACCATATTGATTAAAAATAAAATACATGTGTAAACAGGTTGTATTATCTGTGAACTTCACTTCAAGATATTTAAGGAGGTATTAAAAGATACTTGTTTCAAAAGAGGAATTCTGGGTGCAAGGAGGAATTCTGGGTGCAAGGAGAAAGGTTCTAACTTCTCTATTCACTGAAACAAAAGTCCTAATACAAAGCCAAGAATCAGGATGCCCAAGATACAGATATATTAATTTAATCAAGAATGACTTATTAGCACTGACTTTGAGCCAGGTACTGCTGTGGATTCTGGGGACACAGCAGAGAATAAGACGACCTGAGTCTCTGACCTTGTGAAGCATTCCCGGTAAAAAGCAAATGTCTATGTCTTAGTCTCTTGCTTGTGTTATAACAAAATACCATAGATTTGTTCATTTATAACAACAGAAATGTAGTGATCGTAGCTCTGGAGGCTGAGAGGTCCAAGATAAAGCACCAGCAGATTTGGTGTCTGGTGAGGGCCCGTTCCTTATAGATGGCACCTTCTGTGTGTCCTCACACACTCAAATAGGCAAAAGGACTCCCTCAAATCTCTTTACTAAGGGCATTAATCCCATTTGTGAGGGCTCCACCCTTATCTTATAACCTTACCACCTTAAAAAGGCCCCACCTCTTAATACTATCACACTGATGATTAAGTTTCAGTATATGAATTTCATTAGGACACCAACATTTAGACCATAGTAGCTCATATCTACTAAAGTTAAATATCCACCTAAACTATGGCAGTTTCACTACTAGGTATATGCTAAAGAGAAATAAGGTCACATGCCCACCCAAAGACATTATAAGCAAGTTCATAGAAGCTTTGTTCATAATAACCAAAAACTGCACAACCCAAATGTCACTCAAGAGGAGAAGGGATAAATAAATCATGGTGTATTCATAAAATGGAGTACTACAAAGTAATTTTAAAAAACAACTACTAACATGACAACATGGATGAATCTCATAGACATTATGTTGAAGAAAGAAATCAGACACAAAAATGAAAATACTATATAATTCCACTTGTATGAAATTGAAGAAAAGTCAAAATTAATTGATGGTGGTAAGTATCAGAATAGTAGCACACCTCCTGGAGACATTTTTGACCAGGAAGGTACCCAAGAGAAGCTTCTGGAAAGGTAAGAAAGTTCTATGTCATGGTATGAGTGATGGTTACACAAGTATATACAACTAATTAAAAGTTCATCAAGCTAGACTGGGCATAGTGGCTCACGCCTGTAATCCCAGCACTTTGGGAGGCCGAGGTGCGTAGATCATCTGAGATCAGGAGTTCAAGACCTGCCTGGCCAACATAGTGAAACTCCATCTCTACTAAAAGTACAAAAAATTAGCTGTGTGTGGTGGTGCACACCTGTAGTCTCAGCTACTCGGGAAGTGGAGGCAGGGGAATTGCTTGAACCCAGGAGGCAGAGGTTGCAGTGAGCCAAGATCATGCAATTGCACTCCAGCCTGGGCAATAAGAGCAAAACTCCATCTCAAAGAAAAAGAAAGAGTTCATCAAGCTGAGCACTTAAGATCAGTGCACTTGGACACACCTTAAAGTACCGACATTTTACCTGTTTGTTTTTTTTAAGACTCCATTTGAACACCCGAGTTTAAATAGTCACAAACAAAAGGCTTCTGGAATCAGGCATCTGGGTCCAAATCTCAGATTCTTCTTACCACTTCTTACTTTGTAAGATCTTGAGAAAATGACTTACCTTGTCTATGATTTCATTTTCTTTCATACAGCATGAGAATAATGGGAAGCAGATCACTATGCACTGGTTGCCAACTTGTCTGGGTGCAGTGAGACAGAACACATTCACACACAAGTTAAATGAAGCCGATTTATTACTTATACATAGGAAGCAAGGATAACAGAAGCCTGGGATTCATTGTAAGTGGGCCCCCAAGGCTCAGAAAAGCTTCCTAAGGCAGATGATGCTTCGTCTGCCTGTGCTCTAGTTGCACCGCAGCTAACGAACCAGAGAAAGCAGCCCACCCTGGGTTGTATTCCCTATGGTCACATGACATGCTGGGCTAAAGCACTGAAGGACACCCTGTTTCTTTCTCTTTTTTTTATACTTTTAAGTTCTGGGGTACATGTGCAGAACATGCAGGTTTGTAACATAGGTATACACATGCCATGGTGGTTTGCTGTACCAATCAACCTATCATTTACATTAGGTATTTCTCCTAATGCTATCCCTCCCCTAGTCTCCCACCCCCGACAGGCCCCGGTGTGTGATGTTCTCCTCCCTGTGTCCATGTTCTCATTGTTCAACTCCAACTCCCACTTATGAGTGAGAACATGCAGAGGACACCCTTTTTCTTTAGGAGGTCGGGGCAGGACTGGAACAGAACTCAGGTTGTTCCAGCCATCTCCCTCTTTATCTCAGATGCTACATTCCTGGCACATTCTACAGTTATTCTCAAGAACTACAAGTGGAAAAGGAGTAAAATCTGGGTTGGTCCAAGGCCACCTGGAGCACTGTCCTGCAAAGAGTAATTCATCCCTCTCTGGTTTGTTGAGTGCATTCAAGACATAACACGTGTAGACATAACACGTGTAAAAGTGTCTACCACTCTCCTTATTTTCAATAGCTATTTGTTTCTTCTAGACAAATTTCACACTCCATTAGCTCTGACTTCCCAAAACAAAGCTGTGTCAGTGATGGCAAATTTGTGACATTTGTGTTCCTCAATGCCCCCTCCTGAGCCTTGAAGGATATGGCTAATCTACTATGTCACTCTTCCCTGCTGACCCTTAAAATCCATCTCAACACAGTACTCCCTGAGGCTGCACCACTTCATGAGAGCTGGGCATGAAAGAAAACTTATTTGCCATCCTGGCCTATGTCATATTCATCTTTGCTTTGGCTGTAGTATCTGGTACAAGCACTTGTCAAGCTTGTGAGAAATGAAAAAAGAGCTGATATTTATTTCACATCTAAACTCAACACACTGAAGCTGGAGATTTTTTTACACGTCGTCTCTTAAATCCACACACAAAAAATTCTGTGGGGGCTCATGCCTGTAATCCCAGCACTTTGGGAGGCCCAGGCAGGCAGATCACAAGGTCAGGAGATCGAGACCATCCTGGCTAACACGGTGAAACCGCGTCTCTACTAAAAATACAAAAAAAATTAGCCAGGCGTGGTGGCGGGTGCCTGTAGTCCCAGCTACTCAGGAGGCTGAGGCAGGAGAATGGCATGAACCCGAGAGGTGGAGCTTGTAGTGAGCCGAGATCGCAGCACTGCCCTCCAGCCTGGGCAACAGAGAGAGACTCCATCTCAAAAAAAAAAAAAAAAAAAAATTATGTGGGGGGAAAAAAAGCATAATTCTTGTTAAGAAATAAAAAAATCAAGCTTATTTAAATAAGAAATGCCTGTCCACAGATGACGGACGGTTAAGCCAAGTTTAAATCCAGGTTTGCCTGCCCCAGATGCCCAAGGTCTGTCCACCATGGCATGCCACACTTCATCAACTGTGGACACCCAGTGCAAGTCCAACATTAAGAAAGTAAATATGTTCTCTCTTCCTTGGCACTGCCTATGGAGGCGGCAGCCATCTCCTCCTCAGCATCATGGCCACCTTCATACCCCTTGTGAAGCCCAAAATAGTCAAAAAGAGAACCAAGAAATTCATCGGGCACCGGTCAGACTGATATGTCAAAATTAAGCGTGACTGGCAGAAACCCAGAGGTAGTGACAACAGGGTTCATAGAAGGTTCAAGCTCCAGATCTTGATGCCCAACATTACTTATGGGAGCAACAAAAAAACAAAGCATATGCTGCCCAGTGGCTTCCAGAAGTTCCTGGCCCACAAGGTCAAGGAGCAGGAAGTGCTGCTGATGTGCAACAAATCTTACTGTGCTGAGATTGCTCACAATGTTTCCTCCAACAACCCTGGCCAGCTTTCTTTGGAGCAGTTATCTGTTGGACAGATTCAGGTCCATTAAAATTCTAAAGTATTTCCACTGATAAAAAAACAAGCCTAGAATCCAATGAACTATCAGTCTTTCTCAATGTGTGATGCAGGTCCCACTAGGGAGATACGAGCTTATATGTGATACATGCATGAACATTTTAAGTTTTCATAGTTATATTTATTTTAAAGTCTATTAGGAAAAAATATATAACCATCACATCAGATATGTGATTTCATTGATATTATTGATTAAGATGAGGCTACATTTAATTGAACCGCAAAGCCATCATGGAAAGGGCCACCCCGCTGGCCATCAGAGTCACCAACCCCAATGCCAGGCTGTGCAGTGAAGAAAATGAGTAAGCAGCTCATGCGCATGTTTTGTGTTTAAATAAAACTGTAAACACACACACACACACACACACACACACACACACACAAAACAGAAAAAAGAAAGTAGATATGCAATATCTACTGTCTTCCCTCAACAATAAAATCATCCAGAATTCAGAATGAGAAAAATAGATGTGTTATCCTATTAGAAGTGAGTTAAAAAGAGGATATAGGAAATTATTTCATGCCAAAAAGTAAATAAAAATAAGTGAGTTCTGATGGTTAAAAAAGAGCAAGACAGAATCAACAGCCTGCAAGACTAACAATTCACTGGCTGCTAATTCTGCAGACTGGCTTTTCAAATACAAGCACATTAGGGATTCTGCTAATGGAGCCAAAAGCACCTTCTCTAATTCCAAGTGAAGTGCGGATAGCCGCTCTCTGCCAAGCCTTGTTTTTCTTGCTTTCACTTTGGTTTGCTTCCTGTGGGTTTCATGTACCTCATCAGAAACTGAAGGTGGGAAAACAGAGCTGCTCCCTGACCAAAGTAAAGCTCTCGTAGGGAGGGCCAAGGGGACACACCGAGCACAGACCTCACGCATGTCAAGGCCACTGTTTTGAATCTGAAAGTACACATTGTAATGCCCTCTCCGCTGAGGAGGACATGACCACAGAGAGGAAACAAGAGAAAAGATGGGGAGGAGAAGGAATGCTAGAATGTCAGAGCCAGGAGGGCCTGTGGAGGTCACTTTGCCCATTTTCCCAAATGTCAATCATGTTGGCCATAATCCTATACCACCTGTACTATTACTTACTTATTCTCTTCCTTCAAGTAAGCTCACTTATTCAATTAAATGTAGCCTCATCTTAATCAATAATATCAAAGAAATCACATATTTGATGTGATGTTTATATTTTTTTCCTAATAGACTTTAAAATAAATATAACTATGAAAACTTAAAATGTTCATCCATGTATCACATATAAGCTTGTATCTCCCTAATGGGACCTGTCCCACACCTTGAGAAAGACTGATAATCCATTGGATTCTAGGCTTGTTTTTTAGCAGTGGAAATACTTTGGGGTTTTAATGGACCCCAATCTGTCCAATAGATAACTGCTCTGAAGAAAGCAGGCCAGGGCGGCTGGGAAATCTGGCCTCTTAGCATCTACATTGCTGACCACCTTGCTCAAGACCCCAGAGGTCACTTGGCTCAAGGCTCAAGAAGAAGCATTTGAGGCTAGGCACAGTGGCTCACACCTGTAATCCCTGCACTTTAGGAGGCCAAGGTGGGCAGATTGACTGAGGTCAGGAGTTCGAGACCAGCCTGGCCAACATGGCGAAACCCTGTCCCTACTAAAAATACAAAAAATTAGCCGGGTGTGGTGGCATGTGCCTGTAGTCCCAGCTACTCAGGAGGCTGAGGCAGGAGAATCACTTGAATCCAGGAGGCAGAAGTTGCAGGGAGCTGAGAATGTGCCACTGTACTCCAGCCTGGCAAAACAGCAAGACTCTGTCTCAAAAAAAAAAAAAAAATTTGAAACTCTGTTCCAGCTCCAGCTTTTGTTTTACAGAAAAGTAAATTAAAGCATGAAGAAGAGAAATGATGACAAGAGGTTGCACAGAAAGTTACTGCATAATAGATCTGGAAGCCAAAGTCCTTAATGCACATCTAGAGATCACGGCACTACCCTGTACCCTGGAAAATCTTCAACATGGGCCAAAAAGATGGCACATAATCTTCCTCCACCTCTCTCCCTCCACACCTACTGGTTTGAAGAAACATTTGAGCTGAGAGGAGAGGCAATCTGTGGCTAGGTAGAAAGGCAATGAGGTAGAATTTGGACAATTAATTGCTAGGGTGCTACTCGGGCTGAAAGTTGTTTGGACTGAGAATAGAAGACCAATGCATGGGAGCGTCAAGCTGACAGACACAACCCAAATGCACCTGCACCATGTGGACACCTTTGTTTCCCCAGTTTTCTTCAACTGGCTGAAGCATCTAGAAATGCACCCAAATGTCCAAATCCTACCTGAGAAGCTTTGAAGAATAATTTGATACAAATTCTACACCTTGATTCCTTTCTCACCTGCAGCTCCTCCCTCACCCACCGCTGTCCAGCCATGCCCCTCTAGCATCTTTGTGGGGTCTTTATGTCTAGGGACATCCAGCATCTCCATGTAGAGCAAATTTGCCATTGAAGCATCTTCAGGTCTCCTACCCATCCATCGTGCTGATCCATACAACACAAGCAGTGCAGCCCATTCTGCTGGTGATGAAGTCTTCCTCCTTCAAAGGCTGGAGAGGGGGTCATAAATAATAACACTTTAATAGTTTTTCTCATCCACCACAGCCTAGTTCAATATAAGAAATCATTTTCCAACAACCAGAACTTCCCCCAAAAAGCTGAGTTGACCACTACACACAATGATGTGCCTCCACCACTAGGGGATTGCTTGAAGGGGCACCATTGGGAGATTCTGGCCTCATATGAGGAATTGCACTGAATGACCACTAATATCCCCTTCCAACCCTGTGTTCTCTGGTTCTACAAGGGTTTTGTGGCCTTTGGGTCACAGTGAGGGAGATTATGAAATATACGGCAATTTGGGGGAGTATTTTTGATTGAGAAGCATCTTTGACTCTGGAACAGGAATCAGGAAACCTTTTTCATAAAGAGCCAGAGGGTACAAATAAGTTCTTATTGCAATTATTCAATTCTGTCATTGTAGCATGAAAGCAGCCATGGACAATATGTAAACAAGTAAGAGTTGTAATATTCCAATAAAACTTTATTTATAACACAAGTGGCAGCTGCGTCTTAAATCATTTCAAAATAAAAAGTTAATAAATGCTGACAGCAGGTGAGATTTGACCTGTTGGCTGAGGTCGGCCAACTCTTGCTCTGGAGGAAACCTGTCTACCTGGATAGCTCCCCTCTTCCTTCCTGCTTCACCCAGTCAATCATTGAGTGAGCCTAGTCAGTACCACCTCCTGAATATTATGCGACCACCCATAAGAGAGATAAGCCAGTTTCCTTAGGTAATCAAACCCACATCATCCATGAGGGAGGATCCCAAACTGACCTCCCCTTTTACAGACATGCACACATTTCTTAAAATGTCAATGATCCAGCCTGGGCAACTTGGCAAAACCCTGTCTGTATGAAAAATACAAAAATTAGCTGGGTGTGGTGACACATGCCTATAGTCCCAGCAACTTAGGAGGCTAAGTTAGGAGGATAGCTTGAGCCTGGAAAGCAGAGGTTGTAGTAAGCCAAGATGGCACCACCAGTGCACTCCAGCATGAGTGACACAGTGATGCCCTGTCTCCAAAAAAAAAAAAAAAAAAATCAATGGTCAGTAAAACTCCAGGTTGGAAGTGTTTTAGTCTTTCAATCAGGAGAACTATTGTCTATTTAGTAATGCTAAGTACAACCCTCCTCCCTTCCAGATTCCTAACTAATAGAGGGCAGAGGCAAGGAGCTCCATGAAAATCAAGAGACAGTACTACACTTCCATTAGGGAAGGCAAGTACAGAATAATTCCAGTACTTAGTGTTTTGGCTTTACTCTGTTGGAGAACATGGATGAATACAGACCTTCTCCAGTATTCTCCTCAACCCCTGAAGACCTTTAGGCCAATCCAGAGGAAAACCAATGCTCAGGAACCAACCCGAAGTTTACCTGAGCAAGAGCCGCTTTCTTGAATTTCTCTCATAACCAAAGCAGGAGACAGCAAGAGAGCAAGTACCACTGATCCCACAACCCTGCATTTCAATGCAGAGGCCCCATCACCCTGGTTACTGTGACCATAATCTTAGTGGTGATGTGGTGAGAACCTGGAATCCACTGGATTGTATTGACCAGAGGTCAGGGCCACTACACTGACTACAAGAAGGGGGCAGGAGGAGCAGGAGGAGGGACGTTCACTGCCCACAGGGGCAATTCTAATGAGATGCTGATTAGCTTAACCAATTAGCAACAGTGTCAGTAATAAAATATTGCAAATTGATCTATCTACATCTTATCTCATGTATTATTCTCAACAACCCCGGGAGATCAACATTCATATCAACGGCATTTATATATAATGAGTTGACTAGCGGAGAATGAATCCTAAAACTGGTTGAAACTAAGAAAACCTGGGTGTTTTATATGTTCATGGTGAAAACTTGAACTTACCTTTGGAGTCGTCCCATTGTTCTGGAAATAATCACTTAGTGATCCCTTTGAGTTACACCCGGGTAAAGTAATTTCATTCCTACCCACTGGTTTTGGAATAGGGACTTTTTATTATTGGATATGCAGCTTGGAAACAGCATGGGTTTAGAAGAAGCTGATAAGTAAATTGATGAAAGATCCTTTTTCATACTTTTTTTACATATATGAATCTACACATATATGTAGAAGGAACCAAGGACGCTTCCGGAAGAAGAGAGTTTAGTATTTAACTATTTATTAGAACACATCTGATGGACACGAGTGGACCCACCTGGGGCCAGGTGGTGGGAAGAAATGAAAGAAAATCACCAAGAGGAAGAGGGAGTGTGGTCTGGGCAACCCAGACCTATGTTTCTGGAACAAAATGCTGGTTCTAGGCAGTAAGTGGATGGTGCTGTAACTCACTGCAATGTGGCTCCGCAGGTGCTGAGCTGTGCCTTGGGAAGCCTGGCTTCACTTGGGTGAAGTGGAAGACCTGATCTCTTATGGTCAGGTCTTATGGTCAGGTCAGGTTACCTCTTATGACATTGATCAACTTACCATTTCTAAGCTTCTGTTTCCTTGTCTGTAAAATGATGATATTAATGATACTGTCAAAGCAGTTTCTAATACTCTCTTCCCTGGCAACCCAGGCCAATTGGGGAGAGTATTCTCGACCAAGGATTACCCAGAGAAAGACCAGCATCCACTGTTCTCAGATGAACCACAGCAAAAGCTGGCATTTCTCCAGACCACGAGGCCTTCCAGCTTCAGCAAGGGAACAAGGATCTCAGTAGCTATTTTTCTCATCTGCAGAGCACCAACAGGGGTTCTTGGGCATTCCATGAAAGGGCTCCTGAAGACAAGAAGTTAGAGATGACTGCACTGCCTGCCAATCTGAGCAGGTGGAGGGTTGGAGTTACAAAGTGACTGTTAGCAGTGGTTAGCAGTGAATTGTTTTGTATTTTGTATTTACATAAGCTGTTGTGGTCCAGGGACATCCAGGTAATGAGCATGGGGGCCAGATGGGGTCCAGAGAGGCTTAATAAGAGAAGCTCAGCAGTTCTTAACACTCACTACACATAGTATTTCACAGAGAGTTTCTAAAATAGATGGATGTTTGTGCTGAAACCTAGTCCAATTGAATCAGTCTTTTGGAGCAGAGCCCAGGAATTAACTATTTTTGAAAAGCTCCCCAAGTAAATATAATGTGTAGCCAGGTTGTGAAGTACAGAGCTAACCCAAGACAGATAAAGAGAGAGACAGAGAAAGAGAAAAAAAGAGAGATGCATTTTGTAGACCAGGAAGCTAAAGATTAGACATTCAGATGACCATCACAAGGTCATTCAGCTGATAAGTAGCAGAATCACATGTCATATTCAGGTCTGTCTGATTGCTGACCACATATTGATTTAACTCTAACATGGTCTCTTGGGGATTCTGGAGAATGAGGAGAGAAACTGACAGACAAAAGGGAGGAGAAAAGCACACCTTCTCCAACCTCAGCTTTCTCCTTGACCTGAAAAAAACATCCTTGCAGTAAATAAAGGGGGAATCTTGCATACAGACACAAAATACTACTTCTGCATGTCAATGAAAAGCCATCCAGCCTAAATCAACATATTTCAAGAAAAGTCTCTTCTCACACCCACCCCTTCCTCCCACCACCACTTATTTATAGCTGAAAAAGTTGTCAAGCTCAATACACTTGGGGTATCACTGGAAGGCAGGCACTGAAAGGAATGGAGAAAGTATGTGCCCGGTGTGACTTGGAATGTACTGGAATCACACCTGTAATGGGGCTCCCAGCCCACATAGAGCAGAGGGAGAGAGAGAGCGAGATATTGAGAGAGAGAGAGAGACCTCAGTGGGAAAATGCTGCAGATCAGACTGGTTCAGAGGCATCAGACATTACCAGAAAGGCCTTTATGAAATAGTCGTTTACAAGTGACTTCTGTTAAATCAAGTTTAGCATAAAGCTGCCTCCTTACATATTTTAAGTTCAGCCTAAGGATTTCTCTGTACATCATGAACTATAACAAGTGGAGGTGTAAACGACCATAACCTACACTTGTGCCAGTCACGAGTTTTGGTCAAGCAAATGTACAACTGTTCAAACCATGTTCAAATAAAGCAAACACCAAGCTGTAGCCAAACCAATTCTGTAACTCACTTCTGTTTTCTGCACCTCACTTCCATTTTCTGGGCATCACTTTCCTTTTTCTGTCCATAAATCTTTTTCCACCACGTGGCTGTGCTGGAGTCTCCGAGCCTACTCTGGCTGGGAAGGCTGCCCGATTCGCAAGTTGTTCATTGCTCAATTAAACTCTTTTAAATTTAATTTGGATGAAGTTTTTCTTTTATTACCTCTGAGCATGTGTGAGAACTTACTGAATAATATAATTAGAGCTATTATTTATTGACAGCCAATGCACCAAGTCTTCAGCAAAGACTTTAATGGGAACCATATCATTTACCACCCCATCCCATCCCCAACACCCCCCACCCCACAGCCCACACACAGATACATCTACACACAATGAGGTTGGTGGTATTATTCTTATTGTAATGATGATGAAACTGAGCCCTAGAGATGTAAGTAAACTGATCAGCCCAAGTCCCAAAGCAAGTAGTTATGGAGCTGGTATTCAACCCTAGGGGGAAAAATGATAGCAAACCTCATTTGTTACTAGGAGTGTGGGGTCGATTTGACTACAGAACTTCTGGCAGTTTCTGATGGCAGTAAAAATGCAGGCAAGAAGCCAAAAAAAAAAGCCTATTGGCAGCCTCCCCTCTTTCCCTATCTTCTCCTTGTCCTATAACTAGGAAAAAAACAAGGAGAACCTGCAAGGCACTTGCACTGGTGTACTGCTATAAGCAGATTGAGAAGGTCTCCAGAGACTATAGGAACTCAACCGGCTTTACCAAAGCACCTGCTTTACAGCTCCCTCTCTTAACAGCCTGTTTGTTTCAGGCCCTGTGTGGAATGCAGTCCCCTAGTCAGTTGAAACCAGTTTCTGACAGACCCTAGCAACTTACAGATGAACCCAAGTGAACTTTCCTCATTACCATGCTAATGTCTCCCGCCCAGAAGGAGCTATAAAGCAGAGGACCTATGTGCTGGCATGATGACTCACTGCATCTGCGCCACTGGGACCCCTTCCCTGCATGAGATGACGCACTCTCTCCCCCTCCATCGCCCCATAAAACTCTCCTGTCACTTTCCCTCAGGGAGACACTGCTTTGGAGAACACTCCCAGTGCTCTCCTTACTTGTGATGAGTAATAACACTCCTATGGATCGAAACCTGTGTTCTCGTGGAGAGTTGTTGGTTGCTTGCCAGGAAAATTAACCCTAGTTTTGTTTGGGTAACATTGCTAAGTGTTTAAAAACAGACTCTATGGGGAAAGAAAGCCCTGATCTGTGGCATTTGCCAGTTTTTGTGGCATAAATACAGCCACCATGGCCATTTTAAAGCTACAAAGTCGTCATGAACTATTTCACAAATTTCCTGAAAATGTAACAGGAGTTGATTGAACTGACTCCAGTACACCATGGAATTGATTTCATTCTAAGAATATAATGCTTGTTAGTTAGAAAAGGGATCCCCCATCCTCCAGTCCAAAAGCATCCAGATTGTTTTAGCATCCCTCAGTGATCTCATTCAAGGTTCTTCTCACAAGAACCAATGAGTAATTTACTTCAGCTCAGCAGACCCACACAATCTGGTTGAGTTGATTGCCATAAGCCATATACACTAATGAATTAAAGCTCCAGCCTTGATGGGCTGAAGATTCAAGGAAGTGGCACTCTAGACCATAAAAATAGATTAAATGGCTCTTGATAAACTGGAGAAAAGTTTCACCCAAGTCAAGATTGGGTTCAGTTACTGAAAGAGCAAATTAGAACTTTTAAAAGTTAGAAAGCAGAGTGAGAATGAACTGCACACATACGTCTTGGGGGCAAAAAGAAGGCCCCAATGAATCACAGACTACCAGTCTTTACAAATCAATATGAAATAAAACAGATAATAATGGGATTCCAGTAAAAGAAATGAGTGCTTCTTTTTTTTTACTGGATACTGAGACCTCTCGGGTTCAGATTTGCTTTGTTGCTTCCTAGAATGCTGGGTTAATTTGCTCTTCCTGGGGGAAAGTACGATGGAGTGCTTAAATGCACAGGCTATGGTTTTCTTGTCTGTAAAATAGTGATATTAATAATACTGTCAAAGCAGTTTCTCAGATAAATTCAATGGAATATTGACAAACATTTTATTTCAAACTTGGTGGAAGGGAAGAGACTTCAAAAAAAACTAGTTCAAAAATTTACTTTTGGGAGAAAAAATGACTTAATAAATACTATTCAACTGGCGTTTGAAAAGAGGAATATCTGGTTTAAAGGTTATTAGGACAGCATAAGGCTTAAAGAGTGTTGTGTCCTTAAATGTCTGATTAAAGGTTACTGAACACATCTAAAAAATAACAGCACAGTGGTGCCAATCTAGCTGCCCAGAAGGACTCTAAATCTCATTAAAATCTATCAGAAAGGCAAGGAAGGCATGGTGGTTCACGCCTGTAATCCTACAACTTTGGGAGGCCAAGGTGGGCGAATCATGAGGTCAGGAGTTCGAGACCAGCCTGGCCAACATAGCAAAACCCCTTCTCTACTAAAAATACAAAAAATTAGCTGGGCATGGTGGTGGGCGCCTGTAATCCCAGCTACTCGGGAGGCTGAGGCAGGAGAATCGCTTGAACCTGGGAGGCAGAGGTTGCAGTGAGCCGAGCTCGCGCCACTGTGCTCCAGCCCAGGTGACAGCACGAGACTCCAACTCAAAAAAAAAAAAAACTATCAGAAAAATACTACAGTGCTTTATCAGGAATGCTAGATCCTTCCCAAAGAGGCTGAAAATCCTATTAGCCTACAAAGTTCTGCTCCAGCTCAGGTTTGGGATAATTTCCTTTCATAGTAGCCATTACATAGGGCTGGTGTGAGGATTAAATGAAATGGCAACAGCTAACATACACTTGGGTGTTTCTCTTGTGCCAAGACTGGCAATGAGCTCCTTAATTCTGTTATGAAGTCATGCCACTCCCCACTTTAAAATTTTTTAGGGGCTTTGCATTGCACTTAGTAGAAAACACACTTCCTTATCCTTGTTTTCAAAGCCCTACATGATCTAATTTCATCCACTACCACTCTGCCTCTTGCCCATTAACCTCAGCTGCAATGACCTTATTTATGTTCTTCAAATACATTAAGCTGATTCCTGCCCCAGGACCTCAGCACAAGCTCTTCTCCCTGCCAGGGCTGCCCCTCCTTATTTTCTCATGGCTGATTTCAATGTGACGTTCGGAGGTGAGAAAGGCCTACCCTAACCTGTAAGTTGCTATCCAGTCACCCTTTATCATATCACTCCACTTAATCTTCTACAGAGTACTTATCTCTATCTGATATTTCAGTTGTGCATTTCTTTTCTGACTAGCAATTCCAGTAGAATGGAAGCACCTTTAGGGAAAGGGCTTTGTCTGTTCTGCTCAACTGCTTCCTCTCCCATTCCTAGTACAACACCTGGCACATAATAGGAGCCCAAAACATATTTGTTGAATGAAAAAGTGGTCTCAATCAACAGTCCCTAAAACCCTATGGCAAGGTCTGTTATTGTTACAATTTCACAAGAAAAACGGCACAGAGAGGTTGAGCAATTTGCTCATGGTCATAAGCTAGAAAATAACAAAGCTGAAATGCAAAGCTGAAATTCAAAGACCCCAGGCTTCACCTCTTCATCCTTACGCCTGTAAAAATAAACTTCTTCACCGATTCTTCCTGTTTTATATTAATATATTTCACATTTAGTCTAAGAAATGAAATACGTCTGCCTTTGCTTTAGATTTCATTTAAATTAGTTCCTCTACCATTCATTAATCAAAGAGCTAATGTTTTCTGTAAATTAAGAAAACGGAATATACCTATGAATGTCTGAATATATATTTTCTTATGACTGATCTTGAAAATTAAGCTGCTTATGACTTGTTCCTGTCTTCTCCCCATATGTGGTTCAAGGCCATTTTCTCCAGAGTGCTTCATTGGTTAGCTTACCCCATCTCAGCCACCCTTCTATTAGGTTGGTGCAAAAGTTATTGCGGTTTTTTTCCATTGAAAGTAATGGCAAAAAAACACAATTACTTTCTCACCAATACATAAATGCACATCATTTTCTACCACTTTGTCCTCATTTCTACTTAACCAACTACTCCTGTTGTATTTTTTATATGTATTGTGTATATAAGAAGCATGTTTTATACTTACAATTAGCACATTGGCTCCCAGAGACTGGGGCACATGCCCACTGGGCTTCCTATCCTAAGCACATGTACATGGGCACCAACAAGATGGTAAGAATCCCTGTACAGTTGCCTAAAAACAGAAAATGTGAATATATAAATAAAGTACATCTCCTTCTCCCTTCTCTGTTGAAATGCTTTAATGAAAAATTGTTTAACCACCATTATAATTTGTTCAACATATTTGCCACATCAAAGTGCATTTCTAATAACTTAAAAGGGTAGAAATTTAAATTTGTGTCCAGTCAAGAATCATAGCTGTCACTCAGTCTTTTTGTAATGATTATTTGAATCTCACCTTTCAATCATCGTCTCTTATTCTTGTCACAGAAAAAGGGATTCATTTAATCACAATCATTTCACTTAAATATAAAAATGTACAATTGTCAATTTAGTATTCATTATCTAAAATAATCATTGATGAGTATTTTTATTCACTTTTCTTTCAAGAAATAGGCATATCTTCTTTTCTTTTATTATTTATTTATTATCTTAAAAAATGAACAGCCTAATTCCAACTTTTGAGGCATATGGTTAAACTCCATAGAAATCATTCCTGAATCAAATCTTTCTACCAAGACAGTTCTTGTTTTAAAAGACTTCTCCCCATCCAATCCCCATGGCCTCTCTAGAGCAACTGAGGCACCAATATGAAAAGAACAATCCATCTGGCTTGAAGAATATCAGACTTCTATTGATGTTTTGATGCACGCCAGTACTGGTGTGTCAAGCCAATGTTCAGTTTGCTTATAAAGGGGTAAATGATGCTGGTAAATGTTGACATTCACTAGATGCCTATCCACACTGCACAATTCCTCACAATCCCTTCCTGTGTTAGTTTCCACCCATTACCATAATAATGCACATTTCCTATTAAAAATAGGACTTTTATTAGTTGTGAATTTGTTTCACATAATCAAATGACGGTAGAAACAAGCATACCTGGCCCTCAGGAATATGTGGACCACAGGCAGGGTGTTCGTTGTCCATCCTCATCTGTGCTTCACTCTGTGGATTAGTGGATTTTTTTTTTCTTGGCAGATTGGCTTGATACACATGACAGAGGATCTGGTTATTACCGACTCCAGACACCTGCTTACAATGTAGCTGAGAGGGATACCAATTACCTTCAAAAATCCCAAGGAAGGGTTCTAATTTGTCCATCTTGGGTCAGGTCCTCATCTCCAGCCTATTCCCTGTTGTCAATAGACTTCTTTGTCTTTTCCTAGTTTTCTACAAGAAAAACTTTCTTTTCCTAGTTTACTAGTAGTCTACTCGTTCTCTACAATTTAAGTGGTAATCAAGACAACTTATATTTAAAATATGGCCAATAAAATTAGATGTTAGGTAAGCTGGTCACCCTGACTGGACCCCCACAGCAACACTTCAATTTGTTGACCATAGTGTGGGGTCCAGCCTGCAGTCTTGCAAGGTAAGAGGTGACTATCAGTACAAAAAGAATAGATCTGAATCCTGGGTGGTTTCAAAATTCGCCAAGCTCTTAGGGTTTTATGCATAAAAATCATTCATGGGGAGAGATATAACTACCAAGTAGACAGCTTCCTATATTTACTACTCAGCACTTTTTCTTCCTATAGGCAAATCCAAATGTGAAGCCAAATGTGATCCAAAAGTTACTTAACAATCACAGAATCAGAGGAGAAATGAATGAGATCATCTTAATGGCTGGCACCCAATAGCAAATGCATGCTCTCCAGAGACAGTGCCAATTCTAGACACTTTGAATTCCTTCCTTTCATACATGCATGCCAACCACCTCTTACTCTTAAAACACAAAACAAAACAAAAAAAAAAACAACTCTTTCTTCAAATGTAGAATACAATCTTTATTTAGGTATACAAATTTTTATTTATATTTAAATAAATCCCTCCCAGAATTTCTACCCAGATGACCTGGATTAGATTTGAGGTATTCAGATAATACTACATCATTTCTAGAGACCTCCCTCCAATTTCTGCTTTTCCTAATTTTATTCCTGGAGGTGTGACTTTCAGTTTTCAGAATACCATGTACCATCTAGAATACTCAGGAAACACACACACACACAGACACACACATGTTAGGGCTATTTTTAAAATAAGAACAATTTTCACAAAGCCTAAATGGAAAATGCTAAATGCAAAGCTTCTTTCCATCTTTATAAGCATATAAAAGATACCTTGCATTTCAAGCCATCTGCAATATTGACATCTCAATTTTCAAAATAGCCAGCAATTCAGTAGCATTAATAGGCACAGGCTACCTAACTTCATAATAAATCTTACTTTTATAAATCTGATTGCTATCACTACCAGGAGTTTAAACCTTATGAGCAAAGAAATGTATAAAAATTAATGGTACTTGCATAAAAGGAGTATCATCTTACAAAAAAAAATGTTCAAACTAGAAAGTACGGTTTCAGTAAAACTTTGTTTATAAAAACAGGTAGACTGGATTAGGCCTGTGGGCCGTGATTTGTCTAGTCCAGTGTTTCTCATATAGTGTTCTATCAGCATTTGTTAAATGCATTTGTTAACAATGGAAACTCTCAGGCTCTGTCCCAGACCTATCAAATCAGGGACTCAGGATGGCGTGCCTAGTACTCTATTTTAACAAGTCCTCTAGGAGATTTTGGTGTAGGCTAAAATTTGAGAACCACTATTAGTCTTCCAGATTACCCACAGAGGAATCTCCCATCCCATAAAGTATTAATAACTAATGTGACTGATAGGTCCAACTTCACCAAATACCCCCCACCACTCTATTTCCCTCCTCTTCTGAAGTTCCTACTCCAATATCCCAGGGGCTTATGTATCCCAATCCTCGTCTCAGTTGACATTACTCCTGTCTTGCTGCCCCAGACACATCCTCCTTTTTCCCACCAACTAGAACTTGGCCACTCTCTTGAATTCTGCAGCTCCTCAAGGTAATATATTCTCACAAAGCCACCATTTCCAAAGCACCCCTACCCTACAACACTCCCAGACTGGCAGGGAGCTGAAGTTTCCAGTCTATGCCAAATGTCCCAGAATCACCCTTCGTCCTCTCTGCCTTACTGTCCCCCTGTACCACTCCACTTCCATGCCCTGACCCTAGGGCAAGTGACAATTCTTTCAAGGGAAAAATCAGTACCCGCTTTTCACATTAACATTGTATAACACTCTGCAGCCCCACCATCATGGTAGTCCTGCCTTATTTGAGGTTTTGCTTTCTGCAGTTTCAGTTACTCATGGTCAACTGTGGTCTGAAAATATTAAATGGAAAATTCCAGAAACAATGAATACATTTTAAGTGTTGCACCATTCTGACAAACATGCTGAAATCTTGCACCATACCATGCCATCCCTTTGTCCAGCATATCCACTCTGTGTATGTTAGCTGCCTGTTAAGTCACTTAGCAGCCATCTTGGTTATCAGATCAGAAAAAAATATAATATACACAGTATAGACTTTTGGGGTTTTTGTTGTTGTTTTTGTTTTTGAGATGGAGTCTGACTCTATCACCCAGGCTGGAGTGCAGTGGCACGATCTCAGCTCACTGCAACCGCCGGCTTCCGGATTCAAGCAATTCTCCTGCCTTAGCCTCCCAAGTAGCTGGGATTATAGGCACGTGACACCATACCCGGTTAACTTTGTATTTTTAGTAGAGATGGAGTTTCACCATGTTGCCCAGGCTGGTCTTGAACTCCTGCCTTCAGGTGATCCACCTGCCTCACCCTCCCAAAGTGCTGGGATTACAGGTGTGAGCCACTGAGCCCAGCCCATGGTATAGTTTGTTCCTCCATGGTTTCAAGCATCCTCTAGGGGTCTTGGAACATATCCCCCATGGATAACAGGGCACTACTATACTGCAACAAAAATAGAATATGTGTGACCATGCAGCTTGCATTGGAAAGACAAATAATATTAACACATGTCCTCTCCCCCTCCTCCGATGTTTTCCGTTATCACTGAAAAACGAACTTTCAAAGTTTCTACTAAGCTTTGGGTTGATGGAGATTTAGGAAATATTGATTTCCCTTTGATTATGAAAAGCCTAGTCGGGAATGGAGATGCCAAAGAGTGGGGATCCCATGGGGGTACAAGGGGAAGAAAATAAGGAAACAACTCTGACGAATAATCAGATGGGATCCCTGGTGTTAGGAGATCAATGTTTGACTTTCACTGGACAAGCTCACAGAAGCAGTCTGGAGGATTGGGTAGGGGTGGGGGACAGGCTGGACTGTAGAAAGGAAAAGAAATTCCTGACAAAAACCATTTGTCAGGAATCTGGTGCCTAACCATGCACATGGCTACCAGTAACAGGGGCCATCATCACCTATTGTTGCTTCCCTAATTCGCAAACTATAAACTCTGTCACCTTGACATCAGACTTGGGGAACAGAATGAGAGTCAATCCTGTTAAGGGAGAAAGTACCTGACCTTTGTTGGAATGTTCTGAACTCAGACAGGCATAGAGTAGGAGAATGATGGCAGTTTCTTTTGTGAAGA
This sequence comes from Homo sapiens, assembly GCF_000001405.40. Classification (NCBI taxonomy): domain Eukaryota; kingdom Metazoa; phylum Chordata; class Mammalia; order Primates; family Hominidae; genus Homo; species Homo sapiens. The sequence continues at coordinate 13,632,687 of NC_000004.12, read as the reverse complement.
TCTCACCTCTTCTATGCCCTAACTACTGCTAGAAATTATATACTCTTTTCCTTTCAGCCGGAACCGCTGTCTTCCAGTAATTCGCCAAAATGACGAACACAAAGGGAAAGAGGAGAGGCACCCGACAGATGTCCTCTAGGCCTTTTAGAAAACATGGAGTTGTTCCTTTGGCCATGTATATATGAATCTATAAGAAAGGTGAGGCCAGGCTTGGTGGCTCACACCTGTAATTCTAGCACTTTGGGAGGCCGAGGTGGGCGGATTGCCTGGGCTCACAAGTTCAAAACCAGCATGGGCAACACAGTGAAACCCCATCTTGACTAAAAATACAAAAAATTAGCCAGGCATGGCAGGGCATGCCTGTAGTCCCAGCTACTCAGGAGGCTGAGGCAGGAGAATTGCTTGAACCCAGGAGGCGGAAGTTGCAGTGAGCCAAGATAGCGCCACGGCACTATGGCCTGGACGACAGAGTGAGACTCTCTCTCCTGTCTCAAAAAAAAAAAAAGGTGATATTGTAGACATCAAGAGAATGGCTACTGTTCAAAAAGGAATGCCCCACAAGTGTTACCATGGCACAACTAGAAGAGTCTACAATGTTACCCAGCACGCTGCTGGCATTGTTGTATACCAACAAGGGCCTGATTCTTGCCAAGAGAATTAATGTGCGTATCGAGCACATTAAGCTCACTAAGAGCCGAGATAGCTTCCTGAAACACATGAAGGAAAATGACCAGAAAAAGAAAACAAAGAGAAAGGTACCTGGGTTCAACTGAAGTGCCAGCCTGCTCCACCCAGGGAAGCACAGTTTGTGAGAACCAATGGGAAGGAGACTGAGCTGCTGGAATCTATTCCCTATGAATTCATGGCAAAATAAGTGTTAAAAAAATAAAAGACCTCTGGACTGCAAAAATGTTTCTCTTCGGCTGGGCGAGGTGGCTCATGCCTGTAATCCCAGCACTTTGGGAGGCCCAGGCAGGCAGATCATGAGGTCAGGAGATCGAGACCATCCTGGCTAACACAGTGAAGCCCCGTCTCTACTAAAACTACAAAAAAAATTAGCCGGGCATGGTGGCGGGCACTTGTAGTCCCAGCTACTCAGGAGGCTGAGGCAGGAGAATGGTGTGAACCTGGGAGGCAGAGCTTGCAGTGAGCCAAGATCGCACTACTGCACTCCAGCCTCGGCGACAGAGCAAGACTCCGTCACAAAAAAAAAAAAAAAAGTTTATCTTCATTGAGTAGAAGTGTGGTGTCTTCTCCCTTAAAGAAATATTTAAAGCACATTTTAATTGTGTCCTAATTCATTATGTAATGTCTTTACTGTTCAAATTTAACGTATTTCTTGCTGAAAAATGTGAGGTAGCTTATTGTGGAACAAATTACTCAATTGGTTAGAAAATGGCAAGATATTATTTATGAAATATTTGTACTGGTTTGAATATAGTCCCTCTAAATCATCATGGAAGAAATAAAATAATTTACCAAAAAAAAGAAATTATATACTCTTTTCTAGAGAGACAATCAGGAGGAAACACAGCAAAGACGTCATTGGTAGGAAATGCTGACTGCTTAAAGCAGTCTTTTAAAAAGATTTAAATGTATGCTTTTTGTTGTTGTTTTTTGGGTATTTAAAACACTCATCCCTAGGACCTGTATTCATACGAAAAGAAAATCACCTTGGAACAGCCAAGGCAGTGCAGATCGGTGACCCAGATTCTTTTCAATGTATCTAGAATGTTTTTCAAGGCTACAAAATTGTTCAAGTTACATTGCAACCAGTATAATGTGTCTACCCAGTGTAACTTGAACTCAGAGATACAAAGATGTATCTTTTAGATTCAGTGTGTGTTATTCAATAAGGCAATTAGGGCACATTTGAGAAAATGGATTGTGAACCATTATAAAGTTCTCATCTTCTTGCATTGTAGAAAATATTTAAGATTTTCTATATACTGTTCACAAAACAAATTATTTATTAGCCACTGACCCAATTCATTTTTAGCAGTAAATACTTTATTGTCTCATTACTTTTTTAAACTTGGACATTATGCCTAATTAAATTTGTAAAGTTTTTCAGAACTTTTATGGATGATTTCTACTTAGTTATTCCCAAAAAGCTGAATAAATTTGATTCACACATCCAAATATACCAAAGAAATACCATGTCTTTTTATCATACCACACACTTAAAAACTTATAAACTTAGAATATAGCAACATATATTATATTGTATTGTTGGTAATTAAGTAAATGTTATAGTCTCACCTTTTCATAACTAATTTTTATTTTTTTTTATTTTTTTTTTGAGACCCAGAGTCTCACTCTGTCGCCCAGGCTACAGTGCAGCGGTGCGATCTCGGCTCACTGCAAGCTCCGCCTCCCGGGTTCCTGCCATTCTCCTGCCTCAGCCTCCCAAGTAGCTGGGACTACAGGCGCCCACCACCACGCCTGGCTAATTTTTTGTATTTTTAGTAGAGACGGGGTTTCACCGTATTAACCAGGATGGTCTCGATCTCCTGACCTCATGATCCGCCCATGTCGGCCTCCCAAAGTGCTGGGATTACAGGCGTGAGCCACCGCGCCCGGCTCATAACTAATTTTTAAAATGAATAAAACATTTATATTTTACGCTATTTTAGTCTTGTAATCTTGACTGCTTTTTTTTTTTTTTTTTTTTTTGAGACAGGGTGTCACTCTGTCACCAAGGCTGGAATGAAGTGGCACCACCATAGCTTATTGCAGTCTTAACCTCCTGGGCTCAAGCAATCCTCCCACCTCAGTTTCTCAAGGTCTGCAACATCACACCTGGTTACTTTTTTGTTTTGTTTTGTTACTGGTCTTGAACTTGTGGCTTCAAGCCACCCACCTGCCCCAGCCTCACAAAGCTCTAGGATTACAGGGGTTTGCTGCCACGCCCAGCCTTGACTGCATATAGTAATTAATCTTTTAAGATTCATATCCATGACTTTCTCCTCTCTGCTATCTTCATCAAACTCCTCAAAACACACAGGATACTCTGAATTGAAACAATGAAGTCAAATTGTTTCTGATTTAAAGTAAATCTGATTTGTCTAGTTTGACAATGAAAATGGGCTCTGTTAATTAGGTTATAAGGTAAACATTTAACATTCTTAACAAACCTTTTTTTTTCTTGTTTTTGAGAAGGGTCTCACTCTGTTGCTCAACCTGGAGTGTACTGGCCCCATCATGGCTCACTGCAGACTTGACTTCTTGGGCTCGGGTGATCCTCCCACCTAATCCTCCCAAGTAGGTAGGACTACAGGTGCACGCCACTACACCGCCTAATTTCTTTTATTTTTTTGTAGAGGTGGGGTCTTGCCATGTTGCCCAGGCTGGTCTTGAACTCTGGACTCAACCGATCCTCCCGCCTCAGCCTCCCAAAGTGCTAGGATTACAGGCGTGAGACACTGTGCCCAGTGACAAAGATTTTGAACTTGAATGAGCTAAATCTGCAGTTGCAAATTTTGACAAAAACATAATTTAACCACCTGATAACAAAAATAAATCTTATCCAAAACTATTTATGAAAATGAAAAATGTTTAGATATTCTCCAAACTTTCAGTATATCAGGTGAAAGGTACACCTCATTGAAAAAATCAGGTCTAATTCATAGTCATTTGGTATCTTGGTAAAACCTATCTGGTATATTTCCCAGAATCTGAAAGAGTGAAAAAATAAGGATTAAGTAAACAAATCCTTTGGCAAGCCAGGTGGTTTTCAGCTCTTTGCTTTCCATAAAATAGAAGGAGGGCCTAATTGAAGTCAGCTCATAGATAATCAAATCTAATTTTTTGAGGTCAAGAATTGAATGATATTGCTACAACAAAACTCTTCCATTCCTAGGCACAGTACTTGTTTATATGAACAAGGTTTCTCAGGGCACACAGCTATAAAAATTACAAATAGGAATAGAATTGATGCTCAACCCTTCTTTTCCTACTAATAAGATATATTCAGCCACAGATGTAGGAACTTTAAAAAGCAACAATATGCATTTTTCAATAAAGTTACACACACTATTTAGTAATTATGAAATTTTCTAATATTTATGTTGCTTTGACCACGTACTAATAATAATTTCAAAGATGATGCAGTCCAAAAGCAGGTGATTTGCTAGCTGTGTAATCTTACTCAACATACTTAATTTATCTGAGCCTTGGTTCCCTGATTTGCAAACTGGGGACAGTAATCAGACCTAGCTCTTAGTGTTTGTCCAAAGATTAAATGCGTTAATACATGTAAAAGCACTTAACGCCACGCTTGGTACATAATATGTGCTATAGATGTTTTACCTGCTATAATCATAGTAATCAATAGCAAATCTCCTAAAAATAAAAGCCTGTCGATTTGTCTTCACAGATAGGAAGAACGGGCTGGAGGGATCGGATCTAATCCACAGGCACACTGCCAGAAACAAGGGACCCCCACGGGGAAATGGTATGTGCAGGCAGAAGAGAGACAGAAGGAACTTGGAGCTACCTGCTGGGACAAGAATAGTGCAGGATCACAGGCTAAGAACGAAGAGGGTTGGGCGAAGTTAGAATGAGCAGATCCACGTAGGGTTCGCATTACAAATGTCTATGGATCTCTATGCACTGCTCCGGGAAACTGGAGCAAGAGAGGCAGGCCTAAAATGCCGTCGCGGATGAAGCGGGGCCAGAAACGCACTGCCCCCGCTCAGACCTAGGGCCCCAGGTGTCGCGCGGGTCGAAGCCCTAACCTCCAGGGACTCCAGACCCCTGCCGGTGACCTAAACCCCACAACCCGCGACCAGCACAGTCTTGTCGTCTCCGTCGCCACAGTCGCCGCCACTTCCGGCGCAGCTCGGCCTCGCGAGGGCGCTTGCGCCCGGCGACGGTCGAAACTGGCTCTTCGCGGCCTCCGTCGCCGGACTTTCGTCAATGTTGTCACCGTCTTTTCCTCCTTTCCCCCAGTTCCCTTTCACTTCCGGGGTTGCTCTGGATCCGCTGGTTCCGTAACAACATCCCGTTGGCTTCCCTCAGGCGGCGGGACCAGTGCAGCCGCCGCCTCCCAGGATCGTCCGCCGGTCAGGGCCCTTGCCCTCCCCGGCACAGGCCACCATGGCCACCAACCCACAGCCGCAGCCGCCTCCTCCGGCGCCGCCGCCTCCCCCGCCGCAGCCGCAGCCGCAGCCACCGCCGCCGCCGCCGGGCCCCGGGGCTGGCCCCGGCGCGGGCGGGGCGGGCGGCGCGGGTGCGGGCGCCGGGGACCCGCAGCTCGTGGCCATGATCGTGAACCACCTCAAGAGCCAGGGGCTCTTCGACCAGTTCCGCAGAGACTGCCTGGCCGACGTGGACACCAAGGTTAGGAGCGCGCCGGGTTTGGGGGTCTGCGAGGGAAGGGGAGGACCCAAGGGCGCGCTTCTTTTGCAGTGGCTTCCTCTTGGAGCTGCAGCTGTGTGCCACGGACTGTGCAAAGCACAGAGTGTTCATTCCTTAGCGTGTCCTTTGGTTCGTTTTACCGACTAGTGTTTAAGTACCTACTACGTGCCAGTCATGGTTTCGGCACAGTGATTACCCCGGTCTGATGAGCAAGACTAAGGCATTGTTCTTACAGGAACTGGTTTGGAAACAGTGGCGCTAACAGTAGCCAGTTTTGTATTCATTCTCATATCTGATGATTTTACTTTGTATCGAAGTTATGTTTGCCTTCTTTCTTGAAGGTTTCTGGGCGGTAAGGGCCTTTATCCTTTGGAGAAATGACTAAATGGTAATTGAATCAAGTTATGTGTAATATGCTTTGCTGGACATCGTGGGGGTGGGAGCGCAAAGATAAGGAGGCAAACCTGAGACAGGACTTTAGTATTGTTTCTAGCAGTGATTGCCTGATTTAGGTAACTTAGGCCATGTCACCATTCTAAGGTAAGAAGGGACAGGAAGGTGGGGTAGAGAGAACCGAGTCATTCAGTGGAGAAAAGATGCAGGAGAGGTGACAGCAGATACTGAAGTGGAGAAAGGACAGGAAAGAGAGCAGATTCAGGAGAGTAATGTAGAGAAGGGAAAGGACAGCAACAAGGTTCCCTGTCCAGAAAGAGAGGCTGGAAAGGGGAAGGGATTTTGTACCAAATGTCAGAGTGAAAGGGACATTAGCAGGAACAAGTAAACTTAGCTGGATTGGCAAAGAATTAGCCAAAGACACCAGGAAAGAGCAGTCAGTGAGATGGATGGAAAACCACAGTACAGTCTAGAATTCTGGAAGCAGAAAGCATGTTGGAAAATTAACTGGTTTGTAGGGGTTGTTTTTGTCTGCTTGTTAAATCTGGTTGGGTCCATTGGATTGGAGTTTTGATGAAATGAGGGTTTCCTTTTTTTTTTTTTTTTTTTTTTTTGAGACAGAGTCTCGCCCTGTCGCCAGGCTGGAATGCAATGGCGTGATCTCGGCTCACTGCAACCTCCGCCTCCCGGGTTCAAGCGACTCTCCTGTCTCAGCCTCCCAAGTAGCTGGGATTACAAGCGCGTGCCACCACGCCCTGCTAATTTTTGTATTTTTAGTAGACACAAGGTTTCACCGTGTTGGCCAGGATGGTCTCGATCTCCTGACCTCGTGATTCGCCCAGTAGGCATGAGCCACCGCGCCCGGTCGAGGGTTTTCTCATAGTATGTTTAGTTGTTCTGAGGAGCTTTGTATCTTTGAGAAATGCATGTTTACAACATCCACAGTTTCTTCTAAAGCTTTCAGGTGAACTGCACACAGTTCCACTATGTCTTCTGGGGAAACTCTTGAATATCCTGGTACATCTTCCTTTATAAGGACTCATACTGGGCCCACTATGTAAAACGTGGTTTTTCGGGATATTGGAGGTTTTGCACCACAGAGAATTCAATTCACTTGGGAGTGTTCATCTATTTAGGAAGTATAGTTTTTTTTACTTTTGTCTTCAGGAATATGCACTGCTACCTTTTAGAAATAATTTCTATTGCCTTTATTATTTTTGTTGTTATTTAATGGGAAAAGGTTAGACATGGCCAGGTAAATGTTATCAAATAAAGTTAGTTATTCGTATTCAACAAGTGGAATTTTTACTTTGCTGTTCTCAGAAACCCATGAATCTGTGTGTTCTCAGAAACCCATGAATCATTATGTATACAAATTAAAAATTGTAATGTACTGCTGCAATGTCTGAGGCTCAACTTTTTTATTATCCTATTCCCACAAAATGTTATTGGTATGTGTCTATAATATCCCTGCCAGACCCTTCAAAGTAAAGGATTAAAACCTTTTTTGGAGGGAAGGAGGGAAGCACAGTATCTCTGATCATCTAATGAAAGTTAGGACCTTCTCTCAAGAAAAATGCGCAAGTAACACATTAAAACGCTGTTTTTCTACTTCAGAATGGTCAACTATAGGCAATTTCATGAGAATCAATCTAATAACATATACAGTTTCAGTGAGTTCAGGAACCATGGAATAAGAACCTATTTTAATGTTCTTAGCCTCTTTTTTGAGGTCAAGAATTGAATGATATTGTTACAACAAAACTCTTCCATTCCGAGGCACAGTACTTGTTTATATGAACAAGGTTTCTCAGGGCGCATGACTATAAAAATTAGAAATAGGAATAGAATTGATGATCAACCCTTCTTCTAGTAATAAGACATATTCAGCCACAGATGCAGGAACTTTAAAAAGCAACAGTATGGCCAGGCCCGGTGGCTCATGCCTGGCCACCGTGGGCCAAAGTAGAAGATTCCCTGTTCATGCAAAGAACCATCACTTTAATGGAATCCTTGAGTTTCATCTGCCACTTGAACCTCAAAGACTGACCTGCTTTCTGTCAAAAAGTCTTAACTTGTAGCATATAGAGTTATAGTGGATTATGTCTGTCACGTGCATATTTAAGAATGAAGACATTTGATACCTGCCAGGTGCTAAGAGCAAAACTGTCATCCAGTTTAGTGTGTTTAAACCAGGATGAGAAGTACCAAAGTCTGCTGCTACACCAGAAGACCACAGAACCCTGGTCTTCTGGGAGGCCGAGGTGGGTGGATCATTAGAGGTCAGGAGTTCGAGGCCAACCTGACCAAAATGGTGAAACCCCATCTCTAGTAAAAATACAAAAAAAGTAGCCATGTATGGTGGCACATGCCTGTAGTCCCAGCTACTCGGGAGGCTGAGGCAGGAGAATTGCTTGAAGCCAGGAGACAGAGGTTGCAGTTAGCCGAGATTGTGCCAGTGCACTCCAGCCTGGGAGACAGAACAAGACTTGGTCTAAAAAACAAAAATTTTTAAAAAGCAACAATACACATTTTTCAATACAGTTGCATATACTATTTAATAATTATGAAAATTTCTAATATTTCTGTTGCTTTGAGAAATTAGAACTGAAATGACACCCTCCCAGACAAAAAAGAACACTCAGCTATGGTTGAAGTTCTGGTGCTCAGACGCTAGCTTAAACTCTCCCACAAAATCTCTCTCTCTCTCCCCCTCCCTGCCACTAACCTCTGTACCTGCTCCTGGTTATGTTACAGGTTATGTTCTGGTACTTCCTTTACCCCATGACTCTCTCCTTCTCTTCTACTCCCTTAGTTAGCAATTAGGTAGATTTTAATTTGATTTAAAAGATTTGTTCTCATTGAATACCATTTTATACTTCATTTTCTTATTTGAAAAAAAAAAAAATATATTCCCCCCTGCTTCCCAAAAAGCCAAAGTTTTCTTCATCAGAACATAACATTCATATCAATATGATGAGTGGGCCAAAGTAGAAGATTCCCTGTTCATGCAAAGAACCATCACTTTAATGGAATCCTTGAGTTTCATCTGCCACTTGAACCTCAAAGACTGACCTGCTTTCTGTCAAAAAGTCTTAACTTGTAGCATATAGAGTTATAGTGGATTATGTCTGTCACATGCATATTTAAGAATGAAGACATTTGATACCTGCCAGGTGCTAAGAGCAAAACTGTCATCCAGTTTAGTGTGTTTAAACCAGGATGAGAAGTACCAAAGTCTGCTGCTACACCAGAAGACCATAGAACCCCCCTCCAAACTGTCCAGGGTCATTGATAGTCCTTAACCAGGAGAGAGATCTGACTGTAACAGACCAAATCAGCCCTTCCCACCCAAAGAAATGGAACCATGGGCAACCCTAAGCTCCAACTACTGCAAAGACTCCTCCGTTATAGACTACCAGTTTCCAGATCTCTGGAGCAAGCTTAGTGGTTACAAAGCCATTCTGTCTCCTTTGCACTGATTAGCATCTGGAGCGTGTGAGGAGGGATGATCAAGAGGCCCTTCAGGGAGCTCGCCAGCCAGGTAAATATGGTACCTCTCTTGTCAAGTAAGAAAGTCTGATTTTTTGGACACTTTCTTAGTTATAAATGGCCCCTGGTCAATTTATTCACCCAACAAACATTCATTGAGCAACTCTTATGTACCAGTCATTTTTTTAGGTGCCAGGGATACAGCAGTGAACCAAACATCCCACTGTTATGGAGCTTACATCCTAGTAGAAAAAAAAAATAGACAACAAGTAATGTATGGTAGGTCCTATGGAAAAAAGCAAGATGAGGGATGGATGGGCTTACTGTTTTATTTCGAATAAGCTGTTCAGGGTAGGTTTCAATGTGATGATACTTGAGCCATCTGTGAAGGAATTGAAGGGGCAATGCAGCTGTCTGGGGCTTGAGCATTCCAAGAAGAGAGCATAGCAAGTATAGAAGAGCTGAGACAGACCCACTAAGGGGAAAGTGACAAGAGGTGAGGTAGGTATGCCTTCACAGATCTGGCAGGTCTTGGGAGCCATCAGAAGACCTTGGCTTTTACTCGAGCTCAGAAGCCATTGGCAGGTTTTGAGCAAAAGAAGGACATGATCTGACTTCCATTTCAGATGGGTTGACCACGTGTAATAGCTTCCCCTTTCTTGCTAAGTTGTGATTTGAATGGGTCAATAAATTACATGGTTACCTGATTTTTAGAAGACAACTTTGTTGTAGGTAAGGATAGAATTCTGCATGAGGCCAGTTGTTATAATTCAGACAGATGAGAATGCCTTGGAACAGATTGAGGTCAGTAAAGGTAGTGGGAAGTGGTCAGATTCTGGGTGTATTTTCATGCTACTGTTGAGAGAATTTGCTAATAGTATGCATGTGAAGTAGAAGACAAAGGGAGGACTCAAGGATAACTCTAAGGCTTTTCACCAAAGCACTGGAAAAGGAAGAAAGGGTGGAAGTATGTGTAATATATGTGTGTGTGTATATATGTGTACATGTGGGTACATACATGTTCCTAGGAGAATACTTCTCAATGAATACTTAATATTTCTCTAGTTGCTCAACTTTTTACTGAAAGGAGAGCTTGAAAACAAGGAAAATTACCTGTTGAGTAGTTCAGATTTGAACTTGTTCTGGGAAGACTAGACTAGAATGCCAAATGCATTGTGATGTTAGAGCCTAATGAATGTGTGTTAGATTTGGGAATACCGGAAAGAAGAATTAGGCTTTAGAATCATTGGGGAGAAAGAATTAAGAATTAGTTTTAGGGCTGGGTATGGTGGCTGACACCTGTAATCCCAGCACTTTGGGAGGCCGAGAAAGGTGGATCACTTGAGGTTAGGAGTTCAAGACCAACATGGCCAATATAGCAAGACCTTGTCTCCACTAAAAATACAAAAATTAGCCAGGTGTGGTGGCGCATGCCTGTAGTCCCAGCTACTCAGGAGCCTGAGGCACTAGAATCACTGGAACCCGGCAGGTGGAGGTTCCAGTGAGCCGAGATCACACCACTGTACTCTAGCATGGGCAATCGAGCAAGACTCTGCCAAAAAAAAAAAAAAAAAAGAATTAATTTTAGTTCATATCGATTTTGGATAAATGGACAGGCACATAGGAAATGATCATGTAGGACAGGAAATAAGTATCAGCAAAGGCCTGAAAATTGGAACTGATGAAAGGGCATCAGAGGGATAAAATGTTTGTCATTCTGTGTTAGAGATAGTTACCCATTCAGCTAACAAGTATATTTTAATTGCTCATTTGCCAAGCAGTGTGATAGGCTATATGAAAACAAATTGTAAGAGAGATAGAGGAGGAGGCTTACACATCAATGGAGGATAAATATGCCTTGCTTCCGAAAATACAATGTAGTGCAAGAATTGCTCGAATGGTAGCATGTATAGAAAACAGTAGGAGCGTGGATGAAGAGCCCATAAGCCTACCTTCGGTGTCAAGATGATTTCACAGATTAGGGTGAGCTCTGAAGGTGAGAAGTTTGTCAGATGGACAACCAGAGGGAATGGTAGTTGCAGGATGGTAGGTGCAGATATGAGAATTTCTCACTGGAGTGTAAACTTTGAAGCTAAAAGGAGGCAAATGGCAGAAGGTGAGGCTATACAGTGCTTGCTTAATATCAGTCAGGGACACTCAAACTCATCCACATTAAAAGCTGTATAGAAGAAAGGTAGAAAGAACATCAGTGTTGGGAGACAGCCTCTAGAAATGGAGTGCAGTGCTGAGTGCTTGGTCACATATTCCTTCCAGGCAATGCCCCTTCAGGTAGAGATGATGTAATATGTGTTCCCCTCCATGTTCCCCTCAGGGAGCACATCAAGGGTTCTCAGACTCAGCACTGTCGACATTTGGGGCTGGATAGTTCTTTGCTGTCGGGGGATTGTCCTATGCATTGTAGGATCTTCAGTAGCATCCTTGCCCTTGACCCACTAGATGCCAATAGCACTCTCATCAGTTGTAACAACCTAAAATGTCTCCAGACATTGCCAAGCGTCCCTTGGGGGATGAGAGTGAAATCCTTCTTGGTAGAGAACCATTGCCTTACCTCAGATTTAATGCCTAGTTCAAGTAGTTGTCCCTCAATAATTTCTCTTGGGTCTATGCCATTAGCTGGTTTCTGCCACCCCAGTAAAGACCTTCCTCACTGTAGTTTATTGCATGCTTTCCTAAAGTATTTTGTGTCTCTTTACTCTTGCACTGTAGGATGATTAACCATCAGAAAGCTTAGCTGTTCTATCACTCTGCCCATATGTGCAGTGGGCTCCCATTCTCTACCCTGTAATTCCAAACTTGTACAAGTAACCAAAGCTTTTTAGCACCTGGCCCCAACCTCTCTGTCTTAACCTCATTTCTCTGCTTTTTGTATTCTCTTCTATAGCCAAATTGGACCACCAATTTGGAGGCTCACTAAATGCTCCTGGCCTCCAGTTTGCTCATCCACTTGCTCTTTGTTTACATTGACTGTATGAGCAAAGCCAGCCATTCTCATTCCCAGCTTCCTTGTGCAATTGATTTTTCCAGCTCAAATGGCACATTTTCAGTGAAGGCATGCTTCCTCAGCTCTTCTCCCTTTTTTACTCCAAATCATCTAATAATAACACTTGTTCGTGTCTTATTTTCCAGTCCTTTGTCTATAAATAAGAGGTGTATCTTTCTTCTTTATATTCCTCATATCTCCAAACACCTTGTCTTACACAAAATAAGTAGTATTTGAATGAGTGTAAGTTATCTTGAAGCAGAATTGTCAGAAACTGTGAAACTTTGTTGTCCCATGGTAAAAATACTTTTCTGAGAGGTGAATATTGATACTGTATAACCTTGAAGACTTACCTTCGTTTTTTTCTCTCTAGCCTGCGTATCAGAATCTGAGACAGCGTGTTGACAACTTTGTTGCAAATCACTTGGCAACTCACACATGGAGTCCGCATCTCAATAAGAACCAGCTAAGAAACAACATTAGACAACAAGTCCTCAAGTAAGTCTCAGAGATAGAGTTCTGGGCAGGTTTTAAATGTCCTAACCTACTTTGCCTGAAAGCGGAGGCATTACATACATATTTGTTCACCTAATGATGTTGACAATTTTACTGGATTTGGTGTGGCTATTTCGTGTGATGTAGCATAATTTTGGATTTGGGTCTAATCACTTCACATGTTCTTATACATTTTAACAGTCTGATTGTTCCTATAGACCTTTGGAAATATTTGAAGGAAGGAAATAACAGTATGACTTTCTAAAAAATCTAGATATAATATTAATAGATGATATATACAGTTGCCTTCACAACTATTTTCTTGACCCTAAGAGAGCAAGCAGGCTTTATTATTCTTATTTTACAAATAAAGACATTAAAGATTACTGAAATTAAAATATTCTCTCTTGATTTGAGGCCACGTCTTCTTTTAATACAGTGCCCCCGTCTTTTGCATTTTACTATGACTTTTAACTGCTGTTTATGAATGATATAGCTCCCCACCTCCCCTCAAAGTGTTTGGACTTGTCAGAGCCATTTTGAGTGAACATAAGGTAATGACAATTATAAGAACTCGAATATTTGGAGCATCCTTAGGAAACTAGATTTACGGTCTTCTACTTTTTTTTTTTTTTTTTTTAAAGAGTCTCATTCTGTTCCCCAGGCAGGAGTGCAGTGGCATAATCATAGCCTGCTGCAGCCTCAATCTCCTGGGCTCAAGCAGACCTCCCAACGTCATCCTCCTGAGCACCTGCCACCATGCCCAGCTTATCGTTGTATTTTTTTGTAGAGACAGGGTCTCATTATGTTGCCCAGACTGGTCTCCAAATCCTAGGCTCAAGGGATCTTCCCTCCTTGGCTTCTGAAAGTGCTGGGATTATAGGCATGGGCCACCTCACCTGGCCACTACTTGTTCTTGAATGTAAATATTTGCAAAGACAAGAAAGCCTTCTACCCTTGCTATACCCCTCAAAAAAAGGGTGACTAAGTTATTTAGAGATCATCCAGTCTCCCTGACTTGACAAGTATTTATGTTCAAGTACATCTTTGAGAATGAAGTGTAGCTTTTTTTTTTTTTAACAGTTAAACAAATCTGTTTTATACCTGCCACCTCTTAATTTCCTTTTGTCCCATAGGAACCTCTCGAAAGCCTATCTAGTCTGATAGTTTCAACCAACAGGAAGCCCCACAAATCAAAATTCACACCCTGACTAAAAGACAAACCTATTTAGCCACAGGTAATACTAGAAACCAGAAGCCTGGGGGCTCAGACAGTGTCTCCTTGTGCATAAGAGAAGAGGGAAATTCACAATAGCTTTGTTGTCTACATTTTAAAGGATGTCTGAGGAACCTGTAAAAGAGTCCAGGTGAGATCAAAAGATGCCATTAGAAGGCTGCATAATAATACCTGGTGGGAAAAGGTCAAAGCTGTTTCTAGAAAAAGTAGAAACAAAAAAGATCTGTTGGGTGACAGGCCCGCTGCCTGTAGTTTCCACAAAGGCTTTCAAAGAGAACAATGACCAAAATAGCTTAGGACTAGGGGATAAGGGAGTGGAGGTAGGGTAGAGCACCCCTTCACACACATTTATACAGAGCCCTACTGATTACTTTCATTCAGTGATTTGCATAGCCACCTCCCTGTTCACAAATGATTGCATTGCTTTAAAAGCATGTTTTTTTGGGAGTCTGGCATTTTTTTTCTTCATATATTGACACTCAGATTGAAGGCAAACTTCTTAGAATTGCATTTACTTTTATAGCGTATAAAATCTATAAGGTAAGGGAGCAGTCATTCTTTTATTTAAGGGAACTAAGTCTTACACATGTGAAAATTAAGCACTTAAAATTATTGCTGTACCAGTAAGATATTGTGATCACAAAATCATGTTTGGTGCGAGGTCAGGGGTTCTTGTGGCTGTGTCAGTGATTAAATGCTGGAGCAATTTGCCTATGAGTAATGAGGAATCTCTTTTTCTGGAGACATTTTGAAAGAGGGAAGACAGCTGCCTTCTCTTGGATGATACTGATAATAACATTTTAAAGCTTCCTTAAAGAGATTATTTAGTTATGTTCAATCTGAAGGTATAGGGGTGGACTAGCCCCTGTAAATAAATATAATTTCAAACAGTTTTTTGTACGTATGCTTTGAGACATACTCACTTGACTCCATTAGGTTGAGCTATCTGCACTTGCCATTTTTGTAAGACAAAAATGGTCTAATACCAGTAATTTCAGATGGTTCAACTTAATAGCTGATCTGCTGACTCAGTAGGAGGGAAAATTTTATTCTACTTAAGCTTTTATTTGTACAACAGAATCTGAAAATCCTAGGTAACTGAATAACGAACTTAGCTAAACATAATTTGAAAGGAAGACAAGGAAGTAACTTTAACCAGAAAAACGCCAGCTGTTGGCATTTTGGCTTTGCCGTTGACCTAGGGCTGTAGCTTCTCCCCACTTGGGTGAGGCAGTTATGGCCGCTAAGTGCAGTATGATCATTGGTACTGGACTCCATTTTTCTGTAAGATTAGAGCTGACCTCTGTGTGAGAAAGGACTAAAGCAGAAGTGTTTTGTTTGTTTGCAAAACAAGAGGCTGGAACATAGGCAAACAGAGAAAGAGACTGAAGCAAAAATTTGGGAGTGGATAGTTTAATTTTTTTTTGGTACTTTTTTTTCTATTTTCTATTTTTTTTTTTTTTTTTGAGACGGAGTTCGCTCTGTCGCCAGGGTGGAGTGCAGTGGTGCCATCTCAGCTCACTGCAATCTCTGCCTCCTGGATTCCAGCAATTCTCCTGCCTCAGCCTCCCAAGTAGCTGGGATTACAGGCACGTGCCACCACACCCAGCTAATTTTTGTATTTTTAGGAGAGATGAGGTTTCACCATGTTGGCCAGGATGGTCTCGATCTCCTGACCTTGTGATCTGCCCGCCTTGGCCTCCCAGAGTGCTGGGATTACAGGCGTGAGCCACCATGCCCGGTCCTTTTTGTACCTTTTTACTTGTACCCTAAAACCTTTTTTAAGATTGCTTTTTCTTATTTCTTTTCTACCTACTACATTTTAAATACACCTCTAAGATGTAACAGTGTTTGCAAGATTTGCATTTTTTTTTAATCTTTAAAAAGCAGGTAACCTACTTTGTGCTGAGTTGGCTCATTTTTCTCTATGGCCCACATAAGTAGAATTATAGTTTCACAAGGCGACAAGGTGCTTCCAGAAATGAAAAACTAATCCATCCTGCACTCCAGATGGAAGTGCACTCAAAAATAGCATTTGTAAAGTGTAAGGAAAGATGGCTCCTCATCCATTCCATAGAGAGCAGTTGAGGCTTAGAAGCTAAAAATGACGAGCACTTTGATCTTCCAGCACTATCCTGACTACCTTGACTCCTCCACTTCTTTTTTAGGAAGAAACAAGATTTAAGTGTGTTTCTTAAAATAAATTCACGTTCTCTTATTTTACTCAGATGCCTTTGTGCAGAAGCACATTTCACAGATTGTTGTCCTCATCGCTCTTTTGTCTCTTGTATATGATATTTCCTTAACTCCATGTGTCTTTCTTCCCCTTCTCTTCTGTAGAAATGAAGACTTGGCTCAAATGTCTTCTCCTTTATGAAGCACTCCTAAATTATCTTCGACATATCTAATAATTTCTTATTCCTCTAATAAGCAAATAATTTCTTACTCCTCTCTTTTCCTATAGTACATGTTGTGTACTAGTGCCTGTCATCTCATGTCTTGATTGTTTGTGTCTACATCCCCATCCAGAACAGGGACCAGGTCAATTTGTAGCTGTCAGTGGCCAGCATAGTGCCTGTTATATAGAAGACACTTATAACGTAATTGTTGAATGAATAAATCATCCAGTTTTTACAGCGGGAAGATAATAGAAAGCCAGAAGTCTTGTTTCTCCAAATTTTTTTCTCTAAAGTTTTCCTTCTTTGATTTTGCAATTTGATGAAATCATATTTTGTATGTGTTGTTTTTTTTCTGGGGACTCTAATGCTTATAAAAAGCTTACATTTTTTCTGTTAAAAAAAGTTGTAGAGACCATAGGTTTATTTTATACCCAGAACTCAGCTTTTTAATGAGCATATTCCTATATGCCATGAGCAGAGTAGGGGTGAGATAAGCATCACCTCTATACTGGACCCTAGGCAGTGTACTGTGTCTAGTTCTAAGGGTGTTTTGTTTTGTCTGTTTCAGTATTTCCACTAGTGACACAGTGGTAGAAAAGTTTACAGACTTGTATAGTATGGTATATCTAAATGCTACTGTAGCATGAAACTTAGTTTCCATTGTCTATATCCAAGTAAATGGATTGGGACAATTTAAGGTTGGATGGATGGATAGATAGATGACAGATTGTAGAGTGTTATTTTAAAGTAATTAATGCAAATAATATATTATTTTTTCACCTTTCCATAAATTATCTTGTGTTTCAGATCAGGAATGTTGGAGTCTGGTATTGACCGAATTATTTCTCAGGTTGTGGACCCAAAGATCAACCACACATTCAGACCTCAGGTAGAGAAAGCTGTGCATGAGTTTTTGGCCACGCTAAATCACAAAGAGGAAGGAAGTGGCAACACAGCTCCCGATGATGAGAAACCAGACACTTCCCTTATTACACAAGGTGCTTTGCTTTTACTCTTGGTCAGTTCCATTGTTTTTCTTCTTGAACTGAATATCAAGTTAGGGATACTTGGCTCTTTAACACATTTTTTAATTTGGCTATTCCAATGAAATTGTACTTTAAATATCACCTAAATTCCTCAATTGCCATAACATTTCGTTTTCTAGATTAATAAAAATAATAAGCATTGTAGTAATGTGATGTGAGTGTGAGTATGATAATAGAAGGAATAACTAAAATAATTAGAGAATATAGTCTTTTTCTAGGAAGTAGACAACTCCTCAGATTTGCATGGTGCCCTCGCTAAGATAATATATTAGAGAGGTAGATAATTCAGAATATGGTATATACTAGTACTGGTACCTGAAAGTCTAAAAGAATATACAGATGGTCTGCACAGCATATGCATCATATAAAGATGACAATGGCATGTGGTATTGATTTAGCAGAGGTATTTTCCTTCTGATTAAATGTATTCTAAAACTTCTGTTTTTCTTTAAGGTGTTCCTACTCCTGGGCCCAGTGCTAATGTAGCCAATGATGCCATGTCGATATTGGAAACCATAACTTCTCTTAACCAAGAAGCCAGTGCTGCTAGGGCTTCAACAGAAACATCAAATGCCAAGACCAGTGAGAGAGCGTCAAAAAAACTTCCATCTCAGCCAACCACTGATACTAGTACTGACAAAGAAAGAACTTCAGAGGACATGGCTGATAAAGAAAAATCTACAGCTGACTCTGGAGGTGAAGGACTGGAAACAGCCCCAAAGTCTGAAGAGTTCAGCGACCTCCCCTGTCCAGTCGAAGAAATTAAAAATTACACAAAAGAGCATAATAATTTAATTCTGCTAAATAAGGATGTTCAACAGGAAAGCAGTGAGCAAAAAAATAAATCAACAGACAAAGGTGAAAAGAAGCCAGACAGCAATGAGAAAGGAGAAAGAAAGAAAGAAAAGAAGGAAAAGACTGAAAAGAAATTTGATCACTCAAAAAAGAGTGAAGATACACAGAAAGTTAAAGATGAAAAACAAGCAAAGGAAAAAGAAGTAGAGAGTTTAAAACTTCCTTCAGAAAAGAACAGTAATAAAGCTAAAACTGTTGAAGGGACAAAAGAAGGTATATAAAAACTTGCAAACATCTACAAAGTTTAAAGAACAGAGTGTTTTGGGATCAGGGAAGTATCAAATTTGCCTTCATATTTTAATAAGTTTATTTAATACTTTTGGAAACTTATATCCCCTTTGCTTAAGAAAAAAAGCAATAAATATTTGTATTTTTGTGTACTCATATATCTGTTCACAGAGTAAATTAACAGAAGTTATTAATTTATAATTTGTCTTATAATTTATTCACATACATTATTTTAAGCAACTTAGTTCATAGTTGGATATCCTAATTTTTATTAGGTAGTAAATACTTCAGTTACTTAAAATTCATTTTATTATTATATCATACATTATAAATTAATAGTTTAGTTATTTTTACAGAAGTCTACTTTGCCTTTGTATTTTCTGGAAACCACTCTGCCTTGTTTGATAGTTTGACACGTATTTAAAGCAGAAAATTTTAAGTGTAATTTAGTAATTGAGCTCTGAGTATGTTCTTATAATAAGATGATTTTTTTTTCTGTGTTTTATTTTCCGCTTGAAGATTTCTCTTTGATAGATTCTGATGTGGATGGACTTACAGACATCACAGTTAGCTCTGTTCATACCAGTGACCTTTCATCTTTTGAAGAAGATACTGAGGAGGAAGTTGTAACGTCTGATAGCATGGAAGAAGGAGAGATTACGTCAGATGGTAAAGCATTTTACATAATAATGCCTCTGAAGCATCCTGTCAAGCATTATTTGTATATTCTGATGGCTATATCCTGAGAAACAGTGTGGTATAGTAGCAAGAGCATGGGATTTTGTAGTTGGAAGATTTGTTTCTGAGTCCCAGCTCCAAAGTTGTCTGTCTGAGCAAGCTTGGTAAGTTACTAAATCTCAACAACCCTTGGTTCTTCATTCCTTAACTCTATCCCCTAGTATTATTATTAATTTAAAATTTAGAGGAGATAAATATATGAAGATGCTTTTTATTTGTGTGTGTCACATTTGGGGACAGCGTAGTCCACAACACTGCCCTCAATTAATGGCACCAGTTGCAAGTTCCGGGTTCCCTAAGACCACCGTTAGATTTGATAATTTGCTAAAAGGGCTCATAGAACTTACCGAAAGGTGGTATACTCACAGCTATGGTTGTTTACAGTTAAGGTGCTCAGATTAAAATCAGCCAAGGGAAGAGGCACACAGGGCAGAGTCCAGGAAAGTTTCAGACAGTTACTTCCAATTGTTCCCCCTTGAATTACTTCCTCTGCATTGATGTCTGACAACATATGCAGAATATTGCCAACCAGGGAAGTTCACCAGAGCCTTGGGATCCAAAGTTCTTAACCGAGGCTCTAGCATGTAGTCAGAGTTGGCTGCCCATATGGCTGATCTCAGTCTCTACCCCCTCTAGAGGTCAAACTCTTACTCCATGACCCAACACTCCGACCCTAAATCACATCGTTAGACTGTTTAGCTTGACTCAAGAGCCTTCGCACTCTGAAACACTCCAGTCAGGCATAGCATTCCAGAGGCTTAGAGATTACCTCCCAGAAGCTAATGGTAAAGGCCAGACCTCTCTGGGCAAGGCTGAATTCTTTATAATACAGTTTGTTTTTCAGAAAACCCCTCCTGAGCACTTCCTGTCTTCCAGGCACTGTGCTAAGGACATTCATGTAATAACTCCTATAGTCCTCAGAACCACCCCAGGAAGTAGGTACAGGCAAGGAGACAAAGTCACAGAGAGACCATGTCTTGTCCAGTCATGTAGCTAGTGAGCACCAGTGCAGATTTCAAACCCGAGTCTGTGCTTCTTACCAATATCTTATGTTGCTCTTACCACATGATTAAATTCTGTTTAGGACTATTAGTTTAGGAGTAATAAAAATATTGAGTTTTATTTGCAACTGCCTGTAGAGAGCATCTTATAAATTTGTTGCCAGCTTTCGGATAGGCTACCTAGAGAGAAAATCATAGAGGAGAAAAAGTATAAGCTTTTAACACCATAGAGGTATTTCTCAATGCCTCCCATTTTTTTTTCTTCAATTTCACAAACTAAAAAAAGCAGCAGCAGTAATTCCTAATTGTCATATCTGTCCTCATGAGGTCAGCTCTGCATTACCTGTGTAGGAAGAGTGCTCCCTATTCTGTGAACACTCCACTTTCTCTGCCCTAACTAAAATTAATTCTTGTTGCCTTTTTGGGTCTTCTTAAGTTTTTTCCTGGTAAGACTAGATTTTATATGTATGGGATTTAAAAAGTGAGAAGAAGATGGCTATTTTAAGAGTACATGGTAGGAAGTGAAAACCTTGTTTACTTTTTTTTTCTTCTTGCTGTGTCAAAGCAAAGCAAATTACCTTCCAGTTATTAATTCCCACCTCTTCCCTAAATGAGAAATTCAGAGGTGGTCATTAAAATCTCAAGTTTATTTTAAACTACAACTTCCAGTGGATTTGTTGAACTTAACAATGGTAAAGCATAAATATCAAGTCCAGTGACAAATAAGAATTGTTTGTCAAGAGAACTCTGAGGCGCAGATGGAGGCTGTTAGGCTGAGAGATAGCTCCAGTGCCTTGGGTTCCTACAAAGGCAAACTGAAGCCCAGTCTAAATAGTAAAACAGAATTTAAACTTAGCTCATCAGAAACCTCCAATTAACCTCTAACTAGGGACTTTCCACCAGATCATATTCAAATAAGGCAAACATCTGGCTGCAGCCAGTCCAGTCATGTGTCTCCTCTGCTTTTGTGTTCAGCCTGTGAAAGCACACTGCTGGTGTTGCGAAGCAGAGCTCTCAGAACCTCTCCTGGTTCCAACGCCTGAGTCATGAATCATTCTTTGCTCCAGAAAACTCTGTTACATTTAATTTGTCTGAAATTTTCCTTTTAATAGCATAAGTAACTATAATGTCTAATTTTTCTTTGTCTTATTTATGTGTGAGAAGCTGATAAGAAATAAAAATATGAATTATAGCTTTTAAAAGTCAATTTCTGAAATCTTCACATCCTGATATTTCCCCTTTTGGACCTCCAATTCATCTTGCCTTTACTGCTTGTACAGCATAATGTTGATTTTATGCTAATTCACAGACATACTCCTCTTTCTATTAACTTTCTTACAGATGAAGAGAAGAACAAACAGAATAAAACAAAAACTCAAACTAGTGATTCTAGTGAAGGAAAAACAAAAAGTGTACGGCATGCGTATGTCCACAAACCATATCTTTACTCAAAATACTATAGTGATTCTGATGATGAGCTTACTGTAGAACAACGACGACAGTCCATTGTAAGTCCAGTTTGTTCTGTTATTTTAACCTACTACATCAGGTTAACAAACTTAAATAGTCTATCTGCAAGGTACTGATGTGCATATGAAGCAGAGACATACAGGATTTGCCTTCAGGAAACTTGTCATTTAACTAGGTAGAGTAGATGTAAACATGTGACAGAGATGTTTGTGTCATCATTACTAATACAAGTGAATATCCCTTATCCGAAATGGGTGGGACCAGAGGTGTTTCAAATTTTGGAATTTTTCACAATTTGGAATATTCGCATATACATAGTGACAAATCTTAGGGATGGAATGCAAGTCTAAACATGAAATTCCTTTGTGTTTCTTATATGTATATGCACATAGCCTGAAGAGTATTCGATACAATGTTTTTCATAATTTGGTGCATGAAACAAAGTTTTGACTGCATTTTGACTGCCACCTGTCACATGAAGTCAGGTGTGGAACTTTCCACTTGTGACAGCATGTCAGTGCTCAAAGAGTTAAGATTTTCAGATGAGGGATGCTCAACCTGTAGTAGTGAAACTGGTAACAACCTGAGTGCTTCACAGTATGGAAATGTTTAAATCAAGTGTAGATCCAGTCCTGCAAAAATACAGTATGCAGCTATTAACATACTATTGATATGGAAATGCTATTTACCTATTTCTTGGATTCAAAAATATTTCCAATTATAAAATGTACCACTGAATTAATAACAGCTTTTTAAAGAAAATTACTACCTTATTGTTACATATGTATATTGGTTTTAAGATAGCTTACAATTTCAGAAACATTAAAATATGAAAAGTTGTAAAATATGAAAAGTTCAGAATCAGGAAATATTGTCACATAGGAAAATGATTTGAAGAAACTACCCCAAAATGCTAGTAGTGATTAGCCTTCCCTTCAGGCTTATCTTTTGAAAACATTACTTGGTTAGAAGTTATGCACCTGCTTAGGATTTTTGGCACTCTGAGCCAGAAAGAGATAGTAGGAATAGCACAATGACTGTGAATTCTTTCTGCTGTAAAAGACCTGCAAGTCCTGAGTCCCTTGGGTCCCAAGCATATAACCAGCAAGTCATATATGTTGTAGAACTAGCCTATCACTTGAATTTTTATTTCAACTGTTTTCTATAAGAACAGTTGAAAAGTTATAAACACCTACCTATATATACTTGATGTTCATAGATATTTTCACAGCTATCATTTTAATTGAAACAACCAGCTTATTTAATCACTTTTCCCCAAAATTATACCTTTCCCTTTCTTTAATGGCATTCTTAAAGAGTAATGGCAAATTTTCACATCTGTTTCTTCTATTCTGGTAGCTTCTAGATTGAAACATACACATACATATGTATGTATACACACAGAGATAAATGTGTGTATATATATGTAGTGTATGTGCATTTTTTCAGAGCCCGTTAATTTGTAAGAACATCTGAAGGGTAAACTAAAACTTTAAAAAAAATACAATTTTTCAGTGTGTTTTTGCCTTTGCCTAATAATCTGTTAGGGTATTTTGTGGTTTTAGGCCAAAGAAAAAGAAGAGAGGCTTTTAAGAAGGCAAATCAATAGAGAAAAACTTGAAGAAAAACGAAAACAGAAAGCAGAAAAGACAAAGTCTTCAAAAACCAAGGGTCAAGGTATAGATGTCAACTTTTAATATTTTAAACTATCTCATATATTTCATTATTTTCTGGGTACTCTTATATTACTTATGAGACATGAATATAAAATAAAATGATCTAGTCTCAAATGTGGAAGATTTCCTTACGTTTTAATCTCATGTGTTTCATCATTTTTCTTTTTTATTAAATTGCTAAATCTAAATTAAACATTTTACCAGAAACCAGCTTATGCAACTCATTTGTTAGCAGTATATTTTTCTGTAATGATTGAATCACTGGAAAGTAGATTGTTAACACATGAGTTATCAACCCTTGCTGGTGATTAATGAAATTAATCTATGCTTATGTTAACTAAAATGTCAAACATTTCCCTGTAATATTGTGTTGAACAAAATTGTATTCCCTCTGGGCACTAATCCTATGTAATATATGAAATCACACATACACACACTTATGTGATCATTTGAAATAAGAGAGATAAGACTTCTTCATCCAAAATATTATATCTATTCCAGCACAACTTAAGAATATTAAAGCCATTTTGGCTTTAACAATGATTAGAAAAATCTTAATGAAAAATTAATATTACATTGTTTGTAAAACTTTTCTGAAATACGTTTTATTGATTGCTTCTTTTCTAGGCAGGAGTAGTGTGGACTTAGAAGAATCATCAACAAAGAGTTTGGAACCTAAAGCCGCCAGAATTAAAGAAGTCCTTAAAGAACGGAAAGTTTTAGAAAAAAAAGTAGCCTTAAGCAAAAAGAGAAAAAAAGATTCAAGGTACATATTTTATCTGGTCATGTTTCCCTTATAACACTCCCCTGGGTGCTTTCAGAAGAGAGGAATTGAAGTGACAGTAAAGAGTTGTACTTTGGTTGTGTATGTTACTGCATGTTTATGAAGGACCTTAGGGTTTCATATTTAGTATCAAAATGTTAATATCTATAACATTTCTAAGTAGTGTATCCTAATCTTTTTGGGCGTCCCAGATCTTTTTGATAATTTGGTGAGAGCTTTAGACCCTCTCCCCTGAAAAATGTACATGCATAAGCTAACAATTATCCCTAGACTTTAAGAGTTTATGAATCCTCTAGAAGTTCCCTGGAGGTATTCCTCTTGTTGGTGTTCAGTAACCACTTATTTTCAATTATTATTTCCAGTCTTTCCATGCCGTTATTTTTACCAGTATTCCATGATTCTCCCCCAACCCAGAATCTGGGCCAGATTCCTTATTAACCCTGCATTATCATCGTTAACTTTTTAAGAATTAGAAAGCTAAAGAGACTCTTGAGGGTAGCTATGAAGTCATGTGAGCCATGGGCTGCAATTTTGCTATTCCATCAAGTTGCATTTATGTAAATTTATCACAGACTTCAGGATAACTGATTTGATAATTTGCAGAACTTGGTAAGAGTAGTAAGCTCTCAAATTTCTTACTATTATTACCTCTCATCCTTATTGATCTGAATAAATAAGACTGCCCTCTTTACTCAAAAGATAGTAATTTTGAAGTGTAATTATAGCCCATAAAGCATTCATCTTTAAGCAACAAATTAGGAATTTTTGTTTCAGCTGTACTTTCCTTTAGCACCAAGAACAGTTAATGCTATGTTTGGGATTGTGCTCTCCTTTGTTGACCAATAATTGATAGGATTTAAATTGAAATGTAACAAGTCTGCATTTGTCGATCAAGTGTATAAATTATAGTAAACAGCTGGGCGCGGTGGCTCACGCCTTTAATCCCAGCACTTCGGGAGGCAGAGGCGGGTGGAACACATGAGGTCAGGAGTTTGAGACCAGCCTGACCAACATGGTGAAACCCTGTCTCTACTAAAAATACAAAATTAGCCAGGCATTGTGGCGTATGCCTGTAATCCCAGCTACTTGGGAGGCTGAGGCAGGAGAATTACTTGAACTCAGGAGCGGAGATTGCAGTAAGCCAAGATTGCGTGATTGCACTCCAGCCTGGGCAACAAGAGCAAGACTCCACCTCAAAAAATAATAATAATAAAATAAGATAAATAAAAATTATAGTAAAGGAAAGATTTTTATTGTTTTCAACCTTCCTGAAAAATTTTCGTATTTGATTCATGCTTTATATTTGACTCTTTCCCCCTTAGGAATGTTGAAGAGAACTCCAAAAAGAAACAGCAATATGAAGAAGATTCCAAAGAAACCCTTAAAACAAGTGAGGTATGCCTTAATAAAACCTCATTTCAAATGCTGTTTTGTTAGATATAGGCTGTTTATTCCTTTGGAGTAAAACTTAGAATGTAATTTGACTTTTTTCAAGTCAAATAAAAAGTCAACTTACATTCAGCATTTTTGAAACCCCATTTTGTTATGTCCCAAATTGCCCATTTTGTTGAGTTGATTTATATATTTGTCGTTTATCTAGGTAATAGCTACTCTTCTTCTCTTTTCCCATTTCTTATAATTGCAATAACAAAAATGCCAGTAATGACAAAAAAAGAAAAAGGGAGGCTAAAATTAAAATCTAAAATCCCTCCACTATAACAAATTATCCTTTTTATTCCCTCTCATTCCTTATCCACGGGTCCACATAATTTTTTAGAGTACAAGTAATCTGGCAAACTGTTTTTAACATTTTACTCATTTCATGTTACCTTCTAGGCATCCTAATTATTTAATGATTGTCTAGTGTTACATATAATGTACATACCATAATTTATTTAAGCATGTCCTTATATTTTAGCGCTTAGGTTGTTTCCAAGATTTGATCATTTTAAACAGTAAAAGTAACGTACAATGTTTTCTTCCCCCTTTCAGGATTATTTTCGTGGGACAAACTTTTGCTTTCACTGTTTTAAAATTCTTTTTTACAAAAACCACATTATCTGTAGTTCTGTAGCTAAACTATCTTAATATTTCCAGAGGGAAAAAGCAATGTTAGTGATTATTTGTTCATCATCAGCAAACATAAATTTAATTTATTTACTCAGAAATTAAAGGCGTATTTAGAAGTATATAGTGATGGCTTAATGACATATTTTTAAATATTTAACTTTCTTTTATGATAATTCTCTATAAGAAATTATCTCATAAAATAGTATTCACATTGCTTAGAATTAGTTTTTTATTGTGAAGTTGATGCAAACTCCTGTTAGTTCTTTGAGGAATTTTATTTTAAGCTATTTAATAAGGTCTTGTTATGTCCTGGACCCTGTTATTAGTAGAAGTACATTAATCTTTGTGTTGACATTTAAGGAGATGAAGTGTTAAACTGACCTAGAGGCACAAAGGTCCGTCTGAACTTTGGCCCATTATTTGCATAAGAATAATTATAGCTAGTAGTCAGTGAGTATTATTGAAGTGGATTTAGTCAACCTCCACTCATTAATATTAATCGCCTACTTAGTGCCAAACCACAGGGCCAGAAGGAAGGTTTAGATGCTCTTGTCTCTCCGTATCTTTTTTTGAATACATAAACATATACATATGTTATATATGATATGGTTACTGTGCGTTATTGTGTACATTTGAAGCTTCATGTGTAGAATATTGTACAAGTAGCCTAAATTCATGAGGTTTCCATACATAATTCAGCTTTTTAAATTAAAATATAGGAAATCTATATTTCAGTATATTTCAATTTTAAATTGCCTTCATGTATTATGTTTTTGACTGAAAAGGACATTTGACTGTCATTTATTCAGCTCATATTTATTATTGAGTACTGGGCATTAGTGAGTTCTAGTGATTCAGAATTGAAGAATTCATAGACAAATCAGTGCCTGTGATATACTGGAAGGAGTACTAGACTCGGAATGAAATAATCTAAACTCATTCCTAACACACCTACTTGTGGTCTGAGTGTCAAGTTATAGAATCATGCTGAGCTACAATTTCCTGATGTTTTAATGGCATATTTTTAAGTATTTAACTTTATTTTGTGATAAATCTCTATGAGAAATAATCTCATAAAATTGTTCATATTGTTTAGAATTAGTTTTTTTATTGTAAAATATGGTTGTTGCAAACTCCTGTTAGTTCTTTGAAGAATTTAGCTTCTTAAAATCAAGTTAATAATACTTATTTTTTAAAATCAGGTGAGTTTTTGACACCTACACAGGCTGTTTGTAAGAATTAAGTGAGATGTTACATATGTGACAGCACTCAACATATTAAATCCACCCAAATGTTATGTTTTAATCTAAAAATTGATTTTGGTATTTCTCATATTTTAACCTTTGTTTTCTTTCAGCATTGTGAAAAGGAAAAAATTTCTTCTTCAAAGGAGCTGAAGCATGTTCATGCAAAAAGTGAACCAAGTAAACCTGCCCGGAGACTTTCAGAGTCTTTGCATGTAGTTGACGAAAACAAAAATGAATCCAAATTAGAAAGAGAACATAAAAGACGGACATCTACCCCTGTTATCATGGAGGGGGTACAGGAAGAGACTGACACAAGAGATGTAAAAAGGCAAGTAGAACGCTCAGAAATTTGCACCGAAGAGCCCCAGAAACAGAAAAGCACACTTAAAAACGAAAAGCATCTAAAGAAAGATGATTCTGAAACACCACATTTGAAAAGCCTACTTAAGAAAGAGGTGAAATCCTCCAAGGAGAAGCCTGAAAGAGAGAAAACTCCATCGGAAGACAAATTGTCTGTGAAACATAAATATAAAGGTGATTGTATGCATAAAACAGGTGATGAGACTGAGCTTCACTCTTCTGAGAAAGGTTTAAAAGTAGAGGAAAATATTCAAAAGCAAAGTCAACAAACAAAGCTTTCTTCAGATGATAAAACCGAACGAAAAAGTAAACATAGGAATGAAAGGAAATTATCAGTATTAGGCAAAGATGGAAAGCCAGTTTCTGAATATATTATAAAAACAGATGAGAATGTTCGTAAAGAAAACAACAAAAAAGAGAGACGCTTGTCAGCTGAAAAAACTAAGGCAGAGCACAAATCAAGAAGGTCAAGTGATTCTAAAATTCAGAAAGATTCTCTGGGTTCCAAGCAACATGGTATCACATTACAGAGAAGAAGTGAAAGTTATTCGGAAGATAAGTGTGATATGGACTCCACTAACATGGATAGTAATTTGAAACCAGAAGAGGTTGTTCACAAGGAGAAACGACGAACAAAGAGCTTGTTAGAAGAGAAACTTGTGTTGAAGTCTAAATCAAAAACTCAAGGCAAACAGGTAAAAGTTGTAGAAACAGAATTACAAGAAGGTGCCACAAAACAGGCAACCACTCCAAAACCAGACAAGGAGAAGAACACAGAAGAAAATGACTCAGAAAAACAGCGTAAGTCTAAAGTTGAAGACAAACCTTTTGAAGAAACTGGTGTTGAACCTGTATTAGAGACTGCTTCTTCTTCAGCACATAGTACACAGAAGGATTCTAGTCATAGAGCCAAGTTACCATTAGCAAAGGAGAAATATAAGAGTGATAAAGACTCCACTTCCACCAGGCTTGAGAGAAAGTTGTCAGATGGCCACAAAAGCAGAAGCTTAAAGCATAGTAGTAAAGACATAAAAAAGAAGGACGAAAATAAATCAGATGACAAGGATGGTAAAGAAGTTGACAGTAGTCATGAAAAGGCCAGAGGTAATAGTTCACTCATGGAAAAGAAATTAAGTAGAAGGTTGTGCGAAAATCGG
This sequence comes from Homo sapiens, assembly GCF_000001405.40. Lineage (NCBI taxonomy): Eukaryota > Metazoa > Chordata > Mammalia > Primates > Hominidae > Homo > Homo sapiens. The sequence continues at coordinate 13,603,677 of NC_000004.12, read as the reverse complement.
AGAGGAAGCTTGTCACAAGAAATGGCCAAAGGAGAAGAAAAATTAGCAGCAAACACTTTGAGCACTCCCAGCGGTTCCTCCCTTCAGAGACCAAAAAAGAGTGGTGATATGACATTGATCCCTGAACAAGAGCCAATGGAAATTGATTCTGAGCCAGGTGTTGAAAATGTGTTTGAAGTATCTAAAACCCAAGACAACCGCAATAATAATTCTCAGCAAGACATTGACTCTGAAAATATGAAACAAAAAACTTCTGCCACTGTTCAAAAGGATGAATTGAGAACTTGCACAGCAGATTCAAAAGCAACAGCTCCAGCTTATAAGCCAGGCCGTGGAACAGGAGTTAATAGTAATTCTGAAAAGCATGCCGATCATAGAAGCACCTTGACCAAGAAAATGCATATACAAAGTGCTGTGTCCAAAATGAACCCTGGGGAGAAAGAACCCATTCATAGAGGAACTACTGAAGTGAATATAGATTCTGAAACTGTTCATAGAATGTTACTGAGTGCCCCATCAGAAAATGATAGGGTACAGAAGAATTTGAAAAACACAGCTGCTGAAGAACATGTTGCTCAAGGAGATGCCACTCTTGAACATTCCACAAATTTAGACTCCTCACCATCCTTAAGTTCAGTGACTGTTGTGCCTCTGAGGGAATCGTATGATCCAGATGTAATTCCTCTGTTTGACAAAAGAACTGTTTTGGAAGGTAGCACAGCCAGCACCTCCCCTGCGGATCACTCTGCTCTCCCTAACCAAAGTCTGACTGTTAGGGAATCAGAAGTCCTTAAGACAAGTGACAGCAAAGAAGGTGGTGAAGGTTTCACAGTAGATACACCAGCAAAAGCAAGCATCACTAGCAAAAGACACATTCCAGAAGCTCACCAGGCTACTTTATTGGATGGTAAACAAGGAAAGGTAATCATGCCTCTTGGAAGTAAGTTAACGGGCGTGATTGTGGAAAATGAGAATATTACCAAAGAAGGTGGCTTAGTGGACATGGCCAAGAAAGAAAATGACTTAAATGCAGAGCCCAATTTAAAGCAGACAATTAAAGCAACAGTAGAGAATGGCAAGAAGGATGGCATTGCTGTTGATCATGTTGTAGGCCTGAATACAGAAAAATATGCTGAAACTGTCAAACTTAAGCATAAAAGAAGCCCAGGTAAAGTAAAAGACATATCAATTGATGTTGAAAGAAGGAATGAAAACAGTGAGGTAGACACCAGTGCTGGAAGTGGCTCTGCACCCTCTGTTTTACACCAAAGGAACGGACAAACTGAGGATGTGGCAACTGGGCCTAGGAGAGCAGAAAAGACTTCTGTTGCCACTAGTACTGAAGGGAAGGACAAAGATGTCACCTTAAGTCCAGTGAAGGCTGGGCCTGCCACAACCACTTCTTCAGAAACAAGACAAAGTGAGGTGGCTTTGCCTTGCACCAGCATTGAGGCAGATGAAGGCCTCATAATAGGAACACATTCCAGAAATAATCCTCTTCATGTTGGTGCAGAAGCCAGTGAATGCACTGTTTTTGCTGCAGCTGAAGAAGGTGGGGCTGTTGTCACAGAGGGATTTGCTGAAAGTGAAACCTTCCTCACAAGCACTAAGGAAGGGGAAAGTGGGGAGTGTGCTGTGGCTGAATCTGAGGACAGAGCAGCAGACCTACTGGCTGTGCATGCAGTTAAAATCGAAGCCAATGTAAATAGCGTTGTGACAGAGGAAAAGGATGATGCTGTAACCAGTGCAGGCTCTGAAGAAAAATGTGATGGTTCTTTAAGTAGAGACTCAGAAATAGTTGAAGGAACTATTACTTTTATTAGTGAAGTTGAAAGTGATGGAGCAGTTACAAGTGCTGGAACAGAGATAAGAGCAGGATCTATAAGCAGTGAAGAGGTGGATGGCTCCCAGGGAAATATGATGAGAATGGGTCCCAAAAAAGAAACAGAGGGCACTGTGACATGTACAGGAGCAGAAGGCAGAAGTGATAACTTTGTGATCTGCTCAGTAACTGGAGCAGGGCCCCGGGAGGAACGCATGGTTACAGGTGCAGGTGTTGTCCTGGGAGATAATGATGCACCACCAGGAACAAGTGCCAGCCAAGAAGGAGATGGTTCTGTGAATGATGGTACAGAAGGTGAGAGTGCAGTCACCAGCACGGGGATAACAGAAGATGGAGAGGGGCCAGCAAGTTGCACAGGTTCAGAAGATAGCAGCGAAGGCTTTGCTATAAGTTCTGAATCGGAAGAAAATGGAGAGAGTGCAATGGACAGCACAGTGGCCAAAGAAGGCACTAATGTACCATTAGTTGCTGCTGGTCCTTGTGATGATGAAGGCATTGTGACTAGCACAGGCGCAAAAGAGGAAGACGAGGAAGGGGAGGATGTTGTGACTAGTACTGGAAGAGGAAATGAAATTGGGCATGCTTCAACTTGTACAGGGTTAGGAGAAGAAAGTGAAGGGGTCTTGATTTGTGAAAGTGCAGAAGGGGACAGTCAGATTGGTACTGTGGTAGAGCATGTGGAAGCTGAGGCTGGAGCTGCCATCATGAATGCAAATGAAAATAATGTTGACAGCATGAGTGGCACAGAGAAAGGAAGTAAAGACACAGATATCTGCTCCAGTGCAAAAGGGATTGTAGAAAGCAGTGTGACCAGTGCAGTCTCAGGAAAGGATGAAGTGACACCAGTTCCAGGAGGTTGTGAGGGTCCTATGACTAGTGCTGCATCTGATCAAAGTGACAGTCAGCTCGAAAAAGTTGAAGATACCACTATTTCCACTGGCCTGGTCGGGGGTAGTTACGATGTTCTTGTATCTGGTGAAGTCCCAGAATGTGAAGTTGCTCACACATCACCAAGTGAAAAAGAAGATGAGGACATCATCACCTCTGTAGAAAATGAAGAGTGTGATGGTCTCATGGCAACTACAGCCAGTGGTGATATTACCAACCAGAATAGCTTAGCAGGGGGTAAAAATCAAGGCAAAGTTTTGATTATTTCCACCAGTACCACAAATGATTACACCCCTCAGGTAAGCGCAATTACAGATGTGGAAGGAGGTCTCTCAGATGCTCTGAGAACTGAAGAAAATATGGAAGGTACCAGAGTAACCACAGAAGAATTTGAGGCCCCCATGCCCAGTGCAGTCTCAGGAGATGACAGCCAACTCACTGCCAGCAGAAGTGAAGAGAAAGATGAGTGTGCCATGATTTCCACAAGCATAGGGGAAGAATTCGAATTGCCTATCTCCAGTGCAACAACCATCAAGTGTGCTGAAAGTCTTCAGCCGGTTGCTGCAGCAGTGGAAGAAAGGGCTACAGGTCCAGTCTTGATAAGCACCGCCGACTTTGAGGGGCCTATGCCCAGTGCGCCCCCAGAAGCTGAAAGTCCTCTTGCCTCAACCAGCAAGGAGGAGAAGGATGAATGTGCTCTCATTTCCACTAGCATAGCAGAAGAATGTGAGGCTTCTGTTTCCGGTGTAGTTGTTGAAAGTGAAAATGAGCGAGCTGGCACAGTCATGGAAGAAAAAGACGGGAGTGGCATCATCTCTACGAGCTCGGTGGAAGACTGTGAGGGCCCAGTGTCCAGTGCTGTCCCTCAAGAGGAAGGCGACCCCTCAGTCACACCAGCGGAAGAGATGGGTGACACCGCCATGATTTCCACAAGCACCTCTGAAGGGTGTGAAGCAGTCATGATTGGTGCTGTCCTCCAGGATGAAGATCGGCTCACCATCACAAGAGTAGAAGACTTGAGCGATGCTGCCATCATCTCCACCAGCACAGCAGAATGTATGCCAATTTCCGCCAGCATTGACAGACATGAAGAGAATCAGCTGACTGCAGACAACCCAGAAGGGAACGGTGACCTGTCAGCCACAGAAGTGAGCAAGCACAAGGTCCCCATGCCCAGCCTAATTGCTGAGAATAACTGTCGGTGTCCTGGGCCAGTCAGGGGAGGCAAAGAACCGGGTCCCGTGTTGGCAGTGAGCACCGAGGAGGGGCACAACGGGCCATCAGTCCACAAGCCCTCTGCAGGGCAAGGCCATCCAAGTGCTGTTTGTGCGGAAAAAGAAGAGAAGCATGGCAAGGAGTGCCCCGAAATAGGACCATTTGCAGGAAGAGGACAGAAAGAGAGCACTTTACACCTCATAAATGCAGAAGAGAAGAATGTATTGTTGAACTCCCTTCAGAAAGAAGATAAGAGCCCAGAGACAGGGACAGCAGGGGGCAGTAGCACAGCAAGTTATTCAGCAGGAAGGGGCTTAGAGGGGAATGCTAACTCACCTGCCCACCTGAGAGGACCAGAACAGACGTCTGGGCAGACGGCTAAGGATCCCTCTGTCAGCATTCGCTATTTGGCAGCAGTAAACACCGGTGCTATAAAAGCTGATGACATGCCACCTGTTCAAGGGACCGTGGCTGAGCATTCCTTTCTTCCTGCTGAGCAGCAGGGGTCTGAAGACAACTTGAAAACCAGTACCACCAAATGTATTACTGGCCAAGAATCAAAAATTGCTCCTTCCCACACAATGATCCCTCCAGCTACTTACAGTGTAGCTCTGTTGGCTCCTAAATGTGAGCAGGACTTGACTATAAAGAATGATTATAGTGGCAAATGGACTGATCAAGCATCTGCTGAGAAAACAGGAGATGATAACAGCACAAGGAAATCATTCCCTGAGGAAGGAGACATAATGGTTACTGTGTCTTCTGAAGAAAATGTGTGTGACATAGGTGAGAATCTGTACCTAATTGCAAATTTTAATATTTACAAGGATGATTGTACAACAGAGTGCATTTAGGACAGTCTTCCAAAAGATGGTTTTGGTTCCAGAAAGATAAAATATCTATAAATTTTTTTCTCATATCATAATGTTGCAAAATAACTCTCATCAAACTTGAAGGTCAAACTTCTCTAAAAGCTACTTGTGTTTAAAAGTTTAAAGCCTTTGGCCCATTTCTCATGTGTGGGGAGAGAAAAAGCAGGAGGCTGAGGCATGGGAAGTCCACATGTTATTTACATGACTGCTGCAACTTACTAAACCTTTTTGACCTACAGGTTTTTTGTCAATCAAAAAGAAGAATACCCTACCACAACCCAATGAAAGCAATACATTTTTTTTTTACCACCCTCATTTTACAAACGAGGAAATAGGGTCAGAAAATTTAAATAGCATTCATGGTCCTCGGGTGACTTTTAGAGGAAAAATCAGTTTCTGAGCCTCCATTTCTTGTTGTATAAAATGGGGATAATAAGACGGGATGATAATACAAAGGCAAACACGATTCCAACCCTCATCTGATCATAGGTTTGCAGTATTTGTTTGTTCAGTCTGTTAGTTCCTTTGAATCAAAGGAGCATGTTATTTTTAACTGAGCTTATTTTTCAGGTGAAATGAGTTTCTAGTTTAGAATATATTTGAAAGTGAAAAGAAACATTTTTCCCTGCTGACAGATTTTGGACAGTGCTGGTCTTTTAGAAATAGTTAATAACTTTCAAAGATATTATCTCAGTCATGCCTTATACCGTCCAACTTCAGATACTTTATACCAGTCCAGATTGGAGAAAAGTGGACAGTGACACTTTAAAGCATGACAATTGCATAGACTGGGATTAAGCACAGGATGCTGTAGGAACAAAAGGGTCCTCATGGGCTGGACTTGAAGGGACAGAGGAATTCTTTTCCACTCTGGCTATATAAATTGTAGCATCCTGGACTTTTAACTGAAATAGACCTTAGCCATCATCTAACCCAGTCTCAGGAAGCTGAGGCTAATAGATTTAGTCTTGTTCATTATAGAGACTTAGGAGACTTTAAGAAATGCTCCAAGGGTTGAAACAAGTAACTTTACAAGTTTCTGTTGAATTTAGCCTGGAGTAAATTGAATGCTCCAGAAGTTTTTATGACTCAATCATTGCTACAATTACTCATTCCTCCTTTTTTCCTGAAGAAGTGAAAATAGAAGGGTTTCCACAGAAGCTTCTACACAATCTAAAGAAGGATATAAGAGGCAAGACCAGAGTAGAACTGAATCTCTGCACCTGAGAAAATTTTTTCTTTTTGTCTACCTCACAGTTTAACTTTGTGTTCAATTTTTCTGTGTTCAGTGTGAAGCAAGTAAAGTGAATCTGTTAATAAATCACCTTTACTGAGAATAGACCTTAGTGACTCAGAATATTTTTAAGGACAAACTTGATGGAGATCACTGCAGAAAAATACTTGGAAATGAAGATGTCTCCACAGATAATACTTTTGTCATTCTTTCTGGGCAGTTATCTTACTGTGCAAATAAGAATTTCACTCACCCAAAATGAGCAAATAATCCCTGCCTTTCATCCAGATTCTTTTATACAACATATTCCTTTTGATCATTTTCTACTGACAGCAAAATAAACCAGAAAAGGAAGGTGCAACAGCATGTCAGATAACCACATTCCATTACTTTTTGACCCCAGATGTATTTTGCAAGCAAATTCTTAAACTGTACTAAATGGCTTGAATTTTATTAGGCAATGAAGAGTCTCCATTGAATGTTTTGGGAGGATTGAAACTGAAAGCCAACTTGAAAATGGAGGTATGGCTTATAATTCAGCTGTGCTGAACTGTAAGTGATTAAATACTGTTTCATCACATATACACATATATATACTTATGTGGTATATAGGTCCTGTTCTCATTGTACTTATGATATTTAGTGTTGTTATTGCCATATCCTGTGGGGGGAAAGCTAAGAACCTCAGTAATCTTAGTAAATAGTGCTATCATCAGTTCATTTACTCAAGCCAGAAACACAAGAGTCACCCTCAGTTTCTCCGTCATCCCACATTTAATCTATCGCCATTTCTTACAGGTTCCATTTCCAAAATATAACATGAGTCCATCTATTTCTGTTTCTACAGTCATCACCCTAGGCTAAGCCACTACTTCAGTAGCCTCTCCATTAGGCTTAGTTCACTCCAGCCCTCCTCCAGTGTGATTCACACAGTCCTGCAGGTAGTCATTAGAAACATAACTTAGGCCCTGTCATTGCTCTGCTTAAAATTTGTGGTGGCTTCCCATCATGCTTAGAATAAAATCTGCTTTTTTTTTTTTAAGCATGGCTTTGGTGCTTTACACAATTTAGTCTCCATATCCTCTTTCTAGCCTGATCTGAAGGCACCATCCAAGTATATGTGACAAAACAGCAGTGAACATGGGGGTTATGAACACTACAGAGGAAACACAACTTGCCCAATAGTAGCAATAGGCAGGTAGACAGGAGGGCTTGCAAGGAGGACACTGGAATAGAATTTTGAAAGTAGAGTGGAAATTTCCCAGAAAAGAAAGAAAAGAGCCTTCCAAGCAAAGAGAATGTTGTGTTCTAGACTCAGAGACAGGAGGGCACGTGGTGTGTCTCAGGCGCTGCAGTGGTTCACGGTGAGCTGTGATGAGACTTGAGCCTGGAAGGGAGTGGGAGCCCATCAGGAAGAGTCTTGTGTGGTGTGCTGAGTTGGGGTTTTTACCTTTAAAGCAATAGAATACCCATTGATGGATGAAATACGAGATTAAATTGATTTTTTACTTGGCTTTGTTTTTAAAGGTTGATGTATTTATTTTTAAGTTTTGTGTACTCTTGAAAATAGGCTTTTATATTGTTTCAGGATGCTGGGTTTTTTTTTGTTTAATTCACTTGAGGTTAGTCTTCTTGTAAAAACCCTGGTTAACTTATTTTTATGGTGCTTTGGATTTTTTAGGCTTATGTGCCTTCAGAGGAAGAGAAAAATGGTGAAATTCTGGCACCACCAGAAAGTCTGTGTGGGGGAAAGCCAAGTGGAATAGGTGAGCTCTTTAGAATGGTTGTTCACATTGTTTTTGTTTTTGCCTTGCATGTGGTTTTACCTTTCTAAAAATCAATAGCTGATGCATAGTAACATACAGGCTCTATTAACTTGCCTCTCACTTTTTAAAATAGATTAGGGAGAATTCTTTACTATTTTATTTTTAACATACACTTTTCCTCATGAAATGTCAATCAACATTATGTAGGGTAATTGTTTAAATCTGATTACCCCCAAATAATAATGCAAAACGAAAGTTGTTTTGGAGCAAACTCTTGCTCTATCCCAGAAATGTTTCTCCATACCCCTGCCTGTCCCCAGATGCTATTGCAGCTTACTTCCAAAAGGCTAGTCTGAGGATAAGGGCCCACTTTACACCATTTGCTCTTGTCTCTTGCTCAGGCTTTTCCCCAGTGGCTGCACAGATACTGCTCTCAGCTTGTATAACCTCATCTCAGTCTCTCTGTGCAACATTCTTCACTGTGGACTACAGATTTTAAGGGAGATCCTCAATATCAGAAAGGATAAAGGCAGGAGCTCTTAAACGTTTTGGTCTCAAGGACCAAAAATTACTGAAAAATTACCGAAGACCCCAAAGAGATTTTGTTATATGGCTTATACCTGTTGACATTTGCCAAATAAGAAATTAAAATTGAGAAAAGTAAATATTAAGTCACTATTAATTCAATATAATTAACTCACTATAAGTTAACAACTCTTTTTTCATGAAAAATGGCTAGATTTTCCAAAAAACCCAATTAAGTGATAAAAGTGACATTGTTTTGCATTTTTGCAAATCCCTTTAAGTCTGGCTTAATAAAAAACAGCTATTTCTCGTATCTGTTTTCACATTCAGTCCTGTTGCTGTTTATTGTTTTGATTAAAGTAAATGAAGAAAATCCAACATTACAGATAGACGGTTGGGTTTTTGTTTTTTGTTTTGTTTTATTTTGTTTTGTTTTGTTTGAGATGGAGTCTCACTCTGTTTGCCAGGTTGGAGTACAGTGGCGTGATCTCGGCTCACTGCAACCTCTGACTCCCTGGTTCAAGCTATCCTCCTGCCTCAGCTTCCTGAGTAGCTGGGATTACAGGCACACACCACCATGCCCAGCTAATTTTTGTATTTTTAGTAGAGATGGGGTTTCACCATATTGGCCAGGATGGTCTCGATCTCCTGACCTCGTGATCCGCCCGCCTTGGCCTCCCAAAGTGCTGAGGTTACATGCATGAGCCACTGAAAGCCACTGCGCTCGGCCAATGGTTGGGTTTTAGTAGCCTTTTCAGATAATTATGGGTACATCTTAGCCTCTGGAAAATTCCATTGAGCACTCATGAGTCTGTAAGACAAATAATGTTAGTTTGGCCCTTGTGGATTCCTTGATGGAAAGCCTCAGGAATTCCCCAGAGAGGCTGGACCATACTGGCTTAAGGAAATGGAAATGAGAAGAACTGTGACAGTGAGGAATTATTTCTAATTTGTATTACAAACATGATTGTGTATTTTCTTCTGTTTCCCACAATATTTTTTTCTAAGTACTAGGAACTATAGAGTATGTGACCAAATTTAAGCCAGTCCTCAATTTTTTTCCACAATGTTAAAATGTCCATGCAAGTCAGGTGGAGTAAACAGTCAGGGTGATTTTTGTTGTAAATACTTATAACAAAAAACTCTATAGGCATTTGCTTAAAGGGACTTTATTAGCTCACAAAACTGAAAAATTCAGGTAAAGCATAATCCAAGAGGATGCAGATAGCTCCAAAGACACATCTAGTAGAAACTCCATTTTATGTCTTCTTCCTCATCCCCTGAATAAGGGTCATTGCTTTCTCATTCATAGCCTCTACTTTTAGCTTTGGCTTACCATTCCTGGCCAAAAACCTGAGACTTATTCTGATTTAGCATAAGTACATGTGTCCACCCTAAACGAATTACTGTGACCAGAGGAATGTAGCTTACTAGTTGACTTAAGTCAGGTGCTGTGTTCCTGGATCCACATGGTATTCCAGACCACAGTCTGGGCTCTTGGGAAAGGTGCCAGGAGGGCAACTGTAATGTCTACTGTAGTTGGATTGGCTCTTTAAATTATTTCCCTGACAAACATCAAGTCTGCTACCTGTGAGTACTAGGGAAATCAACATGGAAATGACTGATGGAAGTAAGTCATTCACTGAAATCAACGTGCAAATAAGTAAGGTACTATAATAAAGATACGTACTTGACTGTGGGAGTCAGCTTCCCTGAGGTAGGGCCTCAGGGAAGACTTGTGTTGGCTCAATCAATCTCTTCCCCCACCCCATCTTCTTTAATTATAGAAAGTAAAATATACAGAAATGCATAAAAAGTTTCCCACTCCCTATGAGTAACCACCTTCAGTACAATAAAATTATATTTATATTGTTATAGAATTTTTTTTCACTCGATCATGTATTGCAGGCACCCATCATTACTTTATTAGCATATACAGATCCACTTTCTTTGTTTTAATAGCTAAATAATCATCCCTAATACCAATTTTAGGTCTTTTAATGGCCTCGGGGTTTCTACTGTTACAGGGCTGCAACGAACTTTCATAATGCATATCACTACATGTGTTTTACCAAGTATTTTCATAAAATTGGATTGGGGGAGGGAGGGTCAAAGAATATACAGGTTAAGTATCCCTAATCCAAAAGGCTTGGGGTCAGAAGTATTTCGAATTTCAGATTTCTTAGGGTTTGGGAATATGTGCATTATACCTCATTGAGCATCCCGTATCTAAAAATTCAAAGTCAAACTTCCAGTGAGCCTTTCCTTTGAGAGTCATGTTGGTACTCAGAGAATTTCAGATTTTGGAGCATTTCAGATTTCTCATTTTTGAATTTGGGATGCTCAACCTGTATACGTTTTGAATTTTTATAAGTACTTGTTACTCATTTGAGGCTAAATATTGAATAATGAGTAGGTATGCATTAAGTGTACAAGGCAAAGAGAAGGGCAGTAGATGTGGAATGATTCAGATTAAGTGAATAGTGCATATAAATCCTCACCCATGACTATCTGGGGAGGTTTGGGGAGTGGGAGCAGTTGAGGACCTTCTTACACAAAACCATCTGAAAGGGTCTCAGAAGACTCGTAAGAAGTGTCAGCCAGTCCTGGAAGACCACACCAAGACTTGGTAAGTCATTTATACTGACATGTTAAAACCCTGAAGATGACTAATCTATTCAAAACTTGGAAAGATACATTAATTAAAATGTGCATGGGTGTTTTATACTACAAATAATTAACGTCTCATTTGTTAATTGTCAAGAAGCTAACATTTTTGGATTCTGAAGTCCGTTGTTCCCACAGTTATATTTCAGATAACTTTACTGTGTTTAGGTACAGTTCAGTAAGAGATCTACTTACGTAAAAGGAAGTTGTTTAAAAGAAAAATGTGTGTTCTGTCATTGTTGAGTAGAAACAGTAGACTTTGTACTTCATGTTTCCAAAGCATATAAACAGACCATTGCTGTTGGAGGGGATAGGATCTAACTTTTCATTTGACGCTATTATTTTAAATGAACCAGTGTTATACTGCAGCTTAACAGCTACATTAAGGTCTTTTACTTTTTTTCTAAGCTTCAGATCACCAACATAGTTAAATCACCATAGTGATGTAATATACCACTGCCGTTATTATAAAAAATGCAGGCAACATTAATTTATGTTGTCTTTTTCTGGTAGTATATTCTGGTAGTACAACATGGATTGATTGTGGGAAATAACTGGTCAGATTTTTATAATTTATGAAAGCAGCTAAGCCACTTGGTGACATAGGATAGGTTCCCTATCCTAAAAATCTTCAAATTTGTTTCTCTGCATTTCAGAAACAATATTCAGTTTCTTTACATCTCATTTTTATTTTTGAACAGCTGAACTCCAGAGGGAGCCTTTGTTGGTGAATGAATCACTAAATGTAAGTCACTGTAATGGTTTTGATTTTTGTGGTTATTGGGTTTTTTAATTTTATTTTTTTGGAGAGCTATTGAGGAGGAGCCATCTGAAGGGGTTGCCTGTGTATTTCTGTAGTAGCCAGGAGGCATTTGGTAGTGTACTCTTCATTTGAGTTCAGCATCCTGACAGCAGCTTTCACTAGCTCTTTTCCATGTTCACCTATACCCACTGATAAAGAACTTTGAACTTTCTATTGTTTATTATTATAACGGGATTGAAAATTAGATTTTGATGTCTTAAATCATCCTGGTGCTATAGACAAAATAGATTTTAGTTTGAGAATTAAATTTCACTTTATGTTTTTAGAAAGCTTTTCTCAAGATACTAACCTGTAACTGCTATGTGTACATATTTTTTCCCAGATGTGGCTCTCATAATCCCGTTCATTCTTGAAAGAGTCTTGTTTTTGGTCTTTCTGTCTTAATGTATTTATAAGGAACCTTGTATTGTACCAGGAGTGAACATTTTATAAAATGTTTCCAAATGTGCAGACAACTGCATTCTTTCCAATGCTCCTAGAGGAATTGGGGTACTATCAGTGAACCGCGGGATCAGAGTACTTCCTCATCAAGCACTCTGTTTTGTAGCTAGAAACTCATACACCATATGCTGAATAAGAAGAAAGAGAAAAGCACCACTTGGTGTGGTTCAAGTTTGCCATCCAAGAGTTAAAAAGATTATGGCTGGGCACAGTGGCATGGCCTATAGTCCCAGCTACTGAGGAAGTTGAGGTGGGAGGATCATTTGAGCCCAGGAGTTTGGGTCCAGCCTGGGCAACATAGCATAATTTTTTATTTAAAAAAAAAATTTTTTTTTTAATAAAATACACTTTAAAATTTAAAAAGACTTTAAATGGGGTTGGAGCTTACCGAGCCAGCTGGCATGTTCTCCATCCTACCTCAGTCCCTTGAGTCCACCAGCAGCTGTCTTTTCCCCAGTCGAGCATAAATGTCCTTTCCAAATTTGTGCAAAAGTCTGTAGCTAGGACTTAGGATATTATAGGATATTCTGAGCCTTTCCCCTCAGTTTAAAAAAAGAAAAACAGTAGAATTGATAAGATTTGCCAAATAGGAAATCTTATTACAGAATCCTATAGAGTTTTTAAATAAAGAAAAAAGAAAATCATGCAGGATTTGGATGGGAAGGGAAATTTATGGAATTCAGAAAATTTTTCTCTTATTTATTCTTACTCTTTTGCCATTGGCTGCTTTAAGGACAGGCAGAATAAGCACAATAATTTGTTAAACTGAAATTTTTTCAAAAAGAAGATGCTGCATGCTTTTGAGCTTCTGGGTGAAATTAAAAAGAATATGTACCCCAATTCCTTTTGGCATTTGTACAAATAGCCAGGTTATGTAAATTACCTTCTCTCTTCTTTCTTTTTGCCTTTAAATTTTTGTGAGACTATCCATAAATATCTTTTATATTGTATATTTAGGTTGAAAATTCAGGCTTCAGAACAAATGAAGAAATTCATAGCGAATCTTATAACAAAGGAGGTAAGTTAATGAATTTCATAGTTATAGTTTTAATATTATAGTTAACATTTATTGAGTGTGGTCTGTATACCAGGCCTTGTGTTAATTATTTTACATACTTTCTCTCATTTAATTCATAAAAATTCAGTAAAGTGATAGTTAACAGCATCAGGAGTATAGTTGAGGAGAACGAGTCTTAGGCCAGGTGACTTATTCCAAGCCATACAGCTTAAAAGTGATGTCTTGCTTTAAATAGCTACTAGAACTTTGCCATTAATCTCCCAGTTGACTCAATCCAACATAAATACAAAACGAATAGCCCCCTGTGGATTGCAAGTACCCAACTGTGAAATGTGTTAACTTCTGACAGGCAGTTTAGGATGGTAGCATATCAAGGATGTCACATTTATGTGGGTCTTCTCCCAGGGGTGAGGTCTGGTGGCCACACAACCCGTGCAGGCTGCCAACTCTGAACAGAAAATTCCCTTCTCAAACAGAACATAGAATTTTCTTGATGCCTACTAATTTTGTTAATTTCCTATTATAGGAGTGGGGAGAGAGGCTTATTTACTTAGACAGTTATTTTTATAATGTATACCATATTTCAAACAAAAGTAAAGCAGTAATAAACACCTATGTGCCCCCAACCTAGTTTTGCCCTATCTTACAATTTAGTATATTTGCTTCACATACCTTTTAAAAAATGTTAACAGTTATGGTGGAATCCCCATTTACCCCTTCCCAATCCCAATCTCTTTCCTTTTAATCCCACTCCAAAAGGAACCACTATTCTGCATTAATTATATATAGGTCCATAAACAATATGTAACCTATGTTGCCTGCTTTAGGTAAATATGTGGTCTCACGTTACATAAACCCTCCCCACCTTATTTGCTCATTCAGCAGCGTTCTAAGATTTTGTTCTGTTGATTTATATTAACTCTAATTATTTTAATTGCTTTTGAATATACCACAGTTAGTATTTTTTGCTTCATTTGTACATTATTTTGCACATGTAGGTATTTTGAAACTTTTCCCAATTACAAAGAATGCTACTGTGTATGTTCTCATACCTTTCCCAGTGCTTATGTAGTGTACTTGTAATTCTGGGTATGGAATTGCTCAGTTATAGGCACCTCTTCAACTTTACTGCATGTGCTAAATTGACCCCAAGTGGTGTACCAGTTGTCACTCCACACCATCTGCCATATTTGGTATTGTTTGGTGACTGTTTGTTAGCCTGATGATTATGATGCAATGATTCATTATTTTCAGTGATGCTTCTTAATACTGTGTTGCTACACAAACTGGGGGGAAGGGCCTTGAAGTCTTCTGTGTAAAGTCCAGTGTTGTTACCCCAGACATGTTACTGACCTTCTTGAACCCCATTCCCTCACATCTACAAGTGGAAAAAAGAGAATTTAACTGACAGAGTTGTGTGGAGGATCCCATCAAAAATCATTTGTGACTATCTACCACAATGCCCTGTATATAACTGGTACTCAATAAAGTTACTAACTCAGTTTTCTCCCAGCCCCCTAACACATACCTAAGTAAGTATTGGAATATAAAAATATTTAAGATTTTTTTTTCTTTTTTGTATTTATTACTCAGAGATATCCAGTGGTAGAAAAGACAACGCAGAAGCCATAAGCGGTCACAGTGTTGAAGCAGATCCTAAAGAGGTGCATTTTAATAAACTCAAGTGTTTGATATTTTATACATAATATTTTCACTGTACACAAAGAAGGGCTTTAGAAAGGCTTTATTTCTTTGTATAAATTAAATATTAAATGGGTATACTGAGAGTTCCACATGTCACTTTTACCTGTATATGCCCTTTCAATGTTTAGGCAATTTGGCAGTTCCCAGGACTGTTTGGAAGTGCCCACGTTGTACAGTCAGAATGGTTTTTCATGCACCTTTCATCAACCATAAGAAGTCCATTTTTAATAAGCCACTAAGACAGTAGAAAAATACTAATTGTGATGTGCCATCAGTTGTAAGATATATATAGCTTGACTTCAGAAATGGTGAAATGATAAATAATTTTTTTAAATGCGTTTTAGAATTATTGAAATATAGTATGTAGCTAGAAACAGCATGTGTTGTATGAATTTGCATTCAAACCCAGAAAAGAGACTGAAGTTTACAAAATTAGTCTAATCCAAATCTAAATATCAAGTGTTCTAGATTTTTTTTTCTTTTTTTTTTTTTTTTTGAAACAGTCTCCCCCTGTTGCACGGGCTGGAGTGCAGTGGTGTGAACGCTTCTCACTGCAAGCTCCGCCTCCGGGGTTCACGCCATTCTCCTGCCTCAGCCTCACAAGCAGCTGGGACTACAGGCACCCGCCACCACGCCCAGCTAATTTTTTTCTGTATTTTTAGTAGAGACGGGGTTTCACCGTGTTAGCCAGGTTGGTCTTGATCTCCTGACCTCGTGATCCGCCCACCTGGGCCTCCCAAAGTGCTGGGATTACAGGTGTGAGCCACTGCACCCGGCCAAGTGTTCTAGATTTTTAAAAAATTTATATATCAACTTATTCCAAAGGTTAGAATCTAGTACAGTGTGCTCCTCTTTCAGTTTATTTGAATCAAGATTCTATGGCCTTTGATATAGTCATTCTTAATTCCAGGTTGAAGAGGAAGAAAGGCATATGCCTAAAAGAAAAAGAAAGCAGCATTATCTCTCTTCAGAAGATGAACCAGGTATTTATATTTATGTTTCTGTTTTAGACATCTTTGAAAATCATTATTTTTATATCCAAAAGAGTGAGCCAAAAACATAGAGAATTTTTGAGGATAGTAACTCTCTACTTTACAAGTCTTGAGGCTAATTTGTTTCTAGACTGGCTTGATACCTCCGGAGTCCTTTCTGGACCCCAATCTAGAAACTAGATTGCTTCCTGCAGAAGACCCAACCGCTGGATCTCAGACAAAGACAGGCTCTCTCTGGAACCACACCCTGGAGCCCAGCCAGGTGCCACTACAGTCTGTATTTTATATCATAAGCAGATACCCTACAGAGCTAGTGAAGCACTTTAGTCCAAAAGTGCCTCTAACACCCATTCTGTGCTTCATACTGTTGATTTTCTCATGGTCTGTAACGGTGCCCTCTAGTAGAACTACAGTGATAGAAGTCTTGTACATTTATTTTGTCTAATACAGAAGCTACTAGCCACATGTCACTATTGAGCACTTGAAAGTGGTCAGTGGAAATGAAAGACTGAATTTTTAATTGTTTTTTAATTATTTTATATTTCAGTAGCCAGATGTGGTTAGTGACTATCATGTTGAACAGTGCAGTGACCTTTAATACTTGACACAAAGGAGAAGTTCAATACTTATTGAATGACTACATGAGAAAGAATGAGTGAAGAATGAAATATTTATATTTTATATTATTTGGTAGCAATTTAATGAGTTCCTGATGTATTCAGGTACTATCCATGGTACATTATACACATTCCCATTTAATCTTTACAATAAACCTGTAAGTTAGGTGGTGTTGTCATCTTATAGATAAAGAGATTAAGGTTCTGAAAAATTACGACTTTATCTTCACCACATAAATCTGATTCCAAAGCCCATGGTCTCAATTACTAAGCTATACCTCTTAGGTGGTAACTCATTTAGAAAGTTAAAGTATCTCTGGAAACTATACGCTAAGCCCTTCCCATAGAACCCACTACTTCATTGGTGTCATGTGAACATATGGGGATTTTTGTATTTTGTTTTATTTTTACTTTGCCAGGGCGAAAGGCAAGTGTTCAGTGCTCAAATCACATGATATTATAAATATAGAGTAACTTTTGGCTTCTCTGTATCACAGGCCTAAGAAAGAAGGCTCAAACAGTCTTAAAATAGAACTATGCATTTCATTTTTCATTTAGCTTTTGTTCCTTTGTGATTCTGTCTAAACTGATTTACAGATGATAATCCAGATGTCCTGGATTCCAGAATAGAAACAGCACAAAGGCAGTGTCCTGAAACGGAGCCACATGACACAAAGGTATTTTTTCCACATATTAGTTTTAAGTTTTGGGTGGGGGTAGGGAGGCCTAATTACAGCATTGTAAATACTTAGTATAATATTTTTTTCATTTTACTATCCCTCTTTAAATGTCTCTAATAATAATCACTTTAT
The DNA here is from genome assembly GCF_000001405.40 of Homo sapiens. NCBI lineage: Eukaryota > Metazoa > Chordata > Mammalia > Primates > Hominidae > Homo > Homo sapiens. The sequence continues at coordinate 13,586,260 of NC_000004.12, read as the reverse complement.
TATAAAAGGTGTCTATTTTTTAGTCTCCTCCCAAAAATCAAATGTTGCACTTTATAATTCTTAAACTGCAAGATCGTGTTAATTATTACAATTTAGATATAACATTGCTTAGGTTTTTGTTCAGTAGTAGTATTGATTTCTTGAGGTTTCTAAATGCTTTCTTCCAAAAGTATAATGTGCTTTATCACAGATATACTTGCACCAAAATATTGAAATACAGTTATTATTAGTACTCTGCTCTCTAGCTTACCTCCTGTATTAGTCTGTTCTCATGCTGCTAATAAAGACATACCTGAGACTGGGTAATTTATAAAGGAAAGAGGTTTAATTGACTCACGGTTCCGCATGGCTGGGGAGGCCTCACAATCATGGTAGAAGGCAAAGGAGGAGCAAAGTCACGTCTTAACATGACAACAGGCAAGAGGGCATGTGCAGGGGAACTCCTCTTTATAAAAGCATTAGATCTCAGGAGACTTATTCACTGTCAGGAGAACAGCACAGGACAAACCTGCCCCCCGATTCAATTACCTCCCACTGCATCCTTCCCACTACAAGTGGGGATTATGGGACCTATAATTCAAAATGAGATTTGAGTGGGGTCACAGCCAAATCATATCACCTCCTGCCTCTAAAATCTGGGTACTCTAAGGATTGGCCTCACCCATTGCCTTTTTTCCTATGGTTTTATTTTCATCTTATGACTCACAGAACCTCCTCACAAATTTGTATTTGTGTTCTGCCGTCTCTTGTTGTAGGCCCAGATTTTTTCATTCCCTACTAGATACCTCTTCTTGGGTGTTCTTCCATTTCTGAGACTCAGTACTCTAAAATTTCTCATTATCTGTCTAAACTAGTTCCATCTTTTCCTCTCTCTTTCTCTAATTTATATTTTTATAAATTATTAGACGCCTTATTCCAAAAGTGTTTAAGTCCAGTTATGAAAATATTTGAGCTGACTTCCAGTTCTCTAAAACCAGACTTTGGTCTCTTTTTTTCCCCAGTAACCGAAGAACTAAATAAAAAGTAGGAAAAGGTTTAATAACCTAAGAGGGAAAGTGGCATATTGTCATGAATTTTAGTTGGTTCTGACCAAAGGAAGAAACAGGCTCTTAAACTATCCCTCACCCTGCCCTGTCCAAAATCAAAAATCCTGAGACAATACTTCTAAATTTGAAGAAAAGCAGATTGAAGGGGTATCATTTCATTTTCTCTTAAATTTCGTGATTTTTTAATGTTAAATTTAAATAAAATCAATTTATTTTCATTAAGCAGTTTTATAGACACAGTATTTTCAGTTACTACAGAAGAATGTTACATGGAAAGCTGTCTGCAATAGCATTTATTTAATATCATCTTAATATTAGTAATTTTTGGACAGTAAATTGGGAGTGATTTCATCATTTCTGTTAAAGTTTTCTGTGTAGTAAATATGTGCCATTTTATAAAATCAATAAAGTCATTATTCTAAAATGTGTATAGTAAGACCAAAAGACCAAAATTGAATACGTGAAAAAATTCCAGGCACTGGAAAAATAAAAGCAGGAAATAAAAAGTGAGTTGCGTGCGTGTCATCAGGATCTGATTAAGTGCTTACAGGACCAAGTGTTGGCTCTGAAAGAGCCAGTTCAAAAACAGAAATGCAGTTCGTCCAATGGTTTGAAGACTTTTGTGCAGGACATCTTCAGCCCACTATATGAAACAGATAAAAGTGTAGATGTTCTGGCTGAAATGAGGGAGAAGACCCCAAAAACTTCTGCCTGCTCCTAAACTCGCTCCAACACACACACACACACACACACACACACACACACACACACACTCTCTCTCTCTTTCTCTCCCCGCCACACACGCACACATGCTGACTCTCTCCATCTCACACACTCTGTCTCTCTCTCTCACACACACACACACACAGAGCACTTGAAGAGGTCCTGAGCTGAAAATGGCAGTGCAGCATGAGTGTCTCAGTGAAGCCTCAGTGTTGATGTGCTGATAACAGAGCAAATAGGTTTCTCCTTGGCTTTCCCAAACGAGTTGACCTTCCATCCTCTAAATCAACACCCTCCCAAATTGGATGTACGACAAGCCATCAGAATGTGAGAAGAAATGGTAGAACCACGATTTATATATGCCTTTTATCTAAAAATCTTAAAAAGTAATCTCTACTAATATTTACTGTATAGATTGTTGGCCCTGGTGCCATCACTGAAAGTGAGCTCTCCTCTGACATCACCTGTTAGTCTTGCACATTATTGCATGTCTTGGACCTAGTTATGTAGTACTGTCAAAGTACCTTAAGGGTAGCTGGGAGTCCCACAACACAGAGGACTTGAGAATGAGCCCCTCACTTGTTTGTTCACTTTCAGCATTATATGACTTAATAGTTTACAGATGCTCAACTAAATGAATTTGCAGAGTTTGTTTACCTTGTTTTAATTGAATTGACCCTCCCAATACCGACACTGGTTTGAGGTTTCGGCAAAAATAACCACAACAAAAAACCCCATAAGACAAAGATAATATTTGTAATGCAGATACAAACAAATAATAAGAGAAATGGCTGAGCTGACACTTCTTTTACTAGGAAGTAGCAGAAGCTCTGTGTCATCCTCATTGTTAGGTAAAAAAGAATGAAGATCTAATCATATCTGACATGAAGTGGGCCAGAAATTCCACTGTTTCAGTAGACTGTGTGAAATGTGGAATTGCTTTTATATCCATCCCCTTCCAGTCCCTGAAAGGCTATATCAAAACCCAATGACATTGAATGCATCCAAGTAGGGAAATCGGGGGTGAGGGCATTTCATTATAGACCCCTTTAAATTTTGAACCACAAGAATATATTTCTATTAAAAAATAAGTAAAATTAACATTAATAGAAATGAGGATTTACAATTTTTTATAATGGGCCATTAAAGTAAAATTAAAGCTTTAGTTTCCTATTTCATCTTGATCTTATTCTACTTTATGTATTTTTGTTTATATACTATATTAGTATTATAGTTGAAACATTTTGGCATTTCATGCTGAGAACTTTCTTGCCACTATGGGGGGATAATTTAATTGCTGAAAGATCACTGCTCCAAGTCAGCCCATCTGGATACCCAGAAATTCCCTTTGGCACCTCCCAAATTATTGCTTCCCCACATCTCTCCCCTCCATCACTCCACAAAGATAAATATCTGTTGCCAGTATCTGTCCATTCTTCCTTTGGAGTTTGTCTTAAAAAGACAAAATCCAAGTAGAGGGAGGAGAAGAACAATTTCTATTTTGCAGGAAAGAAAATGGCCTTGATATGTTGTACTTGAACCTTATCTCATGCTTTTCTGTTCTCAGAATGTTTATTTTTTTTATGGTCTCACTAGCAGCAATAATAGTTACACTTCAAAAACATTTTCCAAAAACTATCCTTAAAAAGAGCTAGGAAGTTTTTTTGAAATAGAAAGGCAAACTTGTGTGGGGAGGATGAATGGACGAAGGCTTCAGTTTGAAGAAGGTTCTAGTCTTTTTCAACTTCTCTATAGGAAGAGAACTCCAGAGATTTGGAAGAATTACCTAAAACCAGTTCTGAGACAAATAGCACTACCTCAAGGGTCATGGAAGAAAAAGGTGAGTAAAATATCTGCTTGGGTAAATTGACTGAGCCTTCAAAGCAGCCAGCGTGTCTCTCAACCGAAACGTCTATTTTGCTCATTTACTTTTCCTGTGTAATAAAGTGCCTCATGCTTAAGATTAATAGGGCTAGGGAATCATTTTTAATTTGGATCCTGCTATACTCAAAGTGTGCTGTTTACTAGTCACCCAAACTCAGGCTTGTTAATTTTGATGGTAGAAACATGAAAATGGAGTGTGTGGTTATGTGTGGCTGCAGCTGTGTAGGTCACCTGGGTAAAGGTGGGGAAGGCTGACCATGGTCACTAGCATTGAACAAAGTTCTTCCTTTTCTACAGATGAATATAGCAGCAGTGAAACTACTGGTGAAAAGCCAGAGCAGAACGATGATGACACCATAAAATCTCAGGAGGTGAGATGTGCTTTTCGTATTTGTTTGTTCACAATTATTTAAGCACTAACCAAATTAAATTCATTAAATACTGTTATCTTGAGTTTTTCTTAAGTACTTTGAAGAAGCTGCGGTTTTTTTAGTGCAATGGAACACCATTTCATACAGTGCATTTTATCAGTGTCATTTTGATTAATTTTTTTCTCTTCATCTTTGTTTCTTCAAAACATTTGTATGAGACCCACTTATGTCATAGCCAGATAGGATCAGCTTAGTGCTCTACGTCAGCGGCAATGTCAGGTTCCTGGCCTGGCAATGCTGAGCTGCCAGGCCAGGCACATGGCAGCAAACAGGAGGCTGTCTGAGCCATGGAGTCCAGCTAGGATGAAATAGGAACAGCAGCAGGGTGTGCAGAAGGCATGCAGGGAATACTCGAGGGGACCTAGTTCATGAGGCAAGGTCATGGATTCCTGGAGGCTGCATGCACAGACAGAGCATCCCAGCCCTGCCTGCTGTAAGCCCATAGATTTTCAGGGAGCCTGTGGAGCAGAGAATTGCAGTGGCTTGAGACTGAGCACCATAAATCAAGAGACACAGCCTGTGCACTAGCCGGGTCTAGATAACCATTGCCAGGTTTGCCCATTGTTAAATCATTTGTTATTGTTCTGTCTGTATGATATATTCAGTGGACCCCTTTATTTTTTATAAGGGTATCATTTGGTCACAACTAACTTGGGCCAAATCCCAAATTAAATGGACATACATACTTATTACAGAAGTAAAAGGTTACACTTTGATTACTTCATTGTCTCAAAATCCTCATGGCTCCATTAATTTATGACAGTTAGTGATATTTATCAGGTTGAAGAAGCAATGGTGAGATCAGTAAATAAAACACTAAGCCCTACATCACATATTTTTAAAGTGACAAAGCTAGGATTTGAGGTCTCTTAGACAGGAACTCTAAATCTGATTTTTGAGAAAACTTTATATAATAAAGGATAAAATTTTTTTTCTTATTGCTGTTGTTGTTTTTTATTTCCCCCTTAGGAAGATCAGCCAATAATTATTAAAAGGAAAAGAGGAAGACCTCGCAAATACCCTGTAGAAACAACGTTAAAAATGAGTAGGTACTTGGTGTGTTTTCAGTTCACACACAAGAAATTTTCGAACCGATTTTCTAAGTGAATTTTTTTTTTTTAGAAGACGACTCCAAAACAGATACTGGCATTGTCACTGTAAGTAATTGCAAAACATGACAATTTCAAATACTTGCTCTTAACCTGAAAAACGGTATAATGCAATATCTAGTATTTTGAACTTTATTTTTTTTACTTGAAAAGCTTTAAAAGACTGAGTAACCATTCATATATTTTGATTACTAGTATCTTTGTGTAAACAGAGTTACATTAGTTGTTCTTCATTCTGATTCCATTCTAATTCAGGAGTTTGATTATTTAAAAATTATCTAGGGATTTAACTTCTTGTGGCCACCCTTGGTTAAAATATACAAATTAGCTATTTTATAAGATTTTGAGATAGTGGCTTCTTTATAGAGACTTGTGAGTTGTCTTACCATCTTACTACTTTCTTTGGAATTCTTTTTGACCTAAAATATTCACTGAGTTCAGTGCAGGAAACTCCTTAGTGATATTTTATGTTTGAACGTTCTTTATCTTTGACCCTGACGTATACCCACCAAAATCATTGTATCAGGATTCCATCGCATGCATTTCAATGGATTATTATAAGGAGGACATTACAAGAAGAGCATTGTAAGGAGGACAGACGTGTGTTCACTGACCTAACAAAACAACATGGGATTCAAGCCTCAGCTTTGTCACTTATCCCGAGACCTGTGACTTAGGGCCAATCATGGGACCCTCTGGTGACTCAGTTTCCTTGAATGTGAAGTGGTATGATGCCTGCAGTACTTATCTCATAGAATTATTATAAGACAAAACCAGAGAAGCACATGTGAATGCATTTAGCAACATGTAAAATGGTTTGCCTTGGGAAACATTAACCACAGTGGCCATGCTGCATTGCCTCACTTCTCATCCTGTAGCATCACAAAAGGGAAGTTACTTATTGGAAAGTCTGTATTTAGAAGCTCAGGCATCCATGTTTGCTAGGTATACTTAATCAATTACAGAAAATAGGTCTCAAATACGCCTATGTAAATAAAGATCCTATACCACCTTTACATCATTGATTGCATTTCTATGTGATGATTATAAACTGCTGATTTAAAATTTTTTTTTGTTTGTTTATTTAAACATAGGTAGAACAATCTCCATCTAGCAGCAAACTGAAAGTAATGCAAACAGGTATGTACCTACCGCATTCCTCTGTGTGTTATCTGAGGGAGGGGCAGGAGAGGCTGGCTGTTGGAGAAGGTTTGGAACTTCCATTCTGCCTCTCATTGAAGTGGGTGGCCCCCTTGGTAAAAATAATTGTCCTTGTATCTGGGAGAGACTGTATCTATTGGCTTACAGAGCCCAGGACTCAAGAATTGAAATTGTTTTGACTATTTTTCTCCTCATTCCAAGGAGAAGAATATATTCCAAAATGTTGATAATGATTAGCTCTGGAGGGTGGAATAATGGGAGCATTCCATATTATTTGTCAATATTGCTTGCATTTTCCAGATATTTTTTGCAATGTATATGTATGCATTTTGTGGTCTAAAATTTTTTACATAAAACAAGAGGTGCCATTAGTGAGCTTTGAAGTGTTGATATCAACAACAAAGATTAATGTGACAGCTATTTTGTATCAAATAAATAGTATGGTCAGACTGAGAAAGTACATATTCTCATCAGCAAATAAAGCAAATAGGTAATATATAGTTGTTTCCACATTTAACTATGTGTGATCGTACTTCATTTTTTCTTGTGTCTTGGTAAATTAAGGTTCATTTATTTTTTGAAAGAGGAAGGAGATTATGCACGTTTGGTCTTAACCAGTTTTTATTAATAATTTTGTAGTATTTTGAATCCATACAAGAAATCTTTATAACTTCAGTCCCCTTTAAGGACTCCAATTAAAGCTGTGTTATTCAGAATGTTTTCTGAATGTGGGTAAAATGATGACCATTTTAAGACAGTCCTCTTTGTTGACATTTCTATTGGGTTAACTTTTTCATCTTCATTGGTATTTTAAACTTGCAAAAAAGGACAACTACTACCGTCACTAAAAAGAAGTACCTTTGAGTTTTTGAGTGCCTGATGAACATCCCCATAATTTCAGCTTCAACTAGTGCATTGAACTAATCTTTACTTTTCTTACCATGATACAGTCTCAGAAAATTGTAACATCTGCAGAAAGCAAATGCATAAAGAATGTATGTATGCACCCTACAAACAGGTCATAAAATGTACTTTTTTAGCTACCATGATGTATTTGGAGTCAAAAGAATTCTACCTGTCACTCTACTTGTTAGTTATGTGACTCTAAACAGATTACTCAAGCCTGGTTTGTTCAGACTATAGGCTGGGATCATAATACTTGCAGAGCTACACTGAAATTGAAAAGTCCATATTAGCCAGGTGTGGTGGCTCACACCTGTAATCTCAGCACTTTCAGAGGCCTCCACAGGAGAATCACTGGAGCCCAGGAGTTGGAGGCTGCAGTAAGCTATAATTGCACCACTGCACTCTAGCCTGGCCAACAGAGCAAGACCCTGTCTCATAAAAATAAAACAAAAGTACCAGTTATATATCCTTATTCAAAATGCCTAGGACACCAGAAGTGTTTCAGATTTTGAATTTATTCAGATTTTGGAATATTTGCATTTCCCAGTTGAGCATTCCTAATCAAAATTCAAAATGCTGCAATGGCATTTCCTTTGAGGGTCATGTTGGTGCTCAAAAAGTTTTGGATTCTAGAACATTTTAAATTTTGGATCATCAGATTAGGGATGCTCCGCCTGTATATCATTCCAACTTGCAGTTACTGGTACATATTGTGGGCTCCTTATATGCCCCCTTTTTTCTTCTTTTTTGGGGTCAGAACATTTAAGCTGAAAGGGAATAAGAGTAGTCTAACCCAGCCGGGCGTGGTGGCTCACACCTGTAATCCCAGCACTTTGGGAAGCCAAGGCAGGCAGATCACCTGAGGTCAGGAGTTCAAGAGTAGCCTGGCCAACATGGTGAAACCCCGTCTCTACTAAAAATACAAAAAATTAGCTGGACATGGTGGTGGGCACCTGTAATCTCAGCTACTCAAGGAGGCTGAGGCAGGAGAATTGCTTGAACCCAGGAGGCGGAGGTTGCATTGAGCCAAGATCACGCCACTGCACTCCAGCCTGAATGACTGAGTGAAACTCTGTCTTAGAAAAAAAAAAAAAGTAGTCTAATCCAACTTCTTATTTTGCAGCTGAAAAAACTGAGGGTCAGCAAATTTAAATAAAATCTGAAATGAAAACTTATGTTTCGTGACTCACAATCCAATGTGATCTCTGCTAGGTATTCTGATTCTATCTTTGCTTGACTGATACAAGATAATGATGAAATGTATAACAATGTATTAATACTGATACATTGACAGACAAGCCAGGCTGATTGTTGAAATTTAAATTTACAGTAATAAAATATTAATGCAGAGATTTCCCTTTTCTTAAAGATGAATCCAATAAAGAAACAGCTAACCTACAAGAAAGAAGTATAAGCAATGTAAGTGTTAAATTTCTTATCAAGATATGTTGTTTAGAAATCAACTTAAATGCTCAGCTGACCACCCTTTTGACTTTAATTTTATTGCTTCTAGGATGATGGTGAAGAAAAAATAGTAACAAGTGTGCGTCGGAGAGGAAGAAAACCCAAACGTTCTCTCACTGTATCAGATGATGCTGGTATGTTTCTAGCAAATTCTTAATAAGTCTTATTGTTTCAAAACCACCTTTTTAAAGAGTTTTTCTTTGAATGAGGAAAAATCCAATGGGTACAGCTAATATTAATATTATATAAATATGTGTGAAATAGGTCTAATCCCGTGTCAGAAATGGTACATCCCAGATGCTTTTCTGAGTACATGTCAATTTTTTATGAACGCTGGCTGTGAACTGCATATGTAAACTATCCAAAATGTGTTTGAGATTAAGTTAAACAGTTGTGAATTGCAAGTGCTGAAACAAAAAGGAAGTGGAAAACCATTTCTCTGCCTCCAAGTCCCTAATATCCTAAGTTCTAAACTCCATGACTCTCTCTCTTGGAAGTATCTTTGGGAATTGTAAAATCCAGGTGTTACCCTTCTATTTGAACAGAATCCTCAGAGCCAGAAAGAAAACGCCAGAAATCAGTTTCTGATCCAGTGGAGGACAAGAAAGAGCAGGAGTCTGATGAGGAAGAGGAAGAAGAGGAAGAGGACGAGCCTTCAGGAGCCACCACAAGATCCACCACCAGATCAGAGGCTCAGAGGTAATGGGGGCAGCACAGAGCTGCCAGAGACCTTCACCAGCTTCTCCATCTGAAAATTGCTCTGGGTTTTCTGGGATTCTCTTTGAACTGAATCATTCATGCTGCAGTGGAAGTTCTTCCCTTTCATTTTTATTGTTAGCAGTGGGCACATAGTTCTTGGAGAACACATTTTCTGTCCTAAACCATTTTGGGGGATTGCCTCAAAGTCTTTACCAGGTTTTAAATGCCTATTTGGTGGAACCCATTCAATTCCTTACAAATATATTTTTTGAGCATCTGCCATCCTTCAGATGTCGTATTGAGCACCATTCATGAATATGGACATACATAAAACATCATCCCTGCTCTCAGCATACTTAATTCAACCCAGAAAGCAGGAGGAACCAGGCCCACGCACCGTCATCACATGCATCTCACCAGTGCTATGCAATAGGTTGATCATAGGAAAGTGCCCAAATTTGACCATTTTTGAGGTAATTTCATATATTTCCCAAAATGTGTTCTCTCAAACCCTATTGTAGCCAGAAACCTCTGAGAAAAAGAGTACCACGGTCAGATGAGTTTGGGAATGTCATTGAATTCTCTCTCCTTCCTCAGTTACATGTTCATTAAAATATTAAGGGTTTGGCAAACTCCAGGGCTGGGCGCGGTGACTCACGCCTGTAATCCCAGCACTTTGGGAGGCCAAGGCAGGCGAATCACGAGGTCCGGAGATCGAGACCATCCTGGTCAACATGGTGAAACCCCGTCTCTACTAAAATACAAAAATCAGCCAGGCATGGTGGTGAGTGCCTGTAATCCCAGCTACTCGGGAGGCTGAGGCAGGGGAATTGCTTAACCGTGGGAGGCGGAGGTTGCAGTGAGCTGAGATGGCTCCACTGCACTCCAGCCTGGTGTTAGAGCAAGACTCCATCTCAAAAAAAAAAAAAAAAAAAAAAAAAAGGGTTTGGCAAACTCCTAAAGGAAAGAAGCCTGTTGAACTTTGTTTAAACAAGCATTATTTGCTGATACCACTTTTCTGTTGTTGGCCTATATCATTATACCTGTTCACATCATCCAGTGTTCCTTTCCCCATGGCACATTTGAGAAATGGTACATAACTGTATTGTCTCATCCTAACCGTTAATCACTTTCCCAAACATGAATATTTTCCAGGCTGAGCACGGTAGCTCATGCTTGTAATCCCAACACTTTGGGAGACCAAGATGGGAGGATCACTTGAGCCCAGGAGTTTATGAGACCAGCCTGGGCAACACAGGGAGACCCCATCTCTACAAAAAAATTAGAAAATTAGCTGGGCATGGTGGCATGCACCTGTAGTCCCGGCTACTTGGGAGGCTGAGATGGGAGGATCGCTTGAGCCCAGGAGCTTGAGGCTGCAGTGAGCTGTGATCGCACCACTGCACTCTAGCCTGGGTGACAGTGAGACTCTGTCTCTGAAAAAATATATATTTTTTTAATTTTTAATTAATGTGATTTACAAGCTATTAATCTTGGTATCATCTTGTTTAATTTCATTATTCAAGATTGATCAAAAAGTTCAGGAAGATTTATTTCAAAAATAACACTAACAGCATAATATAATAGTATCTTGTGTTTACATAAAGAACTAAAATCGGGGCTGGGCACAGTGGCTCACACCTGTAATCCCAGCACTTTGGGAGGCTGAGGCCGGCGGATCACGAGGTCAGGAGTTCGAGACCAGCCTGGCCAATATGGTGAAACCCCATCTCTACTAAAAATATAAAAAATTAGCTGGGTGTGGTGGCACGTGCCAGTAATCCCAGCTACTTGGGAAGCTGAGGCAGGAGAATCGCTTGAACTCGGGAGGTGGAGGTTGCAGTGAGCCGAGATCACGCCATTGCACTCCAGCCTGGGTGACAGAGTGAGACTCCCCGTCTCAAAAAAAAAAAACAAAAAAAAACAAAAACTTAAAATCAATCTGTTTCTAATTCCTCCAGACTTAACACAGTATTAGCCATTTGTGCCATGGTTTGATTTCTCAAAGAATCAGATTTTAGAGCCAAAGGACTCTAGAAGCTCACACGGCTAAAGTTATAAGGTGGTCTCATATTTGTTTTTTTAGGTGGAGCAGCTCACATAAATAGAAAAGAAGTCACAGAATCCAAATTGCTGCTGCTAGGAGAGGGTGAGGGTGCTGGAGCCCAACACCCATGCATTTGGGTATAGCATCCATCCCACCAGAATTACTGCTTCCCTTTAAAACAGTTGTGGAAAGTAGGGCTCAACTCAGAGAAAGTTCCATAGGCCTTCTAGCCATCTTCGAGTGAGTGTCTAGAAATTGCTCTCAGATTTGCCTTTTATAAATTCTTTAAAAATAAATCTTATTTGATTTATATGGTTCTGTAATCACCTGGATTATCAAAGCTCTTCCTTCATGCACTTTATAATATAAACTTTTGATTTACAAATGAGTTGTTTTCTCTCTAGTTTAGATTCCTTGGCATTGGTTGATCAGTCCCAGGGCTCTGGTGTCTTCATAATTTTACAAATTGTCTGAGTTGGGTGGGCTCTCAGTGGTCATGTAGTACCAATAGCCAGTCAGTGCCTGAGTCACTGCACCTGCAGCTCCTCTGAAAGGGTCTTCCTGCTTTTGCATGGACCTCAGTGGCAGGGAAAGCCACATCCTCCTTAGCATTCTCTGACTTGTGTTCAGTAGAAGCCGGCCTCCCTGTGGCTTCTACTCTTGATTCTAGTTCGACTTTCAGAACCTTCTGTCTAATTTTGCCTTACATATTTGAGGGCAGCTTCCAGGTCTTCTCTGCTTGCTTATTGAGCCCCTTCATCATCCCTGTTTGTGCTCATCAGTTACCTTTATCCTCTTTTAGAAGCAAATGTGCAGCTGGGCGCAGTGGCTCATGCCTGTAATCCCAGCTACTCAGGAGGCTGAGGCAGGAAGATTGCTTGAGGCTGGGAGTTCGAGACCAGCCTAAGCAACATAGCAAGACCCTCTTAAAAGAAAAAATTAAATTAAATTAATAAAATATAAAAGAGGCCACGCACAGTGGCTCACGCCTGTAATCCCAGCACTTTGGGAGTCCAAGGCTGGTGGCTCACTTAAGGCCGGGTGTTCAAGACCAGCCTTGCCAATATGGTGAAACCTCATCTCTACTAAAAGTACAAAAAGTAGCCGAGCATTGTGGCAGACTCCTGTAATCCTAGCTACTTGGGCAGCTGAGGCAGGAGAATTGCTTGAACCCGGGAAGTGGAGGTTGCAGTGAGAAGAGATTGTACCACTGCACTCCAGCCTGGGTGACAGAGCGAGGCTCTTTCTCAAAAGAAAGAAAGAAAGAAAGATAGATAGATAGAGGCTCTTTCTCAAAAGAAAGAAAGAAAGAAAGAAAGATAGATAGATAGATAGATAGATAGATAGACAGACAGACAGACAGACAGACAGATAGATAGAAGCAAACTCTGTATACCAAGTGTGGTCTAATGAATCCAGAAGAGGACTGTTCTACCTTATTTTCTGGATATTGTTCTTCAGTGTGCATCCTCATTACTGAGCCTCAAATTGAAAAATACACCAGCTAAACAAGTTCCTTTTTCAGAGTTTTTACTGGAATCAGAATTCCTTATCTGATTCTTGTGCAGTTGACTACTTGGGCCTTAACACTTAGCCTTGTGAATTGTACTTTCGTTAATCTTGGCCCTTTATTCTACCCTGATGAGCTCTTTTGTAATCTTTATTTTGTCGGCCAGTATATTTTCTATTTTTCGCAGATACATCTTTTTTCTAAATCACAATAAAATATCATGCACAGTAAGAACAAAGATAGTGTCACACAAGCAGAGGTAGTTGTAGATGACATTAAGATCGACTTATCAGCAGTGGTCAGGAAAACCAACCATTTTTCTGATTTTAGTTCCTATTGTTCTGACTTGCCCACAAGGAGCCTCATACTTCCTACAGAGTTCCAGGGACTGGAGTATTCAGTGCTACCATTGCCCAGTGTTTCTATAATCTGTTTCAGAAAGCAACATAGCAAGCCATCTGCACGTGCAACATCCAAACTTGGCAGCCCAGACACAGTTTCTCCTAGAAATCGCCAAAAATTAGCAAAAGAGAAGTTACCTACCAGCGAAAAAGTTAGTAACTCTCCCCCATTAGGAAGGTAAGTCCCTGCTTACACTTCAAGCCATTTTTAACCCCCTAAGACTATTTTTGGTACAATAATGCTTTCTTCCTAATTTCCTTTAAGATTTTGTCTCACCAAATAACTGTTTTTGGGGATCATTGGTTTCCAAGAAGAACAGGAAGGGCTGCAGAAGGTGTCTGTGTGGCCTCACCAGTCTGGCCTTGCCGCAGTGGACTGCCACACAGGCTTGTCCTTGACACCTGTGAGCCTTATCTGCCTTCTCCCATCCACCAAGACCAAAGGCAAGGCAGTGTGGTAAAGCATTTAACAGCCCAGAATCATTTCTGTTTTAGCTAGAGCATTGGAGAGGTGATGAGGTGATAAAGCTTCCTCTTTCAGGCACGGCCCCTGCCAGCTTACACCTTTCACTGCAGCCTTACTGGTCTTACTGCTTCCCAGAGGTGGTCCTGAGCCTTCCTTTCTTGCCTTTGCTTGAGCCAGTGAGGAGTGTCCTCACCACCAGCACCCCTAGTAAGTCAGATCCTTTCCGTCCCGCTTCAGCCCATTTTCATCTCTTCTTGCTGCACTTCTGGTCAGTACTGGGCACTTGAGATGCCACATAGCATTGGTTTGGTATATTCCTTTTATTTACCCCTCTGAGCTCTAGGTTTCTTTCTTGAGATAGGAATTTGTCATACTTTCTATACATTATCATATTCAAAAATAAAAGACTCTTCACTGTACACAAAAACTGTTTTGACCTCTTACCACATTTTCATCTTCACAGCATACTTGTATGTATGTGCTGTTTTCCGCACATTCTAGAAACGAAAGCAAACTATAGTGCCAGGCAGTTTCACATACATGCTCTCATTTAACCCTCAGTGAGTGAATTGTAATAGTTACTCTTATTTTATATGTGAGGGAAAGAATCTCAGGAAGGTTTCCATGCATACTACTCAAAATTGAACATGCAGTCAAATCACTTGAGGCTGTTGGTAAAATGCAGATCCTGGGTCTGTAAGTCTAGGCTGGGGCCTGAGAGTTGGCATTTCCAACAAGCTCCTCAGTGACCAATGCCCCTCCTCACAGACCACATTCTGGGTGGACTAGAAGGGCCTGGATAAACTACGAAGCTCACATGGCTGGGGAGAAGCAGCCTGACTCAGAGCTTCTGTTGGCTGCCACTTGGCCCCCAGCACAATACTGCGCACGGCACCTTTACTGAAGAGGTGTTCATTGAGTGGCTGGTGGCTTTCCATGGAAACAGTTTGAAATGGATTATCAACAAACACATTTTCAGTCATTGTCAACACATGTCAAAACCACATCATCTGCAACAATTTTTGACTCAGTTTATTTACTTTTGCTGTCAAACAAGAAACGGAAGACGTGTCTTCATATCACTAAGAGTCCCATTTCTCCATCTCCTGCAATTTTGGTTTTCCAACTCTTTGATTCATTGACAGGACATTTACTGCCCGCTTGCCATGTGTTGGGCATTGCACTAGGCACTGGAGTTAGAAAAATGAATAAATCTCAGCAGCTGCCCTAGAGAATCATCGTGTCTAATGGGGGAGATATATGTGTATAAGACTTTCAAACTTTTTTGGCAACAACCCACTATAAGAATATTTTGCAATACAGCTGGTGCTCACATTCCTGCTGCTGTAACTGAAACAAAATTTCATGAGTCAAATTTAATAGATGTGATATGAGTGGTATTTTCTGTTGTGTCCTATTAACATGTTGTTTTAAAATATTGATTGTAACTTGCAGTTTGAAAAAACACAGCAGATGAATCACAATGGTAAATGCTGTGGTAAAGACCTAAAGTCTTCATATCAATAAAGTCACATTTCTCTGTGGGGGATTCCAAAGATGGGGCATCTTGCTTTGTGATGTGGAAGGTGCAGGACTACAGGCCCAGATGGTGCACAAGTAGAAGGCAGAACTATAAAAGGCTCTGGATGATTTTCTCCTGAAAGCATCAGAGACCCAAGAGGAACTTCATACATCTCTAGGACAGTAACATGATTAATTGGAGTTTCCAACAAATAATTTTAATCACAGACTATATCAACAGGGTATGCTGGTGATAGGGAGATTGGTTAGAATGTTCTTCTGAAATTCCCGTGCCTTTTCTAACACAGGTATTTTCTGTAATACTGTGCTACGAAACATGATTTTGCACTTGGTCCAACCTAGATTGCAGTCCTGCTGTGTTCTTGCTAGTTGTTTGAACTTGGGACAGTCTGTATATTGGTGGGACCCGCTGTTGATGTCTTTGTTTTCTAGATGAAAGAACTAGGGCCCAGAGAAGGAAGTGGATTTGAGCACCATCAGCACCTAGAGTGTGGTAGAGCTGGAACCAGAGCACAGGCTTCAAACTTCTCTTCCAGTGTCCTGTGTTTGTGTGTGAGGTTGACAGCAAATAACCAGTTAGTTCAAGCTCTTCGCGAGGTAGCTCCTTTTCATGTATAAATGTTACTGGGTTTTTCTCTTCTTAGCTGTCAAGTTCAAAACTCTTCTGTTTTTTAAGGAACTCCCAAGTTATTTGAAGCAGCTGCTTTTAAACCTCACCATTGCCTTGACTTTGCTTAATGCAGATCAAAGACACAGCTCTCCCCTTCTATCAAGCGCAAGAGAGAAGTCAGCCCTCCTGGGGCCCGAACAAGAGGCCAGCAAAGGGTGGAGGAAGCCCCTGTGAAAAAAGCGAAGCGATAATCCTGACCACTGCTGCCCTAGGCTTATGGAGGAACACGGTGGAGAGGAAAGAGACATGCCTTGGTGGCCATAGGCTTCTCTTTAACCAGGAAAAAGATATGCATGTGCTGTAAGTCCCTAGGTGCAAGCTTTTTCTTGTTATGTTTTAAACAGCTTTATAAACTATTGTTCATAGAAGATATTATGTACATTTATTTCAGATAAAGGACAATAAGTTTACTTTGTATCTGAACTCAAAACAAAGTAGTTGTATATTTTAACATTCAAAATTGGGATTTCCCAATGTGACACATCATGAATGCAAACCCCTCCAGCCCATCAGACGCCAGGCTGCCTACTGGTAATCTGTGTATAGTATATAAACATGTAAAAATAGGTTGTATTTTACTCTATGTATGATGCTAATCAATGAACACTTTATTTATTTTACAGAGAAAACTTATCTGTGAACTTTACTATATATCTGTTTATTTTACTTTATTTTTTTTTTAAATAAAAAGGGTTTTAAATGCTATGCAGTCATTAGTAGAAAATTTTTTAGGACTCTGCCTGCTCTGTAACTATCTTAATATGATCTGGCAGAAACTCGCATGTATCCAAGTAAAGTAGTTTAGCTAAAGAAAGGTTCTTCATTGCTTTTCTGTTCACAGTTGTGGCTCTGTTTTTTAAGAATGTAACTTGTTTTTAGATTATACTTGCATCTGTGACTTTACTACCAGCCACGTTGACACAAAACAGGTTCTGGTTCAGGTAAAGTTGCGTCAGTCACCTGCAGCAGAAATCCCTCTTCATTCCTCTTCTCTGTGTTCATTCCTCTTCTGTGCTGTTCTGAAGCTTCTACCAATACTCTTTCCATATTGTCTTTTTCAGTGAAGAGAAATGCATTCAAGATTAGGTCCCTCCTGTCTATCCAGTTTCAGGATTTTATGTTGTTTTATACACAGTTATTTCAGTATAGAAACTGGCTTTATTGCCAAGTGTTTTTTTAAACATGTTTTAACTCTCATATGAGCAAACTGTCCAACTTCAGTTTTTCATAAGATTAAACTTCTTACGATCAAATTTGTCTCTTGCAATGATGTGATGAGTTGCCAAATAATTGAGATTATTTTAAAATGTTTTGTTCATATTCTTGTTTTATAATTAAAATTTACATTCAGTGTGTATGGGTTTTTTTTTTTATTTTGACTCTTAATGTAAGGTGGATATTTCTGTCATTTTACATGGTTTCTTACTGAGATTTTATATATAAATTATAAAATGTTTACCAAAATTTGAGTGGTAAGAATTTTATTTGTGTGTTTTAAAATGTGTCTGCATGAAAACCATTTCTTCTCTCTAAATAATTGGTCTTAGCTGTATCATTCCATGCTCACATTCAAATTTGAGTCAGTGATGGCCTTTCTCAGTAGAACTGAACTCGGTAGAACTGAACTTGGAAGAACTGAACTTTAGATCCAGAAAGGCCATTAGAGATGAGGAACATGAGAGTTTCTCATTTTTATGTATATGGATGATTTTTAACCAAAACTCAAAAATCTAAAGTGATTTGTCTTAAAAGTAAGAAATGCAAATCAAAGCCACAGTGATGTACCATCTCACACCAGTTAGAATGGCTTTTATTAAAAAGTCAAAAAATAACAGATGTTGGCGAGAAAAGGGAATGCTTATACACTGTTGGTAGGACTGTAAATTAGTTCAGCTCTTGTGAAAAGCAGTTTGGAGATTTCTCAAAAAATTAAAATTAATTACCGTTTGACCCAGCAATCCCATTACCAGGTATATGCCCAAAGGAAAGTAAATTGTTCTACCAAAAAGACATCTGCACTTACATGTTTATCACAGCACTACTCACAATAGCAAAGACAAGGAATCAACCTAGGTGCCCATCAACAGTGGATTGGATAAAGGAAATGTGGAACATACACACCATGGAATTCTCTGTAGCCATAAAAAGGAACAAAATCACGTCCTTTACAGCAACACTGATGCAGCTGCAGGCCATTATTCTAAGTGAATTTACTCAGGAACAGAAAACCAAATCTAAAATACAAAATATAAGTAAAAAATGTAAAAAGTAAAAGGGTAGAAGCTGAACTAGTTTCCAAGGTTCCTGATTCCTTTGGTCACAGTCTTTGCACTGTCAGTTTTAGATTGGTTCACCAGGAGTGCATGCTGAAATTGCAGTCTTACTGTGACACTGATGTTATTCAGTTTAGTAATGGCTGCTGTGGGCATGACCCTATAGGGACCGAGTAGTTGGAGTGTGAAGAAATGCTGCCTCTCGATAAAACTGGAACTAAATCGTGGAAATAAATGAAAAATTTTATGATGGGGAAGTCAGTTAGACCACATACCTTCCAATGGTTCTAATACAAGACTTTGGAAACAGGTGGAAGCAATTCTTAGTCATCACAATGATTTGCTACCACTAGTATCGAGCAGAAGGAAGGAGGTCAGGAATGCCAAACATCCTGCAATTTACAGGACAGTCCCTGACTCCAAAAAAAATATCCAGCCTAAAATCCAGTAGCTTCCACTAACTCACTGAGAAGCACTTGCAGACCATCTCCAGATTTGACATTTCTCAGGCCTTGGCTTGTTACCACTGCCACTGCCTCACTGCTTCTCCATGAGCAACCTGAACAAGAGCCCATCTGCTCTTCCCAACCCGGAGTTGAGACAAGGCTAGGAGGATCACACAAGACTTAGTGAAGGCAGCAGCATGCCCTGTGACTGAGGGCGATGTGGCTTACAACGATGGCCGGTTCCTCCTCAGTTGAAGTTGGTCATCCACAACCACAATCCTTCCCTGCCTGTTTCAGGCCTCTTTCCTCAGGGTGGTACCACTTGACCCCTACGACCTAGACTTTACTTAAATACTAGAATCTACTGACTGAGGTTTACCATAACCACACCAATTAGGAATGGCCATCAGGTAACACTCCTCTTCCCAATGAGATCTCATGGCAAGTTGGTGGCAACACAGACTGAACTCTTTGTCTTCCAACCCCCAGGCCAGGGCTCTTTATATGAAAGCCCACGGGAGGGAGGCATTGATCTTTCCACCTCAACGGCAAGCTCACTGCTCTTAGGACCATAATATATCAGAGCCCTTCCCCAAATATCTCTGCCAATGATAAAACCTAACTGATTTGAGGTCAGAGGGAGATAGTTCTAACTAGAAGAAATGCTGGAAAAGGTTGCTTTTTTATTTTTTGGTTTTTTGGATTTTAGGATGTCTTGTTCATCATTTGTACAAGAGTACCTTACATTTACTAAAATTACTGTGTAGCCATCTTTGTATGACTTAAATCAAGAACAAGATGCTTTTCAGAATACACTGACAGATACTGTTCTCAGGGGAAGAAAATAGTTCTAGAACCAGCACTTTTCCCACTGAAACTGCTGTGCTGGGAAAGGACACATTTGTTGAGCTACTACTCTGCCCAGCACTAGGGACTCAAATGTTGGCTCAAGTCTCAAGGGCACAACCTCATGAAGCAAACAGCTGGGCTGCACTTGCATTGTCACAGAACAGCAAACGGGAGAAGAATACCTTCCTTAGAGAAGCAGGACAAAGGACTAACTCCTGGCAGATCAAGGGAGGAGTTTATTTTTAAAAGTCTAAAATGGAGTTTCAAGCAAGGTTGGAACCTAAAGAGAGTATTTTAGAAGCTGAAGAGCGGGGACGACTGGAGACAATAATGGATGCCATTTTTACCAGTAAGTCAACCTTTCAGAAACTTCCTGGAGGAAGATACAGACAATACTATCAATATATCTTGGCATTACACAAAACACTAGTTCCAAGAGATGCTTCCTCACGATAGCCCTTCTTGGAAGTTCATTGTGCACATTAGCAAATATAAATTCTAAGAAATTATGAGAGGAATCAGGTTAACTTTGTTGAACCCAGAATTTTCCAAGGTTATTAAACCTTAGAATACCTGCTTTCTTTCCCTAAACCACACACACAGAAACTTAACATCCATGGAAACTGATGTTGCACAAAACTTTGAAAACCCTTAAGAGTTTCAGAATAGCCCTGTGAAAGAGTATCATACACCCAATTTCATAGTTGGGAGAATTTAAGCACAAGGCCGTTACATAGCTTGCTTAAGAACATACATATGAAGCATAACTAGGATTGGAACCAAGGTCTTGTTTGAGGATATCCTCCACTTCATTCACCTAGCTAATGCCCACAACAGATCTAAGTGGAAACAGCTTTCCCTTGACATTCTCTTGGAATATGTTTGATTTAAAAAAAAAAAATAGTAGCGGGCATGGTGGCTCACACCTGCAATCCCAGCACTTTCGGAGGCCAAGGCAAGCGGATCACTTGAGGTCAGGAGTTCGAGACCAGCCTGGCCAACATGCCAAAACCCCATTTCTTATGAAAATACAAAAATTAGCCGGGCGTGGTTGTGCGTGCCTGTAATCCCAGCTACCTGGGAGGCTAAGGTGGAAGGATTGCTTGAACCCAGGAGGCAGAGGTTGCGGTGAGCTGAGATTGCTCCACTGCACTCCAGCCTGGGAGACAGAGGGACACTCCGTCTCAAAAACAAAACAAAACAAAACAAATGTTATAAAATCTTAATTTTAATTATGTGAGCAATGTTTTGATTGTAGAAAATTAAAAATAAACAATAAAGAGGAAAAAAATCACTGGTAGTCCCAAAGTCAGATATTATCACTATTAACAGTCTGATGTGTAATTCTTCCAGGCCTTTTTCTATTTACCTATATGCAGAACTCATATACTACAAATCATTGAATCTAAAATGCTGTTGACTATAAAATGCCCATGCACCATTACTTTGTATACTATTAGGAAAGAGAAACACCGTAACACAAAAATTAATGATATTCTTAATGGCATGCATGAATCAGTTACATCAGCTTGTTGCTTTAAGATGTTTCTCCTCAGTTACAAGGGATTTGGTGATTTCTCCACCTTTAGCTGTATGATTTGTCATGTTTTAGGCAATTCCTTGCATATATCTCAGGAACAAAATGTAACAACATCACCTACTTGTAGATATCTTCCTTTCTTAAGTCACAGAAAGCACTTGGTTGTTGCTTTCTGAGAAAACATAGAATCATACTTATTTCTCCTTTCCAACACTGAATATTGGCCTCATTGATATAAAATGTATTTCTCAGTCCTGTGACTTTCCAAGTATACAGTAACTCTGTTTTGATGCCAAGTCATACTCTAACCTTTTAAAAAACTGTAATTGGTGTTTAAAATCAAAGGATCTAGAACCAATGATACACATAATTCAGTTGAAGTGATATATGAATAGTTAGGAACAATATCAAGCATGGCAATGACAACTATATCATAATTGTCACTTGTTCAATAGCAATTTCAAGACACATTCTAACTTCAGAGCTGTTAAAATACAGGGGAAAAAGCTGCCTTTGAATTGATGAAATAGTAGATTCTTTTTTACATAAATGAGATTTTACATATCTACCTTTTTGCCCTTTTAAAAAATATGTCCATCCCGGGGCCGGGTGCAGTGGCTTATGCCTGTAATCCCAGCACTTTGGGAGGCCGAGGCGGGCAGATCACGAGGTCAGGAGATTGAGACCATCCTGGCTAACATGGTGAAACCCCGTCTCTACTGAAAAAAATAAAAATAAAATAAAATATGTATGTCCATCCCTTATCCCAATTGTACCACTCTTTTTCCCCCTCAAGATTACTACCATTCTAAATAAAGGTTTATTATTTTATAGCTGTTTATCAGTTTTACTACATACGTATATATCCCTAACAATATATTCAGTTTTAAATTTTTTTGCTTTCCAAATAGAATCATTTTTTGGATCATTTGAGACTTGCTTTTGTCTTCTACATTATGTTTTAAAATTCATCTATGTTAATATGTATAGCTCCAGTTGGATTCATTTTCACTGCTGTATAGTATTCCATTGAAGGAAAAAAAAAATATATATATATATATTATCTCAGTATACTAAGCCATTCACCTCTTACTGGTCCTTGGATTATTCACAGATTAATTTGCTTTGTTTTAAACATTTTTATGAAGCTTCTCTATGGTACAGTTTCCTAAACTTACAAATTTTGTGGTACATATAGAAAGTGGTATTTGTAGGCACAGGATATAAGTGGAAGGACCAGGCTGGTTGCTGCCTAAAGAGACTATCAGCCTGTTAACCAGAAAAGCAGGCCACTCAGCTACTTTGAAGCTAGGGAATTAAAATATCTTTACACCTGCATCCATTCTTTGCACTAAGATATATACAGCTTTCTGCTCCATGGTACAACTGCTAATTCCTAGGATAAGCATATTTTCCGTTTTGGAAAATAATGCCAAAATTTTTCCCAGATGCTTGTACCATATTGTACTCATACCAGTAGTGTTTAAAAATTACTTCGCTTTCGAATATTGAGCAGTACAGGACTTCTTGATTTTTGCCTATCTAGTAGGGATAATATATCTCATTGTGGCCTTTATTTGCATTGGTTACAAGAAGGTTGAGCATGCTTTCATGTGCTTATTTTCCATCCTTATTTCTTCTTCTGTGAAATGCCGGTTCATGGTTTTTGTCTATTTTTCCATTTGGTTATTTGTGTTTTCCTTATCAACTTTTAGGAGTTCTTTATATATCTTTATATATTCAGGATATTAATCCTTCATGTATATGTGTTGCAAACATATCCCTCCCCCAAACACACACACACACACACACACACACACACACAAACACACACGGCTTATGTTTTCACTTTCTTTATGGTACTTTTTGATGAATGATTTTTAATTTTAATGTAATTGATATAAATTTAGTCTTGTGGCCAGCTTTTTTTGAGTCCTAAAGACTTAAGATCAAATAGATATTCTAAAAGTTTTAATGTTTTGCCTCACATTTAGTAGACAGAGAGGAAAGGAAGAGCTTTGGCAGCAAGCCAAGTATATAAAAGAATCTATGTCAAACTCTCCCAGGTACCCCTAGATACTAAAAGATGGTCCAAGGCCAGAAGGCATCTTGCTGAAGACAACTGTCCACCTGTTTCTTGAGTCCTCCTCATGCAGTCTGGACTGGCTGCCATCTCATCCTGGAGGCTCCTCTAATCATTGTCCTAGGGTTACCCTTCACTTCTCTTCCCATTGGATCTCTTAATACCTGTATCCTATGTCTTCCTCTTGCTTGTGTACTCCTGTATTTTACTGAAGCACCTGTAGCATTCTGAGCAAAGGTCTATGCAATAGCATAAAGGATTAACTGTTAAATCAGACTCTTGAATCAGAGATCTTACCCAGCATCAAGCTTTACAAATAAGTTCAAGGATATAAGTAGTTGCTAGGCACAAGTGAAGCACACAGGTCCAAGCTAGCCAACTTATTGCCAGGCCCTTTCTCATCAGGATACACATGTGCCTAGATTAAAACCTGAGGTCTCAAAAAAAAATCTGGAGCTCCATTACTTAGAAGAAAGCCATTTCAGTCACAGAACTTCTCTATTCAGATGGTTATATAACTTGTGTGATACTTTCCAGGGAGCCATGTCCCACATATAAATAGATTCTAAGGGATTTTATTTGGTTTTTTGTTACCATAAGCAATTCTGAACAGACAGGTATATCTTGCTAAAAGCATTTCATAAGTGCCAACTCTCCTACTAGTAAACACGACTAGCTGTTTTCCTGGAGGTCTATCATTATTAGCAAGTTTACAAGGATTCGTAACTAAAGGTCACCTTTCTTTCAGAGGGGTGTACCCCTGGTATTGGATGCAAGGCCTGATTCTAACTATATTCATGTTACCATATTATAGGAAATAAATTTTGGACCTTGTTTCAGTTATGGTCCAGTCAGTTATTAGAAACTGCACCAGCTATTTGAATAAATAACTGCTGTTTATTTTAATGTGTCCTCCAAAGTTCATAGGTTGGGAACTTCATCCCCAGTGCAACAGTGTTGAGAGGTGGGACATTTAAGAGGTGATTAGGTCATGAGGGCAATGGATTAATGTCATTAACATGGGAGTAGGTTCGTTATTGTGAGAGTGGGTTTGTTATAAAAGCGAGTTCAGCCCCCCTCTTGCTAGCTCATGCTCTCTTTCCTTTCTGCCTCCCACTTTCCATCAAGAGATGACTCAGCAAAGAGGCCCTTGAAAGATGCCAACCCTTTGATCTTGAACTTCCCAGCCTCCAGAACGATAAGTAAATCTCTGTTCTTTACAAAGTACCCAGTCTGTGGTATTCTATTATAGCAGCACAAAATGGATTAAGACAATCATTTAATGGGAACTAGTTAAATAGCTATTAGAGAACTAAGAGGGGAAACGGTAACACTGATATAATACAGAGTTATTTCTGAAAGCAACCAGGACTATCTCCGGGCTTGGAGAACAGAAAGAAAAAAATTGAGGTTATTAGAAGTTTGAAGGAGAAGCTCCAGGGCTGGGATTTAGAACCTAAGGAGAGGTGCTACCCAGATAGTGCTGGTTATCTTTGAGAGAGGACAACGTGGCTTGTCCTAGGAGAGTGGGTGGAAAATTGGAAACTGGAACAAAGTGCAACTGCCATCATCTGCCATTACTGAGATGAAGAACTATTGCTGGAGTGATGCTAACAAAAGAGTGACCAAACAAGAAATAAGACGTCTTTTCAACCTCAGCCTTCTGGACTTCTTCAGCATCCCCTATTGACTGAACTTAACAGTGGTCCTGCTGGCTAGGGAGAAATCTGGCTTGCAGAATCCCAATCCTAGCACTGTAAAGCAGAATACAGAAGAGTGAGTTTGGAGTTAAGAGACAATAGCTTAACAATCAGCACAGCCACACTTCTGACTCTTCTCATCTATCCCATCTTTCAATACATATTTCAACTTCAATATAACAAGAACAACCTGTGGCGGCCAGGCACGGTGGCTCACGCCTGTAATCCCAGCACTTTGGGAGGCTGAGACGGGCAGATAACGAGGTCAAGAGATTGAGATCATCCTGGCCAACATGGTGAAACCCCATCTCTACTAAAAATACAAAAAGTAACCGGGCATGGTGGTGTGCACCTGTAGTCCCAGCTATTTGGGAGGCTGAGGCAGGAGAATTGCTTGAACCTGGGAGGCAAAGGTTGCAGTGAGCCAAGATCATGCCACTGCACTCCAGCCTGGTGACAGAGGAAGACTCCATCCAAAAAAAAAAAAAAAAAAAAAACCTGTGGCTAGTGGATATCGCTTATTCTTTAGTAAACCCAGCAGTGCACATTAAGTGTGCAATTCAAGTATGTAATTAATCCAGCATATGGGTGTTTCGCTGCAGTAGGGTCATTATAAGTACCTAATATTGCCATGCTATGTAAAGTGGAAACTCCAAATACATTTTCCAAATTCTCCAGAAATCATTTGTGTCCTCATTTGCTCAGTTTACATCTGAAGGATCAGCTTCTCAATTAGCTTTTAAGTAATGCATTCCTTATGACCACTAGTAGAATTTGTTCAATGCTGTTTTAAAAAATGTCATTGATATGGTTTGGCTCCGTGTCCCCACCCAAATCTCATCTGAAATTGTAATCCCCACAATCCCCACCTGTCAAGGGAAGAACCTGGTGGGAGGTGATTGGATCATGGAGGTGGTTTCCCCCTATGCTGTTCTCATAATAGTGAGTGAGTTCTCATGAGATCTGATGGTTTTATAAGTGTGTGACTGTTCCTCCTACACATGCTCTCTCGCACCTGCTGCCACATAAGACGTGCCTGCTTCCCCTTCTGCCATGACTGTAAGATTCCTGAGGCCTCCCCAGCCATGCAGAACTGTGAGTCAACTAAACCTCTTTCCTTTATCAATTACGCAGTCTCTGGTAGTATCTTTATAGCAGTGTGAAACAGGTTAATAAAGTTATCCTTTCCAAAATTAGTCGTTCTTATTTGAAGACACCAACTTGTCAGTCTTCAATGAGTCTTACTTAAAATAGTTAAACTTTTTTTTTTCAGCCAAAAATAAGTACAAGAAGAGCTTCCCTTTCCTTCTTTGAACATTGATGTTAATTTCATCCTTGTCATTTTGGGTTCTCCGGCTCTTCAAAAAATTATTTTCCAGTAAACACTGATGGAGTGTCAGAGGATATAACTGATCATTTCTAATTCCTAAAAGTAAATCGATGGGAACCTACTGGGCCCCTACTTCCTTCGGACCCAAATGCAGACTGACTTTAAAGAGATGACTTGGACAGAGGTGCCTTTGCTTGTCCTTTTGATGCTTCACTCACAACTCTTTTTGACTTTACAGGAAACACACATCCCCATCCCCACTTCACCTGCATTTGTGTAAGGATTCCTCTGAAGGCTCCTCAGACTTCCTCCTTTGACAGTTGCCAGGACAGCTCCAACCCATCTGTTCATCTGACATTCCATTAAGCCCGTGCGTTACCACAATATCCTGTTTTTCCCTTCCTGTTTCTAGCCACACTTACTCAGATGGAATGACAGAGTTTGCTGCAAATTCCTTGACATAAATCTCTCCAGTGAGCTCTCTCCCCTTACCTTAAGCCTTTTTTTTTTTTGAAAGCACAGCCCTCTGGCCCTTTCTCTTTCAAATCCCAGTCCAAAATATCCCATAATGGAAATAAACATCTCCAAGTTAGGCCCCAGAATATGATTTAACAACAACAAAAGAAACTAAAATACGCTATTCGTGCTAAAAGGCTGAGGGAACAGCAATGTTACTTAGAATGATGGCGAGTTAACACACATTTCACAGAGCTAGCTGTTTTAGCAGGGATCCTAATGTAGTGACCATGATCAGGGTGAAAGGGAGCAAATCACTTGACCTCTCTACCTCTCAGAAATTCTGATACCTGCCCTGCCAATCTCATGGGGTTGTATTGAGGGTAAAATAAGACCATTCATTTAACAAATATTTGCTAAGAGCCTACCATGTGCCAGGCCCATTCTAGGCCCTAGGGACGTGACAGTTGAGTCATCTAAAACATTGCATTTATGAACTTCCATCATATGGTTGCATGTAGATTTAGACTGGTTGTTCTCATTGCTATATAATATCCTATTCTGTGAGTATACCACACTTGATTTATCCATTCCACTGTTGAGCATTTGCATAATTTCCAGATTTGGAGCTGTTATCAAAAAATGAGGCTATGAACATTCTGGCATATGTCTTTTGGTGAACTTATGTATGCATTTCTGTTGTGTCAATTCTCTTTTAATCTGGCTAATCATGTCAAAGGAAGGTCCAGGTTGGTGCTAGCATTCGGTGACATCTCTGTAGCCCTTGTCAATGTGTCCTTATAACAAATAGCCAACTTCATGTCCAGAGCCTTCAGCATCACACTGTAGCTAGCTAGAGATTGTAAACACTGTTTTATTTATTTAGTTAGTTTTGAGATCGGATCTTACTCTGTCACCTAGACTGGAGTGCCATTGCTTGATCTTGGCTCACTGCAGCCTCGAACTCCTGGGCTCAAGGGATCCTCTAACCTTAGTCTCCCAAATAGCTGGGACTAAAGGCACGTGCCACCATGCCCGGCTAATTTTTTTTTTTTTTTCTTTGAGATAGGGTCTCGCTATGTTACCCAGGCTGGTCTCGGATTCCTGACTGCAGGCAATCCTCCCAATGTGCAGGGATTACAAGCGTGAGTCACCACACCCAGCCCCAAACATTGTTTGGTCTGCATTTTTTTTTTCTTTTTAGAGTCGGCGGTCTCACTCTGTCATCCAGGCTGGAGAACAGTGGTGTGATCATAGCTCACTGCAGCCTCAACTTCCTGGACTCATGAAATCCTCCCATCTTAGCCTCCCGAGTATCTAGGAATACAGACACAGACCACCATGTCTGGCTAATTTTTATGCCTTTAGAGATGAGGTCTTGCTATGTTGCCCAGACTAGTATCAAATTCCTGGCCTCAAGAAATCCTCTTGCCTTAGCCTCCTGAGTAGCTGGGATTACAGGCACAAACCGCCTCCTCCAGCTTGCTTTATTTATAAGATTAAATTACATATGGCAAGAGATTAATTGTACTCTATTTACTTATTATTTATAAATATATCTATATTACTCATACGTTATTTATATAAAGGTTCCTTAGGAAATAAGTTCTTATCAGACTTAACAGCAAATTAGAGATGGCAGAAAAAAGAATCAGTAAACTTGAAGGTATATCAATTCATCTGGCAGTTTTTAAAAGTAAGTCATTTAAAAAGATCCATCTGTCTCACCTTCTCAAGGATTTTGCTACTGCAATTTTCTCTTCTGTCCTGGATTATCAATTGTCACTCTCTATTGGCTTACTTACTAGCATGTATAACAGTATATTATAGTATCTTCTATCTAAAAATAAATCTCTAGAAGCAGGATCCCCTCCATCTTCCATCTCACTGCTTTGCTCCTCTTCATGCCAAATTCTTTAAAGAGTTACCTGTATTCACTAACTCTGCTTCTACCTGTACTATGTTCTCCTCAATGCATTCCAATCTGATATGCTCCCTTCACTCTGCAAGATGGTTTCTATCAAGGTGACCAATAACGTCCATTTGACCAAACCCAAGGGCCATTTCTCTATCACATTGCTTGACAGCAGCACATTTTACCACTGATCATTCTCTCCTTATGGCAACAGTTTCCGGTCTCAGCTTCCTCAAGTTCCAACCTCCCCTGGTTCTTCCTACAAAACTAATGATTCCTTCCCAGTTCCTTTGGGTGAATGTCCCTCTACTAACAAATCTGTAAATGTTGAAAGACCCTGGTTCCTGCACCTGTAGTTCTCTCTGGCCAGGCTACAATCATTTTCCTAGGTGACCACATCCAGTTCTATCAATATCACCTATCATCTTAGTGCTCCCAGATTTATATTTCTAGCATTGAACTTTTCTTGAAATGTCATTTTCACTGCTGATTATTTTACACCTCCAAATGGATGTCTAATAAGCTTCTCAGACATAATACATCCCAAACTGAACACCTGCCTCCCACCCTCGCTCCCACCAAGTCTTCTCAGGTCTTTCCTACCTAGATCAATAGTACCACTACTCACCCAATCTCCTAAGTCCAAATCCAGGAGATACCTTGGATCTCCCAGAGTGAAGGACTCTTTCCCTCATCTCCATCTAATCTATCTAGTCCTTCAAGAATACTGACAACTCACAGAATGGGAGAAAAGATTTGCAAACTATGTATCTAATAAATGATCAACATCCAGAATATATAAAGAATTCCTGAATCTCAACAACAAAATAATAAACAACTAAATTCAAAAATGAGCAAAGGCATCATCACTGGCCATCAGAGAAATGCAAATCAAAACCACAATGAGATACCATCTCACACCAGTTAGAATGGCGATCATTAAAAAGTCCGGAAACAACAGGTGCTGGAGAGGATGTGGAGAAATAGGAACACTTTTACACTGTTGGTGGGACTGTAAACTAGTTCAACCATTGTGGAAGACAGTGTGGCAATTCCTCAGGGATCTAGAACTAGAAATACCATTTGACCCAGCCATCCCATTACTGGGTATATACCCAAAGGATTATAAATCATGCTGCTATAAAGACACATGCACACATATGTTTATTGTGGCACTATTCCCAATAGCAAAGACTTGGAACCAACCCAAATGTCCATCAATGATAGACTGGATGAAGAAAATGTGGCACATATACACCATGGAATACTATGCAGCCATAAAAAAGGATGAGTTCATGTCCTTGGTAGGGACATGGATGAAGCTGGAAACCATCATTCTCAGCAAACTATTGCAAGGACACAAAACCAAATGCTGCATGTTCTCACTCATAGGTGGGAATTGAACAATGAGAACACTTGGACACAGGAAGGGGAACATCATACACTGGGGCCTGTTGTGGGGTGGGGGGAGGGGGGAGGATAGCATTAGGAGTTATACCTAACGTAAATGACGAGTTAATGGGTGCAGCACACCAACATGGCCCATGTATACATATGTAACTAACCTGCACATTGTGCACACGTACCCTAGAACTTAAAGTATAATAAAAAATAAAAAATAAAAGAAAAAAATGAGCAAAGGACTTGAATAGACGTTTCTCCAAAGAAGATATACAAATAGCCAAAAAGTACATGAAAAGATGCTCACCATCACCAGTCATTAGGGAAATGCAAATTAAAACCACAATGAGATGCTCTTCATAATGATTAGAATGACTGCTATCACAAAAACAGAAAATAACAAGTATTTTGGTGAGGAAGTAGAGAAATTAAAATCCTTTTGCACTGCAAATGGGAATGTAAAATGATACAGCCGTTATAAAAACAGTATGGAGGTTTCTCAAAAAATTAAAAATAAAATTATATGATCTAGCAATTCCATTTCTGAGTACATATCCAAAAGAACATTAAGCAGGATCTCTAAGAGATATTTTCACACACATTTTTATTGTAGCATTATTCAGAACAGCCATAGGAGGGAACTAGATCAGAACCTGAATACTAGCAGGCAGGGACCACTGGGGGCCATTTTGGAGGCTGGCTACCATACGAGGTACCTCCATTTTATAAATGAGAAAATTAAGGCTTAGAATATTTACGCAATTTGTCCAAGGTTGCATAGCTATTAAGTGGTGCCATTATTACATAATTATAATGTATTCAGCAACTTATTTTCCTTCATAAATGGATGTAAGATTATAGAATGTAAAACTTCTTTAATGTTTCTATCACTTGAATTCTGAAATAGGTCTTTGCTTTAAAACTATAACAAATATTAATTAGGCTAAAAGCAATATATCATTGCAAAAGACTTTTTCAAAGCGCTTATACATATATTATGGCATTTTGAACAACATCACTGGGTTCTAAAATAGAACCCATTTTTCGTTTTTAGGAATCTTTCAAAATTTATTTTAGTTCAACAAAATATCCTAAATGGTAATATTGCAACCTTGCTCCTTCTTTCATTTTGCTGTAAGTTTCCATTCTAATATTTCATATTAATTTACTTTGATAAATAGTGTAGTTAGAAGTCTTAACCCAGTTCATAAACTTTCTTCTCCTCTCCAACCCCACCCCTGGTAACAACCGTTTTACTCTCTATCTCTGTATATTCAATTTTTTTTACGATTCTACATATAAATGAGATAATGCAATAAAAAAAATAAGAATAGCCAAGAAGTAGAAGGGGCATTAATTCAACCCAAATGGATGAATGAGTGAATAAAGTGAATAAAGAAAATGTGATATGTACATACAATAGAATATTATTCAGTCTTCAAAAAGAAAGAAATCCGGCCATATTAATGCTACAATATGAATGAACCTTGAGGGCATTATGGTAACTGAAATAAACCAGTCATAAAAATATAAATACTGTATGATTTCATGCATATGAAATATCTAAAGTAGTCAAACTTATGCAAACAGAAAGTATAAGCTTGGTGGTTGCCAGGGGCTGGGGTGAGAGCGAAATAAGGAGTTGTTGTTCAATGAGTATAGAGTTTCAGTTTTGCAAAATAAAAAAGTTCTAGAGATCTGTTCCACAACAATTTGAATAGGTTCAACCCCACTGAGATGTACACTCAAAAATTGTTAAGATGGTAAATTTTATGTCATATGTTTTCTCCTACCATTAAAAAAATATAAAATAAGAAGCGTTGGGAGGATGTGGAGAAATGGAATCCTTGTGCACTGCTGATGGGAATGCTAAATGCTGCAGCTGCTGCGAAAAATCATATGGTAGTTCCTCAAAAAATTAAACAGAATTATCGTATGATCAAGCAATTGCATTTCTGGGTATACACACACACACACACACACACACACACACACACACACACACACACAGATGAAAGCAGGGTCTCAAAGGGATATTTGTACATCCATGTTCATTGCAGCATTATGTACACTAGTTGAAATGTGAAAGCCACACGTGTCCATTGACAGATGACTGGATAAACAAAATGTGGCATACGTAGAGAATGGAATATTATTCAGCTTTAATATGGAAGGAAATTCTGACACGCGCTACAACATGGATGAACCTTGAAAACATCATGTTAAATGAAATGAGCCAATCACAATAGGACAAATATTCTGTGATTCTACTCATATGAAGTACTTAGAGTAGTCAAATTCATAGAGACAGAACATAGAATAGCGGTTGCCAGGGTCTGGGGAGAGGGGGAAATGGGCAGTTAGTGTTTAATAGGGAAAGAATTTTTTTGCAAGATGAAAATGTTATGGAGATGGATGGCAGTGATGATTGCACAACAATGTACTTAGTTTCTGATGTGCACACTTAAAAATGGTTAAAATGGTAAATTTTATATATATATATATTTTTACTTTTAGGATATTTTAAAAAGAATAGTGCCAAAATAGGTGGCAATTCTGGCCATTCCCTCCATCTCCAATACTACCTAATCCAAGCCACCATCATCTCTTGTTTGGACTCTTGCACGAGCTTCTAGTTTGTCTTCCTGATTTTCCTTTTTTCACCCCACAATCATCTTGTCATAGAAAAGCCAAGGTAATTTTTTAAAAATGTAAATCATAGTCTGGTTCCCCTTTGTGTACAATTTTCCATGGTCTCCCATATACTTAGAATAAAGTTCATGCCCTTCACTGAGGCTTAAAAACCCTGCTTGATCTTGGACTCCAACTCTCATCACTCTGCCTCTCTCCCACTGTCCTCCGGCCACAGGAGCAAGCTGTTATGTCTGTGAGAACACTATGACTGCATCTTAGTCAGCTAGGGTTGCTATAACAAGCATACCATAGACTGGAATCTTAACATTTATTTCTCACAGTTCTGGAGGCTGGGAAGTCCAAGATCAAAGTGCTGGTAGATCCAGTGTTTGGAGACAGATGCTTTCTTGTTGTATCCTCACATGGCAGAGAAAAAGAGAGAGACAGAGACAGAGAGAAACAGATAGATGGGGGAGAGAGGGAGGAAACAAGTTCTCTCTTGTCTCTTCTTGTAGGGGCACTAATCCCACTCATCAGAGCTTCACCTTCATGACCTAATTATACTCTGAAAGCCTTATATCCTAATCCCACCACACTGGGGATTAAGATCTCAATCTATCACTTTGAGGAGAACACTTTCAGCCCATAATGGAGGTTCCCACCTAATGTTTATTGCACTATTTCTTCCTCTCTCTGAAAATCTCTTTCTCAGTCTTCACAAGGTATCTCTTTCAGATTTGAATCTCACCCATGAAAAGTAGCCTTAAGTCACCCTCTATCATATCACTCTGTTTTTTGTTTCTATTTTCATTTTTAGCTTTTCTTTTACATACAGAGGTACATGTGCAGGTTTGTTATATAGGTAAACTCATGTCATAGAAGTTTGTTACACAAATCCGTCACCCACATATTAAGCCTAGTACCCAACAGCTATTTTTCCTGATCCTCTCCCTCCTCCCACCCTCCACCATCAAGTAGGCCACAGTATCTATTGTTCGCCTCTTTGTGCTCATGTGTTCTCATCATTTAGCTCTCACTTATAAGTGAGAACATGCAGTATTTAGTTTTCTGTTCCTGAATTAGTTTGCTAAGGGTAATGGCCTCCAGCTCCATCTATGTTCCCACAAAGCACATGACCTTGTTCTTTTTTATGGCTGTGTAGTATTCCGTGGTGTATATGTACCATATTTTCTTGTCCATTCTATCACTGATGGGCATTTAGGTTGATTTCATGTCTTTCCTATTGTGAGTAGTGCAACAGTGAACATATAGGTCCATATGCCTTTATGTTAGGACAATTTATATTTCTTTGGGTATATGCCCAGTAATGGGATTGCTGGGTCAAATGGTAATTCTATTTTTAGCTCCTTGAAGAATCCCCACACTGCTTTCCACAGTGGCTGAACTAATTTACTCTCCCACCAACAGTGTATAAGTGTTCATTTTTCTCCAGCTTCTGTTTTTTGACTAGTAATAGCCGTTATGACTGGTGTGAGATGTTATCTCATTGTGAGTTTGATTTGCATTTCTCTAATAAGTGATACTGAGCTTTTTTTCATATGCTTGTTGGTTGCATGTATGTCTGCTTTTGAAAAGTGTCTGTTCATGTCCTTTGCCCACTTTTCAATGGAGTGTTTGTTTTTTGCTTGTAAATTTAAGTTCCTTATATATGCTAGATATTAGACTTTTGTCAGATGCATAGTTTGCAAATATTTTCTCCCATTCTGTAGGATTTGCTCTGTTGTTTCTTTACTCTGTTGTTTTGTTTATTCTGTTGATAGTTTCTTTTGCTGTACATAAGCTCTTAAGTTTAATTAGATCCCGTTTGTCAATTTTTGCTTTTGTTGCAATTGCTTTTGGCATCTTCATCATGAAATCTTTGCCCATTCCTATGTTCAAAATTGTATTGCCTAGTTTTCTTCCAGGACTTTTGTAGTTTTGGGTTTTACATTTAAGTCTTTAATCATCTTGAGTTGATTTTTATATGTGGTGTAAGGGAAGGGTCCAATTTTAATCCTCTGTATATGGCTAGCCAGTTATCCCAGTACCGCTTATTGAATAGGGTGTTACTTCCCCATTGCTCATTTTTATCTGCTTTATTGATGATCAGATGATTGTAGGTGTGTGGCCTTATTACTGGGCTCTCTATTCTGTTCCATTGGTCTATATGTCTGTTTTTGTACCAGTACCACACTGTTTTGGTTACTGTAGCCCTGTAGTATAGTTTCAAGTCAGTTAGTATGATGCCTCCAGTTTTGTTCTTTTTGCGTAGGGATCGCCTTGGCTATTCAGGCTCTTTTTTGGTTCCATATGAATTTTAAAATAGTTTTTTCTAGTTCTGTGAAGAATCTCATGATAGTTTAATAGGAATAGCATTGAATCTAGAAATTGCTTTGGGCAGTATAACCATTTTAATGCTATTGATTCTTCCTATCCATGAGCATGGAATGTTTTTACATTTGTTTGTGTCCTCTCTGATTTCTTTGAGCAGTGTTTTGTGGTTCTTATCATAGAGATCTTTCACCTACCTAGTTAGCTGTATTCCTAGGTATTTTATTCTTTTGTGGCAGCTGCGAATGGGATTACATTCCTGATTTGGCTCTTGGCTTGGCTGTTGTTGGTGTATAGGAATGCTAGTGATTTTGGCACATTAATTTTGTCTCTTGAGACTTTGCTGAAGTTGTTTATCAGTTGAAGGAATTTTGGGCAGAGATTATGGGGTTTTCTAAATATAGAATCATGTTGTCTGCAAACAGGGATAGTTTGACTTCTTCTCTTCCTATTTGGATGCCCTTTATTTCTTTCTATTACCTGATCACCCTGGCCAGGACTTCCAATACTACGTTAAATAGGAGAGGTGAGAGAGGACATCCTTGTCTTATTCTGATTTTCAAATGGAATGCTTCCAGCATTTGCCCATTCAGTATGATGTCAGCTGACATCACTCTTTTTAAATTTTCTTCATAGTATTTATTACCACCTGATGTTTTTTTCATTGTTTTGTTTAGGCATTTGTCTATTTATAGGTGTTCTTCCAACAGAATGTAGCCTGTGGAGAGTAGGAGTTTACAAGACCTTGAACTACAGATCCTAGAATAATGCCTAACACAAAATAAGAACTAGCTGGAAATTTCCCAAGGAGAACTTGGCTTAGCACTGCAAGGGCTTTCAGAATAGTGTTTTAGAGAAAAAAATATATAATAAATCCAGAAGACTTTCATTTTGTTTCACAAGCATCTGAAACTCAGCACAAGCAATTGACCACAGCATGTTTCTCTTTACCTATTCAAGCTGGCTCCTCCCCCTGCTCTCCTCCTCAAGCCCCCGAATACAAATGCCATCCACCCACTGTCAAATAGACAACCTAAATAAGAAAATAAAACCCTTCCAGGCGCGGTGGCTGTAATCCCAGCACTTTGGGAGGCTGAGGCGGGCGGATCACTTGAGGTCAGGAGTTCGAGACCAGTCTGGCCAATGTAGTGAAACCCCTTCTCTACTAAAAATACAAAAATTAGCCAGGCGTGGTGGTGCATGCCTGTGGTCCCAGATACTCAGGAGTCTGAGGCAGGAGAATCGCTTGAACCCGGGAGGCAGAGGTTGCAGTGAGTCGAGATTGTGCCACTTCACTCCAGCTTGGGTGAGAGAGTGAAACTGAGGTTTGTTTTCAGTGCCGGAAATTTCTGATCTTTAGGGTGAAATACCTCAGTTTCTATCATGAATAAATTAGTTTCTAAAAAACCATTCCTAGCCGGGTGCGGTGGGTCACGGCTGTAATCTCAGCACTTTGGAAGGCTGAGGTGGGCGGATCACCTGAGGTCAGGAGTTGGAAACTAGACTGGCCAACACGGTGGAACTCCATCTCTACTAAAAATACAAAAATTAGCCAAGCGTTGTGGCGGGCACCTGTAATCCTGGTTACTCGGGAGGCTGAGGCAGGAGAATCACTTGAACCCGGGAGACGGAGGATGCAGTGA
This sequence comes from Homo sapiens, assembly GCF_000001405.40. NCBI lineage: Eukaryota > Metazoa > Chordata > Mammalia > Primates > Hominidae > Homo > Homo sapiens. The sequence goes on along the minus strand of NC_000004.12, from coordinate 13,549,600 downwards.
GCCGAGATTGCGCCATTGCACTCCAGCCTGGGTGACAAGAGTGAGACTCCATCTCAAAAACAAAAACAAAAACAAACAAAACAAAACAAAACAAAACATTCCTTTGGCGCCAATAAAACACACAGGGATGCCTGTGCCCTAAATGATCATCCAGCGAGAGCTCTGGTTATATACTCACAGCAAGCAGCTGTGGAATGCAGGATAGGGTAGGAGGTGGGCCAGGGGCTTGCTGTGGCCTCCGTTCTGAAACCGATCCCAACACGCCCGCGTCCTGCTCCAGTCCCTTCCCCTTGGCCCTGGAGCGAGGTGAGTCTTCAATGGAGGTGTTGATCGTGCCTGGGTGAGTTTTTAAAATGAAACATCTCCGCTGTTAGATCTCTGGCAGCGCGAGGCTGTGTACACGAAACTAGAAGCAAAACAGTCCGTTTCGTGTACTACTTATTCCAGTACCTCCCCATAAAAGTACGCACAACCCTAGAGGGATGCCCGCTAGGTGGCGCTCGTCCTCCACCATACCCAGGAGGGTTCGAGGCTGGCACGTCTTTTTAACACCCTGAGGGGTGATCTCCAACCCTGGCTTTTTAGGTAAGAAAACTAAGCCCCAAAGAGGGTCTTGCGTGAGGTCGCTTGGCTACGTCTCAGAACCGCGCGCACAATCTGGTTTCTGAACCTAATGAGTTTCCATCACCTGGCTGTCTCCCTCTACACACGGTTTAGTTTGTTGATTATAATAAAATGGTGTGTTTCCTTCTTTCTACACAACGAGGTTTACGTTCAGATCCGCAGGCCTTGGTGTGATTTGTTTTCAAATGCGTGGAACAGAAAAAAAGTCATTAGATTTGTCTGACTAAATTTTTTCTTTGATTACCTTAAATCCGAACGAAGCTCCTTTTCCAATGAATAAGCAATTAAAAATGGGTAAGGTCTATGATGGGAAACAATTAATAAGGTTAATGAGAAAAGCCGATTAGAGTAGAAAATCCAACTGGATTTGACATCAGACAAAGCCTGATTTAAATCCTGACAGCCACTTACTGATAGTCAGGAGTCTCAGTTTCTTCATCTGTAAAACGGGCATAACAATGTTTTCTACTCATTCCAATCCCAGGGGTGTGTACATTCAATGAAACAATAGGCTTTGGTTCCTGGCACACTGTCAGTGAGCAATATTTGTTAAAATATAAAACTACCTTTTATATTATTATTTATAGTATTATAAGCTGGCCAGTTACAATACAGCCTCTCTCTGCAGTCTGATATATTTTGATCGTGTGCATGAAAAACGCTGCAGGGCGCTGGATTACTCAGGAACGCAGGCGCGGGTGCTGGACGCTTGGGATGCTTAGGCGGTTTGGATCGCCCTCGGGAGTCTGCGGATTGGGACCGACGGTCAGTGCTGGGCGCGACCTCTGCCTGGACCTGGCTCTGGGGAGCCGGCAACGCTGCCCCTCCCTCCCCTCGCCCCCGCCCCCACCCCAAACACACACACACACCCTTCACTTGCTCACTCAGTGAAGCACCGGGTTCAGAAGGCACCGGGTCCAAACCCTCGTTTTAAAGGACTGGAAGCTAGAGAAGGCAGGTGACTTCAATCAAGGTCACCGGCATCTGAGGGACGAACCCCGCATGGCCTTTCGTTGCTGGGCAGCACCCGGCGCGCGCGACCTCCGGCCGCTGGCGTCAGGGAAGGCGGCCCAGGGCACAGGTGGCGGGCGTCGGGGGCGAGGCGCGCGGTGGCGCAGCCAGGAAATCCCGAGCCCACTGGGCGCCCCCCTCGGGAGCGCGGGCACGTGTGCAGCAGTTTACTGCGCGCCCCCGAGGGCCGGGGCTTCCCCTTCCCCGCCCCCTTGGCTTTCGCAGTCAAATCCCGCTCTCCGCCCGCCGCCCGCGGAAGTCTCACCGCGCAGCAGCACCCCCAGCCCGGGCGGTTCCGGGGACCGAAGGGCGCGGCACGTAGGGGGCCCGTAGGATCCAAACTGCGGAGGAGAAGCAGGAGGAGGGAGGAGGAAGAAGACAAAGGTGTGGAGGAGGAGGGGAGGGAGGAAGAAGGAAGAGAGGCAGAAGACTAGGAAAAAATGGGCCCGTGGGCGCGGAGGGGGCGCGGCGGGGTAGAGAGGCGCGGACGCTGAGCGAGCCCGGTGCCTCTCGAAAGCCTCACCGGCCGCCCGGCCGGGCCGCGCAGCTCCGCCAACTCCCGGGCCGGCCCAAGCCGGAGCGTGGCGCCCGTCGGGAGGTTGCAGAGTTCCTGGAGCTCACAGCTGAGCCCGAAGGAAGTCGCCCTCGATGGGCAGGAAGCGGGACCCAGGCACGCCCGCGCGGTCGCGTCCAGATCTGCCGTCCTCCGACAGGCGCAGGCCTGCTGCGCCTTCGCCACACACCGCCACTCTGGGCCTGGACTCCGTAGTTACGCCGGGATATCTCTGGGCATACAACCACCTCCCCTTCCCCACAGTCTTTTCATCTCCACCCGACCCCTTGCTAGGAGCAGCTTCTAGTTGCAGCTCAAGACCCGCGAGTTCACCCTCCGCGCCAAGCACCCAACTCCCGGCTCTGCCTACAGTCACCCACAGACCTAATGATCGACTAAGCGCCGTAATGGCCCGAGATGACACCAGGAGACTCCCTTGCTGTGCGCCTCCGGAAGACGCGGAACGTAGCCCCTTTCTCACACTCCTGGGACACAAAAATACCCGACAACTCAAAGTCGCCAAACCACATCTTTTCATGCTTTGAAGACTTCTGCCCAAGGCTGTGGCAGGAGTATGTCCAACTGTGATTTGGGATTCTTTTTAAACATCGAATCAAAGGGAAGAGGGGAGGGATTCGCAACTAAATGGTAGTTGTTTTCAAGCAAGTCTTTACGTAGCCCCAAACCTACTCTAGTATTCGGTGATTCAGCCCCAAAACATCTCTGCCTGCCTTTATGTTCGGATCTCACTCCATTATTTGTCAGCACCAAGTACTAAACCCACAAAGCGATCGCTGTACGGGACACCAAACCCATACCTGCCCGTCCCCTACCTTCCAGGCAACCAGTGTCAATCTCCTCACTATACATAATTCCCAACATCCCTGCCCGAAGTGAGGAGAACGGTAATTTAAATAATACAGCGGGGGAGGAGAGGACACACTGTTTTTGAAAGACTGTAAGCATTCTGCTGTTCCACTCTGCGTCCTTACACTTGCTGAGCACTGACACCAAATTTAAATGGCGTTCCTTCAAAACTGATGTAATTGTAAAGAGCTGTAAAGGGCAATGACCTCAAGTGGATGTTTTTTCCCAGGTACCCTACAAGGTTTGCACAAAGCAAGAAAGCATCATGTAACCGAAATGCTGAAAAGTATAGATGCTGCAAAACCTCATTCTGAGACTGAGAACTATGAATAGTCAGTGTATTTCCTTCTGCGGTGCAGAAAAAGAACAACCAAAAAGAAAGCAACAAGGGGAGATGTTATTTATTTTAATGACACCAAAACTACCAATCCTAGCAATTTAATAAATTAAAATCATAGTCCTTTAAATGTATTTAATGGTTCAAGTTTGTGTATTTGGTGTTAACTCTCTGGTAAAGTTTATGGAAAACAGTGAAGTACGTTAATTGAGCAAATTTTATATTAAAAAAGGAATAACACATTTTAAAATGTTTTTATATACCCACAATATTTGTGTTTCTTAGCTTGGTTCCTACTATTACATAATACAATGCATTTCTTATTTTTTAAAGAGCAAAAAGTGTTGTCACTTCTGGATCACTTTATGGTAATTCCTAGGTATACTTCTAAGCAAACAAACATATCTATTTATAATTTTATTCAACTCACAAGTAAGAGATATTTAAAAAAAACAAATTGAAAGTTTTTTTTTTCTTCCTGATGCAAAACTTAACAAACTCCAATTAAATTCAATATTGGTCTGCCAGGGAAACGACCATAAAATTTACAGAAATTCTCCCAAAGATGCCTTTCAATTCTTCTCCTGACTTTAGTTCTAACTATACCATTTTTTTATAATTCCTCTATAAAAATCGAATCAAATCAAAGACGACGAGGAAAGAAAAATATTTCTAGAGTGATCTTAATTAACTGATCATTTCAGCAAAGAGCATTAGCAATGAAGAAGCGGCGAAACTGTAGGGAGAAAAAAAAGGATGCATTTTGTTCTTCGTGTTTATAATCCTTCCTAGAGAACAGAAACTACGAGCATGATTTATGGAACTGCATTATCTTGGATTTTCTCCGCAGATTTGACTCAACTTAGTATCAGTGTTCTGTTAAAGCGCTGGAATAAGTGGATACATCTGCAGAGGTAAGAAACGTGGTTTGGGTCGGATGAGCCTCCTTGTTGCTGGAGGGTGCTTCGAGGACCAGGCTTAGGAGAGAAGGGGTTAAGTCAGACCCTGTCTTTAGCGGCGCAACGTGCCCAGTTTTGTCTGTTAAAGTCAACGTCGCCCAACTGGAGCCAGCCAATGGACGGCCGGGAGCGCCCGGGACAGCCCAGTGGAGGGGTGTGGCCTCAGGCTGTCACTCAGCAGTGAGGAATGACACCCGGGCGGGAGGGGGGTGGTACAGTGGAACGCAAGGGAAGGAAAGAGAAAAGAAACAGATAAAACCAGGGCAGGGGGTAAAAAAGTTCCCCGCGCCTCTCGGAATCCAGCGGCCGCGGCCGCGGCTACCGCCGCCGCCGCCGGGGGTGGGCTCCGGAAGAGCCTGCCCAGCAGGGAAGGGGAGGACGGGCCAGGAGCGAAATCCTGCAGGCGAGGAAGGGACAGACGCGCAAAGAAAAAGTGACTCGGGCTGTGCGCCCCGGCGGCGCTCGGGAGGGGACTGCTGCCACGGAGGGGCCCCCGCCAATCCTCCTTCACGTCCCCCGAGGGGGCAGACCCCAGCCCGCCCCTAAGGGCGAGAAGCGATGAGATAATCCAGCTGAGCTGCGAAAGGAGAGCGTCTGGCTCTGGATTCGGGGGGAGGGGGTCTCCGGGCGGGGTGGGCCTCTAAGGTGGGGGCGAGGGTCGGCGCTGATCCTGGGACGGAGTGGGGCGGGAGCTGCTGGGCCGCGCAGCAGTGGGCGGCGGCGGCCTCGCACACCCAGCTCACTCGCGCTGCGGCCGCCGGCGCTCTCTGTCCCGCTCGGAGCTGCTCGGCGCCCCAGCTGCCCGCCCCGCCGGCCGCTCCTGCCCGCGGCGCAGATGGCTGTGCGCGGCGCCAACACCTTGACGTCCTTCTCCATCCAGGCGATCCTCAACAAGAAAGAGGAGCGCGGCGGGCTGGCCGCGCCAGAGGGGCGCCCGGCGCCCGGGGGCACAGCGGCATCGGTGGCCGCGGCTCCCGCTGTCTGCTGTTGGCGGCTCTTTGGGGAGAGGGACGCGGGCGCGTTGGGGGGCGCCGAGGACTCTCTGCTGGCGTCTCCTGCCGGTACCAGAACAGCTGCGGGGCGGACTGCGGAGAGCCCGGAAGGCTGGGACTCGGACTCCGCGCTCAGCGAGGAGAACGAGAGCAGGCGGCGCTGCGCGGACGCGCGGGGGGCCAGCGGGGCCGGCCTTGCGGGGGGATCCTTGAGCCTCGGCCAGCCGGTCTGTGAGCTGGCCGCTTCCAAAGACCTAGAGGAGGAAGCCGCGGGCCGGAGCGACAGCGAGATGTCCGCCAGCGTCTCAGGTCTGCTGCGGCTTCGCGGGGATGGGGGCCGGGCTGAGGGGATGGACGCGGAGGGCAACCACGCCGAGTGGGGTGGTCGGCTTGAGCACCCTGCGCCCTGGGGCTCGGAGGCTGGCCAAATCCCGAAGTTCTGCGCTCTGGCGCGAGCTGCTCTATCACTTCGGGAACTGAGCCCGCGAGAGACCGGAGTAGCTCCTCAGAGCCCTACGTCCTGGGGTGAGGCCTGAGACATCCTGGGCCAATGTGCATTAGACTGGGTTGGGAGAACCGCTGCCCCTTGCGTTCGGGAGTTTTTGAGTTCGTCGCCAGTGCTTTCTGCCGTGTCTGTCCCCAAATCCCCAAAATCAGGGAAGCGGAAAAGTGAGGGGTTCAGAGACCTCAGGTAGCCAGTGACCTAGCTCTGGACCAGAGACCTGCCAGTTCAAGGTCCCAGGGCCGGGCCCCACAGTAGGTGGATAGGTGGTGAAGAACACCTCCGAGTGGGCCAGAGCTGAGAATCTGCAGAACTAGAGCTTTGGGGAAAGGGCTGGTTTGGCTTTCTCAGACCCCAGGTCTGGGAGAGCAGCCCTAGGCCGAAGATCCCGGATTGGGTCTTTAGTTCATCCTGGAGGCAGGAGAGAGGCCTCCTCAGCCGTGGCCTGTCCTGTCCTGTGGTCTGGAAGACCCGGGTGCCTGCCCTAGTTGGGTACAAGCTTCTGTAGGCCTCAAGCACAGGGGACCGCTGGACCTTTCTGCTGGAGTTCTTCGGAAGGGCGGGTACGAGACCGAGAAGCTGGTGTGGGATCAGGGTCCAAAAACTCGATGCAGGGGCAACCCTCCCTCTTTACTCTCCAGTCCATCCTCTCATCTAAGGCCTCGGCTCAGCCTGTTTCCATGTCTCTCACAGCAATCCCAGGCGGCTGAGGGTGAAAGATTCTAAATACCTTTGGCCCCAGGATCCGCCTCCACCTTCCCTTACCTGCACCAGACAAGTGTGTGCTGCGAGGACGCGCGCGTGTGTGCGTGTGAACTAAGTGTGGAGAGGCGCGTGAACCCAAGCAGAGAGACGGAAATGCAGTCTAGAATCCCAATGCTCAACGCTGAGAGCCGGGAGGGCTTTCGCGGATGCTCGGGTCGAGTGCCCCAAGTTACTGAGGGGAGCCTGGGGCCCAGAGAGGGTGGGGAGCTGGTCTCGACAACACAGCGTTGACACAGCGGCTGAGTCTGCCGCCCTCCCCAGAAGAGGCCTAGATGGGATACCCAGTGGGGCAAGAGTCTAAGACTGGTCTCCCGGGCCCAGGGCCTCCCAGACCTCCGCTCCGCTTGAGTGGGATCAAAGTGTATTTCCGCCCCACTCCCGTGACCCCTGCAGTTGAGGCCCGGCCTCACCTCGTCTGTGGCGCTGACAGTCTCTTGTTTCTGTTCCCACCGGGGTCCGCAGGCGACCGCAGCCCAAGGACCGAGGACGACGGTGTTGGCCCCAGAGGTGCACACGTGTCCGCGCTGTGCAGCGGGGCCGGCGGCGGGGGCGGCAGCGGGCCGGCAGGCGTCGCGGAGGAGGAGGAGGAGCCGGCGGCGCCCAAGCCACGCAAGAAGCGCTCGCGGGCCGCTTTCTCCCACGCGCAGGTCTTCGAGCTGGAGCGCCGCTTTAACCACCAGCGCTACCTGTCCGGGCCCGAGCGCGCAGACCTGGCCGCGTCGCTGAAGCTCACCGAGACGCAGGTGAAAATCTGGTTCCAGAACCGTCGCTACAAGACAAAGCGCCGGCAGATGGCAGCCGACCTGCTGGCCTCGGCGCCCGCCGCCAAGAAGGTGGCCGTAAAGGTGCTGGTGCGCGACGACCAGAGACAATACCTGCCCGGCGAAGTGCTGCGGCCACCCTCGCTTCTGCCACTGCAGCCCTCCTACTATTACCCGTACTACTGCCTCCCAGGCTGGGCGCTCTCCACCTGCGCAGCTGCCGCAGGCACCCAGTGAACCCGCTTGGGCTGAGGCAGCGAGTGATTCCCGCGCTCCGGCTCCGGACCGGCGCTGACAGCTGTAGGCTGTAGCCTGCACGGGGCGCCCCGCCAAGGAGGCACCTGGAGGTGAAACCCAGCTCCAGCTCCCGTTAGCCAGGACTTGTCCCCTGGCAGCTGGGCTGAGTCTGCCCTGAGGGGGCGCCTTTTTCTAATTTGAACAGAGGCACCCTATGGCCTAGGGGCCCTGATCGCCCACCTGCCTGGAAGCCCCTGGGCTCTATTTATTATCATGACAATGTTGGAATTAAATTTTGATTCGAATATGTCTGCCTGGGGGTGGGGTTTTCCCTGAGCGGCAACTCCTGGAGACCACATAGCCTGAATCCTCAGAATTTCAGGCCTGCTGGGAGCTTTCTGCACTAGGCCACACTAGTTCATGGTATCCATGCTACCAATCTATGTGTATCTACATATCTTTTATTTTTGGAAATTGCATTTGTAACCAAGGGGTGCGAAACCCTGGCAGTCCCAGGCAGCACCAGGCCAGGGGTTGATTTGAAACGTGAAGGATTGGGTTTTCAGGCCCTCTGCTCCACCCCTCCTGTGTGTCAGAGCTAGGGTGGGGGTGCCCGATTCGGGTGCTGAATGTAAGGAGGGGAGCCTCCAAGTGTGGTGCAAGCCGGGGGTCTCCACATCTTCCTTCTCTGAAGTCCAGGTACCTGCACAAGCAGGAAGCGCCTGGGAGTCCCGGAAGGAGGAGAGCGCACACCCAGGCAGCCCTCTGCGGAAACTTTCCTTGGTTTCTTTTTATTTGTGTAAAGGAGGTTAAGACGTGTCGCACTTTTCAGTTGTTTGTATTCAAATGACGATTATTTTTCTACTCAATGTGAATATCCCTGGCCAGCCTTTCCACGGCGCCCACCGCAGTGCCGCTGCCTGGCCCTCAGTGTCTACCTTCTGCCCTCTGCGACTCCAGTGCTCTGGCCCGGGACTCCCCTATCCGCCCCTCACTTACCCTTAAACAGGTGATCCCACCTGTCTTGTCAACCTCGCCGCTTTTCGCCTCCTTAATGGCACTGTGCACTCAACTAGAGTATTAACTGTAAAAAGATTTGTGAAGTTTGGAAGCTCTATTCGCTGTATTTTTTCTTTAATTTATAAACTTTTAGTTTAACATGCCCTCCTGGACGCCGCGTTTTCTCTGAAACTGTCTTTTCCCGACTTTTGGGGAACCAGTAAGGCGAGCTGGAAATAGCTGGGGCTTTTTCCAACCTCCTTTTAGTCTCGGACCAAGGATGCTTAGTCTCTCCTGGGAGCAGCCCTGCTGCCCGCCCACTCCTCAGGCAGGTTATAAACCTGGGCAGCTCAGAAAAATCATGACTTCGGGGGCTTTGCAGGAGTAATGGATGAATCCCACTGAAACCGGGAACAAATTCCTAGGATTTCTCCCCATCCTCCCTGTGAGCATTGGTTTCAGAGCCTAGTAAGAGTCCATGGTTGAACCCCCAGCCAATGTCCATCCCCCATCCCAATGTACCGACCCTTTCATCTCCCCTCACCCCACCCCACCCTGTTCTCTGCTTTCGATTTTAGGAGCGTTTCTCTACCTTATCTAGTGTTTAGTTTTGAGAGTGGTTTAGTGAAAACTCCCGCTAAAATTCTGAAGCGATTAGTTGCAAACCAGGCGTGAATAACCTGTCTCTCGGAGAAGGGTCACCCGAGCGTTTTCCTCGGACGGGTGCAATTGGGGCTCTACAAGGTTTCAAAGCGCTTCCCCGCACTCAATGAAAGGGCGTCATTTGGTACACACCGAAGCCCACCCGGGGAGCAGAGAATGGGCAGGGCACCGTTATTTATTACCCCATTTTACAGATGATCATACGCAGCTGGCGCTCCCAGACTCCCCAGAATGCTACGGATTCACTGGAGCTAAATGCTCACTTTCACTGGCAGCTCAAGCCGAGTTCCCGGCGAGCAAGGAAGAGTTAATGCCACATTGCGGGCGTTGAGGCCTCCAGTCCGCTGGACCCGAGTCGGGAAACACCAAAACCCTGGCCAAGGCTTCTTTCAATTTCACCTGGGGCCGAAAGGTCGATTAGCTCTCCAAGGCAACCGCGACTTTTCCCAGCCCCCGGGCCTCCAAGCTTTGGTACCCTAAAGGCCTTGGCCTGGGGTCCCTCAAGCCCTCGGATCTGGCCCGGGCGGAGCGTGGTGACCAGCGTTTTACAAAATTATCCCCGCTTCCAGAAACAGCAAAATGTAAAGGGAGAAGCAAAGGCCCTCGGGATATGCACACTCCCACCCGGTCCCCCACTGGAGTCCAACTACCTTCCATATGGTTCTTGCAATCATCTCGTTTCTTTATAAATGCAATCATCTCGTTTCTTTATAAAATGCTTTACAGTTCTATTTAAATTATACAATTAATCATGACTGTGTTTTTCTTGTAGAGAGTTGGAACATTTCCGATAATACTAGAATCTCCTCCCTTCTTCTCCCCAGGGATCACTACTTACTGAGGGGTTTTTTAGGAGGAGGGATTTTCTCCCTTTCTGAAAAGGCAGTTGCTTGTTGCTGCGTCTTAAGAGGGTAGTTTGTTCTCCATCTTTGCCGATTGGGCGGTGAAAGAATCCGGGAGTTTCTTTAGAGTAGGAAAAGCCACAGAGGTCCCGGTCGCACCCCTGGCGGCTCCATCTTCCACCGCAGACTCCACCTACCCTGCGGACCCGGGCGCCCCTTCCCTTTCTCTCCCACTCTCGGGCCCCCTGCCTGGGCCAGCTCCGCGGACTGGCTCCGGCTGCCCGGGGAAAATGACTCAAATGAATTCAGTTTGATCCAGATTATGGCTGTTTCCCTCCAAGCTGTCCCGCGGTTTGCCTTGGCGAGAATGCCCTGAGGTCTGATTCTGGGAGCTGGAGGCGACCTCTGGGTCCAGCCTGTCCTCCAAGGAGTTCTCGCCGTATTTTGCGACCCAGACCAATGTCTTTACCTGGGTCTTCTGCCGCAGACGCGGCTCCCGTTGAAAATTTGCAGTATTACTTTCTTCCTTTTCTTTACTTTCTCCTCTATCTTCTCTCCGCCTTTCTCTCTTTTTTCTTTCTTTTTTCTTTTTTTTGGAAAGATGAAGAACAGTCCTGCTCCCTACTCGAGGGTATCTCTGTTCACCCACTGCCTGCATCCCTGTGCTGCGCTGAGCCCTCTCGGCCTTCTCTGGGCTTGGTCCCCGGAGCAGTAGCAACTGCCGCCTGGGCCCAATGAACCTTGGGCCTCTTCATCGTTCTCAGTCCCTTTGGCGCTTAGCGAATCTTAGAACTTGGCCTTGGGGATTTTCGAATTAGATCCACCCACTCTACAGATGGGTAAACCAAGGCGAGGGGAATGGCTGGTAAAGGGGGCGGAACATCATGTCACTTGCACTGAAATTGGTCCCAAGGATTCAGGCCGAGCCCACAAATCTTACTCCTAGCAGCAAATTTGGGATCAACCAGCTGCCAAATGTAGCTGGTGGGTCTGCGTGTGTGTATGTGTGTGCGCATGCGTGTGTGTGAGAGAGAAAGAGAGAAAGAGAAAGAAAGAAAAAGAAAGAAAGAAAGAAAGAAAGAAAGAAAGAAAGAAAGAAAGAAAGAAAGAAAGAAAAAGAAAAGAGAGAGAGACAGACCTGGCTAGTCCCAAACCACATCTCATTTCAAGAGATTGGGTATGAGGGCCTCTTGGATCGCCAGAGAGTATCTTAGATGAGCAGGCTGAGTTGAGACTGGGTTCCGGTTTAGAAAATAAATGGTTTCCAGGCTGCACCGAATCCCAGCACCCTCACTGCTCCCCCACGCTGGTAAAGGTGACAGGGTGACAGTGAAGCATCATTCGAGAAGATTGTAATCGGGCTCAAACACAAGTGCCTGCCCTCTGAGTTGGGGCTCAGGCATGTCAGTGCCCAGAACCCTGAGAAACTGGGCCCGTGGAAGGGTGACATCTGGGGGCTTTTGAGGAGTGGGGAGTGTGCTGAATGCCGGCTCCTGGTTTCCTCTCAGGGAAGCGCTCTGGAGCAGACCCCGGCAATGGCACACTGAGCATCCTATAAAGGCAGAACCTCATCCCGGGTCTTCAGAAGTCCTGCCAAGCGGGGGTTCTAGGGCTCTAACTCCCTAACCGGCCGCTGGAGCTCAGCACCAGCCAGGCCAACAATCCACTCTCCTCTACCCACATTTCAGTCCGTGTTTGGGAAGAAAATGTGGAATATGGCTTTCTCAACGCAAAGTTCACGAAGTTTAACTCGCTTTACAGAAAGGCTCCTGCGTTGCAGAGGGAATATGAACAACAGAGAGAATCAGACAGTTCTCCTAAACCGGGGAACTGTCGAAGGAGCTCCTGGACCCCAACGGAGGAACAAGGGGCGTTTGGGCAGCACTCTTTCCCAGAAGCGTGGCAGATCCAGGCAAGGGCCCAGGCAGCTGCCCTGGTACTGCAGGGCTTCAACCTTGCAGGCCACCCACTTCAGCCTGCCAGCCACCTTACTTGGCAACCGCACAGACCTGCGTGGGGTCTCCAAGAGATGCCAAATGCTTGGTGGTGCTTTGTAAGTCGGAAAACGCTGAAGGCAGGTAGCTGCGCCGCTGGTTGCAACCGCTCTGGGCTCACAGCTGCTGCGGAAACCACCGCGATGGGTGAAGGCCCGACCGTAGCCTCGAAGGAAGCAGCAGCAGAGGCTTCTAATCCGAGGGAGGGCCGGGGGAGCAACCAAACAATATTGAACAATAAGAAGAACAACAAAAACAACTCCATTCTTTTGTCTGGAACGTTACAGGTGATGCGTTTCCAAATCCTGTTCGGATCCGGTTCGCAGAGGCTCCCTGTAGCCTGGTGCACATGACATCCATTTTACAAATGGGGAAACGGAGGCTTAACGAGGTGATGTAACTTATCCATTGCCGCAGTTCATTTAGAAGCCAAGTCATGGTAGTCCAAAGCGTATGGCAGGGTAGATTGTCCTTTAGTGCTGGCATCTGCCAGCTTTGTTTCTGGAATGGCCAGATCACAAAAGTGTGCAAACATTTTGAAAACCATCAAACACTGTACAACTGGTATGAGCTCATTGTTATTTTTACCATTATTATTATTATGAACTTCTGGGCAATGCTGGATTGGCTGGCGTAAAGCAATCTGCCTCGAACTCCTGTGTCCTTCAGGGGATTGCAAGGGTCCTGTAGGTTGCTGAGCTTAGGATCTCTCAAAGGTCTAGAGGCCCTGGCCTCTGCCAGTTTTTGCTCTCCCGATACGTTTTAGAAAGGAAGAAATGCCAAAGTACGGTGCAAAAAAATTGTGTTGTGTTATACATGCTTACATCACCTAATAAACAGGGGGTTTTGTAGTCACATACAGGAGTTATTCAACATAAATTGGGTCGTTCAAATTATTAAAGCATTTATAAAAGATTGATTCCCAGGCCCCTGCAGGCAGGGGTGGTCTAGTGTGGGGTATAGGTTTAAGTTGAACCATAAATTGCTTTTAAACATGCTGGGTGTATATCTGAGGTTGTGCCTGCTATGAAGAAAACGTCAAAAGTCTAAATGTGGGGCAATTCTGGAATGTAAGAACTGGGCAAATGGTCCTGCAGCCCCGCACTCCACCTTGAGTCCTGCCGTTTCTGCTTTTTGCTTGGAGGCGGTCGGGGAAAGGTAGGAGCGTGGCTTCTGGCCACCCAGAGCCGACCCGGAATCTGCGGCCACTGCGAAACGCACCACTCTGTTCGTGTTGGAATTTAACGGTTTAAAGGGAACGCACGGTAGCTGCGGGAGTGAGGGTGTCACCTTCCCTTGAGCCTCCCGCGAGGTAAGCTCGCTCCTGAGCTCAAATGTTTCCTCCAAGCTTGCGTGAACGTGCGTGACGAGTTCTCCAGGCTCAAAGCCCGCTCTCCTCAGCTTTCCCTCCCACTCCATGCCCCTGCTCGCAGTCCCTGGTGCCGCCAGCAGTTGCGGTTTGTGCGCCCGCGGAGCCAAGAGCACCTAGTCTCTGCAGCCCTCCTGGTCCCCTGTGAGCGCCTGCATTAATCCGCACTGCTTCTGCAATCTCGACTTTAAACTCTCGGCATGAGGATCCGGCGCTGGGTTCTGTGCTGCGGACCTGGGGGGCTTTTTGGTGAGTTCTTTCCGTCTCTGTCCCGGCCCCCTTCTGTGGCTACACTCAGCCTCTCTCCTTAGGACCTTGGTGTGTGCCCTTGCGCCTAGGGGGAGGATGCACGATGTGGAAACTTCTCTGCTGCCTGAGTGGGAGGTGGTCGAATGGGGCTCAAAGACCCCATAGGTACATAGAGTAAGGCCGCCTGAGGACCTGAGCGGGCTCCTCAGGTCTGAGGCAGCTCTACCACTGACTTGGTGAATTTTAGGCAATTAACTTCTGTTCTCTGGGCCCCCATTAAAAAAAAAGTTGTAAGACTCCTGAGTAACGGTTAGAGTTCAGACTCACCTCTGGCTTGTAGTGGAGTAAAGGACAAAGGCTTTTTACTTTAAATATTGAGTCGTGCCTTTCCTGAGCACAATTTTTGTTTGCGCGCGGGGGTCGGGGGGTTGTTATTTTAAAGATTTGGGTCGCCCCAAGTTGCTGCCCCGCAGATCTCCCCAGGAAGGTCACTGTATCTTTGGGCCTCCGCCATCAGCCTTCCTGGGCCTGAGCGGTCAGCTGTTTCGGAAAGTCCAGGTTTTCCTCGGGGAGGACTTCAAACTCACTGCGCTCGGTAGGGAGAAGGCCTGAGGCTAATCCTCCTCTGTGGCCGCACCAGTCTCTGGAGAACCGGAGAGTCCCCTGTCCTTAGATGAAAAACGCGCTAAGACAAAAAAAAAAAAAAAAAAAAAAAATCCCAAGTGTGTTCTCGCCAGTGGTCCACCAGAAAGAGAGGGTGGGCAGCCCGCTGTAAAACGAGAGCCAATAAAGCCGCTCATTTTAATAAGCTCATTAACATTTTTGAGTGGCTTTCCTTGTGCGCACCAAGGCCTCCCAGGGAGGCGCGGGAGAGCTGGGCAGCGGGGTGATTGCGCACCAACACCCACAAGCACAAGCGCGCTGGGGTGCCACCGCTTTCCTCACAGAGGACCTGGCCGGGCAGGAGTGGCTGGGCAATGCCCACAATGCCAACTCGGAACCTCAGCGTCCCCCAGCGGTCCAACCTCATTGTGCGCCGCACGCTGGACTGTGGCCATTGGAGATTACCAGGCTGCGTGGGTTCAGAGGTCGCTAAGGAGCTTGGGTGACCATATAAATGGCCCTGAATTGTCCCCGAAGCTTCGAGGGATCGGCAGGCCTGGGGTTTGTGCCGGTCTACTTCCTTTTGGCTTGTGTTTTTGGGAAGGGCGTCAATGGATTTGATGCTCTTGAGAATTCAAAAACCAAGTAGTAAACCTGCTCACAAACGGGTCGAGAGTATTCCTGCCAAAGTCAGGCTGCAGCAGGACGTCCTCCGTGTGCATCCTGGATGGGGTGCAGAGCTGTCACCAAGGTGACTGGCTTCTAGGAATCCCTGTTTGCGGAGGAGGCCGGGGGCACTGCCCCTCCTCTTTTCCGGAGAAGTTGAGCAATGCATTCTTGGACCCTAGGACTGCGAGAAAGGAAGCTAGAGACACACCCACACAGAGGTGGTGAGAAAGAAAAAGACGTTCCGGGGCAGAGCAGATAGAGAGAGCGGGCTGCAGGGAGGACCTCACTTGGCCAAGTTCTCCATATGCCTTCAGGTACTGATTTGCAGGTCTTAGGTCTTCACTGAGTCACCCACTCCCCTAGTTTGAACTAACAGTCCCTCCTGAGCAGGTCCCAGAGTCCTGACCCTTATCACCTGGGCTCAGTGTCGGGCTCTGGTGCTGTCTGGCCTAGGGACCTCTGAGAATACAGGGATGGGACCTCATACACTTACTACCGCCACAGCGCATCTAGCACGGGGTTTGTTGCTTTTTGGCGTCCAAACCATACTGGAAGAACACACGAATAAGGCCAGGATCCTTCAGCTTCATCTATGTCTGTTGCCATCACACCTTTTCCTACCTACCCCTCTGAGGGCCTGGAGACCCTTGCAAAGCTGGTGTGGGGGCAGCACGACCAGCTAGCAGTCTCCAAGCCTGGCCAAGTTCTCATTCTTGTTCTTCTGGACTGCTGGGGGCGGGTCCTGGGGGGCAAAGGCCCAACGCAAGAGCCAGGCTTGTTTCTGGGTCAAGTTCTCCGGCCTCAGCCCTCAGAATTTTTCCTGGCGCCTAGGCAGGGAGCAAACCTCATATGCCATCATTTCATACTTGACCGCATTAAAATGCACATAACTTCCCCTGACCAGCTAAGGGCTGAAAAACAAGGTCCCTGAAAACACACTCCCCGTTTCAGGTTCATATTGGAAAATGGTTTTAAAATTGGAAAGATACTGTGGTGCAGTGTGGCAGCTGGGGTGTGTGAAGACACCCTGGGAGTGGCTGTGGCTGGCAGTGGAGTGGGGGACTGTGCTGGGGTGGCCGAGGCGTGGGTGGGGGGCGGGTGGGGGGCGGGGGTGCAGGGAGGGGGAGGAAAGGAGGTAAGGTGAGGGAGGGGATTAGACCTCTTGGGGTCCTGGCAGAGCAGCTTCTCCCAGATGCCTTGTTGAGGCTAGAGGGATTTAGACCCCCGTACCCATTGGGATCATGAGCTTAAGCCAGTGCTGCATGTTGGAATAGTTGTTTTCCAGCAATTGCTCTTGCTCTCTGGATTTCCAGCGCAGGGTTTGACACATAATAAGCCCTGAAATGTTTTCAGATGAAATATTCCTACGTGAAGCATTTTATGTTTCAAGAATGGATTCTCCACGCGGGCGCGGTGGCTCACGCCTGTAATCCCAGCACTCCAGGAAGCCTAGGACGGAGGATCACCAGGTCAAGAAATCGAGACCACCCTGGCCATCATGGTGAAACCCCGTCTCTACTAAAAATACAAAAATTAGCTGGGTGTGGAGGTGTGTGCCCATAGTCCCAGCTACTCGAGAGGCTGAGGCAGGAGAATCTCTTGAACCCGGGAGGCAGTGAGGTTGCAGTGAGCCGAGATCGTGCCACTGTACTCTAGCCTGGCAACAGAGCAAGACTCTGGACGGACTCCACCTCAAAAAAAAAAAAAAAAACCAAACAAACACAAAACAGATTCTCCGCCGCCAGTTCTCTTGAATCTGAAGGCAGGTAGTATTGATTCCCTGAGAGTCAGAGAGGCAAAAGAAGCTGATGACTCGTCCAGGAGCAATCATTTGGAAAAGCTGAACCCAGTGACTCAGGCCTGACATCTTTTTGATACTCTCAAGAGGGAAGGCAATGAAAGCTTCCTCCTGAAAAATCCCCATTGAAACAGAGGTGGATTTGGAGCCAGGCTTTCCTGAAGACCTAGTTCACAGTTCTTTGCTGAAAAAATGAATACCTCCGTTTCCAAATACAAAGATGGGGTAGTGAAAGAATTACATGCTTCTTGAGTATTTGGCACCACTAAATACTTGTAGCCTAGCTGATAATAAGTTTTGCAAAGTTAAACAAGGACATGTACCATTTAAAAAATATATTTACGAAGATGGTAAGAGGTGGACAGAAAGTGTGGAGAGACTGTAACAACAGCCCAAACAGTGAGAAGTCAGCCCCCACTGGAAACCTTCTTTGAAGTAATAGGTTATGTGTATCCCATCTGCAACTGCAATTGTGGTTTAAAAATAAATTCAATATATAGGCTTTTAAGGTTTAGAAAAGAAATACATTGAGGGGGAGCTTCATTTTCCAGGGCATTCCCTCTGTCCAAAAGAATCTGCAGAAGAATTTTTAAAAACAATTCTTTCCTAAGATGTCTAATATTTTATTTATATTATTAATTGTTTTCCATGAAATACTGCCTGCAGTGAGGCACTTCCTAAATACACTTGTCTCATTTATAAGAGGCTTGAGCCCTGCTGTCAGGGCTCAGGCCTGAGGAGAATTCAAGCCAAGCACACATTGGGAAGGTGGCCACAGGATGCAGGAAGGAGAATTGGAGTCCTATCCTTCAAAAGGTGGCCAGCCAGGGGAAAATCTCAACAATGAGCTCCGAGGAAATGCGTAAACAGAGATTTCTTTAAAGAGAAAAATCTTTGTTGTGAAATCCTTGTCTGTTCTCTCTTTCCTTCTTTCTTTGCTCGTTCATTTATTTAGTGCTCAGATATTCAGCAAAAGTAGCTGAAAGCCTACTCTGTGCCAGGGATGCAGAGAAGAAAGATTGCCCGCTTGGTGGAGTTTACAGTCTAGTGGGAGACAAGAAATGGCAGTGCCAAAAGAAAAATAAAATATGCTGCGGATTAGCGCCTGTGAGGCGCAGTATTATTTAGGGAGTTAGTGAAGGAAGGTCACTGGAATATCAGATGTTTGTAAGAGCGCTTTTCGTGGCTGCCGATCCTAAGGCCATGTCACTATCTCTCTGTCTCCATGTCTGCCTGACTGATCGTCGCTATCCTGGACTTAGTCTCTGTCCCTCTGTGTCCCTACGTTTCAGTCCTGATTCGCTGGTTGCCAAAGGCAGGGCGGTGGGGGCAGAGGCCAGGCCCCAGCTCTAGGTGCTAGCCGTTCCTCCTTACCCCGCCCCCTTTCTTAACGACCGGGCCTCTTCCGGAGGCCTGCGGCAGAGTCGCCTAAGCATTTGAATGGACCTCAGCCCTAGGACCCTGGCGCCCTCGGAAACCGGATCTGAGGTCCGGATCACTAACGTTCAGAGATGCAAGGGAAGCCGAGAAGTTGCCGAAAGGGCCTGAGAGCTGCTTCTCCTTCTCCCTGGGCAGCAAACCTCCAAGCCTGTGCGGGCCAATCTTTGCATCCTGGTAACCAGCGCTTTATTTAGCGCCTAATCGCTTTCCTGTCCTGCAGTAAGTGCTTTCCATGAATTATTTCATTCATTCCTTCCAGCAGCTCAACTTCCATTACCCCACTTTGGGGATCAACACTACCCTGGCCGCGGCTATTTCCGGTGGAGCTGGGGTTCGAACCTAGTCTGTCTGGCTCCAAACTACTCAGCGCGGGCCACACGTGCGTTGGTTTCCCCAGGCAGCGATAAGGGTACCATTTACACAGGAGAAAAATGAGGCCCGGAGAGAGTAAGTGACTAAATGGGCATCAATGTTATGTCAGGCACAGAGCTGAATGTTTTACCTTTAGCGCATTTCATTTTCCTGAGCCCTTTGAGAGGTGGAATTTGAGGGCCCATAGGAACCATGAAAAAGCCAGATAGAAGACTTGGTGGGTTGAAGCCTTGCAGCTCCAAATGGCAGAGTGGTGAACAGGCTTTGGTGGCAGGGCCAGGCTTATCTTCCACTTCTGCTTCTTCCCAGCTTCCAGACCCTTGGAGGAGTTCCCTAAACTCAGGCCCTCATTCTCCCCAAGGAATAAGGAGACTCATAGGTTGGCTTGGAGATAAAAGGAGATAACGTAGTTAAAGCCCTTTGGAGTGGGTGCATGGCACAGAGCAAGCTCTTAAAAGATGATCAGGCACACAAGGCTGGATGGAACCCGCCTTTCTAGACCCTGCTCAGCCTCTTCTTCCCTTCCTTCCTATCTGCAGAAGAGGGAGATGATCTTTCCAAAACTCCCTACTGTGAATAGTAAATGGCTTTTTTTTTTTTTTTTTTGTCTCCAGTGGAGACCGGGGCAGCAGCCTGAAAGGGAAGGCTTTTAATCCTGGCTTCATTTACCACGTGCCACTCCTTGGTGACAGTGCAGATCCTAGTGTGCAGGTAGCTCTGGCGGGCCTCACAGGCAAGGCGGAGGACCCAGGGCCGTTCCTCCTACCTGGGGTGACAGGAAGGAGGGTACAAGGCCCAGCAAGGCACATCAGTTGCTCCGTGCTCACCCTCCTCAGTTTCAGAGATTCTGGCCTCCTTGCTCAATGCCTGATTGGCAAGTTTCCCAGTTCTGGGCACTCAATCCCAATGCTTCAGCCCCAACACACACACACACACACACACACACACACACACACACACACACTGCAGTCCCCACCACTTCACCAGGGTAAGGCAGAGACTGGAGCTCCAGGAAAGGAAAGAAGGTTGAACAGATTCTGCGGTTTCCACGTGCTTGCACTGACCATACCTTTCGGTGAATCCTGGGGAGAACCCATGAAGTGTGTGGGATTATACCTTTTTTACAGAGCAGCAAGCAAAGTTCAGGAGGGTCAAGTGACTTGGGCAGGGTCACACAGCTTGGAATTGGTGAGGCGGGAACTGGCCCGGGGGACCTGTGGGACTTCAAAGCCTCCAGTTAATGTTTGCGACGCCTCTGCGCCCCCTCCCACTCCTAGGGTGGGGACTAGGCTGTGGGAAGAGGAGGGGAGAATCCCACAGGGGTGCGGGGAAGGGAGTATTAATTCTCTGGACAGTTTCCTATTAAGAAAACACCGACTCCGGCTGCCTCCTCCCGAGTGCCGCCGCTTGGCCTCCTGAAGGCGAGGCCTGTGTATTTGTAGTTTGATTCTGCCCGTCAAGGCTAATTTCTCCCTACAACTTAATGGACTCGGCTTGACGTGCGTAATGATTCCTAATCACGAACATTATTTTCGCTAGCGCGGAGACATGTTCCAGTTGTTGTGACAGATCGCATTTCAGCCATAATGACGGAAAATTACCATTTCTAATTCTCCGGTTTTTGACACCTAAATCCACAGACCATATGTGGCGGCGGGAACTCTGGGCCCGACGGTCCTCCTTCCCCGCCGCAGCGAAGCTGTGCTGTCGCCCAGGGCTTCCACCCCCGAGCCGCGCCCAAAAGGGGGGAGTGGGAGGGGCCCACGGGACGGACCCAACTTTAGCCTTTGAACCACTTCCTCCAACCTGAGGGCCCCCTACACCAAGGAGCAAAGACCAGAGCTTGGACGGGGCCTCAGAGACTGTTGCATCTTCCGTGACTTGTTTTATAGATGGAGACTGAGGGCAGAGGAGAGTGCAGCTTATCCAAGATCTCAAGGCTAGTAATTGGTGAGAAAATTCTGCACAGAACCATTCCCAGTGGTGAGACTGTTTTTGTCCTTCAGCCCGGGAAAGGCAGACCTGGCTCCCTCCTTTTATTTGCAAGCCTCAAAACCATCAAGACAGGCAAAGGTTTTTGTTTGTTTGTTTTTTGTTTTTTGTTTTGCGGGGGGGGTTTGGGGGGTGTTTCGGGGAAACATTGACAACGTGCCAGGAAATTTAGGCACAGAGAGGGTAAGTAATTTGCTCAAGATCACAGCGCTAATACGAGATGATGCAATTCACCTTCCTCTCACTTTCGGCACTCACACAAACCAGGCGTGACTAATTATGGCCACTTCTGGTGTGAGGAAACTGAGGTTAGTAGACGGAAAGCCGAAACTAAGACTCTCACATCCGTGTCCCCGCGTGTTACCCAATTTAGTAGGTCCAGGGGATACTGCGAACCCTACTATATACCAACATTTTGTAGGTTGTTTTGGGGGTCACTTCCTCTCCCCCATTCCTCCCTCCTCACCCTCTACCCACTTGAAGCTAGACTCCGGGCGAAGCTCTTGAGATACAGAAGTAGAGACGTAACCCCGTCTACCAGGGCCTCACTGTTTAACTTGAAGTTCTAATATAGATCAATGCATTTTTTTCTTGGGGAGTAGGGAGATCCACGCGGGGGCCAGTGGAGTTAGCTCACAATTTACTAACCCTGCTTTTAGGAATACATCACAGAAACCTCAGATACCGCCTCTGTAAATAGGGTTAAAGATGCCCCACTCCAAAAATGGTTGCAAGCTCAACACGGCTCCTTTCCAGACACTCGAAGGGCGCGGACCTTCGCTGAGACGCCACCCACGCAAGTGGAGGAAGCACTTGCGCCACTGCTGAGCGGTTGGAAGGGGAACACTGCAGGTACGCCCCAGTCAGGCAAGGAGGCAGGACCAAAGCCCTGAGCTCTCCGGAGGCTGGCGGGGAATCCCCAGAGGCTATCTGTAGTCCCGGCTGACCCCTGAGCGGGTGAGGGGGCGGGGGGCGGGATGTGGGAGTGATGGGGGGCGTTGAGCGCTGAGAGGATGTTGTGGGCGAGCCGCAGGCCCTCCCTGCGTAGCCCACCCTGAATTTGCGGGCGCAGCTCGAGTCTCAGAGCACTTCTCCTTGTGTAAAAGCAGCGATGACCCACGAGTGTCAACGAGACCAGGTGCCCATTAGGGAAACAGAGATGGAGAAGAAATCACGCGCCAAGGTCTGAAATTCGGCGTGGCTCTCACTCGACATCTCCCCATTCTCGCCACCCGTGCACCCGCCTGCAGCGGCGCACCGGGCTCGGTGCTGCACCTGCCTCCTGGCGCCTGCGCCACTGCCCCCGCGCGGGTCCCACCGCGCAGGACGCCCCTTCCTGCTTCCGACGTCTGCTGTGGATCACACGCGGTCGCTGCCAAAGCCTCCATTTCGGTTCTGACCCAGTGACTTTGGGGACGCCCAGGGAGGAGATGTGGAGAGGATGTGGCCAAGGTGAACCAGCCAGTGTAAGTGCTAATGCTTCTGGCTTCTCGGTAACACCTACCCTGCCCCACCACCCAAATCGGGCCTTGATCAAAAAAGAAGCGTCTTGACAATACATTTTTAGACATAAATAAGTTGAAGGTGCCCACGGAGGGAGGTTGAAAACATTTGATTATCAGGACAGAGTAGAAGCCTGTTTGGCTCATCCTTTTGGCCAGCTCTAAAGCAGCAGTGGACACTTCTTTGCGATTTTGCAAGGATGTTTGTGAATGTACTTTGTAACTCCTAGAAAATAGGCAAAAAACCGTGAGTGGATGTAGTCGCACCGCTGGCACCTGTAAGAACGCGCCCTAAAGCTGTGGAACTGCTATTCAGGTTCCAGGCACACGTCTCAAGCCTCAAACCTCCAAGAGTTGCCTTAGCTGCTCATTTTACTGGTAAGAAGACGGAGGTCAAGCCTGAAGATAGTGGCTCTGCTGTTTTCTTAGGCTGCTTGAAGCTTTAGATAAGCAGGAAAATTCCATCAAAGAAATCCCTGTATGTAAATTGGGAGAAAAAGATATGATGAATATTAATGCAGAGGCCTCTGAACAAATGGAACCTCCATTTTCACATCCAGCACAGGATCATTTGCAGCCAGACAACCTGAGAGTCAACCCCAACTCTACCTTTTACTAATTGCATGATATTGGGCCTCAGTTTGCTCATCTGTAAATTGGGTGCAGTGATAGAATCTATCCCACAGGGTTTTGCTGAGCATTAAATGAGTTTAAACTTGTAGATGGCTTAGAATAATGCCTGGCATGTAGCAAGTACGCAGTTACTGGCGCCTGGTGTATATAGTAAGTACTCGATATACATTAACTATTTTTCAAAGACACCACAGCTCACCTGGGAAGGAATCTCAGGTATTTGCCTGAGATTCAAGCAAACAAATATGGAAGCTACCAAAGGCTCATGAAGCCTGAAGGATCCTTGCAGAGAGATGTTCTAAATGTTGCCTAGAAAGGCAGTTTGGAGGGAGGCCTCTCCAGTCAGAGGTCTGGATGCTAAGTTTAGCTCTGCCACATATTAGCCAGGTAATTTTGAAGTAATAAACAATCTCTTTGTGCCTCCATTTCTTCTTGTGTAAAATGAGGGGCTGTTGTGAAGATTAAATAAATACATGTAAAGCATTTAAAGCCAGACCTGGCAGAAAGGGTGCTTTATGTTTGCTTTAAAAATATATATGTACAACATTTTTCTCTATGCCTGACATTCAGTAAGAGCTCACTATTGTCAGCTCTTATTCCTTCTTGGTATGTAAGCGGCCTTTACAGACATTACCAGTGTAGGGAAAGATGAGGTAGTTAGTAAATGTTCTGGTAATTGTGTGTGATTGCTCAGAGACAAGGACTTTAGGGATATAATCTGAGTTCAAGACTGACAAAACCACTCACTAGCTGGGTGGCCTTGCATCAGTCACAGCCTGGCGGAGCTGGCTGCCACCTGTTCAAGGAAGATAACAATTTCCACTTAGCAGAGGAGGCTCCAGAATTTCCCTATAGGAAGAGATTGGGGGTCTGGGGGATGGTTGGAAGCTTGTCTTCAAACTGTTCTGGCAGAGAAAACAGGCTCTTGACTTAGATTGATTGTACGCTTGTGATCTACTGGAAGGACTTCAGGACATGGAGCGGTGCTTTAGCTGCCCTTTGCTGCCCAACCTATTCCTAAAGGGCAAATTGCTATGCTAACATTCCTATTGTAATTATCATAATTCCCCAGATCTCTGGGTGAGGCAGAAAGACTGCCTTAAAGTCTGATTGAGAAATTGAGTGGGACATTTGGTTCTTAGTCCTTCATAAGAGGCCAGTGGAAGGGCAGAATTCATTTGGAGTTCACAAATGTCCCTTCTGGGAAGGCAATCCTGATCAGAAATCCTGATTGCTTATTCCATCTTATCAACCACTTACTGTGTGAGTGCCAGCTATGGAAAGATCTACAGGCTTACTACCTATTTTGTAGACTGAGATTAAAATCATGTAAAATGGTTGGCAATGTGCTTGGTGCACAGTGCTGGAAAAATGGGAGTTCCTATATTAAGTCAGATCATAACTGCCTGAAAAAAGGGTGAGGCGGCCAACAGGACCTTCTGGGACATAGTCACAAGAAGGCTCAGGTGTATTTTTAAGCCATCCCAGAAAAGCTTTCAAAGCACTTGTGAGGCAGCTTCTGTCCATTTTACTGAATAACGTCCTGAGGCAGAAGGGGCTTTTCAACTGGAATTTCCCTCCCTCTCTGAGGCTACTCTGGAAATTTTAATTTAAAAGCTCCTCTTGGCGCTTGCTCCCCGGCTCCCCAGTGCTCAGCGCTGGTGTCCGGGAAAGCTGGGAAGAGCCATGCGGTTGGAGGCCCCTGAGGCCCCTCCTGGCTCCGTTGCGTCTGCGGAGGTGGTTAGTTCTGGAGCACTTCAGTCTGCGCCGAGTGCGGACCTCACTGACTAATCGCCTCGGCGCGTAGCGGCGACCCAGCGGCTTGGGAGAGCGAAGGAGGTCACTGTGCTTTCAGCTTTCCCGGCCTGTTTCGGAGAGCCCAAGTTTGGCTTCCGCAAGAGCACCTCGGCATGCCGCCTAGTCCTTCGGTTCTTCTCGTCTGCATCTCCTCCCTTTGGTCCTAAGGAAAGGTTGTCAGCAAGACTGGGGGACACATGCGCGGTCTGAAGCCAGGTAACACCACGATAATTGTTGAGCTTTCCATAGGGCCAGCCCACCATGGCAAGCTATCTATGCCCATTAGATAATTGGTCTCGTCCATTCTACGGGGGTCATAATATTACCACTCCCATTTAATAGTTGAGGGGGCCGAGGTACCAGGAACTGGATTTCTCCGTGGTCCTACAGCTAACCAAGTGATGGACCCTGAATTTGAAACTCGTGTCTAGCTTGAGAGTTCGCATCCCTATCCAGGCCTGTCTGCTACCTTCTCCTGTGTTTCAGGACCCAGAATGGTGCCTGGTATCTGGTAGGCTTCTCTGAATATTTGTGGAAAGAGAAGGTATCGTTCTCCTACTGTTACAGGTGGTGAAGCAGCTTGCAAAGAGAACATTTCTTTCTCCAGGGCACGGAGCGAGTGAGCGGAATTGCTGAGCTAACCCCGGCCTCTCCAAAGGGAGGAGGCCCGGAAGAGGCCCAAGCCCGCGTTGGCGTGCGTCTTCCCCTCTGCGTCTCGAACGGGAAACGGTGATCACAGTGGCTCAGAGCCGCTAGCCGGTCACACCTTGCCTTCAACACCCGGGTCCTTCTGTCCCAAGCAGAGCACTGGATCTGTGACATCCGCATAGAGACAGAGCTGATTGCACTCGACACCCGGCTCCTCGACGCTGAGGGTTCTCGGCCTGGAGGGAGGAACATGCGGATTTAGTTTTAGTTATATCACGCTCCAGTTACTCACCACTGACTTCACACTTTCCATTCCCTAAACGCGGGATGTCCAAGGTGCCGGAGGCCGAGAGCGCGAGCCAGGAGTGTAGGGCTGCTCGGCGGCGGCGGCGCGATCCCATTGATGATTCCAGCAGAAAGGACAAGGCCAGGAATCTGGACGCCCGGGTAGAGATTGCGGTAGCCAGCACCGGTGGAGTGGGTGGGTGAGGGGCATAGCCCTGGCACCAGTGGAGTGGAACCCCGCGATGGGGAAGGACGGGGGCTCAATGGGATAAAATGGGCTAGTGGCCGCAGGCGGGGCGTGGTTTGGATGGGATGGGGCTGAGAGGCGCAGCGAGGGATCCTGAGAAGGCCACCTGGCAGTACAGCGCAGCCAGGCCAGTGTTCCGCGCCCCCCTACCCCGCACCCCCCCACCCCACTTCCCTCTCGGCAGAAGCAGTCCCAGGTGAAGCTGGCTGTCACCGGCTTCTGCCCTCGACACTGGGAGCTCTCTTTCCGCCCCGCAACAATCACCCCATTCCCCCGAACGCCAGCAATTAATGGGGGTGGGGGCAAGTGCCAGATAAGTTGGTTCAAGTACGCGGGAGAGGGGACCGTGAATTTCCCACATGCTAGCAGCGCTTGACCGTGCCGGACGCTGCGTTTGCGGAGGAGCCACGTCCTGCGTGGGTCCTTGAAAAGCCCTTAACCTTCTTTCTGCCGCAGGTCCTTCTGTGAAGACGGAGCTGGTAATGTCTACCTCGTGGTGAAGCTAAAGAGGGATGAGGGCGCTTCCAAAATGAAAAAGCCCGGTGCAGTGTTAGGGCCTTGCAAGCCCCAAACTTCAGCGCGCGAGAAAATACAGTGGAGAGATTGCTTGGTTTCAGCAGATGAGGGCGAGGCCCAGAGATCTGCACTTTTACTTTTCGGGTGGTCCTGGTGCATGTGGTTCGGGACCTCACAGCAAAGCCTAAGGCTGTAGGGCGCGTAGGCAAGCGAATGGATGGTGTCTGGCCTCTGCTCGATCAGCGTGTTCTGGGGGCCACTGTGCCATGGGCTCTGGGAACACGGCATGCCCAAGGCCTCCTCTCAGGGAGGTGATCGTTTATCTAGCTGGGCGTCAAGCCTGGAGCCAGGACTCTTCATTTAAGCCACTTTCTCCTGCGAGGCCACCACGGCAGCGAAGTCCGTAGCCCCAAGGTGCCTCCTCAAGCCCCTGCTCCCGGGACCTCTCTCGGCCTCCCAGTAGTTTTCGCATCCTTAAGCCTCGTGGCGCACGCTGTGCTAGGCCCCGGCAGCCCTGGCGCCCCCAGATCTCCCAGAGGAGAGGGAGCTGCCAGGCGCCACGGCTTCCCTGGGGCTCTGAGCGCTTTGGCGAGCGTCTTTGCAGCCACCCAATCCGGGTGCGGTCTTAGAGGGGCGACAAGGCATCTGCCAGCTTGGGGCAGGGGGCGAGACGGGGGTGTGGATGGGTGGACGGCAGGCTGCTGAGTGTTGGGGGTCGAGTTCTGCCTCACTAGGACTTTGCAGCGGTTTGCCCCGGAGCACAGTAGCCTGGCTGCGGCCGACACCCGGAGGCCGCCTTCTTCTTGCGGAGAACCCCGGCGTCGCTTCCTGCCAGGCTTGGCGGGCGGGGGTCACGTCAGGCTTCCCAAGCCAGCGGGTTTGCGCCTTGCCTCGCTGCCAAGGAGAGCCACCTGCGGAGGCCTGTGGCGAGTGCCGAGCTGAACCCACACCTGGAACGTGCTTCTCCCCAGTTCCCTTCTCAAAGCCCTTTCCTTGCAGGTCTGAAATGGAGCTAGAGGCTCTGCCTCTCCCTCGGGAGGAAGGTAGGGAAGTTGTCAGGGATTCACAAGCAGACAGTGTTTGCTCGCCTTTACCTATCCAGGTGAATTATTTGCGGTGATTTCTCATTTCCTTCCTCAAAGAAAACCATGTCCTCCCATCTTTCCATCCCTTTTCCCTCCTTTAGCTTAAATGCTTATGAAAAATTAATGGAAAAACATCTTCAGTGGCCTTTGGCTTGTCCTAGAAAAACAACCCAAACCCAGAGCTCACTAGTAATAACGAAAACTTTAAAATTCAACTCTTTATTCCAGGCTTCCCTAGTTTTCAAACTGACAAACATGTTTGGATTTCAAAATATCAAACTCGGTATCTGGCTGTTGTACAGAGATAACTTGGGTGAGGCATGACAAAATGTGAAATGTTAGTGCCCATAGATTTGGAACATTCCATGGGGCTTTTTCCTTTTGCTAAGCTATAGGCTTGCCGAATGATCATGCTAGAATTGAAAGTTTTGTGTTAATATATTGGCAGTTTATAGGGGAAAAAAGGTGGAATATCGAGCTCATGAAATTCAGTAAGAATACCATTAGAATTTTGCCATATTTGTCGTTCCCCCTTGGTTTCTTTTACATGAAATTCCATATAAAATATAAACTATTTATATAAGTTTGCAGTTTCACACTAACCAAAAATATAGGGAATGAAACAATTATGGAGCAAATATAGGCATATTAATTAGCCCACCTTGTACATGCACCTATATATTCTACATGGCATTTTTCATTACTACATGAGCTGTTAAATATATAAAGTAGGTACATTTGTGGGCACATTAACACACTATGAGAACTTGAACTTGTTCATTTCCTGGCTTTTATGGGCCTGGTTGGGCTGTGTGGGCATGCTTTACACATGCTCATGTGCCCTGAACTCCCACTGACTTCTAGAGTCCCACCTCCATGGATGGAGGGAGGCAAATAGAAAATGGCAGCATTGAGTGTAAGCTGGCCAAATCTATGTTATCTGCATATGCGTAATAATAACTGCATCCCACAGTGACCCTGGCCCCAACACATAAGGAAGCTCTAGACTCCTCATGACACTGGGCCAGTGTCCCTTCCTTCACCAAGTGGTCATTTCAGGGACCACATGGCAAGTCCTTCATTATACTGGAAAGGTTTTTGTTGTTGTTGTTGTTTGTTCGTTTGCCATTGGCTTGCCTGAGCTATACTCAAAACTATGTTATAAATATGAAAACTAAATTGAGGCTGCCCTGCTCCCTTAATGCAAATGAGTTTGAAATAATTTTCACCCCCTCCTCACACAAAAAGCCATTTGTACCTTTTATGTTGGATTTCTATACTCCTTTATTCTCAATCATAAAATTGAAAATAATTGTAATAAAATAATTATATCCCTAGAAATGGATTTCTTGGTAAAGAACAGGCCTGATATAGAAATAAATACTCTTGGGTAATGATGGGTGTTGCAGTGTAAAAGAATTTATATTACCTGTATTTAAAAAAATTGCTTATGTGTTCAAGAGAACTGAAAAAAAACTGTACAAACTACTATCTCCCATATATATTTTTCACAGATTTTTGTTTTATTTTGTTTTTAGTAAATAGGAATCTAGCAAAAAAGTAGTTTGAATCTGGAATTAAAATTAAAAATAAGACTTTAGAATTCTACTTAACTGTGGACCATGTAAGAAAAAAATTAAAGTCAGCTTCAAGATGAATCTTGAAATAAACGTTAAAATACCATTTGGTTTACATGCAAGTAGCATAAAAAGAAAAACATACTTGTTTTTCAGATGGCAAAAAGCTGGGAGAAAAGTGAAAAATGCCATTTTTCATTTTGATAACCAAATATTTTGGAGGGAAAAAATCATCATTTTTTTGTAGAAGAGTATTTTCTTGCATGATCCAGGTTTTCACCTTTTACCTGGTATGTATAGGCAGTGTATGATTAATCAATTAACATCTGAATTAAATATTGATAAGTGAGCTTTAAAAAATATGTAAATGGTCGTTTTGCTCTAATTATCTTATTTAATTAAAAAAAAAGTCCGCTTGAATATAGAGATAACACCTGCCATTAACTAGTGCTTGCTTCATGCTAGGTTCCATGCTTGGTGTCTTCCACATATTGTTTCATTTCATCCTTAAGAAAGTTGTTGAGATCATTCCCACTTAACAGATTAGGAAATTGAGCCTTAGAGAGTATAAGTGACTTGCTTAAGGTCATATAGATAGTAAATAGTAAGACTAGGATCAATTGACTTTGTGACCTAAATTTTAGCCACTACTCTAAACTGCATCCTTCCATTGATATGAATAGCCATGTTTCACCGAGCAGACAAATGAATTCACAGAACCTTGATATTTTATAAAAAATGCTTACTAAATTAAAATGGTTCAAGTTGAAATGGTAGAATTGGCTGTGAACTTAGACTTTGAGAAAAATGACCTGGCTTTCAAGAAGGTGGTCTTATTTGCTAGGCCTAAAATGTTTTACTTTACTGTTCTGTTTTGAAATGTTATTTTTTGGAACAAAACCAATGGTAAGGTTTAGAAATGGAAATGCCAATATAAAGGACAAATTGCTGGAACTTTTTCAAGCTATAAACCAGAGGGAGCTCAGCTGGGAAAATTAATATGCATATCAATTTCATGTCAGACAGTTCATGACACCGATATATTTTGTGTAGTCTCTCTATTGAAAAAATATATTTTAAAAACATTTGTTTGCTAAAAAGTGTAACTCTAAGGTTCACATTCCCTGGCTTGTGTACTGAAGATATTCAGCGTTTGAGTGTTAAGAAGAGCTGCGAATTAATCCCTGAGACAAATTCCTTCCATTTCCAAGTCTGCCAATACAGGATTTTCAGAAAGGAGAGTTGACCAAGGAAATTAAACTCCCTTTTACTATGCAGATGTCAAGAAAGAGCATACTCTTCAAAGCGAAGCTATGAAACACAAGAATTTTTTCTTCACTTTGAAATATATTTTCCTCTTAAAGTTCTTTCAAAGTTTTAGTTTCTTTATTCTTTGTTACTCTGCAGTACTGATTATTTATACCCGAGGAACATAATGTAAAGGCAATTTAAAAATTTGGCAACAATCTCTAATTCTCTACAATTGAAAAAAAAAAGTAATTGGAATTAACATACATGCCATTGCAGGGTGGGTTTTAAATTTGGTCCTAACAGTCCCAATATTTAGAAATGGCAGAATTATTTTGCCATCGAAGATGCTTTATTGAATAGTATTTATTGAATGTGATGAATGCCTGTTAAGCAGGTTAATGTGCTGCCTTTTTAATAGGGAGCTTTTCTACTGGCTTACCTTCCATAGGCATGCATTGGAGTTGTTTTTCAGTGCCGTGAGAGCTAATGAAGGCCAATTTAGAGCAATTTTCTTGAAGATTGCTGCTCAGCCCTGTCTGACTTGTAATTCCAACCCTTATGCCAGGCTGAAAGGAGTAGCAGGAGGTTAGTAAATACAATTATATTAATATCGATGTTATTTTAGTTACTTAAAGTTCATTTATCTTGAATGCAACCAGTCAGATTAATAGAGACCATATATATCCAATGCATATATTACACCAATAAACCTAGCATTTAAACAAACATTGAAATCAAGTGTTTGAGAAAAGGTTTCAAATTAATGTTTAGCCTGAGCTCGCCCTGAACTAATGACTGAGGGCAAAAGATCCTCTTCTATTATATTTTTTACTCTAAACTAATTTTTTACATTTATTAGTCAATGAGTCATTGGCATTTGTTATCTTAGATATGTCACTGCTATTTTTACCATACTTTTTGAAAAAGTGAGATTATCTTACTCTGTTATAGATATTATTTTCATCCACATATTCTGAGCAGTGTGTACTATTTCAGAATGGACTTTTTAACAGGAAAATCAAGTAACTTAAGTTGTAGAGAATGAACATACATAATTCAAATAGAGGCCAGTTATGTGATGTTGGCACAGTGAAAACTCAGTAGGGTTCCTTTAGCTCAGTGATTTCATTATTCAGGAGGAAAACAGAGAGAAAAGATGACTTACACATTCTCCTGTTATTTTGTAGCCTCTCAGACATTTTCAGATTTCACCTTTCATTTTAAAAACAAAAATTTTCTAGGCCTCTTTCCAAACTATTTAATTCACCTCTGGTAACTACAAATAAAAAAATGAGGTATAAATTGCTTTTAAAAACTTAGAAAGGTATTACTAAACATATTATTGCATCAGACTTAATTGGCTATAATATATTTTATGCCTTCAGTTCTTTTGAGACAAAAATCAAAAAAAAATTGTCTTAGAAGCAAAAGATACAAAAGTGATTTCAAAGGCAATGATTAAAAGGTAATTTTACAAAATAAGGTTTTTGTTGTTGTTGCTCTTTCTTATTTTAAATAATGTCACCTTGTCTAAAAGAGGATAAAAAGTTCCAGAGCGGACAGTTTAAGGTTATCTAATTTGCAATCAAAACTAATGCTTAGTATTTGTAAATTCTTTTGTAATTTTTGAGCTGTAAAATGGAGATTATTCGGTTTATCAAAGACATTTTGTGGGACTTAACATACGGAAAGAAAATGGACTATGAGTGCCACATAAATTTTGATATATGAAGAGAATTACTTAACCTGTTTTGTCTCCAAGTTGCAATTTATATCAGCACATTATAATTTGTCCTTTTATATGAATGCCACAATTATAGAGATAATTTAAATAATATTTAAAATGAATCAATTTGAATTTTCAAAGTCACTAATTTGCATTTAGTACAATAATTTAATTTTTCATATTTGAATAATGGCAAGGTAAATCGGCATGAATTTTCTACTTTCGGACTCTTTTTCCCATTTTGTATTTTGACTTAAATACAAAACAAATGCATTCTAAAAATTAAAACTTTGAGTTTGGCATTCAAACTTTCTTTGAATATTAAGAAAAAATTAGATATTCATAAGTGTAGTGAGCATTTTTTTCTGATGCTCATTTGAAAGGAATATTGGATTAAAATTGACAGGAGTTCGAAGACATTTTATTAAAGGTGGTTCTTATAAAGCTGTGAGAACACATCCCGTCAGAGTTTCTCCTTGTCTTTGCATTTACATGGAAAATAAGGAAGTGTGTATAATTTATTACTATTAAGGAACTTTATGAATGGTCCTTCTCATATTTCCCCCTTGGAAGCCATTAGATAATCTGTTTTTGTAATACTGAGTCAAACATTTAGTTTAATATTCTTTTTCAGAACAGACCACATAATCATAGGATTATTAGACATCTCATAATTTTTAAAGTTGTCTAAAACCCATGCAGGTTTATTCCTGTGCTGAGAGTTTCCTAAAGTTACAATCTTTAATTCTTGTTCTCAAAAGCAAACAAACAAAAAAAATGTTACCCAAGATGCACATAAAACATGCATTAAAGGGGTTTCCTACTCTATGTTTTTTTATTATCCCTCTACCTTACCACCCACCAGTGTTGTGGATTTAAGAGAGTCGACATAATTGAGTAAGTAAATTACCAAAAAACCAGGCAGCTGCTGCAGACACCTAGCAATAGACTGTACCTTGGTTCTAATGTTCTCGTATTAGCACTACAACAAGCAGAAAGGGGCTCTTAATTATGTCTTGCTTTATAGGAGCACAATAAATTCCTTTTGTTGATCTTACTGCAAACTCAATGGTGTTTTTGTGCAGTGTTGAATTAAGAGATATCAAAAGTCATAGATTGAAGGATTATTCTGAGTATTTAAGGAACGTGTAAGTAGGTAGTAATGAACCCCCTACACAACCAAATCTGCTCTTCTGAATGCAAAAGTACCAGTTATTCAACATTTCAAACTGACAGCTTGTAAATGTAAATTTTATTAAATGCACAGCAATAAAAATTTGTAGGTTTCTGTCACTTTGAATTTTAGTGGCTTAAAATGAGGCCTCTAGCCTTTTAAATCACAGCAGGTAAAAGCAGAGCTCTCTAGCATTCAGCATTTAAAAACTGGAACCTTTTTAGGTTTCACTATGTGCATTTGCTCACATAATATCCTTTGCAGGATTCAAGAATGGATGTGTTATGTCACTAACAGGCCTGCATTTTCCATCACCTTTATATCACAGTTCACAAAATGTTTCTCTTACAATTCTGGGAGAGAGAGAGAAAGAGAGAGAGAGATGAAGTGGGAGAGATTTAAAATTCAATTATTTAAAATAAATGAGATAAAAAGAAAAATAAATTTTAAGAGAAATAAGAAACAGTATTATAATATTTCACAGCATGGTTTAATTTGTACATTTTAAAAAACTAGTCAAGCTCATTCTTGTGCAGATTCTGGAAAATATAAAACTGAAGTCATATAAAATAAGCATATAGTAAGAAAATATTGTGGAGGACAAAATCTTGGTTAAAATTTTATAAAGATTTCTAAAACTTAGAAAGAAAATTTAAAACATGCATGTATCAAGGCTCAGTTTATTGGCCAAAATGATAATTGATTTTTTCATTTAAGGAAAGTCCAATGCTAGATTTAAATTACGATTGTTTTCTATGTTCTAGCTTTGGTTAATAACAGGAACATTTCATTTCTATATTTTTCGTCCTACAGAGAGGTAGTTTTTTTAATTTTTTTTTTTTAATGTAAAGACTGGGTCTCGCTATGTTGCCCAGAGAGAAGCAGTTTCAACTGATACCTGACAAATGTCAGAGTTTAAACATAGTAATTGAATATGCAGTTTCTCAAGTGATATTACTTTACCTTGGTGAATACTGTTGCTATAAATGACGTTTCTGATGAGACTTATGAGAAAGCATTTGGCCACCTGCAGTTGTTAAATATCCCCCTGGCACTTTTTCTAAGAGTTGAAGTATTACCCCGTGTTTTGGCCACATTCCAGTTTGGGCTAATGGCATTCGTCCTCGCGAAGTTTCCTTTGCAATTTTAATTGGATTTGACCCTTTTCTTCACTGTAAGGAGCCTTCCCTTGAAACAGTCCCATTCTGGCAGAAAGAGAGCAGACAATCATCCTTTCTTTGGCTAAATTTTTGGAGGGTATTACAATGCATTATCAAAGTGAATTTCAACATTGTACATGAGTATTAGAGGGCTTTAGTAACTATAATTACAAGTATTATGCGATGTATGCATAGACTCTTCTTTCAAAATATTCACTTTTAGGGTACCTTAAAGGATGATGTAAAGCAACTATTTTAACTTCAGACTCAACAGCTTGTTTTTAAAATTGTGGAAACCAAAAATCCCTTATAATAATTTATACATATTTAAAAAATATGATTACCAAGATAGTAATCACGTTTTAGAAGACTAATTCTCCTTTCCATATTAAAAGTCAAAATCCTTTCTCAGAGACCAGTGTGGATCAACTAACATCTATTTGAAACTATTACAAGTTTAGTACTTCTTGCTGTTGCGACATCTACTGAATCGAAACTAGAGTTAAGTATAAAGGACATACTGAATAAGTTCTTAAGGTTTCCTTAGCTAACATCTTTAAATTTGAGGGAGAGTCATTTCTGAGATTTTTTTTTTTTTTTTTTTTGAGACAATGTCTTACTCTGTCACCCAGGGTGGAGTGCAGTGGCATGATTACAGCTCACTGCAGCCTCGACTTTCTAGGGCTCAAACAATCCTCATTCCTCAGCCTCCTGAGTAGCTGGGACTACAGGCATGCACCACAACTCCCAGCTAATTTTTTATCTTCTTTAGAGACAGGGTTTCACCATGTTGCTCAGACTAGTATTGAACTCCTGAGCACAAGCAATTGGCCTGACTTGGCCTCCCAAAGTGCTGGGATTACAGGTGTGAGCCACTTCACCTAGCCACTTTTGAGTATATTTCTATTTCTGGTTTCTCACCTTCCTCTATCACTTCAGGGTGAATTGGCTGCCAAGGAGAACCCCTCATCTTATAAGGGTTACCAATAGTTTGGCGGACCATTGTGGAAGAGGGAGAGGTGGAGTTAAAATAGAGGAATGGTCCTTACAATCATGGCATTTCAGAGCTGAACTTTTGGATTTCACATTTAGTAACTTTACATTAATCTACTTTATATTTATTATTTTTCTCTCAAATTACATAAGTAATATGTGCCTATTAAAAATACATAAGCTGTATAAGGTAAAGTAATTTACTTTCCTCTCCCCTGCCCTGCTTTCTTTCCCAATCTTAGACAGGTTTCTTTGGTTTTTGTCCTTCCAGACAGAAATACGTTTTCATACATAGTTTCGTGTGATTTACTTTACAGATAAATGGAATCATACCATACCTTTTAAGCAAGTTGCTTTTTTTGTGCGTTGCAGTATTACTTAAAGAGCTTTCTATAATTAATACATATAGATATATCTAATTCTTTTAAATTGGGGCGTCCATATTATTAAGCACCCAACCCTCAAATTGCTGAATATTTCATTATTAGAACCATGTCTCTCAGATGCCCCTTTTTATGCATATGTGGTATTACTTCTCTGGAATAAATACCTGTTGACTGTGCTGCAGTTACCTTGTTTTGTGACTGAGGCAAACAGTGTCCATAAAGATAAAGTGATCTATCTAAGGATACACAGTTTTGGCAAAGCCAGGACCAAAGCCCAGATCTCTCAACATTTAGTTTACTGAACTTTCTGTTTGATATCATGTATAGTGGCCACTCTGGTGCTTTGCCCATATTCTTCGTCTATTGCAAATGTCCTTATCCTCAGAGGTTGGGGCATCAGCTTTCAATAGCTCATGGGTGCACCCCTCACTGAGAATTGTTCATGGCTGCAGGGCACTGTTTTGGCCAAGGTTATGCTTCCTTCCAGAGCTTCTCCCATGATAAATGATTCACTGATGCAAGAATAGAAAGATCTGGCTCCTTTGGTTCTATTTGGAACAACTTTGAAGAGCCACTCCAGCTCCAGAGCACCTTGTAGAAGGGCTGAGACCTCAGCTATAACTGTATTCAGGAACAGCTTCTCACTCTACCCATTTGGAACTTTCTTACAAGAACGCCTCACAGGAGCACTTGCCAATAAAACTTCTGCAAATGATTCTCTGGCACAGAGTCTATTTCCAGTGTAGAGGAGAAAAAAAATTATTTTTCTACCTTTCTATGTTCTTGGCTGGGCCCTCTATAACAAATGACAGAGTGATGAGAGAAAAACAAACAGAAGTATATTAACATGTATATTTCAAATATACATGGGAGAAAATCAGGGATGAGTAACTGAACAAGGTAGCTAAAATTTGAGCTTATATACTACTACCTTTGGCTAAAACAAAGGAAGAAGGTGTGGGGAGGCAAGTTACAGGAAGGTGACCAGGAAAACTAGAATGTGGTTTGTAATGCAGATTTAAATCGGTGCCTGAGACTCTTATCCATAAAGAAGGCACCAATTTAAAACTGCGTTACAGATTTAAGAGAGGAGTACAGAGAGGGAGACAGCCTCACAAATGGTAATTTCCTTTACAAAAGATAACTTACACTCTGTTTTCAGAGCTTTTCCTGTCTGTGTTGTTGTCAAAATAATCAACTCAAAACAATTACGCTAAAGATGCATGTTTGCGGTGCCATATTTTGGTCTCTTACACTAGAGAACACAATTCAAGACACCAGATGGTTTCCCATAGGCCTTTCTGAATGTGAATTGGA
The DNA here is from genome assembly GCF_000001405.40 of Homo sapiens. Classification (NCBI taxonomy): domain Eukaryota; kingdom Metazoa; phylum Chordata; class Mammalia; order Primates; family Hominidae; genus Homo; species Homo sapiens. The sequence goes on along the minus strand of NC_000004.12, from coordinate 13,512,705 downwards.
AGTGGAAAGACAGAAAAAGAAATGATGTTTCGAACTGGTGATGTCAATGGAATGAGTAATTCCTGTAGAGTTTAGAGCCACCATTAAGGCTACACATCGACTTAGCCAATACTGGAAGAAAAGGTGCAGAAAGGGAATAAAGAATGAAAAGGATATGTAAAGATGAGGGAAGCTGCTTCAAATCACTTTTAAGAAGAGAGAGAATAAACATCAAATATTAATAAGTGAATAGATGGAGAAATTTTGTTCACCAGCATACCTTTTAGGTATAGTACTATATTTAGGAATAATATAATAATAAGTGTGATGCTTTCCCATTCCCCCACCCCCACCCCATACACACACACTCAACTCTAACACATAGATGTAAGCTGACACCAAAAACACAGAGAGGGAGAATGTTTAGGATACAGACAGAGGAAACTAAAGTTCTAGCAGAAATGAGAAAGAAAGAAAAGGAAGACAGGGTAGTTGGCTGCTACACAGAATAAGACCAAACGGAGAGATCCAGGTTAGAAGGGAAGCTCAAACAACTTTTGAAGGAAGGATAGTGTAAAAGATTTGTGGCCGGGTGTGGTGGATCACACCTGTAATCCCAGCAATTTGGGAGGCCGAGGCGGGGGATCAAGAGTTCGAAACTAGCCTGGCCAATGTGGTGAAAGCCCATCTCTACTAAAAATATAAAAATTAGCCAGGTGCAGTGGCAGGTGCCTGTAGTCCCAGCTGTTTGGGGGGCTGAGGCAGAGAATCGCTTGAATCCAAGAGGCAGAGGTTGCAGTGAGCTGACATTATGCCACTGTACTCCAGCCTGAGTGTCAGAGCGAGACTCTCTCTCTCTCTCTCTCTCTCAAAAAAAAAAAAAAAAAAAAAAGATTCGTCCCCAATGGAATGAACAATTTAAACCATGTTGCCATCACTCCTTCTCAGACTACTGTTCTTCCCTATACAGGACCCTATCTAATAACCCTGCCCCCCAGCTCAAGTTGATTTGACCTGGAATGAACCCCTGAGCCAAACAGCCAGTCAGATTCTTTCCATCAATAATTTGGAATTGGGATTCACTCAGAGACAGATAATTCATTAAAACAGCAATTGGAGTTACAGTATTGTAAGTCTGAGAGCTGGGGCATGGCTGTCTTCCAGGATGGGACAAGGAAACAGAGAATACCAGGCTGAATAGAGAGAGTGGAATAAATTACATAAATGAAGAAAAATTAACATGAGAGGTAAAATACTCTTGGGTTTCCTTATGGATATCTGGGTCCTGCTTAAAGTCTCTTGTGAGGCTTAGCTGTATTCTTGTTCTTTGGTTTTGTAGGACATTCTTGTAGCCTGGTGACAAATTACTAACTCTATTTTTTTTTTTTTTTACAGACAGGGTATCACTCTGTTGCCCAAGCTAAAGTGCAGTTACATGATAATGACTCACTGTAACCTCAAATTCCTGGGATCAAGTGATCCTTCTGCCTTGGCCTCCTGAGTAGCTGGGACTACAGATGTGTACTACCATGCCTAACTTTTAAATTTTTTGTAGAGATGGGGTCTTGCTATGTTGCTGGTCTCAAACTCCTGGCCTCAAGTGATCCTCCCACCTCAGTCTCTCAAAAGTGCTGGGATTACAGGCGTGAGCCACCGAGCTCAGCATATACTACCACTTTAATAAAGATTTTAAACTAAGGGTATTGGTATATAGGGGTTGGGTTGCAAACATTAACCCTTTGAAGAAAATGTAGAATTGGCTTAGTTGAAACGATATGAAATAGGAGTGAATAATGAGGATTTATCCTGAGTGGGCCAGGGAAATAGCTTGATTTTGTTTCACAGATTTTCACTAATGATGATCAGAACAGGAAGGAGAAAAATGCCAAGAGAAAACCATTTAGCATAATCCTATAGAGACCAATAGAGAAAATAACTGGATATGGAAACAAAAATCCAGTGAATTTCAGGTCAAAAGTGTTCAGAAAATAAGTTGATAAAAATATCAATGTCTTCAGATGGAGAAAATATAAGAAGTAAAACATGCATTCACTGCAGTGTCTAAAAAAAGAACAAAAAGAAGTAAAGCAAAATTCACATTTTAGTGTAATTAAATATGAGAACATATAAGTGAAAAAATAAAGTGTAGAATGGTGTATACAATATTTATGTTAAAAAATGAAGGGATGGTGTATTAGTTTCCTTGGGTTGCTGTAACAAAGTACCACAAATTAAGTGACTTAAAACAATGGAAATTTGTTGTCTTACAGGTCTGGAGGTGAGAAATGCAAAATCAGGTTGTTAATAGAGCCATAATCCTTCTGAATGCTGTAGGAGAGAATCTTGCCTTGCCTCTTCCAGCTTCTGATAGCTCCTGGCATTCCTTGGCATTTGGTAGCATAACTCCAATCTCTGCCTATGATTCTAAAGACTGTCTTCCTCCTGTGTATCTGTGTTTTCTTTCACATGGTATTCTTCTCTCTCCTCTTCTTATAAGGACACTGGTTATCTAGAATTAAGGGCCCACCCACATAACTTCATCTTAACTCCATCATCAGCAAGAATCTCATTTCCAAATAGTCACAGGTACTAAAGATTAGGGCATCAACATATCTTTGTAGAGGATGCAATTCAACCTATCACAAAAGGCATGTTAATATATATTTCATTATTAAGTAGACAAATGTTTGTCTTTTTGGTTATTTAATTATTTTAGAGACAGGGTCTTGCTCTGTCTCCCAGGCTGGAGTTCAGTGGCCTGATCATAGCTCACTGCAGCCCCAAATTCCTGGGTTCAAGCAGTCCTCCCACTTGATCCTCCTGTATCAGCCTCCCAAGTAGCTGGGCCTACAGGTATGCACCAGCTAACTTTTTAAATTATTTTTTTAGAGATAGGGGTCTCACTCACTATGTTGCCCTGGCTGGTCTCAAACTCCTGGAGCTGCAGCTGGAGCAGCCAGGATGTAGGGAACATTGTCTCAAGCCAGAACAGGGCACGGGGGCCCTAGGCCTGGCCCAGGAAATCATTCAGTTCTCATAGGCCTCAGGGCCTGTGATGAGGGGCTGCTGAGAAGATCTCTGAAATGCTTTTGAGGCCTTTTGCCCATTGTCTTGGCTATTGGCACTTGGCTCCTTTTTAGTTATGCAAATATTTCTAGCAAATGGTTGCTCCACATCCTGCTTAAATTTCTCTCCCAAGGATGCTTTTACTTTCTTTGCCACATGGGTAGGCTGCAAATTCTGCAAACTTTTATGCTCTGCTTCCCATTGTATAAGTTCCAACTTTAAGTCATTTCTTTGCTCCTGCATCTGAGCATAGGTTTTTAGAAAAAGCCAGGACAGATCTTGAATGCTTTTCTACTTTTTTTTTTTTTTTTTTTTAATGTCAGATACCCTAAATTATCACTCTGACATTCAAACTTCCACAGAACCTTAGGTCTTGAATGCTTTTCTAACCCCCCCTTTTTTTTTTCTGTCAGATACCCTGAATTATCACTCTGACATTCAAACTTCCACAGAACCTTAGGGGCAGGGCACAATGCAGCCAAGTTCTTTGCTAAGGCATAACATGAGTGACCTTTGCTCCAGTTCCTAATAAGTTTCACATTTCCATTTGAGACCTCATCAGCCTGGCCTTCACTGTTCATATCACTATCAGCATTTTGGTCACAACCACTTAACCAGTCTCTAAGAAGTTTAAAACTTTACCTCATCTTCCTGTCTTCTTCTGTGGCCTCCAAGCTCTTCTAGCCTCTACCCATTACCCAGTTCCAAAGCTACTTTCATATTTTCAGGTATCTTTACAGCAATGCCCCACTCTTGGTACTAATTTCCTGTATTAGGATGTTCTTGTATTGCTGTAAAGAAATATGTGAGACTAGGTAATTTACAAGAAACGTGGTTTAATTGGCTCACAGTTCTGCAGGGTGTACAGGAAGCACAGTCCTGGAATCTCCTTCTGGGGAGGCCTCAGGAAGCTTTTACTCATGGCAGAAGGGGAACAGGAGCTTGCACATCACATGGCAAGAGCAGGAGCAAGAGAGAGTTGTACGGGAGTTGCCACACCTTTTTAAATGACCAGATCTTGTGTGAACTGATCAAGAGCTCACATATCACCAAGGGGATGGTCCAAGTCATTCATGAGGGATCCACCCCCGTGATCCAAAGTCCTCCCACCAGGCCCCACTTCCAACATTGGGGATTACAATTCAACATGAGATTTGGATGGGGACAAATATCCAAAGTATATCAGGCATTAATCCTTTCATGAGAGTGCAGCCCTCATGACCTAAACACTTCCTATTAAGCTCCACCTCCCAACATTGTTGCATTGGGGATTAAGCTTCCGACACATGCTTTTTGGGGACACATTCAAACCATAGCATCTATATTTTGGGATTTGACGTAAAAATATAAATAATGCCAATTTGCTATTTAAAATGATCACACTTAGTCACTGCAATTTAGAAGGCAGTGATTCAGAGATGTAATTGTTTAAATAAAATGGTCAGTAGGAGAGATGTGAAGGGAAATCTACAAACTCAAGGACAAATGCCAAAAAGAGGATTTTTGACAATGAAAGAAAGAGAGAAAAATAAGTATTTGTTGTAAGAACAGATTCCAGTTTGCAAAGCCAGCTGGAAGCTAAGAGAATTTGTCCTTGATAGACTACATACAGGAAAACTGGCCAGAGAGAGTTTAGCAGGGTGGTTAAGGAGGACTCTCAAGATAGACAGGACTTGGTTTGAATCTTTGCTCTGCCATTTTTATCAAGGTAACCTTAGAGAAGTCTCATCATCAACCTAAAATTCACCATTCTCATCTATAAAATGGGGATAGTACCTATTTCATAGAGTTGTTAAGACATTAAATAAGCTAATATGCATCACCTAGCAAAGTGTCTAGTCCATAAAATAAGGCCAAGTATAAATAAATAAAAGTAGAAAACTCAAAACTCCATTTTAATTCTAAACAATTGGGAAAATTAGCGTGAAATTAAAATTTTAAGATGGCTCTCGATATCCCCACACCCTAGTTTATACGCCTTGCATATGACTATGATGAGATAGTCACTCCCGGGATTAGACTCTGTTCTAAGGTACAATTGACTTAAAGAACAGATTATTCTGAATGGACCTAAACTGATCAGCTGAATCCTTAAAAGGGACTGTGCTTTTCCTAGTGAAAGATTTCAGAAACATGAGAGGGATTCAACACAAAAACAGATTCTCTTGTTGGTTTTAAAGATGGAGGGAGCCACAGGGTAAAGGAAGCAGTTGGGAAAGTTGCCCCTAGCTGCCGGCCAGCAACAGAATGAAGCCTTCAGTTCTACATCTGCAAGGAACTGAACCTTGCCACAGCCACAGGAACTTGAAAAAGGACACTGGGCTCCAGATGGGAAGGTAGCCTAGCCATCACCTTGATTTCAGCCTTGTGAAACCCTGAGTAGAGAACCAGTTATATTGTGCAAAGACTTCTGGCCAAGAGAACAGTGAGCATAAAAATTGGTGTTGCTATAAGCCACAGTTTGTGGTCACTTGTTACGCACTGAAAGAAAACCAACACATTTTTGTTTTATAACTGATAGGATCTTTGGAAAAGAGTGACCAGGTCCTTTGGAATTTGGAATTTGGAGATGAATATAATGTATTTTTAACATTATTATAAAATGCTGAACTATTATATAAGTTAGTTAAATCAGTTCGCATTTCCATCAGTAGTGTATGATAGCTCCTGTTACTCTACATCCTCTTCACGATTTGGTATTGTTAGACTTTTAAATTTTTTCCCATCTGCTAGTTACAAAGTAATAACTGCTGTTTTAAATTACATTGTCTTGATTTCTAAGAAGATAAATAAATTTTTATATGTTTATTGATGATTTGAATTTCTCCTGTTTCAAAGTACCCATTCCAAATCTACTGCTCATTTGCTTATGGATATATGTCATACATTCTGGGTACAAGTAAGTCTTTTTTTGGTTTCTTATTTAGATGTAAAAATTCTATCTGCACTACAAATGTTCTTCCCCACTCTGGCTTGTCTTTTCACTCTCCTTGTGGTATCTTCTGATAGACAGAAGTTCATGATTTAAAGTAGCTTTATCAATCACATTTTTATTTATAACAATGCTTATTATGTTTGATTTATGAACTATTTCTTTCTTCTGAGGTAATACAAATATTTTTCCTGTATTAGCTCCTAAAATTGTATAGTTTTGCTATTTATGTTGAAGTCTTTTACTTGTTATGTGTAGGGTGTTAGGTAAGGGGTTCAGTTTTATTTTTCTTTTATTTGATTAGCCAATTGAACCCCCTCTTGAAACAGCCTATATTATTTAAACTTTTTGTTATGAAAATTTTCAAGTATATATAAAAGTAGCCTTGTATATCTTTTCTTAGATATATTCTTAAGTGCATGATACTTATTACACTATTGTGAAAGTTACCTTTGCCTTTTTATTTAATTTTCTACTTAGTAGCTGGTATATAGCAACTAACTGCATTGATTTTTGAGTATTGATTTTTGTACCCAAGAGATTTGCTAAACCCACTTTTTAAAGTTAATAATTCATCTATAATTCTTTTGGATTTTCAGTGCACATAATTATATCAGCTTTGGATAATGAAAGTTTTATTTCTTCATTATAATTACTTCTTTTTTAAAGTTATGTTACTAGCTAGGATTGCCAATATATCATCTTAATCTCAATGGGAATACTTCTGACATTTTACCACTAAGTATAATATTTGTTGTAGACTTTTTGTAAATTATTTTTATCAGGTTAGGGGAGTTTCTTTTTCTAGTTTGCTAAAAGAATTTTTAAAAAATCATGAATAGATGTTGAATTGTACTGAATTATAACTATTTCCTCCATCTATTGAGATAGTCATAATTTTTATTCTTTAATACATTACATTATTTACTTTTTTAAACTTTTGAGATGGGGTCTCACTCTGTCACCTAGGCCAGAGTACAGTGGCATGATCATAACTCGCTGTAGCCTCTACTTCCTGGTCTCAAGTTATTTTCTCACCTCAGCCTCTCAAGTAGTTGGGATTATAGGCACCTGTCATTATGCCCACCTAATTTTTAAATTTTTATTTTTTATTTTTTTTGCAGATATGAGGTCTTCCTATGTTTCCCAGGGTGGTCTCAGACTCCTAGACTCAAGAAATTCTTTCACCCTGGGCTCCCAAATCTTTGGGACTATAGTCATGAGCTATCATGCCCGGCCACATTATTTAATTTTATAATGTAAATGTAAGCCAATCTTACATTCCTTTCCTTTGTCATGGTCTCACTATGTTGCCCAGGCTGCTCTGGAACTCCTGGGCTCAAGTCGTCCTCCCACCTCAGCCTTCTAAATAGCTGGGACTACAGGTGCCCACCACTGTGCCCAGCTATGACTTTAAACCACTTTCACTCCACTTACGCCTTTCTTTCTTGAGCTTATATGTTATTATTGTCATGTATTTTAATCCTACCCTTTCAAACACCACAGGATATTATTTTATATACTCAGTGTTCACTTATTTATCCACAAAATTATCACTTTCTTTGTTCTTCACATGGGATTGGTTTTTCCATCTAAAATCTATCTTTTAAAATTTCCTTTCGAGTGAGTCTAATGGTGGTAAATAATTTTTTAGTAGCCTGAAAATACCTTTATCTCCATTCTTGCATAACATTTTCTCTGTTTATAGAAATGTAGAATATTATAGATCCCATTTCTGAGTCTGAGTTTCACTGTGGCTGTTGAGAAGTCAACCGTTAGTATGCCACATCTATAATGATAATCCAACTTTAAGGCCCTCTCTGACTTTGAGGTTCTGCATTTTCGTAGGATGTGCCTGGGTGTGGATTTCTTAATTTTTTTTTTTTCTTCAGAGACAGGGTCGCCCAGTCTGGTGTGCAGTGGTGCAATGATGGCTAACTTCAGCCTTGACCTCCAGGTCTCAAGTGATCTTCCTACCCCCTGACTTCAAGGGATCCTCCAGCTTCCCAAAGCATTCGGTTTACTGACATGAGCCATGGCGCCATACTCGGATTTTTAAAAATTTCGCTTGTTTGAGATTCACTGTGATTACTGAATAAGTAAATCAATATCTTTCATCAATTTTTGAAAAACTCTCACCCCTTATCACTGCAAATATTGCATCACCCCTATTTTTTCTTTCATTGTATTCTGTAACTAAGATTGAATATTTGTTAGTCACTTTATTCTACGTGTCTTTCAACATTTATTTCATGTTTTTCTTCTCTTTTATTTTTGTGCTCCATTCTGGATACTGTCATATAGATCATCTTCTAATTAACAAATTCTTTTTTCATCTGTGTTAATTCTGTTGTGTGTGTGTGTGTGTGTGTGTGTGTGTTTCCTTTTTTTATTTTTTTTTTTTAAGAGAAGGTCTCACTCTGTAACCCAGACTGAAGTGCAGTAGTGTGATCATGACTCACTGTAACTTCAAACTCCTGGGCTTGAGTGATCCTCCCATTTCTGCCTCCCGAGTAGCTGAGACTACAGGTGTGTACCACCTCACCTGGATAATTTTCTAATTTTTTGTAGAGACGGTGTCTTGTTTTGTTTCCTAGGCTTGTGTTTTTAATTTCAATTATTTTAATTTTTGTGTTAAGAAATACTATTTGATTTTTTAAATCTGCTACTTGCTTTTTAATAAATTCTTCCTTACAAGTATGTTCAAGCTTGTCTTTCACTTCTAAACATAATAAGCATGATTTCTTCATTGCCTGTGTTAACAATTTCATTATATTAGTCATTTTAGATGTTCATGCTGTTTGTGGTTTCAGCTAATTGTCATTTACAATGCTTTATTTCCATGTGTTCAGAGCTATCTGTGTCTGTCAACTGCCCATTTTTCTTAGAAAATTAACTGGATTCTCTGTGGCATAGACTAAAGGTGCCTTCCTCCAGAAATGATTGCTTTTATTTCTTCTGTAAGTCTAGGGGCATTAAGATTGGAGACCCACTTTAAGCTAATTGTTGGCTTGAATTTAATCAGTGATGTAAGTGTCATATGTCCTCCCTCCTAGTTTGCCTTTTAACTTTGTTTACGGTGCTTTTAAAAATTGAACTAAAGTGTTTTTTTAATTTTAACATAGGCATATGTTAAAGTATTTAAGTATTTCTAACTAAACGTACCCTTTCTTCATAGTTTTGTTTGTATGTCTTAAGACTTCCTTCTCTACTCCAAGTTATATATTCTTTATTGTCATCTAAAATATTACAAAGTTTTGATTTTCTCATTTGTAAAATATTTTTATTTACACTGTGAGATAGAAACTTTATTTTTTTCCCTATAGATATCCATTAGTCCAAGTACCGTTTACTAAATACTTAATCCTTTCCTCACTGAATTGAAATACTAAATTATCATGTATGTCTGAGTCTTTCTGGGTTTCTACTCTGTTCTACTGATGCCTTTACCTCTATACTGTCTGCAGGCCGTCTTCTTCTTTTTCAAAATTATTTGACAACCAAAATTTGGGATCATTTTTTTCAGTACCACATTAAAACAAGATTACAATCTCAATTGCAATTGAATTTATGTGACTTTATATAGAATTGGGACTATTTCACCATAATAAATTTTTTTTTTTTTTTTTGTGACAAGGTCTTGCCCTGTTGCTTGGGCTAGAGAGCAGTGGTGCAATCACAGTTCACTTCAATCTCTAACTCTTGGGTTCAAATGATCCTCCTGCCTCAGCCTCCCAAGTAGCTGGGACTACAGGCATGTGCCACCATGCCCAGCTATGTCCACAATGTTTTTGAACATCTTTTGTTTCTCATTACCTTACAGTTTTTGTGTTTGTGAATGATACCGTTTTTCTTTATACTTTCTGGTTGCTTTCGCTGGTGTAGCTGGTGTTTAGAAATATCACTAATTTTTGTATGTTGATCTTGTATCCAGCAAGCTTAATGAACTCTTTTTAGGTCTATGAGTTTATTAAGAGATTTGCTTGTCTTTTCTATCATGGTGATCATATCATCACAGAGACAGTGTTGTCTTTTCCTTTGCAACGTTTCTTCCCTATATGGTGGTGAATACAGAAGATAATAGCAAGCAAACTTGCTTATTTATTCCCAATTTAGAAATGCTTCAAAAGTTTTCCCATTTAGCGTGATGTTTACAGAGGCTTTTGCGAGTTATTTTTAAAAATCAGATTAAGGAAGTTTCCTTCTATTCTTCATTTTCAAGAAGTTATTATTTTTTAAAATCATGAGTGAATACAGACTTTTGTTGAATGCACTTTAGGTCTCTGTAATTTTTTTTAATGAATAGATAGAATTTATTTCAGAAATTATTAACTCAATGTACTAAACAACATTAATAGGAAAAATCCTCACTAAAAAAGTTTGATAACATTTAGTATTTATTTAGAATTAGGATTAGAAAGAAAATGTTTTAATGTTGAAAACCTTCCCTCCGACAGTGAGATGATACAAGGATGCCCAACATTTATACAGCACTGTTCTATAGTTATTATTGGTCCCTGTAATATTGAGTTAAATTCATTTGTCTTTTCAAGAAGACCTGAAGTCATTTGCACCCATAGTTTCAGTTTTATTTATTGCTTTTTTTTTTTTTTTTTGAGACTGAGTTTTGCTCTGTCGCCCAGGCTGGAGTGAAGTGGCGTAATCTCAGCTCACTGCAACCTCCATCTCCCGGGTTCAAGCAATTCTCCCACCTCAGCCTCCAGAGTAGCTGGGATTACAGGTGCCCACCACCACGCCCGGCTAATTTTTGTGAAATTAGTAGAGACAGGGTTTCACTATGCTGGCCAGGCTGGTCTTGAACTCTTGACCTCAGGCAATCAACCCACCTCAGCCTCCCAAAGTGCTGGGATTACAGGCGTGAGCCACCGCGCCCGGATATTTACTGCTTTAATCTTCTGATTCACTATGATTTGCATCTTGAATTGTTTTTATACTTTCTCTATTTAATATTACATGTTCATAGTAGAGGAGATTGCCTCAAATTAAAAGCTTCTATAAGCTTTTAACTAAAAATCTGATAGGCGTATTGTGTTGAATTAGGACCCAACCCCACAAAGATATACTCATGTTCTAACCTCTGGAACCTATAATGTGATCTTATTTGAAAATGCGTCTTTGCAGAAGTGATTCAGTTAAGAATCTCAAGATAAGATCATCCTATATTATCTAGGTGGGCTGTAAATCCAACAAGTGTCCTTCCAAGAGACACACAAAGGAAGAACATAGGGCAGATGGAGGAGAAGGTCAAGTGCAGATGGAGACAGAGACTGGAATGATGTAGCCACAAGCCAAGGGGTGCTTTCCCCTGGAGCCTTCGACAGCTTGATTTGGGACTTACTACCTCCAGAACTGTAAGAGAATTGATTTCTGTTGTTTTAAGCCACTCAATTTGTGGTAATTTGTTGTGGCAGCCTTACGAAAGCCTAGTGAAGTTGGCATTCTTTATTCTGATTATTGATTCTTTTTCTATTTTACATGTTGTAAACCTCTTCTATAGTCTGTCATCCTTTAACTTTGCATAGGGGTGATTGTCATCTCTTTTCATACAATAAGAGTCTCATTGCCTTCTAAAACATCTCTTTTTTTTTCTGGAATGATTTGAATTCTTTTTCTGAAATTAAGGTAAAGGAGGACACATAGTGATCTCATGGAAGGGTATGTTTAGTTAGAAATACTTAAAGTAGAGAAGTTAACATCGTCTCCGCATAAACACAAATCAACTTCATATTTGACCTAACATTATTGACAGTATTAAATGAGGAAGGACTGAGCCCATTGACGTGGAACACGAACAGGACATTTTTATTATCCTAGCAGAATCAGGGAGGGAAAATAAGTCTGTAAGATTTATGGAAAGGTATCTGAAAATCTATACAATCAGGCAGTCCTCAGGTGAAAAATTCTGTATATGTTCCTCTGTGTGTTTTAAAGAGCCGTTTCATTTCTAATATTTAAGATGTGACTTTTCCTAACTCTTAGTATGATATATAACTTGGTATTTATAAATATTTTCCTTTATACCTTTTACCTGCGAAATCTCAAATAATGTGGCTCCACTGTTAATAGATAACTATTTAGTAACTGAAAAATTAAGTATATTATCGAATAAATAGAAAATCATTTTCAAGCTTTCTAGGATGGGTTTTAAATTGCCAGTACACTCTGAAGGCATGAATCTCCCCTGCGTGGGTCACCAGTCAAGGACCTGCACGTGCATTCACATCATTAAGTATTTTTCTCATTAACTAAGAAGAATATTGATCTTTGGGTGAGGGCTTTGGAGAGGAGAAGCAGGAGTCTTGTAGCTTACTGTGTCATACAGTGGAGCTCTGAGATAGGTATTTTTCCCTTCAGTACTTCAGCCATGACCTGAACTACTGGAGTTCAGCTTCAACATAATTGCAGCACAGCAAGGAGTCCCTTCTGGAAACCAGCTGCTTGATCAGGGATTCATTTATCAGGGGGATTATGACTCCAAACATTTTTCTAGACTGTTGTGGCCATTTAAAGGGGGAAAAAAAGAGGAGTCTGGGGAACTAATTAGGAAGGAGTGGCTCCCCTCAGAGTCTTGACCTTAACCCTACTGAGAAAGTATGGGATTTACTTTACCTAAGTAAGGAAAGAACATAAATAGTTGGCAAAAATGCTTTGTGGTATGACTTCCAGCAAGTAATGAATTGGCCTGATACAGAGAGAAACATACACACACACATACACACACGTGCATGCACGTACACACCTATAAGAAAAACAACAAATGCTTTAAAATTGCAATTAAATGTATCATTATGACATATGTTATTATTTTGTATTTTCCTGGTTACAAGAAAAATAGATTAATTTATGATTAGCATATAGAGGATTTAATCTGTGACTAGCATATACAGGATATAACCTAAAAACTTTTTTTTCACATTTTGGTAGGTTATGGAATGTTAATACAATGAATTCAGGTGTCACTTTCTATTATTCTGCTTAGAATATTGTGTTTTGCTTATGTGCATTTAATGTCTTTCATTAATTCTAGAAAATCCTTAGTCTTTACATTTCAGCATATTACCTCTTCCATATCCTTTCTCTCTTCTCTTTCTTCAACTGTAGTTACATGTTACACCTTCCCAGGTTATTCTCCATGTTTTTCAATGTCTCTCCCATTTTTAAAAAATATCCTGATACATCTGTGGTACATTCTGGGTAATTTCATCATATTTATTTTCCAGTTACTGAGCTGTTTCAAATCTACTACTTAATCCAGTCACTAAGATTTTAATTTCAATGATTATAATTTTCATTTCTAAAAGTTTCATTTAAAACAGCAACAGAGGTTTAGTTTGAAAAAGTTTTTGGTTTAGTGTTGAGAAGAACTTAGAGCTTGTATACAGTTTGCAGAATTGCAAAAACTTCAGAAACTTGGCTTTTATTGACAGCATTGTGCTGTCCTCTCCCTTGCATTTCTTTAAAATACTAGTATTTTGATCTTCATAATACCCTTGTGAAGTGTTTACTCTTACTTCTATTTTATGGGTAACAAAACTGAGGCTAAGAAGCCTACCCAAGGCCTATAAATTAGTAATAAGTAGAGCTGAAATTAAATTCATGTTTTATTTCTCTCCTTATAGCCATATTTTTTCTTATTTAAGTATATATTGTTAAATAGTTGTCATGAATATACCATGGAGTAGTGGAGGGTCAAGTAACTAGGGAAAGATGTGCTAAATCCATTATATAAAAATTAAGATTTTTTTTTGGAAAAAGCTAAGTAGGCTTAGCCCAGGATAACTCAAAATTTTATTTCAGTTTCAAAGTAATTTCTTTTTCCTACTTATTTTGTTCATGTCTATGAATTTCCTCACTTCTTGCTTTATTTTTTCTATATTTGTATCCCTTCTTTCGGGGTCTTATATTCTGTAAAGTAATTCACAAATTGCAGTTTCTAATATTTAAGATTTACTTCTTACTTTTGTTGGATCATTATAAAGAGGAAGTTAGACAATATATGCTAAATTTCCTCATGAGGTGTCTGTTTCATAATGGGTACTCAAAAAAAAGAGGAATTGGAAAAATTCTTTTATTTGCAAAGGCAGCATAAATACTAATCAAATAAAGTCATAATTCACCTTGGTATCCCTCACAGCATGTATCAATCAGGGTTCTCTGGAGAAACAGAACCACTTTGTGTGTGTGTGTGTGTGTGTGTCTGTGTGTGTGTGTGTAGTGACAGAGAGCAAGAAAGAGAAGAATTTGAAAGAATTGGTTCATATGATTGTGGGTGCTGGCAAGTCTGTAATTTGTAGGGCAAGTCGCTGGCTGGAAACTCAGGCAGGATTTCTAGACTGTTACAGTTTTAAGGTAGAATTTCTTCTTCTCCAGGAAACTCGTTTTTCAATGTTAACTATCACACAGCGGGTAGTATTAATCTATGGCTTTGTGTGTGCAGGGGCTATATCTAGTGTTTTTATTGAATTCAGTTAAATTTCTTCAGGAAAATGATTCTCCTGTATCATACCAAACTTTAATTTATCCATATTTAGTCAGAAAGCTTACTCTTTCTCCCTTTACTCATCTCGCAAAAAAAGATATTTCAAAATATTAGCATCACTGGCTTAACTGGATAGGTTGCCATCGCGAAGTCTTTATAGACAAAATTCATTTGAATATTTATGTACTAATGTGCTTACTTGATATGAAAATGAGACACTTTAATAAAAGGTTCTAATATAGATTTAGTGTTATACTAAGCACTGTATATGTATTGATAAGCTTTTTAATAATCCTGTTAAGTACTATTACTATAATCTCTATTTTATAGGTGAGAAAACTGAAACTCACAAAATTTAGATTACTTGTCCAACGTCATAAACATGACTACAAATGTAAATCAGATCTATTCAAATCTATGCTACTGCTTTAACCACCACGCTTGAGCTTCTCTTCATGTTCTTATGATACTAATTTATTTTAGTAATAATGACTAAGGCACTGAGAAAGTTTTAAACATTCTGAATCAAAACATTTGTATATCATAATACTGAGCTCCCCATATATTTAAGGAGAAATTGAAACCTTTTGCATATGAGCCCTTCTATAATGAGGATTTAAGTATTAGAACTAAGTTTCTTAACTATGCATATGATTTATTTCTTTTCTGGAATTTTTAAAAGTAGGGCTTCTAAAATAATATTTTATGTGATATTAGTTATATTAGTTCTATATATTAGTAAATATTATTTAGAAAATGGGTTCTTTGGTCAAATAAGTTCAGGGAATTTCCAGAAATGTATTTGACTAAATAACCCTTTTTCAAGTAATGTTGGGTTGTAAAAGGTCAACGGAGATTATTTATTGCAGTATTTCTCACAATATAGTCTGTTCAAGTGTATTGTCACCTTCCAAAAGTAGAGTAGCTATAGCTGTTTTCAAACTAAACAGCAATTCATTGGACTAATGTCCAAAGAACTCACTTTTGGGAAATGCCCTCTCAAAATTAAGATAATACTTTATAGCAGTATCTCACTTGTCTGAATGTCTTAAATTTTACAACGTAGATACACTGAAAACCCAGATGACATAGCTAAGGACCATCATAGATAAAGCAGTTATGCAATGGAGGAGGGCTGTATAAAACAAGGTTTCAGAAGAGATCAAAGTAAAGGATATTAGGAGTTAGAGAACATTTGCAGCGCTGCCATTCCATGGACTCCGGAAATGCCATTTCCCTAGTACCACTGGAATCTTTATGCCGGCTTTTGATGGTGAAGGAAATTCACACCTTCAAAGCTCCCACAATCAAGCTTCAAATAATGTTTTGTGTTTGTACCACAACTCCTATTTTTCAGAACACTTCTACACATATTACCTTATCTAACCATGCCAGCCTTGCTGGTGAGTTGTGATAGGTCTGGTTTTTACAGCTGTGGAGGTGATTTGAGAACTCTTCTGCTCTACAGATTTTTGGTTTTGTCTGGAGCTATGCTTTAGGAATCAATGAAGCACGTCCCCATGCAATGAGGCAGAACTGTGGACAGATGGAAAATTGCAGCTCACAAACCAGTTTGGGGTTCTGTTACAAGCAAGAGTTATTTCTTTTCAAACAAAGGCTTTTAGATGATTATTAAACTAGCAGGTTTTGTATGTATTAGCAGAATATACTAATCATATGACAAAGTTCTCATCTACCTACTGTGAAAAGGACTGTTGTTTATTATTCGTCTTTTGTTACTGTTGAACTATTTTTATCCTTTCTTTTCCATTTTTAAATCAAATTTATGTTCACTGTAACAAATTTCATACAATATCAAAATGTTTAAATGGAAAGGGATAGTTCTCTATAATCTCACTACTATTAATAGCTATTCATAATTTGGTTTGTATTAGTCTAGATATTTTATATGCATTTGCTATCAATTATATATGTATATATTTATAATTATATAAGCAAAACATACAGAAGATTGTACACATCAACTTCATAGCTAAGTGAATTATAAGAAAGAACACACATCCATGTGACCACCATCCAAGTCAAGAAATAGAATGTTATCAGTAATTCGAAAGTACTGGTACCTCACTCATAGGTAGCCAGTACTTTACTTCTAATACCAATGTTTTGTTTGTTCGTTTGTTTGTTTGTTTGTTTTTACCTTATGAAAACAGATTCACAGAAGATGTTCTCACTTGTCTCTGGCTTCTTTCACCTAACATATTGTTTTTTTTTTCATATTGTAATATGTAGCAATTCATTCATTTTCATTGCTGTATAATATTCCACTGTGGGAATATGCAACATCTCAATTGTGGATGGACATTTAGACTGGTTCCAGTCTTGAGGTATTATGCATAATACTGCCATGAACATTCTTGTACATACCTTTGGTTGCCTTTTGTTTGGGTAGATACTAAGAAATCAAACTGCCCAACTATAGGTTGTGTATATTCAGCTTTACTAGATGATGCCAAACAGGTTTACAAAGTGGTTACAGAAATATATACTCCTATCAGCAGTGCATGGAAAATTTAATGGTTTCACATCTTCTCCAATTCTTGGCAATATCAGCCTTTGTAACTTAACCATTCTGGTGTATGGGTAGTGGTAACTTATAATAGTTTGCATTTGCATTTAACTGATTACTAATGAAGTTAAGAACCTTTTCATGTTATTGGCCATTTCATGAAGTGCCTATTCAAGCCTCATGTCGAACATTCTATTGGGTTATTTGTGTCGATTTCTTATAGCTGCAGGTAAACTTTCCAATTCTAGATACAAGTGTCTGCATTATATGTACTGAAAATATTTTCTTCTGCTCTGTGGTTTTCATTTTAATTTGCTTAAATGTATCTTTTGATGAGAAGAATTTTAAAATTTCAATGTAACTCATTTACTCAACTTTTCCTTTAAAGGTTGGTTTCTTCATTTCTTCTTTAAAAACTCTTCACCCACTGCAAGGTCTCAAAAATATTTCCCTATGTAATCTTTTAAGAAGTTTCTCACCTTCGGACTTAGCTTTATGAAATGGCCAGAACTGATTTTTGAATATGGTATCACGTACGATTCAAGATTCACTTTTGTTCTAAATGACTATCCAATTGGCCCAAGACAATTTATTGAAAAGAGGGCCCTTATGCTGGGCATGGTGGCTCCCACCTATAATCCCAGCACTTTGGGAGGCTGAGGCGGGTGGATCACAAGGTCAGGAGTTCAAGACGAGCCTGACCAACATGGTAAAATCCCGTCCCTACTAAAAATACAAAAATTAGCCGGGCATGGTGGTGCGCACCTGTAATCCTAGCTACTCAGGAGGCTGAGGCAGGACAATTGCTTGAACCTGGGAGAGGAGGCTGTGGTGAGCTGAGATCGTGCCACTGCGCTCCAGCCTGGACGACATAGCGAGACTCCATTTCAAAAAAAAAAAGAAAAGAAAAGAAAAAAGGGCCCTTTTTCACTGCTCTGAAATGCCAACTTTGTGATGAAGCAAGAAAACAATATATCTCTCGGAACTCCAATTATACATTTCATACATGTTTCTTACTGTATATTCTGTATTTTCTATTCCATTGTCTTTGTGTCTGTTAGTCTGAATATTTTATTGACTTACTTCTACCTTATTATTTCTCTCTTTGGCTATGTGTAACCAGGCATAACACTTATTTATTGGGTTAACTTCAGTTATTATATTTTTAGCTAATTTCCATTTGGTTCTTTTTTATAATTTCAGCTTCCCAGACCAAATTCTCAGTCTTGTCATTTAATCCCATAAATATATTAGCTGTTTAAAGTTCATGGTTTATATCTCCATAATTTAGGTCCCTGTGCCGTACTTCTTTTGTTCACAATTTCTTTTGATTTTCAGTCAGAAAGTCTTGTTCTTCAATGCAACGTTTTTGATTGAGTGCCAGATATTAATCATGGAAAATTATAGAGATATTTTTATATTATCTTCTTCCAGAAAGAATACGCTTTTACTTCTTGTATGTGATTCACTTAAGAAAATTAGCAACCCGAGATTATCTTAATGAAAAATTGAGATAACCAAAAATTTGGCTTCACTTCCTATGGGGACTGCCTATTTCTGGTTCACTCACTCTTTCTTCTAAGATGTAGCTTTTCAGGGTCCCAACCCAAAGAATGTAGGCTGGTTTACTAAGGCTCTTTCCTCCTTGACATGGCCTGAACTCCCATGTTTACCCCTTCTCCTCCCAGTTTTATGAGGCTGTTAAAAATGCTACTTATCCTATGTCTCAATTCTACTTCCTGAATCAGCAGATACTATCTGGGGACAGTTGCCCCTAAAGCTGTCTCCTGCTCTTTGGGCTTTTTTCTTCAACTAAATCTTAGCCCCATAAATTCTCATGTCATAATTTGGTAACTCTGATAATTTCAAGCAGATTAAAAAATATTATGTCTAGATTTTCTGGGTTTCCTCAGCAAGAAGACTGGCACAAATCTTCTGTCTTTGCTGGAAGTTTACATGATCCTAATAGTGCTTTTGGCCACATGAATATTTAAAATTTTATGTACACACATTATCAGTCTTTAATTTAGTGACTTGACCTTCATGCTATGCTTAGAGGAGTTATTTCCACTTCAGATTACAGAAATCTATGCACTTTTTTTCTAGTTTGCTGTGACTTCATTTAAGAAATATGATTTAACTTCATGTGGAATTCATTTTGAAGAAATGAGAAAATATTGTTTTAAAAATTACCCCCATGTTTTCCCCACTGATTAGAAATATCGCCTTTACTAACCAGTTAATTTCTTTCTATATTGAGACCTTTCTAATCTTTTCTGTTGAAAAAAACCCATCTATTTCAATGCCTACTCCACACAGTTTTAGTGTTAGTTTAATAATACTTTAAAAAATATCTGGAAGTTCTTATTTCTTTTCAATACTTGAAAACTTAGGGAAGCTTCACTTATTTTTCTTTTAGATATATAGCAAATAATTTAATAAAGTTATGAGTAAGTTACATGGCATAATAATATAATGAATACTTGTGAAATCACCATCTGCTATGGTTTGACTGTGCCATCCAAAACTTCTTCAAACTTAATCACCAAGGCTGTATTGAAAGGTGGGGCCCTTAAGAGGTGATTGGATCATGAAGGCTCTGCCTTCGTAAATAGACTTATCCATTCATGGATTAATGTGTTAATGGATTAATGGATTATCATAGGAGAGAACTGGTGGCTTTGTAAGAAGAGGAACAGAGCCCTGACCTCATACGTGAGCACACAAACACATGAACACACTCAGCCCTTTCTCCATGTGATACTCTGTGCTGCAAGAAGGCTCTTACCAAATTCAGCCCTTTGACCTTGGACTTCCCAGCCTCCATAGCTGTAAGAATTAATTTTTTTCTTTACGTATTATCCAGTTTCAGGTATTCTGTTATAAGCAACAGAAAATGAATTAAGATAACACACAACCTAAAAAAAAATTATAACCTGTATCTCTTTTTCTGTTTCTTCTTTTCCATCTTCTTTTACCTTCCTCTTTATGGACAGTTTTATTACTCATACATGTACATGTATAAGTGTATATACATTTACTTTTGTGCTCTTGTTTTAGAGCTTGATAAATATGGTATCATACATTAGGTAATCTTCACCCCCCCTCCGCCCAACTCAATATTGTATTTCTAAGATAAATCCCCGTAGCTGGAGTTTATTCATTTTCCCCTGCTATATAGTATTTCCTTGTACGAATATGCCAAAATCTATCCACTTTGTTGTTGAATGGCCTTTGGATTATTTCTCTAATGAATATGAGCCTATGACAATTTTTGCACGTTTCGCCTGCTGCATTTTTTACACGAGATTTCCAGGGTACGTACCTAGGAGTGCAATTGCTGGGTCACCAGGCTATGCACATCTTTTAACTTTACAAAGTAATGACAAATTTCTTTCTTTCTTTGTTTTTCTGGGAGGGAGTCTCACTCTGTTGCCCAGGCTGGAGTGCAGTGGCTCAATCTTGGCTCACTGCAACCTCCGCCTCCCGGGTTCAAGCAATTTTCCGGCCTCAGCCTCCGGAGTAGCTGGGATTACAGGCACCCACCATCATGCTTGGCTAATTTTTTTGTATTTTTAGTAGAGATGAGGTTTCACCATGTTGGCCAGGCTGGTCTTGAACTCCTGACCTTGAGTGATCCGCCCACCTCGGCCTCCCAAAGTGCTAGGATTACAGGCATGAGCCATGAGCCACCACGCCTGGCCCAAGACAAATTGTTTTCTAAAGTGATTTCATGTATTCCCTTTGTTTGTTTTTGTTTCTGTTTTTGTTTTGGATGGTGTCTGGCTCTGCCGCCCAGGCTGGAGTGCAGTGGCACGATCTCGGCTTTCTGCAACTTCCACTTCCCAGGGTTCAAGTGATTCTCCTGCCTCAGCCTCCCAAGTAGCTGGGATTACACGTGTGCGCCACCACGCCCAGCTAATTTTTGTATTTTTATTAGAGACAGGGTTTGCCCATGTTGGCCAGGTTGGTCTCGAAATCCTGACCTCAGGGTGATCCACCCACCTCGGCCTCCCAAAGTGGTGGGATTACAGGCGTGAGCCACCGAGCCCAGCTGGTTTCATGTATTCTCTACAAGGAATGTGTCAGAGTTCCCACTGATCCACATTCTCCGCAACAACTGGTATCATGCAGATTGTAAAGGTATGTACTGACTTATTGATGGAGCTAGTACGATCAAAACTATAGGTTTTCGTTTTTGTTTTTGTTTGTTTGCTAGCTTGCGTCCTTTTGGTTTCTGCTAAGGTTGGGTACATGAGAGAGTTTGGAAAGTAGGAGGAGGCATGAGGGACTTTCTTTCTTGTTTGTTTGGCATTCTTGTCAATGTAATTCCAAATATGGGATCTCACCTTAGCAGCAGCAGTTGGTTATAGCTGTGGTTTTCTAGTTTCCACATTCTTTCTAACTTCACGAATCAGCATCACTATTGTGTTCACTTGGAGGCACGAGAAGCAGCTGAGCAATATCCTCTTCTCAGAGGTGAGTTCCAGCTCTGTGGGAACCGTCCTCTGATCTCCCAAAGTATGGCCAGTAGCAGCCAATGGAACATCCTCCTCAGAATTCTGTGTCTTGCTCCTTGGATCCTTCCTCTGTACTCCTGAAAAACAGTAGCAGTAAGGCAAAAGTCTGGGTCCTAACTCTCTAGTTTGTCTCTTTCAGCTTCGAAGTTATGATAACCCCTACCACTTTCTTTCATTCCTCTAGTCTAACAGGTAAGAGGTAGTAACTGCCTCCTGCAGTAACTTTGTGCTACACCCCTGTATTTCCTTTTTGTTTTTTCTGTACTTCAACACCATGTAACAAATTCTCCATATTAATTCTCTCTGTTAACATAACTTTATGTTTTTCATTTTTTTGACTGATAAAGATATTGTTTGACTTCTTAGTTTTTGCTAATCTACAGGTATGAAATGGTACCTCATTAAACCCTTTTTGTGCTTTTCTGGTTACATTAAGACGGGTTGAATATTTTTGTATATGTTTATTGACCACACTGTTTCTTCTTCTGTAAAATGTCTTTTCATTTTACTTGCTGATTTTTCTATTTTTTTTTTCTTACTGGTTTGTAGTTCTTTGGAGGTTCTGGATACCAATTGGTATAAGTTTTATGTGTTGGATGTATCTCCTAGTTTGTGGTTTATACTTTCACTTTATTGTATATTTTGATGAACAGTTTTAAATTTTAATAAAATTTTCTTGATGTTCTTTTATGAAGAACTCTTTGTGTCTTCATTATGAAATTCTTCTCCATCCTAAGATAAGAAAGGCAGTCTCCTCATGGTATTTGAGGTTTCTTTCACATTTGGATTCGTATTCAACTGGAATTTATTTTTTTGTGTGTCTAATGAAATGTAGAGTTCCAATTTCATTTCTTTTCCTATATGTTTCCAACTGTCACCCCTTTCCTCTTTGATACACTACTCGATACGCTCTCTCATATATAAAGTTTCATGTATCTGGCAGCCTATTTCTTGGCTCTCCAATGTTATTGTGGTGAATTTGTTTATCCTTGCACCAATAATATACTGTATCTTAATTATAACTTTATACAAAGTCTTGATATACGGTAAGGAAAGTTCTAGGATCTTCTTCTTCTGGAATATCTTGCCTGTCCTTGGATCTCTACCTTCCATATGTGCCATTTCAAATTCTATGAAAAATCTTATTAGAATTGCATTAACTTTGTAGATCATTTGGTAGAATTGATATATTTTATTGTTTTTCTATCCATGGATATGAGATGTCTCTCCATTTATCTAGTTTTTATTTAATGTATTTTATTGTTTTTTAAATTTTCCCCCATAAAATACAATATTTGCTTTGAGATTAATTCCAGACATTGCACAATACAGTTGCAATTATAAATAGTCCTAGAAAAATATGTTGCCCATTAATGATCCCTTCATTTCTTGCCCCTCCTCTTGCTTCTCCTGGCTATTGTCATGTGTTTATTCTTACACATGAAGTTCAGCATCATTCTGTCAACCAGAAAAAAAAAAAAGTCAGGAAGATTTTGATAGAAAGTGGGCTCTCTCTCTCTATATATATTTATGTGTATATATACATATATTTATGTGTATATATATATATATTTTTTTTTTTTTTTTGAGACGGAGTCTTGCTCTGTCACCCAGGCTGGAGTGCAGTGGCGCGATTGGCTCCACTGCAACCTCTGTCTCCCGGGTTCAAGAGATTCTCCTGCTTCAGTCTCCCAAGTAGCTGGAACTACAGGCATATGCCTCTATGCCCAGCTAATTTTTGTATTTTTAGTAGAGACGGGGTTTCACCATGTTGGCCAGGATGGTCTCAATCTCCTAACCTCGTGATTCGCCCGTCTCAGCCTCCCAAAGTGCTGGGATTACAGGCGTGAGCCACGACACCTGACCGGGCTTAATATATTTTTGTGTACGGAAGTCACGTTTTTATAATGGTGACAACAATATGTGAAAATTGAAGTTTCAAGTAGAGCCCATGAGATATAGTAGATGAGCTACTCCTAGATTAAATCATCAAATGCAGATGTCAAAACTTATGTCCAAGAACCAGTTCCATGACTGTTGTTGCATGCCTCACCCATCTCAAGAGTATAAAATGTAGATGGAGGATTTGTTTTTTTTTTGTTTGTTTTTTTTGAGAGAAGAGTGCTAATTGTGGACAGAGATTTTCTTTGGAAGAGCGGTAGGCTGTACTGAGGAGCACTCATCATAGTATTCCCAAATTGGGAACAACCTGTGTGTCCATCAACAGTACAGTGGATAAATTGTAGTGGATTCATACAATGGAATAGTACATGGCAATAGAAAATATACACTTCTGATGCACATAACAACATGGATGACTTTATAGAATACTATTGAGTGAAAATAGCTAGATGCCAAAGAGAACATACTACCTGTAATCTATTTGTATGACGTTTACAAGCTGGTAAAACTAATGTACAGGACTAGAGATCATAATAGTAATCATTGAGGAGGTAATAACCGAGAGGTGGCATGAGGGAGTCTGCTGGGATTCTGAATTGTTCTATGTCTTGATTCAGATGGTGGTTAAACATACAACATGCACATGTATATCTATGTAGATGTGCATACAACCCATGGGAGAACAGAATTTTAGGAAGAAAGCCTTATTTTTTAAAATTTTGTCCTCAAGGAGTTTAACAAACCAATTAATTCTAGGGATTAGTTCTGTATTTTTCTTAGTTTTTCAGCAGAACTATACAAATACAGAAATACCAAGTGTACAACCTGGAAGCATGGCCAGTATTTAGCCTTACTCAGACATTAGTCCTAGGATCTACATCTTCAAAATTGTGAAATAGTGCAAAAAGATGAAAACTGATGGATGACATTGGATTTGTTGAGAAGATGTCAGAGACTGGTAGTTTCTGAAATTAGTTCCTTCCTTGATTCGTTTACCATTTTCCCACCTTCATTATTGATGAATAATAATGTTAAGATATTTTTACTCTATTTCATCTGTCACCTGTTTTACTATCTTTTTAATGTACCAGAATATGAAACTGTCTTGATGATTTACTAAATATCTGTGTTCATCCTTATATTAGTTATCTATGGCTATTGTAAAAAATTACCATAAACTTGGTAACTTAAAAGAACATAAATGTATTCTCTCACAGATCTTGAGGTCATAAGTCCTAAATCAGTGTCACTGCACTGAAATCAAAGTGTCAGCAG
The DNA here is from genome assembly GCF_000001405.40 of Homo sapiens. Lineage (NCBI taxonomy): Eukaryota > Metazoa > Chordata > Mammalia > Primates > Hominidae > Homo > Homo sapiens. The sequence continues at coordinate 13,488,001 of NC_000004.12, read as the reverse complement.
GGCTGGGCTACCTCCAGAAGCCTGAGGATAATTTGTTTTTTGCCTCTTCCAGCTGCTAGTGGCTGCCAGCACTCGTTGGCTAGTGGCTGCATCATTCCAGTCTCTGTCTCTGTGGTTATATTGCCTTCTCTCTTATAAGGATACATGTGATTGCATTGAGGGCCCACCAAATAATCCTGGATAATCTTCCCATCTCAAAATCCTTAACTTAATCACACCTGAAAGATGCTTTTCCAAATAAGGTAACATTTACAGTTTCCAAGGATTAGGACCTGATATCTTCATGTGGCTATTATTCAGCCTACATATCCCTCTACCAGAATGTAAATTCCATGGGAACAGAGCTTTTGTATGTTTTTTTTCACTTATGTGTTTTCAGTGTTTCGAGGAGTTGTGAACAAGAATGCCTGGTACACAGTAGGCAGTCACTAAATATTTGTAAATTTAATGAAGTTTTGTTTGTTTGTTTATTTTTGGAGACAGGGTCTCATTGTGTCATCCATGCTGGAGTGCAGCGGCATGATCACTGCTCACTGTAGCCTTGACCTCCCAGGCTCAAGTGATCTTCCTATCTCAGCCTTCCAAGTAGCTGGGACCACAGGCGCCTACCACAATGCTTGGCTGGGTAATTTTTGTTTTTTAAAGTTCTTTTAGAGACAGGATCTCCCTATGTTGCCCAGGCTGGTCATGAACTCCTGGGCTCACGTAACCCTCCTGCCTCGGCCTCCCAAAGTGCTGGGATCACAGGTATAAGCCACCATGTCTAGCAGTCACTAAGTATTAATGAATCACTTTGATCATCTTCCTGTGGAATGGGGAGTTTTCGTTTTATTGAGAAAGACATACCTATTATCATTAGCTGTAATTTATAGTGATAAGCTTTGGCTCATCATCAGAGATAATATTTTAATAACCAGGCCTATCCATCTACAGGCCAGGTTGCTTCATAAAGGAAGAAACTCCTTGAATGTGGACGTATTCAAATAAGGTTTGAATAATTATCTGTTAGAGATGCTATAAAAGATATTTTATACAATGTCTAGAATTCTTATAAACCTTTTGTCTATTAGTTTTAAAATGACTGAAGACCATTCCTCTAATTTTTGACCCTGTTAAGAGCATTGTACATGAGAATCCACAAAGATATATTCTTTTTGGTGGATCAGCTCTATGTTTCTTTAGTATGTCAGAGTATCATACTGGAAGCTCTCAATGCTAAAATGGTCCTCCTCACATAGAAAGTTTTTTTTTCTTTTTCTTTATAAAAATGGCTCTAAGTCTTTAAATTCTAACTTTTAACCCAGAAACTTGCCATATGTGTAAAATATGATCCCTAAAATAGTGCAACTTTTTGTTTTATATAACACTATCCTATTGATGTACCCATATCCAAATGAATGTTGTCTCTCAATCAAAGCAGTCATCTCAGAAATTGATGAGTGGAAAATGAGAAGCTTTCTTCTAGATTTCCCTTCATATAAAACCACATATGAAAATCAGGCCTATGAGTTCAGCTAAATCTAGTTTTTGGCCGAAGTAGTTATGTCAGTTGGAATTTTTTTGTTTGTAGGTAACACAATTCATCGCCAAAGTACCATATTATTATTTCCCATAACAAGAAACCGAGAAGATAGAGTGAACAAAGTGTAGTAGTTCCAAAAATCCTGTTCTTACCTAATAATGACAGCAAAGGAAGGGAGGAGGAGGACTCCCCTGTAACTCTCCTTTTTTCTTTTCCTTTTTTTTAAATGGTGGGGGGAGGGTTCTTTTACAAATGTCTTCCAAAGGACACTGTCTTCTGTCTCATTAGTCCGGTGGATCACATAGCTATCTAAGGAAGACTGGAAAAGAAATTTTCTTGCATTTTAACTGCCCTCATGGACAAGAAGTGGTTAAGTCTGTCCTCACTGGAAGTAGATTCTTCTCACTAACAAGTACATATCCTCTTTCTTCTAATTCTTATGAATAAATCTGGTGAATAGAAAATTGGTGGTGGCAATGGTGGTGCGGGATTGGGGAAAGAATTGGGTACTAATACTTAACTGGGTACCTATAATTGTGGGCCAGCCCTCTCTGCAGATGAAGAGACTGAGGCTCTACATAAGAAACTTGTATAAGGTAAATTGGCTAGAAAGTAGTGACACTTCCAACACGGACCATCATCTAATTATGATGATGATGAGGGTGATAGTTACACTGGTTAATATTGAGTGCTTACTACACACCAGGCATTGTGCTATCTACTTTATGCCGATTATTTCATTTAATTTTCAAACCTACACAAAGGCAGTAGTCTGTTCTACAGGTGAACTAACTGAGGCTCGAGGACACATATCTAGTAAACATGAGATTAAACTCCAGTGATGCCTCTAGGTCTGGGCATTTCTTTACACTGTTCTGCTTTCCTGTTCTAATGCCCATATGGTCTCCAAGACTACTGCCTCTGGGCTAAGCATTTTGTTAACTTAAGATACTTCATCTGCAAAATGGGGATAATTATACTTCATAATTCCTAATAGTAGTAAAGGTAACAATAAATTTTAAGTGATTAACAATGAAACAACCATAGCAGGACAGCATTATTATTTTTGAATTTACCTCACTAAATTGTAAATTTCATTTATGCCGTTTACCTAACGCTCCTGGACTGAGATTATCCAGGGCAGCAGTTCTTAAATTTTTTGGACTCAGGGCCTCTCTATAATGTTAAAGAATTACTGTGACCTCCAAAGAGCTTATGTTTATGTGGGTTACACCTATCACTACTGCATTGAAATGAAAACTGAGAAATGTTTAAAAACAACAAACGCAAGCTCCCTTAGCTGCCAGTGATGACGTCGTACACAAAGCGTATCCTCCAGGAAACGGTATACTAGTGAGAGAAGGAACGTGAGAAAGACAGACAAGGTGTCCGTATTATTATGAAAATTGTTCTGAGGTCATCGGGATTTCCAGAGGTCCCTAGACCACACTTTATGAGAACTGCTGCCTTAGGGTAAAGATGGGGTGCCAGGAGGTTGGCGATCAGTAGCGTCTGATGAACGAACCATGGGAGCCTGGGGTTGTTCAGATGAGGAAACCAAGAGTTAGGCCGAAATAAGCAGCGCCGGAGCTCCACTGTATTCACGGCCGCTACTGAGGCTTCCCAGCAGCCTCGGCCCTTAGCAGCTGTCCCCTCATCCGCCCCGAGGTACCCTCTTCCCTGGTCCGGTTTTTCAGGGGCCCTCTCTGGCGCTCTCCGCCAGGCTACGGGCGTCCCGGGTGCCCGGAGACAGGCCCCGCCCCGCCGCCGGTCCTCGAACTCCTGGCTGCCAGGCAACCCTGGCGCGTAGCCCGGGCGTCACTGCTCCACCCCGTCAGGCTGAACCATTCCCTTCAGAGACTTTCTCAAGAGGGAAGGAGAAAAGGGAATTTGATGGAACGCCTGAAAGCTGCTCTGCTCCCGTTTTCTCTCCTTAATTTGAACGAACACTTCTTTTCTTCTTCTAGCCAACTGTCTCCTGAAGGGAAACGCAGCGCCTCGCCTCTCCCGCCGGAATGTCCCCCACACCAGTCCAGGGCCGCGAGTGGTTCGGCTCGTCAGGCGGGGCCGCCGGTCGGCGCGGGTTGGCTCTGAGGCGGGGGCGCGCGCCCGACGTGCGCGTAGGGGGCGGGGCCGCGCGCAGAGGGCGGGGAGGTGGGCAAGATGGCGCTTGCCGAGTGATTCTCCTCGAATACCTCCTGCCGGCGCGGAGACACCGGGGCGGGGGTCCTGCCGCAACTACCTCCCTTCCTCCTCTCCCCCGCCCCCGGAGCCTTCATCCTTCCCTTCCCCCCCCACCTCGAGGGGCGGGCCTGGTTCCCGGGACACCATGTCGGACTCTGAGGAGGAGAGCCAGGACCGGCAACTGAAAATCGTCGTGCTGGGGGACGGCGCCTCCGGGAAGGTCAGTCCTCGAGCAGGCCCGCCGTCCCAGGCCTGCAGGAACCCCGGCGGTCCCCGGCCTCCTCCCCGCCGCCCGGCGTCGCCTCGTTACCCCGAGCCCTCGGGCTTCTAGGCCCGGGCCCTTCTGGTTGTGTGGCCTGAGGCCGGACACGAAGTGGGCGCTTGGTGAAGGCCGACGAGAGCTGTCCAGCTCCCCCTTAAAAAAGAGTCACTTCCTAACTCCCCGCCTGGATTGCGAACTCCTGCAAGACTCGGGCCAGCCTTTCAGCTTCCCGCCTCTCAGGACTGGCAGGGATTTGCCAAGGCATCTTAGCTCCTCTTACTTGTAGTCTGGGTCACACTTACTCCTCCCCTCCCACCCCCTTTACCGTTTCTGATGCTTCTACTGCATCGTGAGCTCCCAGGAGCGTAGCTCTGGAATCAGTATTCCCCGGGTGAGAATTGGGGCTCTGCCACTTAGTCGTCGGGTCATTGGAGGGCAAATTGCTAATCAGTTTAAGCTTCATCTGTAAGATGGGTATTGAAAAGGGCCGCCGCAAAGGGAGAAATGTGAAAATACATATTAAATGTGAAAATACACATAAAACCTTTAGAGCACAGTGTCCACTCAGTACACTCTAGTTGCTATTTTAATATCATACCTGTTCATCACCTCTGTTTCCAGCTCAGCACTCGATACAAGCAGTCAGTCAACAAGTGTTTATGGAGCTCCTGTTACGGGTAGGATGCTGAGGGTAGAGCTGCTTGCGTGACAAAAGGGATCCCCTGTTCGAATGAATGAATGCGGGCGTGAGAATATCAGGCAGCGTCAGTCTTATTATCTCCTAGGCAGGGGCTCCTACCCCAAGGCTGTGGAACTCCTGAAATGGAGTAAATACTGCCCGGTACGTGCTCTGGGGAGAGGGTCCATAAGATCTCAGAGGGGTCTATGATCCCTCCACCAGCAAATAGTGAAGAGCCTCTACCCGGATGCCTTCTTTCCCATGCTTCTGTCAAAGGCGCCAACACTTTCTGGGAATATTGCTAAAGTTTATCACCCCTGTACTCCCCTTCCTTATCCCAACCATAGTCTAAAGAAACCCAGGCTTTTATTTCCTGTTTAAGGCTTCACATTTCCCTGTTGCTGGTTGCATTTCGGACCCTGGTTTCTCTGGTGACGACTTCTCTTTGCATCCTCCCTGACAGTTGGCACTGCCCAGATACCTGCTTCTGCCTTTGGTTCTGACATTTGAGTTTCGAGGTCACCTGGGAAAGATGTAAAATTTTATATGCAAAATTTGAAGTATTTTTTTGTTTCTTTCTTGTCTTCTTGGATCCTTTGTTACAGATTTTTAAAGCTGAGGAAAACAATATGCTCTGATTACCTTTAAACGTTGGGGGAAGAAAGGAACTTGGGGTAACTTTTCTTTATAAAGTATATTAATTTTTGTATACTTAGTAAACTTTTCGAATGAATGAATTGCTATAAATAAATCATTGTTTCTAACACCTTTATTCAATAAAAAGTTTGTTAGATTTTTATAGTTTTCTCATCATTTAGATTTTCTTTTGAAGGCCGTCTAAGGTTTTGGCTCTTAAATTTTACTGTATTCAATTCATAACTGATCTTATTTCCCATTTAAAATGATAATGACAACTCATAACAATACATTTGTAAAAAGACACAAAAATTGCTGGTTATCCTATATGCTATCATAATTCTTTAAACTGTTGTTCATTTTTCTAACAGTATTTATTGTACATATATTACTTAGTGAAATTTGTTCATAATTTTGCGTCTGAGTTTTTTATTTAGCCTATCATACATGTTTCCTCTTTGTTGCTAATTTAGTGTGAATAATTATGGTTTTTTATCTCTGTTTAAAATTTTTTCTTGTATAGGACAGGATAATTTTTTCACTTCCATGTTTTTGAATTAGTATTATCATTCTGCTTCAAAGGATAACAGTTAATATTTTTTATGGTGCTCTGACTTAATCTTCATTATCTTGACTAAATAACTTATTTTAAAACTGTAACAGCTTTTTCTAACAGGAACTTCCAGACACAAACATCTGACACCTAACCTTCTTTCATTATTCTTAAATCAAGAATTTTTTTCTCCATACCCTATTCAGTTCTCAAATACTTGGCAGCCACCAACATTCCCATTCTTTTTCCTTTATTGTTCTTTTCTTTGTGAACTCAGCCTCTCTTTCATTCTTACTTGTATCCTGATTTAACTCTTGGCTCTTTTTTCCTGGCATTTGTTTTTCCTGCTCAATCTAACTCTGAGCATTTTTCAACACACTGACAGATGCAATAGAGTATTGAGATGATGACTAACAGTTTCTCCAAGAGAAATTTAGCTCCTCCTTCCAGTATCACGTGTTTCTATTTCTTTCCTTTTCTGATTCATATTTTTTCTTTTATTACATAGTCTCTTAAGAGCTTTTTGAGGCAAAATATTCTTTTTTTTTCTGTCTTTTCAGTGTTTGTAAATGTAGCATGGTTAAAAAATGTTAGTAGAAATTTACCAAGTCAAAAATGTTAGTAGAAATTTTCCAAATCAAAAAATATAAAGATTCAGATAAAAATATTTCTGATATGGGAGCTAGTTGTTCACTTAATACCTGTAATTAAGAAGGGTATTTATACAGTGACTTGAGAAATTATTGAATGTGAAAGATAGCATGCAGTCTAGATAAGTGAAGAGAAAGTGACCCCCACTGATTCAGTTGATTCTCTGTTCAATTTTTATCTCAAGACATCGGGAGATGATATAGTAAGAACTTACTTTAATACTCTGTATGTTCCCAGTAACCTGTATTTTTGACAGTTTACACTCGATTCCAGTTGAAAATCCTAGCTTTATGTTTGCCTCAAAAGTGTGAAAGCAGGGCTTTCAAAATCTAGAAGTCACTTTTTCAGGAAAAGAAACTTTCTTAGAATTTTTCTGAATATTCCTTAACATGAAAATATTGAACTCTGAGATTCTTTAAAGTGAAAAATTATCTCAAATGACATTACGTGAATGTTACACATGCCTTCAGTTTCTCTTTGACCTTTAAGTATTTCAACCATCAGTCTATTAAATATTTTGAAATATCTGTAATAGTATAAGTAGTGATAGTTATTTTTTTCTAGAATTCTGAACCTCTTCAAAGATGATTTTGTGGTCTAAGTTAGATAAGATCAGTAGAATAATATAGTGTAGATGAGAAACAATGGTCTGTAAAAAGAAATACCTATCTTTTCAATTCTGATCTCTCAGTTTTGATAGTGTTACATGTGTCAAAAATATAACAAATGTGTTTGTTTCTAGATGTCTAGCAGAATACCCTTTATATGGTAGTGCTCAACAAATACTTGGCCAATTATCTTCGAAATTTATTACAAATGCTGGGTATTTAAACCCAAAAATATTTGGAGTTATGGTGTCCAAATTGCCATTTGTGTGAAAAATATGGTTCTGTGTAAAAGGAATTTTAGATGATCTTGCTAAAAGGAATTGAAGTTTGGCCAAATTTTCTTTTGCACTATTGTACTGCTTATGTCATAAGGAACTGTAATAAGCTATCTTGGAAATTTATCTTAGTTTTCATTATTTTAAGAGTTGACATGTAATTTTAACTTTTAAAATAAAAAACGGCTATTTTCTCTTAAAGTAGGGAGTCTGTCTTGAAGAGCATAAAAGCTTAGTGAAGTTGCCTTTCTCTTTTTTGGAGGAAGTTTATAAATAAAAATAGTGCATTTAAAATGTTTAAGAATTTGTTAAGTTATTGTTATTCAGTTGTTACTAGAATAATTATTCTTTTGCTTTGATAAGAAATGGTACTTTAAAAAGAAAACTCCAGAGTTTTTGACTAAAACTTTCAGTTTCTATTAAAAAACAAATGTATATCTGTTCTGGTTATGATAGCTTGTGACTTCTTGGCATTATGGTTCTTGGATGGAAAATATTCATTTTGTCTGCTTTATATTAATCTTAAAAATACGTTTATTTAAGAGGTACATATTGTCACAGTCTTTCTTTAGGGTCATTTTCATTTAGCATCTTTAAAAATAAAGAAAAATTACATACGGTGCTTTTCTTGTGGGAAAAAGAAAAATTCTGTAAGCAGATTTCTCCCTCCTTAATGAATGCTTCTTATTATTAGCTTAGTGCTCAGCTACCCTCAGAATATTTAACCTCAGAAGCTGATCTAAGTTAGATTAGATCTTTAATTATGTTTTAAAATAATTCAGATCTTTATTTATTTATTTTTTAGTTTTTTTTTCTGTTGATAACTCTCAAATTCTAATTTTCAGCAAGGAAAAGGATCTTGACAAGCAGGGGATTTAAAGAGATCTAACTCATTAGTTCGTTGTCCCTACCGATAGCTGCTGGCAAGTAAAATTTACCTGGTGGTGTTAAGTCTCTCCCCTCCTTGTAACTGATTAGAACTGCTTAAATTTGCTTGTTGGATTAATTGCAATATACATGTTAAGATTGCTTAAGATTTATAGTGGTCTTATGATTACATTTCTTTAATGAATTAATTTTGACATTCTGTGCATCAATTTTTTAGACCTCCTTAACTACGTGTTTTGCTCAAGAAACTTTTGGGAAACAGTACAAACAAACTATAGGACTGGATTTCTTTTTGAGAAGGATAACATTGCCAGGTAAGAGACTAAAAAGTCTTAACGTAGAAGATTATAAAAAAATCTTAACAATAAGTGGCATAAGAAAGAAATGTGTAAAATTTTGGGGCTGCTTCTACATGAAGATGTATATAAACAGTAAATTTATCTTAGGGATGTTAACTTTCATCACAATCTATCATGAAAGCATATTGTCCATGGGTATAAGAAAAAGTTTATATACTCTCCCACTCCTTCCCTGTTTTTGGCTACTATACATTTTTTGAGGATAAACAATGGTTGCTTATAAAATTGTGAAAAGCTTTTAAAAAATTAAGTGCTGTACATTTGTCAACAGATATTGTATTAACAAAATGTGAAAAGATTGGGAAGGATTATTTTTTAAAATATTATTTTGATTTGCCTCTGTTTTAGTTTTTTGTTTAAAGTTGGAACAGAAGTATAATGTAGCTATGGAACTTCTGTGCTCTAATATGTGAATGCTGTTTTATGCAAGGCAGCATGAAATTGCTGGCATTTAATAGACCACTAAAATTTAGGGTCCCTAGGCACTCATAAAAATACAGTTTGAGCATTCAAGATGTTTCACTTCACCATGCAAAGAAACTATTTAGATGCCAGTTGCAGCACATTTTGTGGGAAATACGGGGAAATAATAACAAAGAAAGAGTGGTTTATGTTTTAAGTTAGTTTCTGAACAATTGGGGCTTTAAAATGCTGTCCTTTCAATTTCAATGGTTAAATTATATGTTTAAAGTATTTTATTAAAAGCAGTTTATCTTGATTGACTTTATAAACCATCCATCTCTCTCCTCTGTGAGGAAGCACATTTGGAGAAAATGGTTGCAAGTGTAATGTCAGATTCATGTACTGAAATGTGAGTGATACAGTGGGAAGGGGTTTAATACATTCCAATTATTATTGAAATATGTTAACCTCTCAGACACCCCATCTATCAGACAACTCCCCATGAAAGTTTTAGAGTAGGTAATGAAAACTCTTGGTAATGGAGGTATTCTTCTTATCTCCTTAGTAATATACTCTGCTATATTTTGTGATAGTTTGTATTTGGCTACCAGTGAAAAATAGATTAGGAGATATCCCATGAGAAAAAAAAGAATTCCAATTTTTCCATTACTGGGTTATTGTTCAGCAAGAGGTTTAAGGAGAAACATATGCGTACTTTGTTTCATTTGTATTTTCTTTTATTGTATCCAAAACTGAAAATGTCATTTTAATTTTATTATTCTCACTCTTACGGATAATCTATGCTGCATTCAGAATACTTAACAGCAGTCACTAGCTGAATACATACACAGATCACATAATACAGATGCTGGAAGCTTATTTTTGCAGGAGTTTTTTTCACAGATGCCAGTTGTACACAGAGAATCTCAAATGTGGCATTTCATTATTAGCTATTTTGTTTTGATGCTTAATTTGAAAAGCCACCAACTTCTTGTCTCATTACTTTATTATTTCTCATTTTTTAGTTGAAAAGCTTAAATAAACAAGTACCTACTCAAATATTAAAAACAAAGACTGGTTTTCAGACATTTTATACAGGTGATATGATGATTTCTGACCTGTGGCCCAGCACTACCAATTTAAAAATTTTGATTACTTTGTAAAAAATATTTGATATTCTTGAAATCGAGATTTATAGTATAATATTTTAGACTTAGTAATTAGGTTAAAAAATGACATTAGGGCATGTATACTAATGAATGTATATTTTAATTTTCCTAATTAAGTTTTTATTTTGATGGCAAAGTTCCAGAAAAAAACTTCTATTTTTTTTTTAAGGCAGTTGGTTTTATGCTACTTAACAGACTCAAACTTATGGTAGAAATTTCAATAAGAAAAAATATTTTAATGTATTTTGTTTTTATATAATTAATAGGTATATTAAGAAATGAGGTGAATAAATTACAAGGTTTATAATTATCCTTTATATACTTTAATGTACATTCATTATAAGTGTCACATGTAGGATGATTAATGTATCATTAGCTGAATAAAACATTACAGGTAGCTTTATTGAATTTATAGCATAGTCGGTGAATCTAATATTTGTTACTAGTCTGGTAAGTCCTCTGACCAGTTAGATTGTTAGGGGTGTAAACCTCCTGTCCATCTATTTACATTCTCTTCATGCAAGTTTTCAAGATCATTACTTTGCAAATACTCATCCATTTTAGTATATTTCATGATCCGGTATGCTGTATAGTCTGGATGCAACCACTGTGCAGATTTTACTGCTTAAAATAGTGTATCTGTTAGTCAGAGATTCTGCTGATAGAGCTTCTTAAGAGCCTTAGTCAAAATACTTTCAGGAAGCTTGTGGGTACAGTCCAGTAAACAGCGTTCTACTGTGAAAAAGATTTCTAAGTCTTTAGTACAAGAAGTGGGCAGACTTGTGTTTTTAGTTCCATCTTGACTATGCAGCACTTTAAGTAAGGTTAACCAAGGCACCAAGTGTACTTTTACAAGGTCACTGTTGAACCCTCTTGGTGGCTTTAATTCATACCAAAAGCAACTTACCTGTGTTTTGTCACCTCATTTATTTTATTTTTTCTCCTAGTTACATGTCATTTCTTACAGAGGAACAGGAATTTTGCAGCATTTTGTGTTTGGGATTAGATTTCTGACAATTTCCTTAATGTTCTTTATTGGTTAGAAATTTGTATTAGATATATTCTTGATTTAAACAAAATTATAATATTATTTGAATATTCTTATATAGCTTTATAGGTATGTCATCTTGAAAATATACTAGGAGAATTCATATGTTTATGCCTGCAAAAATGAAAATGAATATTGATTTGAATCATATCCTCATGGGATTTTGCTCCTCAAATAAGGAATCCACATTTTATTTTTAGTTTTATGTGTTAATAATCCTAAAATTAAAATGTGGAGTTAAAAATATATTTCTAGATATAAGAAGTAATATTAAAATATCATTTATTGAAACTAAAGATAGTCATTTTTTGTTAGCATTCTATATTAGTGGACTATCAGTAATTCATAGCTATTTTTATTTCTGAGTCACTGGAATTTGTATGTTAAAAAAAACAGGCAAACACTGATAACAGGGTTTATTTAGAAAGGCATGCATTTAAAAAGTATCCTCAACACATGACTATGAACCTCTTAGATGGGAGACAGTTGGATAGATAGATGATTTAGGGTCTTGATATGATTGTAGTCAGAATTTGAAAACATGTAATGAAGATCATGTTCCTAAAATTACAGTCAAAGTGTTCACAACACCTAATTCAGATAGGATCTGAATATCAGAACTTAAAAAAGCTTTATATTTCTTGATGTGAGGTTAAGCAATAAGGACCATTGGCTCTGAGAAAAATGGGATTAAACACCTTTTAGCACTTACTAAGTATTGCCTAAAATCTTACTCTGTAAAAGTTAGTATTGTTAAGCACTGTCTTTTGAAGTAATCAAATAACCCTAAAGAGTTGTGCAAGTAAAATGAATAGACTACTGCCTGCTTAGGGGTTTCTGAAACTAGTTTATATACTTCTTAGTGATGGCTAGCCCTTTCTCATCTGCTTCATTTGAGACAGCATTATAGAAGAATTCAGCCTTGAATCTCAAAAAATTTAGATTTTTGAGAAATTCGATTTGTACAAGTTTTTGGACAAATCTTAGTCTGTGACATTTTGGTTTTCATATTCATAGGGCTTTAAGAACATTTTAGTCATTAGTCTAAGTGTTGAAAGTGTGTGTCTGTGGTAATGATGGTGATAAAACATTAGCGCTCATTAATGCTAATGGAAGTTCCTCATGGAAATCCTCTGCGCAGTGGCAGATGGAACAACCTATGTTTAAATAATGGAAAGATTGTAATACAAACCCACCAAAATTTAGAAAACTGTGCTGGTTAATCAAATGTCTTTTTCTTTTCAGTTGCATAGTTAAATGGTATGACTAACTTTCTCTGATTTTAGTATTTTATGTTGGCTTATAAATTTATATCTTTATAATCTTTTTTTGAAATGAGATCATTTTTCAGTTTCTAATCTTTTATTTTCTTTTGATTTGCAAATCATTCAAAAAGTGCTAATTGAAACTGGAGAAAACTGCATAATTATATGAGGGGAATAGTTTAAAATGTTCAACTAAAAAGCATAGTTTGGCTTTTGTAAGCTTACTCATCAGTTGCATTGAGAAGGGAGAATAGCTTATCTCATAAATTTTTGTATCAACCAAATATTTTATAAAATGCACAAAAGGATTTTTAAAGATTGCCTTTTAGAATGCTTTTACAATGCTTGTATGGGGAAGATGATTAGTTACAGTATTTTGTGAAGGCTTGGAAGTATACATAGTTTGTTTAAATGGAAATACTTTGAACAGGTTTGAAAGCATTGTAATATTTAGTGATATACATGGTATGTATCCTACGTTTGTTCTGAATAGGGCTATCAAATGCGTTTCTATTTTGTGGGTTAAATTTGAAAACGTAATTTTTTGACTATGTTTGCCATATCCGATAGTAGCTGACAATCACATTATAAAAAGATTCATTAATTTGAGCTGAAATTATGGGTGCATTTTTGTAGTTTGCTATTATTCCATGAGTTTTAGAAGCCATAGAGTTTAGAACCTACGACAGAATTCATATGTATGATTGGATGGTTGAGTATATAAAGCTTCAGTTTTTATTTTTAAAGTATATTTCTTGCTCCATGGACATGTGCTTCATTCTGTTCTCTAAGAAAAACATTTTTCTAAGGCTTAAGTTTACAAATTAAAGCTTACTTTATTTTCTTTTGTTTTGAAGGTGATTGTAAATATGGTTCCATGGAAATGGAGTAAAAAGATAAAACTAGATTCCCCACTATAATTTCTTTTGACGTTGTTTTCGCAATTCCAAATATCATGTGAGCCTGCACATAAAGGCAAATTGGGCTCAGAGTTTCTTATTGTGACTTAGTATTCTGTGATACTGTGTCACTTGTTGTATTGTTACTTAATTTTTTTGGTATTCTTATTTTTATATTCATTTTTTATATTCTAGGAAACTTGAATGTTACCCTTCAAATTTGGGATATAGGAGGGCAGACAATAGGAGGCAAAATGTTGGATAAATATATCTATGGAGCACAGGTATGATATGAATTCTGATTATTCCAGTATTGAAAGTATACCACTTACAAGCACACATGCAAATCTACTCCCAAATGCACACACACACACATTCTTTCTAACTTTTTATCTGATACGTAGAGAGAATAATTTTATATTTGTGCTAGTTCTTTGGTTTCATGCTCTCCTAATTATGTTTGGAGTGATTTGGGTGAGGGAACAGGAAAACTCTGAACAGCTTTCGTATGTTATTTACATTACTAGGTGTTATTGTTAGCAGTTCAATAAATGCAGTGATAAATGATATTTTGATATGTATTAGCTGGTTTTGTTATAGTGACTGCTTTCAAATAAACTGAATGAAAAACACAGGGATGAAAATTTAACTTCATTTTAAGTTACAAGGACTGAAAGTATATCTATATGTCTATGTTTTTGTGCAATGAATATTGATAGCTTTTCAGATTTAATAGACATGTCTGTATTTTCTATCAGATAACTAAATATGACAGTGTATATGTGAAACACATACAATAATTTACTATGATAATGCTGTATTTTCAGAAGAAAATCCATGTAGAGCAAGAAAAATGAAAATGAAAAATGACCTGAATAATTACATAAATTTCGCAACATGAGCTTATATTCTCCATGAGCTTATACTGATATAATTTATAAGATTTTAAATAAAGTTATTATACAAATAGAAAATATGCAGGGTAGTAATATACTTTAAAAGTTAATCATTTCTCTCTGAGCATGTTCAGTGAAGAATTGTCTTTTTAATATTTGGCAGATTGCTTTTGATTAAATGACAGACTTTAGAAATGCAGTAATACCATTGAAAGTAATCATCTGATGAAGTAGAGAATATGGTATATAGCCGAATATTAAGTAGGTTGTGCTTACTGAGCTCTGTATGTAATACTTGATGTGCTATTTCTTTATTTTTGCTTTTTTTCTCTACTTTTAATTAGTGTGTATCTTCTACATCATCTGGAGACTTAGGGGTAATAGTAAAAATTTCTAGTTCTTTATTGGAGTTTGGTATTTTAAGTGAGACAAATACAACTTGGTTATGTGGAAACATGTTGCTCATAATAAATGATTCTATAGGATGGAGATATAGTATATTAAGCACTCTGCTGTACAAAGTTTGGTTCATGTCAAATACCGTTGCCTTGATTTTGGATGAAAAATAGATTCTGATTTATTTTGTAAAATATTCGGAGAAGGACAGTATGGCTATAGAGGCTAATATGGTTCTGAATCACTTATAAAGGCCCCAGAGTTTTGATTTTTTGCATTGCTGATGCAGAGATTTGGCTCTTAAAGCTCTTATCTTTTATACATTGTTCTTAGTCTCCTGCAAAATTTTTCTGTTCACATTTATAGCATTTTCTTCTGTGGTTAAGTGACTTGATATTTTATGCATGTTCATTTTTCTCTTAAAAAGTACATCTCAGAATTTTGTGTATGGCTTTTTTGTTTTATTTATTTATTTATTCATTTTCTGTTTTAAACTGATTAAAGTGGATACTAAGCTAGAGACAACTTGCTGGACAGAGATTTGTGGGAAGCCACAGTTCTTGTTTCATTCATGTGGTTGATAACATGGGAAAATAACACTCTTCTCTTTGTTCCATAAAATCTGTCTTCAAGGCTACATATATGATTTTAAGAAAATGAAGATTAGATCTAACTTCTAATGAAATTTGACTCTTGGTGTCAAATAGAATAGTCTTTTATGATTTATAGGTGTAACCAGAGTTAGTGGAGAACAGGAGGACTTTATGCATTTCAGGGTAAATAATAATATATAATTCAATTAATACATTTTTCTTCACTTAAAAATTAGGGGAGTATTATGCCCATGTGTTGAATTCTGTTAATTCTATCTTCAAGTCATTTAAAAATTTATTATCTAATTTATTTAAATTATTTAAAATTTATTACTATTATATAAAAATTAATATTGATGTGAAATTTGTGTATTATAAAGTTAACCATTCTGAAGTGTATAATCAGCTAGGCGCAGTGGCTCATGCCTGTAATCTCAGCTAACTGAGAGGCACAGGTGGGAGGATCACTTGAGCCCAGGATTTTGAGGTTGCAGTGAGCTATGATCACACTACTGCACTTCAGTCCAGATGGCAAGTGACACTCCATCTCTAAAAAACAAAATAAATAAAAAATAAAGTATATAATCGGTGTCATTTAGTACACTCACAATATTTTGTGACCATTTCCTTAAGTCAGTTTTTGACAGTATATATTTTATGTTATTACAAAGCTGCCTACAGTAAGCAGACATTAATGAGAACATTTGTAGAAATTTCAAGAATTTCCATCTTTTTTGAAAGTCCGTAAGTTTAGTAAAATGTCTTCATTATTTTTTAAGGTACTTTTTTTCTTGGGAGAAAGTGAATGTTATAGTTCTTAGAACTTGTATAAAGTTTCTGTCTTGAAGGTACATATCGACTTCTTTCTCTTTTGGTGGTGCATTTTATCGTTTACACTTAATGATTGCTATGACTCTTATAAGGATGTACTGTGTTTTTATTAAACAATAATTTAGTACAGTATTTCTGAGAAATTCATGGATCTTTCTATGAAATTGTCTGACAAAACTGGGAATTCTGAGATGATGAAATGAATTGTCAAAAATAGATGATAGGTCATGGTGGCAGGCACCTGTAGTCCCGGCTACTTGAGAGACTGATATGGGAGGATCACGTGAGTCCAGGAGTTTGGGGCTGGAGTGAGCTATGATCATGCCACTTTACTCCAGCCTGGGCGAAAGAGTGAGACTCAGTTTATAAAGAAGAAAAAAAAAGGATGATAATATAATAACTTTTTTCTGCTTTCCAGAGATTCCAAATAAATGCTATGTTAAGTACATAAAGTACATTGACCAGTGGTCTATTTTGTTAAACTATTTTTAAATTCTATATCCAGGCTAGAGAAGCTGTGACTCATTATTTACTACTATAAATTGGAGAAAATGTTACTTTTCAAAACCAGTGCTTTCAAAAACATCCTAATAGCATTTTAATAAGCTCAATATCTTTATATAATCATATAATTATTCTTCAAAGTAGATCTGTATTGCTTCTGGAGTTATAGATGCTTTATATTACCTATCTCATGAATACTTTGGATTTTGATATACTACAGGACAGAAATCTTCAGAGATGTTGAGACAAGCTTTTTCAGGATATCAGTTTAATGTGTTATTTAGGGTTTTGTTTTAGGTTCTCTAACTTCTGTATTGTGTATAGAAAGAATTATACATGTCTGGGTCATTAAACTAGTCAATCTGTTTCTTTAAAGCATTTCTTAACATCTGCGTAGAAGCTTATATGTAGGCTGGGAGTTAACTTGGATCCAAATAAAACTGATTATTTTACCCTCTTCAGTCCCTTTGCCCCCAGCAACATTAAATGTTAGCAATAGCCTGTTGAAAGTGTTGATGAAAACTAAATTGAATTGACACCCCAAAAAGAATTAGTGAGGTATTTTGACAAGAACTAGTTCTAAGAATTGAAATATGTCCCAGTTAAATTCCCAGATTTTAAATTAACTTAAAAATTTCTAGGAGTCTTTAGAAAGATGTTATAGGGGATTTTTCATAGTGGTTAGGAGCAAACACACAGTACATAGTGTTTAGTGCCCTGTAACCTGTGGCTAACAGAGGCTAATAACAAACCTCAGAGAAGGACTGGATGTTTCATTTTTGTAGCTCTTTCTGTCCTGGAATCTAAGTGGTTTGCAAACACTGACCCACTGAGCATAAACTCAATGAAGTGTAGTCACTTGTGAGGTAGAACATAACTACTATTGTGTGCCAGTGGCCCCACACAGATGAGCCTACTTTTTAAGTACCAATGAAAGGATTTGGTGCCTACATGACAGCTATGGAGAGAGTGCATCTCAAAACTGGACTCTCCAAGACCTTCTGCTCTCTTTTACTGTAAGTTTTTTAGTTGGATATTTGCCAACTTATAACTGATTATGTTTGTAGACTTTCTTTGTGTTAGTGTTTCTTACGGGTTATACTTATAAAGCAAGATCTATGTTGTTATGGC
This sequence comes from Homo sapiens, assembly GCF_000001405.40. NCBI lineage: Eukaryota > Metazoa > Chordata > Mammalia > Primates > Hominidae > Homo > Homo sapiens. The sequence goes on along the minus strand of NC_000004.12, from coordinate 13,470,250 downwards.
TATTATATAATCTGTATGATTTAATTCATTTCTATATGTAACTAAATAACTAAAGCAGATTATTTGTCTTGCGTATTAGAGAGAAAACAAATAACCTGCATTTTGGGAATGGGAGAACCTTTCATTTTTTGAGAAGGTTAAATAGTGTGTGTACTGTGTTTATTTAGTACGTGTTACACTGACGAACTATTATCTATGCAATGCTTTACAAGACTGTTACTTGGTAGGCACCAGTGTTTGTTCTTTCAAAACTTCTGTCAAGTCCAGGCCATTGGGTCATTCCTGTAATCCCAGTGCTTTAGAGGGCCAAGGTAGGCCAATTGCTTGAAGTTAGGAGCATGAGACCAGCCTCAGCAACATAGTGAGACCCTTTCTCTACAAAAAAATTTAAAAAATTAGCTGGGCACTGTGGTACATGCCTGTAGTCCTAGCTACTAGAGAGGCTGAGATGGGAGGATTATTTGAGTCCAGGAGTTTGAGGCTGCAGTGAGCCATGACTGCGTTCCAGCCTGGGGAACAGAGCAAGACCCCATCTCTTAAAAAAGAAAATTGCTGTCGATTATTACCTTGAAAATGGTATCCATTTGATTTACTCACTCATCATGCTTATTAGATATGGTAGTAAGTGAAATAGATGAAAACGAAGTACTATATAAACTAACATTATATAATACTTACTAAAAATCTTGAAGTTTACAAAATACTACGGATGGTAGTATTTTCTTGGAACTGAAGTTGGAGGAAGGCAGTTAAGGCATAAAATGAAGGAAACTATTGTTGAAGAGGGATTTATTAAACTTGAAATCTGATTTCCAAAGGTCATGTAAAAGATTTGGGAAGAAGAACAGCAGCTGGAACGTAAATTGAGAAGTGGAAGGAAAGGATGGTATGGGGATGAAGACATGAAGACATAGGAGAGAGATAAATGTCAGATATGTGGTTGATAACAAAAGTTATCTGGGACATGAGACATGGTGATGGATTTAGATGACCATAAGATTGCCAAGAAAATTAGATCCAGGAGTTCCCAAGTAGATTTCAAGATATATTCCATGTTTGAGGAAGTTTTACTTTCTTGTGGCTTGGAAGATTCCAGTAGTTTTCTGGAAGGGATCAGAAGAGTTCTGGGTTGATTGACGTGGTCAGAAACTTAGGGATTTGAGGGTGCTTGTATTATGGCTCCTGAAGAGGTGAGTACTTAGAGGTCTGGCTTTGAGGCTGGTGAGTAGAGGCCCTGAGAGTCAATAGTTTTGGTAATGTGTGTCTTTTAAAGATTTGGTCCATTTTATTTATATTGTCAAATTTGTGGTCACAAAGTTGTTTATATTATCTTTTTAATGTCTATGGGATCGGTAGTGAAAACCCATATTAATTACTGTTGTTAATATGTGTCTTCTCTCTCCCTCCCTTTGTTTTTGGTTAGCCTGACTAGAGGTTTGTCAATTTTATTGATCTTTTTTTTTTAAAAAAAAAACAGCTTTTGGCTTTGTTGATTTTCTCTGTTGTTTTCTTCTTTAATTTCAGTGATTTCTTCCCTAATTTTTAATTACTTTCTTCTACTCGCTTTTGACTGAAATTACTCTTCTTCCTCTAGTTTCCTACAGTGGAAGCTTAGATTATTGATTTTTTTGCTTTTCTAATATATGCATTCAATGCTAAACACTTTCCCTAAGCACTGCTTTTGCTGTATTCCACAAGTTTTGGTAGGTTGCATATGTTTTTTTTTTGGTTCAAACTATTTTAAAATTATTTTTGAGACTTCTTTGATGCTTGTGTTATTTAGAATATGTTGTTTAATCTTCACATACTTTGAGTTTTTAAAGCTATTTTACTGTTACTGATTTCTGGTTATAGTTTGAGAATGTGGTTTGTGTGATTTCTGTTTTTACAAACATATTAAGGTATATTTTATGGCCCAGAATGTAGTTTATCTTGGTGAATGTACCGTGAGAGCTAGGGAATAGTACGTATTCTAATGAATACCGTAGTCTATAAATGTCAATTAGATGAAGTTGATTGTTAGTGTTGTTCAGATCAACTGTACCCTTACTGATTTTCTGTTTGCTTAATGAAAAAAGTCTTCAACTCTAGGGGGATCTGCAGATTTGGAACTCCTTGCAGTTCTGTCAGTTTTGGCCTCATATATTTTGATGCCCTCTTATTAGGTGCATATATAGAGAGGATTGTTATGTCTTCTTGGAGGACTGACTTATTATGCCAGTCTTTAAACTTGTTAATTTTCCTTATTCTGAAGTCTGCTTTGTCTCAAATTATATAGCTACTCCAGCTTTCTTTTCATTAATGTTTTCATGCTATTTTTCTATCCCTTTACTATTAACCTGTTTGTGTCTTTATATGTAAGGTCAGTTTTCCGTAGGCAATATACAGTCAAGTCTTGTTTTCTCATCTCCTTTGACAATATGTCTTTTAATTTGTGTATTAAATTCACATACAAAGTGTTTATTGATATAGCTGGGTTAACATCTGTCATGTTTGTTTTCTATTCTTTGCACATGTTCTTTGTTTCTTATCCCCTCTTTTTCTGCTTTCTCTGGTTTTATTTGAGTATTTTCTCTCCTGTTTTAGCATATCAGTCATACTTCAGAATTTTTTTAGTGATTGTTCTAGAGTTTGCAATATACATTTTTAACTAAATTTAGTGTTTAAATGACACTGTATTGCTTCATGTGTAGTGCAAGTCCCTCAGAATATTCTCAGTTCATCCTTTTTGTCCCTTATGGCATGGCTGTCATTCATCTCACTTATCTATATGCTATAATCATCCAGTGCATTATTATTACTTTAAACAGTTGTATTTTATATCAATTAACAATAAGAAAAATAATTGATATTATGTTATCTTCATTTTTTCCTTTTCTGATACTCACTTTTTTTTCATCCTGTATGATTTTATTTAAAAAATGTTAAATTTTATTGTAAACTGGAAGTTTATAATCGGTTATATTTATGGAGTACAGAGTGATGTTATGATTTATCAATACAATGTGAAATAATTAATTCAAGCCAATTAGCATATTCATTATCTCAAGTACTTATAACTTTTTTATGTTGAGAACATTTGAAATTTAGTCTTTTAGCAATTTTGAAATGTATGATACATAATAATTATTAACTGTTTTAACCACACTGTGCAATAGTTCTCAAAAAAAAATCTTTATATCTCCTGAGATTTTGTACCCTTTGACTATTTCCCCATTTCCCCCAACCCCTAGTCTCTGCAACCACCAGTCTACTCCCTACTTCTGTGAGTTTGATTACTTCAGATTTCACATAAGTGAGAACATGCAACATTTGTCTTTTTGTGCCTGGCTCATTTCACTTAGCTTAATGTTTTCCAATTCCATTCATGCTGTTGCAAATGAGAGACTTTTCCTTTTTTTAGGTTTATGGTATTCCGTTATGCATATATACATCATTTTCTTTATCCATTCATCTGTTGATGGACACTTAGGTTTATTACATAGCTTGGCTATTGTGACAGTGCTGCAACAAACATGGGAGTGCAAAAACCTCTTTGACAAACTGATTTCAAATCTTTGGGTAAATACACAGAAGTAGGATTGCTGGATCATATTCTTAGTTTTTTTGAGGAACCTCCATACAGTTTCCCATAATGGCATTCTTATTTACATTTTCACTGAGAGTGTACAGAGGTCCCTTTTCTCTATATTCTCACTGATACTTGTTATCTTTCATCTTTTTGATAATAGCCATTCTGACAGGTATAAGAGGGTAATTTATTTTGCTTTTAATTTGCATTTCTCTGATGATGTTCAGCATTTAAAAAATATATCTGTTAGCCATTTGTCTTCTGAGTAATGTCTTTATGGGTCTCTTGCCAATTTTTAAATTTAGTTTTTTGTTTTGCTTTGGAGTTGTTTGAGTTCCTCGTATATTTTGGATGTTAACCCCTTATTGGATGTATGACTTGAAAATATTTTAATTTGTAGGTTGTCTCTGCACACTGTTAATTTTTTCCTCCTTTGCTGCACAGAAGCTTTTTAGTTTTCCTCTTTGCTTATTGCTTTTGTTGTCTGTGGTTTTGGAGTCAAATTCAAAAAATTATTGCCCAGACCAATATTTTGTAGTTTTCCTCCATACATTTTCTTGTAGTAATTTTGTAGTTTCTGTTCTTACTTTGAAATTGTTAATCAATTTCGAGTTGGTTTTTGTATATGTTGTGAGATAAGGGTCCAATTTTGTTCTGCATGTGGATATCTAGTTTTCCCAAAACCATTTATTGAAGAGGCTATCCTTTTTCCATTGTGTATTTCTGGCTCTGTTGTTGAAAAATCAATTGACTGTACATGTATGGCTCATTTCTGGACTCTCTAATTATGTTCTGTTGGTTAATGTGTCTATTTTTTGCCGGTACCATGCTGTTGTAATTACTATAGCTTTGTAGTATAGTTTCAAATCAAGTAGTATGATGCCTGCAGCTGTGTGTGTGTGTGTGTGTGTGTGTGTGTGTGTGTTCATGATTGCCTTGGTTATTTGAGCTTTTTCATGGTACTCATTTTTTTCCTATGTAGAGTTTAGTTTCTGACCCATATCATTTTCCTTCTCCCTGAATAACCTCTTTTAATATTTCCTTCAGAGCAGGTTTGCTGACAATGAATGCTCTCAACTTTTGTTTTTCTGAGAAGATCTTTATTTCTCCTTTACTTTTGATAATTTTTATGGGTATAGAATTCTAGGTAGTTTTTTTTTTAAATTTTCTGTCAGTACTTTAAAATTTCACTTTGTTCTCTTCTTATTTGCATGGTTTCTGATGAGCTATTCTCTGTAATTTTTATGCTTTTTCATTTATAGATAGGATATTTTCCCTATTCTTCTAGCTTCTTTCAAGATTTCTCTGTTTTTTTTTTCTTTTGAGCAATTTGAATATATGCCTAGGTATAGAGTTTTTGGTATTTATCCAAATTGGTGTTCTCTGAGATTCTTAAATATGTGGTTTGGTGTCTAATTAATTTTGGCAGTTTCTTAGTGACTGTTACTTCAAATACTTCCTAAACTTGATTCTCTCTTCTTCTGATATTTCAGCTGTGCGTATGATGTACCTACTTGGGACTGTCCCACTGTTCTTTAATGTTCTGTTTTATTCGTTGTTTTTTTCTTTTTGCATTTCAGTTGTAGAAGTTTCTATTATCCTGTCTTTAAGCTCAGTGAGTTTTTTTCCTATGCCGTGTCCAGCAATGTACCCAACAATGGCATTCTTTATTTCTGTTATAGTGTTTTTGATATCTAGCATTTTGTTTTTATTATCCCTTGTTTTATTATCCCTATCTGTGCTTGCATGTTGTTTTCTTTTTCCTTTAGAACCCTCAACATATTAGTCATAGTTACTTAAAATTGCCTGTCTAGTAATTACAAAATCTGTTTCATATCTGAGTCTTGTTCTGATGCTTGCTTTCTTTCTTCAAATTACCTTTTGAAATTCCTTGTAATTTTGTATTGAAAGCTGGACATGATATACTGAGTAATAAGATTCAGGTAAATAGAATTTTAGTGTGAGGCTTTACACTGTGCTGCATTTAGTGTTTACTTTAGCTGTGGGTGCCAGAGGCATTGATTCCTCTAGCATCCTTGTTTTTGCCTCACAGTCTTTTTTGGTGTCTCCAAGAACTCTTTAGGTGAAATCTGTCTTGCAGCTCTTTCAGATGTTGGTGCCCTGGTAGTGTTGTGGTAAAGTATGGGGGAGGAGAAGCATACTATATTCTTATGATAAAGTTTTAGTCTTTAGTGGGCTTGTATTTCGGGACTGTGACCTTCACTAGTGTTTCTTTGCTCCTCCCAGTTAGATGAGACAGACCGGCTACAGGGGGCTGGAGTTGGGAACTTCCCTTTCCAGATGGAATACAATGTTCTGATTAAGCCATTTATTCTGCAGAGTATGCCTTTTTTATGGATAATGCTCTGGGCATATTTCACAATGGTTACTTTTTTCCTCTCTTCATGCCAGAGCCTTGAGAGGATCTTTCTTGGCTCTTTACTGATAATCTGGTGGGATATCTGGAATCTGGTGGTATATCCATGCAAGTGTGGAGGTAGCCCCTAAGACTGAGGGGGCCCCTAGGAGTTCCTCACTCTTAAGCTAAACCTCAGTCAGCCTCCAGCAGTTCGTCAAAATTATCATTACTGTTACTAGTGGCTGCTACTCCAGGTAGGCAGATCTTGGCTGTAACTTTTTGGATTTGTTTGTCTCTCCAGATTTCAGGGTGATGATTTGCCTTGCAATATCAGTTTTCTGATCAGTCCAAGAAAAGTCACTGATTTTTCAGTTTGTTCTGCCTTTTTCTTATTGTAAGGTCAGGAGTGATGACTTTCATGGTTTTTTTTTACATGTCAGAGCTGAAAGTGAAGGTCCTATAATTCCTTTTATATTTTAATATTTTTAGTTTTCTCACTTTTTCGTCTCAGAATTTCACCACAGTGGTACTAATTATGATGGCAAGAACAAGGAAAAATAATAGTTTTTACATTATAAATGGTACTGATAATATGAACAGGGAGATGTTTGTGTTGCTAGATAGCTAGGTGAGTGAACAGGAGTTTATCCTTCTATATTTTTTTGTGAATCCTGGAAGATTTCTAGGAATCACCAACTGAAAAATGTTGGGACACATTTGTCTAGACCAGAGATTGGCAGATTTTTCCTGAAAAGAGCTAGATAGTAAATATTTTATGCTTTGCAGGCCATGTTGTCTCTGTTGTAGCCACTCAGCTCTGCAGTTGTAGCACAAAAGCAGCCATTGATAATACTTAAACAAATGATTGTGACTATATTTCAGTAAAAGTTTATCTACAGATACACAGTGTGGGCCAGATTTGACCCATGGGCCATAGTTTACCAATTTGTGGTCTAGAACAACAGTTTTTAATGTTTGTTCCATATCTCTCATCCTGTACTGATTATCAGTAGATGGTGGCCATGTTTTATTTGCATATATTTTACCATATTCAGGTGTTGTCCCATGTTGGGATAAAGGTTTTCATATATTAATCAGAAGGGTTCAAAAAGTCTTAAGAGGCATAGGCCTAGGCTTTATTTGTGAGTTTAAAACCTACCTCAAAGTTGCCATGAAAATGTGATTCTTGTTCACTTAGTATGATAACAAGAAAAATCTACAATTGCATGTGGTATGTTAATTTTAAAATAAGTACTTTTGTTATTTCACTTTATAATGTAGGCATATCAGGTATTTTAAAAGTGAGGTAACGAATGTTGCCCAAGATCAATAGATGGGGTCAGGACTGGAATCCAACAGCAACCTGAGTTCCAGCGTAGAGCTCTTTTCAACAAATAATATATCACCCATGGCAGTTGGAGGTGGGGCCAGTAGCTTGAAGATTAATCTTCTTCAGATATCAGTTCTGGGGCTTTATTCTTAATAAGAAAGTGAGATACTCTTTGTTTTAGATAATTCTGTGTTGGGCATTATTTCAAAGCGTCTTGGAAGACAGACAGATGTTCAAGTGACCAAAATGAACCAGACGAGTGATTTTGTATATTATAGAATATTTAAAGCGAAAGGGATCTTAGAGACCATCTAACTCAAATATCGAATTTTAGAGATAAGAAACCTGAGACCTGGAGAAGCTAGGTAACTTGGGGACCAATATGGTTTAATAAACGAGAATAATAATCCTGGAAGGTCATAACAGAAGTATGCTAGGGCTGGCTTGCTCTAGCTTCAGAGAGTTAATTGTTAAATTTTTAGCAGTTTTTGTGAGCCAGTTATTAAAAACTTTTACAATGAAAAATTATGTATAAAGTCACACATTATATTAAAACAAAGGTATTATATGCCTAATCTCTATCACTAATTATTTTACTATGTATTTCTGTTATCTGTGTTCTCAAGGTTGTTTACATCTGCTGTATCTATATGGTGGAAATGTTTTATAATGGTGACCTCCCCAACTCTGTTCAGTGGTATCACATTGATAGCTTAAAAATGACCGCAGGCTAGCATTTACACCATGAAAATTGGCAAAGATTACGGCAAACTGTCACCCCTGCTGGGCCCTGAACCCCAAGCCAATTGATTAATATTTACCAGTGTCTCACTAGTTATGACTACTGTGTTCTATACTTGTTTGTGTGTTTAGTTTTGCTGCAAGACTGTGAGTTCCTTATGGTTTGGAACTTAAATCCGTAGGAATCCAGCACAATGCTTGGAGTTTAGTTGACAGACAAATGTTTTTAATTATTTAGTCTTTGGTTCAAATACTGGCTCCATCACTTACCTATCAGTATGACCTTGGTTATTTTAACCTCTGTTTATTGTTTAAAATGGGAATAATAATACCAGCCTTTCATGATTGGTGTGAGGATTAATGAGGAGACCTTGACGTGTGTCTGGTATACAATAGGTGCACAAAAGTAGTTGATTACTACTGTTACAACCTAAGAAGTCGACATAAATGCCATTAGGGTCCGGGCTTATACTGTATGTAGAGCTTTGTATTAAGTGTTTGACCACAAACTGGATGAGAATCAAGAATGTGGTAGTTATTTCTGTGTGCATATATACTTCTCCTTCCCACACAAAATAATGAGATAAATTAAAAGGAATATGATATATAAGAGGCAGGAAGCAATCCTTCTGTTGTATTTGGCATTGCTGAGACTCTTAGTACAGTATTACGTCCAGTTTTACATTGCTTATTTTAAAGAGGATGTCAAAAAACTATATGTAGTGTGTCCTGGGAAGAATCAACAACTATGATTAAAGGGATAGAAAAATAGGCCCTTCGAGGCAAGTTTAAGGAACTGAGTTTGTTTACTCTGGAAAGGAGATGGTAAAGGAGTTACTTAACTCTGCTCAAGTATATGAAGGGTTAGTTTAAGAAAGATACTCTCAAGTTCTCCAAATGCACAGTGGACTAAAAGAGGAAATCGACATTTCATTTAAAGAAAATTGTGTTAAACACTTAAATTGTCTATCAAGGGATATCATGGAATCTCTGTTTTTGAAAATATTTAAAAAGAGTAGCAGCAGATGATTATTTATTGAAAGGTTTAAATGCTTGACCTCATGAAAGTGAGAGGTAGGATTGTAGATGTTGTAGCCTTTTCTACTTCTTTGATATGATTTTCTTATATTTACTGTAACTTACCAAGCATATTCCAGATATCTTATTGGAAGACCACTTACAATTTTGATAACATTATGTTTTAGCTTGCATTGCATCTTAGTTGCTGGATTTATCTTGAATGAAAACATTCAGTATTATCAATCTGCTAGTAAGCAATTTAAATGGAAGTTTATATATAAAACACTACACATTTGTATTTTTATACCCATTTTGACATATCTGAAGCATTACGCAAGTATTCATTAAGATTTTTTCACCAAATAATACATTACAGATATTTTGTAACTCTTTTGTGACAGGGAGTCCTCTTGGTATATGATATTACAAATTATCAAAGCTTTGAGAATTTAGAAGATTGGTATACTGTGGTGAAGAAAGTGAGCGAGGAGTCAGAAACTCAGCCACTGGTTGCCTTGGTAGGCAATAAAAGTAAGTTATTACTGCTTGTTTATGTATGGTACAGTTTACTTGCTGTTGTGGACAGAATGTTTGTGTCCCCCCACCACCCCCAATTTATATGTCAAAGACCTAATCCCCAAAATGATGGTGTCTGGAGGTGGGGTTTTGGGAGGTAATTAGGTCATGAGAGTGGAGCCCTTAAGAATGACATCTGGCAGGGCGCAGTGGCTAATGCTTGTAGTCCCAGCACTTTGGGAGGCCAAGGCAGGGGGATTGCTTGAGGCCAGGAGTTTCGGACAAACCTGGCCAACATAGTGAGACCCTTGTCTCTATTTAATTAAAAAAGAGAATGGGATTAATGCCTTCATAAGAGACATGAGAGAGATAATTCTCTCTGCCATGTGAGGATAGGCAAGAAGGTGGCTGTCTGCGAACCAGGAAGAATGCCCTCACTGGATACTGAATCCGTCAGTACCTTGATCTTGGACTTTACTTACCGAAGTTTGAGAAATAATGTTTGTGGTTTAGGCCATAGTCTATGCCATTTGTTATGGCAGCCCAAACAGAGGACTTATTGAGACATTTGCCTATCCTGTAGTTTTAATTCCTACAAAGAAATATTTGATATTTGGAAACAGCTTTTCTGGAGTGAGCAAATTATTTGAGTAGAAAATTCCTAAGAGTGTGTACAATCTTTTCAATAACTGTTTTGATGCGTGGTCTATTATAACTGCTCCGCTGCTTTGGTCAATTCCTGTGAAGGTAAGTTTAGTTCTGACAGTGTGTGTTTTGGCTTCCTGTGGTCTAGGAAAGCAGCATGGATTATGAAGAACAGCAACACAGCTGCAGATTTTATGATATTGCATTGCAGTTTCAGCTCTGTCCCAGAGGTTTTGAGCGATGCATTTCATTGAATGATCTCCTATTTTAGGGAAGAAAGAAGTGTCTACATTGGAATTTTATATGCATTGTTTCTTGCTCCTGTCTCTTATAAACTTCCTCTTCTAAATTTTTGTTTTTTTTCTGAAATATAATTTTTTTTTTTTGAGAAAGAGTGTACTAGGGAGAAGAGTGGTTCTTGGTAAAAATTATGGGTTTGTTAGTAATTTTGAGACCTGTCTCAAATGATAGATAGCAGAGAAAAATTATAAAACTGAACTCAGTACATGACTGGTTTTTGGTTCCTAGTTCTGCAATGCAGTGACTTAGAAAAAGAGACATTAATAAAGGTTTTCAAATATAGTCATGTGTTGTTTAACAACAGGATATGTTCTAAGAAGTGTATTGTTAGGCAGTTTCATTGTGTGAACGTTATAGAGTATATATTAGGGTTCTGTAGAGGGGCAGAACTAATAGGATAGATGTATATATGAAAGGGAGTTTATTAAGGAGAATTGACTCACATGATCACAAGGTAAAGTCCCACGATAGGCCATCTGCAAGTTGAAGTGCAAGGAAACCAGTAGTGGATCAGTCCGAGTCCCAAAACCTCAAAAGTAGGGAAGCCAACAGTGCAGCCTTCAGTCTGTGGCTGAAGACCTGAGAGCCGCTGGCAAACCACCAGTGTAAGTCCAACAGTCCAAAAGCCACAGAACTTGGAGTTTCATGTTCGAGGGCAGGAAGCATCCAGCACAGGAAAAAGATGGAGGCCGGAAGACTCAGCAAATCTGCTTTATTCTAGCCATACTGGCAGTTGATTAGAGAGTGCCCACCCAGATTGAGGGTGAGTCTGCCTCTCCCAGTCCACTGACTCAAATGTTAATCTCCTTTGGCAACACCCTCACTGACACATGCAGGAACAATACTTTGCATCCTTCACGCCAATCAAGTTGACACTTAATATTTACCATCACATAGAGTGTATTTACACAAACCTATATGGTATGGCCAACTACACACCTAAGCTATATGGCACAGCCTATTGCTCCTAGGCTACAAACTTGTATAGCATGTTCCCATACTGTAGGCAGTTATAACACAATGGTGAGTATTTATCTGTCTAAGCATAGAAAAGGTACAGTAAAAATACGGTATAAAAGCTCCATTATAATCTTATGGGACCACCATCATATATGTAGCCCGTTGTTGATAGAAACATTGTTATGCAACACATGAATGTATGTGAAATATTATATGATTCGTTGTTTTCTAACTTATTTGAGGTCAGAAAAAGAGAAAATGATTTCAGATTTTACCATGGAAGATTTAGGTCAGGTATTATTTCCTGACAACAAGAGTTGTTAAATCAATACCTACATACATTACCAAGAGAATTATCTTTTCCAAAGGTCTTTAAAAATGTAGTACATTTTTTTTTCTCTGTAATTGTTTAGGAAGCAGTGCTTCCTGAAAGACCAAACCAAGATTTTTGCATTATGTGGCTTTGCACACTAGATGAGTATTTAATAAGTTCAAGCTTAATTTAAAACCATGATGACACAGGTGTGAATGTCATTTCTCTGAGGAGTTAAAAATACAGGCATTGTCATACTATCATACACTCTGGAAAATGGTATTACATATCATAAAATGTTATGGCTTGGGTAGAAATTGTAGTTTGCTTTTTTAAAAGCTTTAGTTAAATTTTGCTCATTTGTTTTGCAAATGATTCTTTTTAATTGAGTGAATCAGATGCTTTTCAGTTCATTGAAAATCCCCCTTTGACAAATCATGTTTTGATGAGCTTACGTTCTGTTTCTGGGTTCAGCTTCTCATTTTAGTTGTCATACAAAGCGTTGGCTTATATTATGGTTAAGTATGTGCTTTATTGGAGGTTTTGCATTACCTTATGAGAAATTATAGAGTGTTTGTGGGAGAGGCGTTATGATTTGTTTTAATTTTTTTCAGGATATAATCTAACTACCACTAGGGATAATGTGTAGTGGTACATAATTATATACATTATGTTATATGTATGCTATCCTGTGAGGCATCCATCATTGGTCACTGTCAAAGACAGGCTGTTAGAGTAGATGGGCTATTGGACTGGACTGGTGGTGGCATGCCCATGTTTTAAAAACAAATATTTGTACAAGTTATTTGAATTTATGCAAGAAATTAATACAGTGTTATGTTGGAGATTTAATAGCATAAAAGACAAGAGGTTTTTTTTTTTCTTTTTTCTTTTTTTACTTTTGGCATAGCTATAACCCCTTTGTATGTATTTATAATACACTCTTTCAGTATGAGATTATATATTAGTGTATGCAGTCACACAGAATGTTATATATGTAAGATAAAGAGATTATAGATAAATATTTTCCTGAATATTATTTACTACATAATCTGTCACTGGCCCAATTTCATGTGATCATGTAATGAAAGATCCTTCTGCAGTTAAGCCTATTAGGGCTTTAACCCTAAGTCTCCTGAATATATTTTAATTTCTATTTCCAAATTAATGTTATATTGGTATGGTATAATAGTATGTACTTATTTTCTTTTGGGAGGGATATAATTATATTAAAAGGCAATACAATTAACAAAGATTTTTCACACTGGTTAAAGGCAAAGCAAGAGATGTGATGGAAAGACATGTGAAGCTGGGTTATTATACTCATTACATAAACATAGTGATCTTCTTCCTAAATGTGGTTTTAAAATTTATCCTTGTGTCCCTTTCTTTACAACTTAGATAGAATGCATATGTTGAAAAGAAATGTGTAGGCTGTGGAAATACTGGTAGCAGTAGCCAGCTTTTAGTTAAAGTTAGTAGAAGGAGGGAGAGAAAAAGAGAGGGTGAATACACATTTCCGTACAAGTTACAGGATTATTTGCTTTTTATTAAAATATATTAAACCTTCAGAAATTTGGGCTGAGGATAGAGGATATTCTGATTATGGACTTATTTTTATTAAAAGTTAAATTTTATGGTTAACTATCCAGAGTAACTAGAGTAGGTTAATGAAATGGCAAATAGAGGAAGAGATTTCTTTTAATGAAATGAAAGAATGGCAACTAGTACGTTAACTATTTCAGTATATAATTCTTAAAAATGTACAGTTATTAAAATGAATTATTCCGTGTTCTATTTTTAAAGGCTATCAGATGCTAATTAGTGTTATTTTGTTTTACTATTTAAGTATTAAATGAAATAATGAGGTCATAGAGCTTTGGATTTAGACAGACTGCTTACAAGCCCAATTTCTTCATTCAAGAGCAGTGTGACATCATACAAGTTACTTTACGTTTTTATGCCTCAGTTTCCTGCATCTGGAAATCAGGGTAATAGTTTATGTTGGATAAAGCTGATTTAAAGATTAAATGAGATATTGTGTGAAAAGCACTGTGCTTGTGGTCTTTTGCATAGTAAGTGCCCAGTAACTATGAATTAGTTTATTAACCATAATGGCCTTCTAAAAGTACTGAGCATAGATAGCTTCAACTTGATTTATCACAAATTGCAAATTAGTAGAGCTAAAATTCATGTTCTGTGAAACTTTCCTGGAGAAAATGTTTATTAGAGAATTTCCTTATTACCATCTTATTTCTGTTCTCCCCTACCCCACCCCACCAGAGATTGATAGTTCTTATATTATGTGTTGGGTAGGGCCATTCTTTCACTGAACATTTTTGAGAATCTGTTATGTGTATTAAGCTAGCCATTGTAAATTTGCTGAAAGGTTGAGACAAAGAGAGTCTTTAAGGAGTGATGGGAACCTGCCAACCTAGATCTTAATCTTATTCTCTGCCATCTTCAAATTAAAAAAAAATTTCTTTGTTTTGCTGTGTCTGGTTGTTGAGATTAATAAATACACTTATGGACTTTAGCAAGATGGCTTTAGCAAGATGAGTGAATAGAGACATCTGGCACTTGGTGATCGGAAGTCCAGAAGGGTGGTGTGGAGACACCCAGCCTCTGCAGCTCCATCTCCCCTGTCCAGATCAGATTGGTCCAGAGACAGGAGAGACTTCCCCTTGTGGGGAAAAGGTAAGCAGAAGCTTCCTACTAGTCCCCATTGCCACCACAAACATCTACATTCCTTACTGCAGGAGAATCCCACAGTTCTTGCAAGTCCTGACTCTAGTTTGGAGAGATCCTAGGAATTCACACAGCTGCCTTGCTCCGGATTACTAGCACAAGATGTGCATTCCTCACTCCCCACCCACGCCTTGTGAGTCAAGCTGCTGCAGCATGGTGCCATCTTGAGACGAGAGCCACCTCTGGAGTGTGCACTCTTCTGGGGGTCAGTAGCATTTGGACCTCTCCAGCACTGGGATTCCATCTTCATTCCACCAAGCCCAAATGTGTGGCTGAACACCACAGCCTCAGCTGCTCAGAGCCTGGGCCCATGATCGGCTGTGACTCTGGTCCTGCACAGCAGGGGAACCAGTCCCCACTGCCCACACTCAAGTAAGAGGAAAAGTCTGGCAGTCCTCCCCAGGGCAAACCTGCCCTTGAGCCAGCCAAACTGCTGTGTACCTTCCCCTGAGCAGGAGAGATCCTTGAACCACTGAGTGGCTTACATACCCTCAGGCTGGTAGAGTGGCTATGTGTCTGTGCCCAGGTCCGGAGAAACAGCCCACTGGGTGACTTCTGGCAGACACAGCCCCAGGCTGACCGAGCATCTGTGTGTCTGCATCCCCTGCCTGAGAAACAGCTCCATAGGCTGCCCCTGGCAAATACATCCCCAGGCTGACCTAGCAACTGTGCATCCTTGTCTTAGGTCTGAGAAACAGCCCCATGGGCTGCCCCTACCAAATATCCTCCTAGGCTAGCCATCAATATTCTGGGTCTGAGAAACAACCCTGCAAGCCACCTCTGGCAGAAATGCCCCTAGGCCAGCTGAGCAGCTGTGTGCACCTGTCCCAGGCCTGAGAAATAGCCCTGTGGGCTACCTCCAGCAGACACACACCCAGGCCAGCTGAGAAGCTGTGTAGCCATGTACTGGACCTTAGAAACAGTCCTTGGCAGGTACTCCCCCAGGCTGGACTAGCAGCTGTGCACTTATGCCCCCAGCCAGAATAACAGACTGCAAACCAGACCCTAAGTTGGCCAACTTACCATGTGCATGTATGCACCCTGACCTGAGAAACAGCCCAGCAAGCCCACCCATGGCAAAGTTGCACCATCGCTGCCACATACTCTCTCAGCCTTGGCCACCGAGCTACTCATAAATGTCATGAATGTGGATTACAACTGAAGAAACTGCATAGAGAAACACTACTGTGTCCAACTAGAAACAAACCCAATGCACCTTCACTAAACTGACACCCAGGGCCCATCTATATGAGTAAGTCTCTTCTTATCCTACTCCATAAAATTAGAAGAGGTGACTCTTCTACCAGATGCATAGAAATCAACATACGGACACATCAAACATGAAAAAGCAAGGAAACGACACCTTTAAAGGAATATAATAATACTTCAGTAATAGACTTTAATCATAAGGAAATATACAAAATGCCAGAAGTGGAATTCAGAATAATAAGGAAAGTCAGTGAGATACAAGAGAATATAGGTAGAAAATTCAACAAAATCAGGAAAATAATTCATGATATGAATGAGGAATTTAACAGAGAGATGGATATAACCCATAACCAATCAGAAATCTTAGAGCTGAAGAATTTAATTAATGAAATAAAAAATACTATCAGGAGCTGCAACAACAGATTTAGACCATGCAGAAAAAAGAATTCTGCAACTTGAAGACAAGCCTTTTGAAATAGCACAGACAAAAATAAATAACTAAAAAAAGAAAAAAAATGAAGAAAATGTATAGGATTATTGTGGCAAAAAATATAGGATTATTAAGTGAACAAATACTTATATTATGGAAGTTCCAGAAGGAAAAGAGAAGAGACAAGTTGTAGGAAACTTATTTATTGAACTAATAGCCAAAAACTTCTTAATTTTGAAAGGCAGATGAACATTCACATCGAGGAAGCTCAAAGAACCTGAAGTAGATTTAACCCAAAGAGGTCCTCTTCAAGGCACATTATAGCCAAATTGTCAAAAGTCAAAGAGAATTCTAAAAACAGCAAAGAGTAGTGTCAAGTCACATATAAGGGAATTGCTAGTGGACTAACTGTGGATTTTTCAGCAGAAACCTTACAGGCCAGGATAGAATGGAATTACCTATTGAAAGTTCTGAAAGAAAAAAAAAACCCGTCAGCCAAGAATATTAGAATATTAAACCCAGCAAAGCTATCCTTTTTAGACAAGCAAGAACTGAGAGAATTCATTGTCACCAGACTGGCCTTAGAAAAAATGTTCAAGGTACTCTTACATCTGGAAGTTCAAAGACAGTAACCACCATCATGAGAACACGTGAAACTAAAACTTGCTGCTAGAGCCAATACACAAAGGAAAAAGAGAAAGAAAGAAATCTTTCCCAACAGAAAACCATTCAACTATAAGAATAAGCAATAAGGAAGTAAGGAACAAAGGGTATACAGAACAACCAGAAAGCAGTCAATAAAATGACAGGTATAAGTCTTCACCTGTCAATAATAATTTTGAATTTAAACTAATTACATTTCTTATTTAAAAGATAGACTTATTTAATATATTAAGACAAATAAACAAAACAAGACCCAACCATATGCTGCCTACCAGAAACTTAAAGACACACATAGACTGAAAGTGAAAGGATGGAAAAAGATATTCTATACAAACAGAAACCAAAAGCAATCAGGAGTAGCTATACATAAATCAGACAAAACAGACTTCAAGTCAAAATCTGTACAAAGAGACAAAGGAGGACATCATATAATAATAAAAGGATGAATTCAGCAAGAGAACATAACAATTGTAAATATATACATATCTGATATCAACACTCAAATATTTAAAGCAAATATTATTAAATCTAAAGGTAGAGATAGACTCTAATACAGTAATAGTTGTTGACTTCAGCACCCTACTCTCAGCATTGGACAGACAACCTAAACAGAAAATCAACAAATAAACATTGGATTTAAACTGCATGATAGACCAAACTGCACCTAACAGACGTTTACAGAACATTTCACCTGCCCAACAACTACATAATAAACCTTCTTTCCATCAGCACCAGGAAATTTCTCAAGGATTGACCCATGTGTTAGGATACAAAATAAGTGTCAAAAAAATTTAAAAAAATTGAAATCATATCAAGTATCTTATCTGACTATATGGAATAAAACTAGAAACCAACAGTAGATGAACATTCAAAACTATACAAATAAATGGAAATTGAACAATATTCTAAATGACCAGTGGGTGAGGGAATAAATTAAAAAGGAAATTTAAAAATTTCTTGAAAGAAATGAAAGTAGGAACACAATATACAAAAAGTTATGGGACACAGCAAAAGCAATACTAAGAGGCAAGTATGTATCAATAAATGCCTGCATCAAAAAGCTGGAAGGATTTCAAATAAACTGCAATGAATCTCAAGGAAATAGAATGCAAGGACAAACCAAACCCAAAATCAGTAGAAGGAAAGAAATAATAAAGATCAGAGCAGAAATAAATGAAACTGATACTAAAAAAACAAACAAAAATTTCAACAAAACAAAAAGTTGTTTTTTAAAGATATAATCAACAAACCATTAGATACACTAAGATAAAAGGGAAGACTCAAATAAATAAAATCAGAAATGAAAAAGAAGATGTCACAATAGATACCATAGGACCAAAAAGGATCATTAGAGACTCCAGTGAACAACTATACACAGTTTTGAGCTTAATAAATAAATAAAGCAAGCAAGCAAGCTGAAGATCTGACTGCTAAAGTTGAAAACATACTACAAAGCAGTAGTAAGCAAAATGGCACAGTACTGGCATTAAAACAGACACATAGACCAACGAAATGGAATAGAGAATACAGAAATAGATTCACATATTTACAGTGAATTAACTTTTAACAAATGTTCAAGAACACTCAGTGGGGAAAGGACACTCTCTTCAATAAATGCTGCTGGGAAAATTGGATATCCATATGCGAAATAACAAGACTAGACCTTCACCTCTCACCCTATACAAATACAATAAATATAAAATCAATTAAAATGTATAAAAAACCTAAATGCAAGATGTAAACTAACACTACTAGAGGAAACATAGAGAAAACACTTCAGGACATTTGTCTGGGAAAAGATTTTATGAATAAGACCTCACAAACATAGGCAACAAAAGCAAAAATAAACAAATGGGATTATTGCAAATTTAAAAACTTCTAAATGACAAAGGAAACAACCAACAGAGTGAAAAAGTAATCTACAAATTGGGAAAAAATATTTGTAAACTACTTATCCAACAGGGGATTAATAACCAAATTATAGAAGGGATGCAGACATCTCAACAGCAAAAAACCAAAACAAAAGACAAAAACCAAAAAAAAAAAAACCCACCCCAAAAACCTAATCCAATTTAAAAAATGGGCAAATGATCTGAACAGACATTTTTCAAAAGAAGACATAGAAATGGTCAACAAGTATATGAAAAAAATGTTCCAACATCACTAATCATCAGGGAAATGCAAATCAAAACCACAATGAGGTATCATCTCAGCCCAGATAGGATGGCTATTATAAAAAATACAGAAGAAATAACAAATGCTGATGAGAATGTGAAGGAAAAGAACTCTTATACACTGTTAGTGGGAATCTCATCTCATATAAACTACAACAGTAGCTTCTTAAGTGGTCTTCCTGCCTAGACTTGCTTTCCTACAGTTCTGTTCCCAAATTGCAGATCAGATTATAAGACTTTTCTGCTTAAAACTCTTTGGTTGGATTACATCAAATGAAATCCAAACTCCTTACCCAAATTTACCAATGTTAGGGGATTGAGCTCTTACCTACTACTCAGACTTCATCTTCCACATGCTTCTTCGCCCATTATAAGTGCAAGGCATGTTTATTTTTTTTTCTGTTTCCAAAACATTCCAAATTCATTTGTATCATACTTAGAATTTCCTATGCTTGAAATGATTTTCCCTCTTGTCTTTGCTTTTAGGTAGCTCAATTTTGTCATTCACATCTCACCTTCAACATCATCTTTTTAAAGTTTCGTTCTAAAGGAGCCACCCAGTCTTCCTTTCTGTCAAGCCATTAAGTTTCAGTTATCTGCATATTCTTATTGTCATCTGATATATTGTTTCTTGTCTGTATTTCCCCACTAAAATCTAAACTCTGAAAGCTAAGGATCTCATCACTTACAACAGTGCTTTAACTAATACCAAATGAATGAATAAAAGCCTTTTCATGCAGACTGTTGGAATTATAAGTGTTTATGGCCCTGGATGTGTTATTCAGGGAAAATGATTTTTTTAATGGGGGAAAATACATATGTAGATATAGGGAATCCATTAGATGGCCTTTAGGGCCAAGTGGCCTATTGAATGCCACCCTGATGAATAATGTCAGAGGGAGTTCCTTGGGAAATACATCATAGTTTTATACTAGATCATGTTTGAAATAAAATTTCATGGATTTTATGTTATAATTTTAGGTTAAATAAATATGAAAGACTTAGGAAGTTTGCTTCTTAAATCCTAACTTGTGGCTTTTACATATATGTTAGAAATCTAAGCTTTTGACTTTTTATTTACAATTTTTTGTGTTTAGTTAAAAAATCATAATCTGTACTGAATTACAGTTTTAATTTTTCAGTGTTTCAGGCAAGGGTATAATTGAAATGAAGTGGAAATTCAGGAATATTAACTTCTAAAAAATTAATTTTTAAAAAGATTAACTTTTTAAAAAGATTAATTTTAAGTTCAATGTTTTATAACCACATGGCATTTTAATTTGTCATTTTGTTATTTTCTATCTTTAATCCGTTATGCCTTTATACTATCTGATCCATCAGCTAGTTTCTCTCCTGACTAGCTAACATTCTCAGTTGGATAGATTATAAACAGAATTAACAGGGGTTACATAGAAGCTGCCCTCTTCCTGATTTATAGCTTCTTAGTTAGTGGAGGGGTGGTGGTTATCGGTAACTTGTATTGGGGGTGGGAATTATCATGCTCCAGTACAGAGTGGATGGATGAATGATTTCTACTCTTAAAGATGTTAACCAGATCCTTTTGCAAATAAAGACTAATAACTCAGATTTTTAAACAATCTTCATGACAGATGAGGGCATAGAGAAGAGTGCATCAACACTAATTAAGAATGTTGAGTGTATATTCTTCTTAACAGTGATTGATAGTTCTTGGAGTACTATCTCTGCCCAGGAAGTGATGTTTTACATTGGAAAGTTTAAAGGTTACGTTTTAATGTACCCTATAAGTTGTGTTCCCTGAACTCAGTGAAAATGTATTAGTAAAATAAGTAAACTTCAAGTTGAAAATTTTACTTATGGTCTCAATACAATTATCAGCAGGCTTTTAAAAGAGACTTTTTTCCTCAGTAATAGGGAGGTATAAGAAATGGTTATATGTCCAGTTTGAAAACCATTGGAATTTATATGAAATTACTTGCCTATACTGTGACTCTTTTGAGTCTTCAAAAATTCTTTATCTGTAAAATAGACATGTGAAACTATTAAATTGGTAATATTTAATTTATTTTGAAGGATTCATATCAACTTGTATAAAATTTATCACCTATAATATTATACCAAAGTGAACAAGTCATTGTTACCAATTTGTTTAAGAGAGCTTATAATTTATGAAGCATAAACAGAAACTTTTTCGGGGATTTGAAAAGTTCATTCTCTTTATACATTTTAAGCTAAAACATTCTGCCCTTTTAACCATTTCTTTTAGTACTTTGCTTCTTTTTTGTTCCAGATAATACTAATCCCAAAGTATCAGAACCAAGTGTCTTTTTCAGATGGAGCTAATATTTCTGTCTCTATTGCTGCTGCTGCTGCTGCTGCTTTTTCTTTTTTTAACTTCTTTTCACATGTAAATTTTTCAAATAGAAGTGTGATCATTTACTTACTGGAACATACTGAGATCATTCTATATATTGAAAGAGAAAGTATTTTGTTATATATACTTAAAGCTGTTCCCTCACATGATACTTCACACTCCTTATTGTATTTTAAGGACATGTTGATAGCATTTCAAGTTTAATTGGCTGAGTAGTATCTCCAAATCAAATGCATAAGCTTGCCTTCAGACTGTTGTTGTTACTGACAACTGTTGGGGAATAAAATAGCAAATGAGTGCTGTTTCATAATATCAATCAAAAACTGTTTTTCATCTGACAGTTGTTGTAGTGATGTTATTTTGTTATTTCATAGTTACTTTTTTGGATAGCCTGCCCCAAACCATTTTGACAGTACTGTAATTTACTTTGTCTAAGCAATATTATGGTTTTTGTGGTTATGTTTTCATTGGTTTTGGAGGAGTTGTATAAGCATTTTGATATAACAATTTGTTTATATGATATCTCTCCATCTTTTTGTCATAATAGAGAAGATTTATTAAATGCTAATAAAAGCATAATTCATCTTATTTGTTTTCTTTTAGGATGAATCTTTGATTTTAAATTTTAGAAGAAATTATTAAATGTTAGTATCAAATAAAGAACACAGAGCTATAGAAACATTTCTTTGTGAAAAAGGAATTTGGAAAATTTTATTAATTTAAGCCCCTTTAATAATGTATTTTAGTCTGTATTTGCAGTGGTTGTGGAAAAAAGCCAAAATAATTTAAAGGAATACTAGACTGGGTATCAGAAAACTTTAGATATTTTTCTAGGTGCTGTAATTTTATCTAGTTACGTGAGCTTGGACAATTCCCTTAACCACTTATGGTCATCCTCTTGTATAAAATGAGAGGATACTAGTGAATAATACCTAAGCATCTTTGACTCCTAAAATTTGATGACCCAAACTATGTTTAGTTTTAAGGTTGCTTAATTGAACATGGTTATTTCCAGACAGTTTTAAGAGCATTTAATTTTAACTTCATTTGTAGTTTAAACCTTGTCTTCTTAGTTTTTGCAGAGATGACTTTTTGGCTGTATTTTATCATTCAATTGTTAGATTATTAAGATCCTGTTTGCATGTATGGTATATGATGGATAGGTACATATACATCATCATAATAAATATAGCTATTAATAATAATAAATCTGGATTTATTGAATTCTCACTATTTGCCAGGCAAACCCTGGACATATGGCCAACTTTAAGGGTATTTTGGGGGCTCTAAATCGCTTTTTTAAAAAAAATTTAAATTGTTCCTGAAGTTAGAATTTAAGTATTTTCCACTTTATGTGACATTGTTTTCTGAAATTTCACATGAATGTGTAGTTTTGCAGTGTAAGTAAATCAATTCAACAGGTATGGTCTTTCTCTCTCTCTCTCTTTTTTTTATAACAGAAATTTATTATCCCAAGGTTCAGAGGTACAAACCAGGTTCAGAAATATGAAACTAAGGCGCAGGCAGGGCTCTTTAAGATATAAAGAGGGAGGGATCTAGGAAAAGGACAGATCAAGAAAGACTTTGTGGGCCATCGTATGGGCTTTTGGCTTTTACTGCAAGTGAGATGGAAAGCCTTCAAAGGTTTTGAATAGTGTGCAGTGATTTAATTTGTATTTGGAAAGGATCACTATGGCTCTTGTTTTGAGAGTATGCTATAGTGGATAAGAGTAGAAGCAGGGAGACCAGATAGGAGGCTTTCGATGTAATCTAGGTGATAAATAATGGTGGCATGGACCAGAGTGATAGCAGTGGAAGTAGTGAGAAGTGGTTGGCTAGGAATAATAGATTCTCTCACAGTTGGTTGTGGAGTAGAGGGGAGAAGAAGCAACGTAATGCCAAGATTTGGGGCCTAAGCATCTGGCAGGCTAAAGTTGCATTTACTGAGATGAGTAAAACTGTTAAGAGGAATAGGTTTTGGGTAAGGATTAAAAGTTTGGTTTTAGATATGTTAAGTGTGAGGTGCTTATTAAGCATATATGTGGAGATGTTTAGTAAGCAGTTGGATATATGTATCTGTAATTCCAGGGTAAGATGTAGTCTAGAGGGAGGGGCCAAAATGACCGAGTAGAAACAGGGTCCTGTCTGCAGCTCCCAGCGAGAGGAACACAGAAGGTGGGTGATTTCCGCATTTCCAACTGAGGTACCAGTTCATCTCATTGGGACTGGTTAGGCAGTGGGCGCAACCCACGGAGAGCGAGCAGAAGCAGGATAGGGCATCGCTTCACGTGGGAAGTGCACGGAGCCGGGATCCCCCTCCCCCAGCCTAGGGAAGCGGTGAGGTCCTGTGCTACCTACCCCGGGTGCTACGCTTTTCCACAGATTTTTACAATCCATGGATCAGGAGATTACCTTGTGAGCCTACACCACCAGGGCCCCGGGTTTTAAGTACAAAACTGGGTGGCTGTTTGGACAGGCACTGAGCAGCAGGAATTTTTTCATATTCCTGTGGCACCTGGAACTCCAGTGAGACAGGAAAACTGTCCACTCCCCTGGAAAGGGGGCTGAAGCCAGGGAGCCAAGCGATCTTGCTCAGTGGATCCCACTCCCACAGAGCCCCGCAAACTAAGAACCACACTAGCTTGAAATTCCCACTGCCAGCACAGCAGTCTGGAGTCGGACTGGGAGGACCAAGTTTGGTTGGGGGAGGGGCTACCGCCATTACTGTGGCTTTAGTAGGCGGTTTTCCCGACGGTGCTAAGGAGACTCGGAGGTTTGAACTGGGCAGAATTCACCACAGCCAGCAAAGTGACTGTGGCCAGACTGCTTCTCTTAATTCCTCCTTACTGGGCAAGGCATCTCTGCAGGAAATCCAGCAGCTCCATTCAGGGGCTTACAGATAGAACTCTCATCTCCCTTGGATAGAGCACCTGGGGGGAGGGGCGGCTGCAGACTCAGGTTCAGGGGACTTAATCTTTCCTGCCTGCTGGCTTTGAAGAGAGTGGCTGATCCTGACAAGGGAGATTCTCCCAGCACAGCATACCAGCTCTGCTAAGGAACAGACTGCTCCCTCAAGCAGGTCCCTGACCCTGTGCCTCCTGACTGGGAGAGACCTCCCAACAGGGGTTCACAGACACTTCATACAGGAGAGCTCCAGCTGGAATCAGGTCAATGCCCCTCTGGGATGAAGCTTCTGGAAGAAGGAATAGATAGCAGTCTTTGCTGTTCTTCAGCCTCCACTGGTGATACCCAGGCGAACAGGGTCTTGAGTGGACCCCCAGCAAACTGCAGCAGATCTGCAGAAGAGGGGCCTGTTAGAAGAAAAACAAATGGAAAGCAACGATAACAACAATATCAACAAAAAGACCCCACAAAAACCTTATCCACAGATCAACAGCCTCAAAGAGCAAAGGTAGATAAATCCACGAAGATGAGGAAAAACCAATGCAGAAACGGTGAAAATTCCAGAAGCCAGAATGCCTCTTTTCCTCCAAATGATCGCAACACTTCTCCAGGGCACAGAATGGGGCTAAAGCTGAGACGGATGAACTGACAGAATTAGGCTTCAGAAAATGGGTAATAATGAACTTCGCTGAGCTATAACCCAATGCAAAGAAGTTATGAACATTGATGAAAGGTTACAGGAGCTGCTGACTAGAATAACCAGTTTAGATAGGAACATTAAAGACCTGATGGAGCTGAAAAACACAGCATGAGAACTTCGTGAAGCATACACAAGTATCAATGGCTGAATCGATCAAGCAGAAGAAAGGATTTCAGAGTTTGAAGACCATCTTGTGGAAATAAGGCATGCAGACAAGATTAGAGAAAAAAGAAAAAAGGAATGCACAAAACCTCCAAGAAATATGGTACTATGTATAAAGACTGAACCTACGATTGATAGGATTACCTGAAAGAGATGGGGAGAATGGAACCAAGTTGGGAAAAACACTTCAGGATATTATCCAGGAGACCTTCCCCACCTAGCAAGACAGGCCGACATTCAAATTCAGGAAATACAGAGAACACCACCAAGATACTCCACAAGAAGATCAACCCTAAGGCACATGAGGTCTAGAGATAAAAGTTGGGGAATATATTTAGAGCCACTGGGATTGGATGACCTTAAGGAGTGAGTTTAAAAAGAGATGAGGTCTAAAGATTAAGCTTTGGGTTACACCCATGTCTTATTAAAACCACAATTAAATATCACCACACACTTCTTAGATGGCTGTTATCAAAAAGACAAAAGGTAAGTATTGGCAAGAATGTGAAGAAAAAGGAACCCTTGTATACTGTTCGAAATGTAAATTAGTACAGCCATTATGGGAAATAGTGTGGAGGTTCCTCAAAACATATGATCCAGCAATTCTAGTTCTAGTTATATATTTAAAGGAAATAAAATCAGTGTGTTGAAGAGAATCTTTACTCCCAAGTTCATTGCAGCATTATTCACTATAGCCAAGATATGGAGTCTGCCTATGTGTCCATCATTGGATAAATGGATAAAGAAAATGTGGCGCATATATATATATATTTGTATACACACACGCACACGAATACTATTCAGCCTTAAAAAAGAAGGAAATCGCGGCTGGGCGTGGTGGCTCAAGTCTGTAATCCCAACACTTTGGGAGGCTGAGGCGGGTGGATCATGAGGTCAGGAGATCGAGACCATCCTGGCTAACACGGTGAAACCCCGTCTCTACTAAAAATACAAAAAGTTAGCTGGGCATGGTGGCGGGCGCCTGTAGTCCCAGCTACTCGGGAGGCTGAGGCAGGAGAATGGCGTGAACCCGGGAGGCGGAGCTTGCAGTGAGCCGAGATCGCGCCACTGCACTCCAGCCTGGGTGACACAGCGAGACTCCGTCATGATAAAAAAAAGAAAAAAAAAAAAAAAGGAAATCCTGTCATTTTTGACAACATGGATGAACTTGGAGAACATTATGCTAAGTAAAATAAGCCAGGCACAGAACGACAAGCACTGCATGATATGACTTGTATGTGGAATCTAAAAAAGTTGAACTCTTAGAAACAAAGAATAGAATAGTTGTTGTCAGGGGATGGGCCAGCTGGAGACAGTGGGTAGATGTTGATCAAAGGGTACAAAGTATCACTTAGGATGAATAAGTTCTGGGGATCTATTGTACAGCATGGTAACTACAGTTAATAGAAACATAGACATGAAAATTGAGAAGAGAGTAGTTCTTTGGAGATCTTAAATGTTCTCACCACAAAAAATGACAAGTATGATAAGTGAGGTTATGGGTGTGTTAATTAGGTTGATTTAATTGTTTACAAGTATACACATGCCAAACATCATATTGTCCAAGGTAAATATATACAATTTTTATGTCAATTATACCTTAATAAAGCTGAGGAAAAAATAAGCACCTCACTTAGTGCTTATGATTTAGTAGCACATAAGATTATGTAAAAAGCATTTTGGCCAGGTGCGGTGGCTCACGCCTGTAATCCCAGCACTCTGGGAGGCTGAGGCAGGCGGATCATGAGGTCAAGAGATGGAGACCATCCTGGCCAACATGGCGAAATCCTGTCTCTACTAAAAATACAAAAATTAGCTGGATGTGGTGCTGTGTGCCTGTTGTCCTAGCTACTCAGGAGGCTGAGGCAGGAGAATTGCTTGAACTCAGGAGGTGGAGGTTGCAGTGAGCCGAGATCGTGCCACTGCACTCCAGCCTGGTGATAGAAGGAGACTCCGTCTCAAAAAAAAAAAAACCATTTATATTACACACATAGTTGTTGTTTTAAGATTTTTATTTTTTCTCTTTCATAGCCCTAACTTGAAGCTCAACAATTGTTTTGAAAATTAAATTATTAGCTCTAGCTAATCTCTTAATTTTCATTCAAAATTTCAAGTTTAAAAGATGAGAAATTGTAATTTCCTATAAGGATATTTATTTTATACTATGTTCTGCCACTTTGATATCTCTAACAGAGGGAGACTGTGGATAGTGGTTAAGGACACAGACTCCTAATCAAGACCACATCAATTCTGATACGGGTTCAGTTACTAACTGTGTGACTGTGGTAAGGTCCCTACCCTCTTTTTACCTTAGTTTTGTCATCTGTAAAGTGGGACTAATAATAGCACCTACCTCATAAGGAAATTATTGTAAGAATTTAAACTATATAAAGCTTCTAGAACCATATCTGTTATATAATAGTGCTATATGTGTTAGTTGTTATTGTCCTTCCCATTCTTGCTTCAAATCCTGTCTTCTCTTATGGGTAATGGGAGGAGGTCCTGCTAAATATATATATTTTTCTAATATAAAGATTTAAAAATAAAAAACTTGACAAATATTATGAAATATCTATGAAATACATAAATAATGATTAAAATTTTGGTTATAATTAATATTTAGAAGCCAAGCCTTCATTTAAATTATAGTTTAGAAGTTTTTTTTTTTTGGACATTTGCTTAAATTCTGCTGATGGAGGTGATATAATTTGATATCTAATCTGAATGGTGAAAGCTCTTGTGCTATTGCCATGAATTTTTATCTCAAGTTTATTTTGCTATGCAGACACGTGTGTAATAAAAAAAAAAGATGCTGCATAAACCATCATTTGAGTTTGAATGTGCTTCTGTTTTTGGTTGAGGTACAAATGTTATTTCTGGCTGTGTCCTTCATACTTAGCTCTTCTTACAACAAATGGAAAGTCCTTAATTGTACCTGAGGGAATAGTTAATCCACAGTGGACATATGGTGGACAAAAGCTGAGTCTACTAAATGAAATAAAATTGTAAATGGTGAACGTGAATGCCTACAAAGTCTTGCAGCCATGTAGGATTGACTATTTGAGATTACCCTGTTTTATGTATAACATAGTTCTTTTTTGGTGAGTTTGTGTGGTATATGTATTATAAATTTGATTTTAAAACGTGCTCTCAAGTTATGTATAAAGCATATTTATCTTTTTTACTGTTCATTGAGTTCGTGATGTGACTGATGTCAACAATAGAGGACGATGAGCTCACATTTTTGGAAAGTTACTGCTCTTTTGATTGGGGGCAGTTAATTAGCATTAACCCAGAACAGCTCTTGGGCTTTATGGATTTGGGTGTTATGTGGTTGCACTGCTCCAGCTAAAGGTTAAGTATTAATGGAAAATGGTCACAGCCCTTTTACTTAAAGAAAACATGTTACTTGTAAGTTTTCTTTTGATTTTACTTTTACAGTTACATTGAATGTCTTCATTCATTTAGCCATCCATAAAGCAAATATTGTTGCACATGCAATGGATAATAAGTCTTTTTAGGATTACTTGTGTGGTATGTCACAGATCATTAACTGCAAGTAACCACCTGACTTGAGGGAAGCCTGGAAGCATCATTATAGTGAAATAAGCTTTTATTTAGGTATCACTGTAGCACATTGATTTACAGAATTGTCACCAGTGGCTACTTTGAAAATATATTGTCATTATCATTTAAGGAATGGTAGAGATTAATTGCTGTAGACTATAACAAAGTTATGTTGATTACAGTGGAAAATATAAGAAATATTGTGGTCTGTATTTAATTACTTTTTAAAGGATTTTTAGGTAATTAATTAGGCTAAATCGAGTGATTCTTTAGGATGCTTTCAACTTTGTGTATGATTGAATATATGTATTAAAGGCATGTTTTCAGTTTTCCCTACTTTGAAATGCCTTTAAATTAAGAAGCATAGCAAGGGCGTAGCAAACTTTATGTAACTATTTAACACAGTTAATGCGTATTAACTTTCCTTTGTGAGTACATGGCATTATGTTCATCTTACTTCCACAACAAGACTTTAAGTCTACAAAAGAAAGACAACATCTAATTTAGTACTTTTGTATCACAGCGAGGGAAAAAATCAAGGATTTTTTCCTTCCTTCCCACTTATGTATTCAAACCCTACCAATTTTGCAAAGCTCCCATTTGAGTTCCACATTCCTAATCTTAATCCTTATTCCACATTCCTAATTGATTGGTTTCATTCTAAGGCCTTTCTCAGTGGCATGTACGTAGCTGTCTTCTCCTTTTGTCTTCTCATGTTTTTTTTTCTGTGCATGTGTCGTGTCCTTATCTCTTCTTACAGCGCTAGTCATAGTGAATTAGGGTCCATGCATATGGTCTCATTTTACCTTAATTACCTCTTTAAAGGCCCTGTCTCCAAATGGACTCACATTCTGAGGTACTAGGTATTAGGGTGTTAACATTTAATTCTGGGGTGATACAATTCAGTCCACATCAGAGCCATTGTGATCTGATGTTATAAATAAATCTCACATAATCATAGAATGTTGAAGCTAGAAGCATGTAGAAAGGTAATACTTTCTAATCTTGTAATTTTATTTTCTAACGAGGAAACCAAAAATAGAGCCCTTTGGTATGAAAAAGGGAATTAAATTTTTAGACAGGTTTTATATATATAAAAATATTGATTATTGTGATTAATTTGATTACTTAAATTATTTAAATAACTTTTTTGATAATAGTAGAATCAAATACAGATGCTGTGCAAATTAAAGAAGAAAATGTAAATGTAAAAGTAAATGGTGCCTCCTCACTTTTTTTTTCTATCCTCATACTTCTAATGGATGCCAAAAGAAGAGTGAAAGTGAGTTGATTCCAAATCTTGGTTATTTCTCTTCTTTTTGAACTATTACTTTTCTAATGACTTGTATCATGCTTAATAAATATGAAGCATATGAAATATCATCTTTAAGTTATTTTTGGAAGATGAGGTATAAATTAAGAATCTATTGGACACAATAAATTCATATTGTTACAATCTTTCAGTCTGTATATAAACAAAGGTTTTGATTTAGATACTTTTTTTCCAAGTGGATTGTCCTGGAGAAAATTTTTAGGTGCAGCAAGGCAGTCATGACACATTTAATATGTTATGATTAGTTGTGTTCTGTATTATGAATAATTTACTAATAATGTAGATGTAAATATATAAATAATGCTACTTTGTATTCTGATATAATTTCTAAAGAGAGAAATGGATGGAGATAACAGCTAGTGCTTTGGGAATTGTACGTATATAGTTGTGTTTGAGGGCATTATGGTACTAGGCTCACTCTTTGGGTGATGGGTTCAACAGAAGCCCAAACCCCAGCATTATGCAATATGCTCATGTAACAAACCTGCATATATGTGTTCTCTGAATCTAAAGAAGATAACAACAACAAAAAATGGATCAAAGGCCTAAACTTAAGAGCTAACACCATAAAAATCTTAGACGAAAACATAGGTATAAGTTAACATGACCTTGGGCCAAGTGCTTATGCCGGTAATCTCAGCACTTTGGGAGGCTGAGGCAGGTGGATGGTTAGGGGCCAGGAGTTTGAGACCAGTCTGGCCAACATGGTGAAACCCCATCTCTACTAAAGATACAACAATTAGCTGAGCATGGTGGCACACTCCCAGCTACCCATGAGGCTGAGGCATGAGAGTTATTTGAGCCTGGGAGGTGGAGGTTGCGTTGAGCCGAGATTGTGCCTCTGCACTCCAGCCTGGGTGACAGGGCGAGACTTTGTCTGAAAAACAAAAACAAAACCAATATGACCTTGGATTAAAACAACAAGTGTCTTAAATACTTAAATATAAAACCTAAAGCACAAGCAACCAAAGAAAAAAATATTACATCAAAATTAAAAATTTGTGTGCGTCAAAGGACATTAGCAAGAAGATAAAATCAAGTCTGTAGAGAGAGAAAATATTTACAAATCATGTCTGATGAGTATAATATCGTATAGAAAATACTTGAACCTCAACAATATAAAGACAAATAACTCAATTTAAAAATGGACAGCAGATTTGAACATACATTTCCCTAGAGAAGATATACAAATAGCCATTAAGTACATGAAAATATACTCATCATTAATCATTGGGAAAATGTCAGTGAAAACCACAATAAGACAACATGTCACACCCAGTAGGATGGCTATAATAAAAAAAAGAATAGAATAACAAGTGCTGGTGAGGCTGTGGATAACTTGGAACCCTCATATATTGTCCAGTAGAAATGCAGCTGCCGTGGAAAACAACTTGGCAGCTCCTCAAGAAATTGCAGTTAGGCAGCTCCTCAAAAAGTCAGTTACCTTATGACCTAACAGTTCTACTCCTAGGTATCTTCCC
The DNA here is from genome assembly GCF_000001405.40 of Homo sapiens. Taxonomy (NCBI): domain Eukaryota; kingdom Metazoa; phylum Chordata; class Mammalia; order Primates; family Hominidae; genus Homo; species Homo sapiens. The sequence continues at coordinate 13,438,771 of NC_000004.12, read as the reverse complement.
AAGAGAAATGAAAATGTATGCCCACACAAAAATTTATATACAAATATTCAAAACAACATTATTCATAGTAGCCTAAAAGTAGTAACAGCCCAAATTTCTATTAGCTGAAGAATGGATAAATCGGGAACAAAAAGTAATATTATTCAGCCAAAAAAGGAGTGACATACTGATACATGCTATAACATGTATGAATCTTGGAAAGATTATTATAAATAAAAGAAGCCAGGTAGAAAAGGCCACCCATGTATTTCATGATTCTATTTATAAGAAGTTTTCAAAATAAGTAAATCCATAAAGACAGAAAAAGTAGGTTGGGGCTGAGGAGAAAGCAAGAAGGGGAGGGAAAGGTAATGACTACTAATATGTGTAGGGTTTACTTTTGGTGTGATGAAAATGTTCTGGAATTAGATAGTGGTGATGGTTGCACAACCTAGTGAATATGCTAAAAACTGTACGCTTTAAAATGTTCAACTTTATGATATGTGAATTATGTCTCAATTTTGAAAGATTCTATAACTATAACCTTAAACAATTTTAAAAATAATATGGTTTATAGTCTTATAGGGTGATATAAAGTGTTTTGATTCGTATTTTACCAATCTGGATTAATACATGGACAACAAAACTTTGGATCATGCATACGAAACTCGAAGATCCTCTCTTAATATTTTAATTTTTCTCCAATACATTTGACTTAGGGTAATGGCCTCCAGATGCATCAATGTTGCTGCAAATGACAAGACTTTATTCTTTTTTATGGCTGTGTAGTATTCTATGGTGATTATTTACCACATTTTGTTTATCCAGTCCACTTTTGATGTGCGCCTAGGTTGATTCCATGACTTCACTATTGTGAATAGTATTGTGATAAACATAAGAATGCAGGTATCTTTTATGGATGAATTATTTTCCTTTGTGTAGATAGTCAGTAGTGGGATTGCTGGGTTGAGTGGTAGTTTTATTTCTAGTTCTTTGAGAAATCTCTGTACAGTTTTCTGTAGAGGTTGAACTAATTTCCATTCCCACAACAGTGTATAAGTATTTCCTTTTTTCTGTAGCCTCTCCAATGTCTGTTATTTTTTGATTTTAAAATAGCCATTCTGATTGGTGTGAGATGGTATCTCATTGTGGTTTTAATTTGTATTTCTCCGAAGATTAGTGATATTGAGCATTTTTTCAGGTTTGTTGGCTGCTTGCGTGTCCTCTTTTGAGAAGTGTTGTATGTCATTAGTCCACTTTTTGTTGCGGTTATTTTTTTTTCCTTGACTTAAATTCCTTACAGATTCTGGATATTAGTTCTTTGGCAATGCATAGTTTGCAGGTATTTTCTCTCATTCTGTAGGTTGCCTACTTACTCTGTAGATAGTTTATTTACCCATGCAGAAGCTCTTTAGTTTAATTAAGTCCCATTTGTCAGTTTTTGTTTTTGTTGCACTTGCTTTTTGAGGTCTTAGTTATAACTTTTTGCCTATGCCAATGTTCAGGAGGGTTTTACCTATAGTTTCTTCTAGGATTTTTATAGTTTGAGGTCTTACATTTAAGTCTTTAACCCATCTTGAGTTGATTTTTGTATGTGGTGAGAGGTAAGGAAGGTTTCAGTTTCATTCTTCTGTATATGGCTAGCCAGCTTTCCAGCACCATTTGTTGAGTAGGATATCCTTTCGCCATTGTTTATTTTTGTCAACTTTGTCGAAGATTAGTTGGTTGTAGGTGTGTGGCTTTATTTCTGGGTTCTCTATTTTGTTCAATTGGTCTATGTGTCTATTTGTTAACCAGTACCATGCTGTTTTGGTTAGCATAGCCTTATACTATAGTTTGAAGTTGGGTAATGTGATGCTTTTGTTGTTCTTTTTGCTTATGATTACTTTGGCTATCCAGGCTGTTTTTTTTGGTTCCATACGAATTTTAGAATTGTTTATCTAATTCTATGAAAAATGGCATTGGTAATTTGATAGGAATTGCTTTGAACTGGTAGATTGCTTTGGGTAGTATGGTCGTGTGGTCATTTTAACAATATTGATTCTTCCAATCTTTGAGCATAGAATGTTTTTCCATTTATTTGTGTCATCTGTGATTTATTTTAGCAGTGTTTTGTAGTTTTCCTCAGAGATCTTTCACCTACTTTGTCACATGTATTCCCAGGTATTTTATTTTATTTTTTGTTACTATGGCAGATCTGATTTTGTTCTTGATTTGGTTCTAAGCTTGAACATTATTGGTGTATAGAAATGCTGATTTGTTTACATTGATTTTGTATCCTGAAACTTTACTGAAGTCACTTATTGGGTCCAGGAGTCTTTTGGAGGCATCTTTAGGGTTTTCTAGGTATAGGATTATGACGTTGGTGAACAGTGACAGTTTGACTTCCTCTTTACTGATTTGGATGCCCTTTATTTTTTTCTCTTGTCTGATTGCTCTGGCTAGGACTTCCAGTATTATGTTGAATAGGAGTAATGACAGTGAACTTCCTTGTCTTGTTGCAGTTCTTACGGGGATTGCTTCCAGTTTTGCCTGTTTAGTGTGATGTTGGCTGTGGGTTTGTCATAGATGGCTCTTATTATTTTGAGGCATGTTTCTTTGATGTCTAGTTTGTTGCAGGTTTTTATCATTAAGGGATGTTGCATTTTATTGAATGCCTTTTCTGAATCTATTGAGATGATCATATGGTTTTTGTTTTTATTTCTTTTTATGTGGTGAATCACATTTATTGATTTGTATATGCTGAACCATCCTTGAATGCAGGAATAAAGCCCTTTTAGTGAATTATCTTTTTGATATGCTGCTTGATTTGATTTGCCACTGTTTTTGTAGAGGATTTTTGCTTCTATGTTCATATTGGCCTGTAATTTTCTTTTTATGTTGTTCTTGCCACATTTTGTTATCAGGACGATACTGATTTCATAGAATGAGTCAGGGAGATATCCCTCCTTGACTTTTTGGAATAGTTTCAGTAAGATTGGTACCAGCTCTTCTTTGTATGTCTAGTAGATTTTGGCTGTGAAATGCATCTGGTCCGCGGCAGTATTTGTTTAATATATTTTTTATTGCTGATTCAATTTTGTAACTTGTTTTTGTCTGTTCAGGACTTTAATTTATTTCTGGTTTAATATTGAAGGTTGTGTGTTTCCAGGAATTTATCCAATTCCTCTAGGTTTTCTAGTTTGTGCACATGGACGTGTTTGCAGTAGTCTTTGGGGATCTTTTGTAGTTCTGTGCTGTCAGTTGTAATGTTACCTTTGGCATTTCTGATTGTGCTTATTTGGATCTTTTTTCTTCTTGGTTAATTTATCTGGCAGTCTATCAGTCTTGTTTATTTTTTCAAAGAACCAACTTTCAGTTTCATTTATCCTTTATATTTTTTTTTCTTGGTCTCAATTCCATTTAGTTATGCTCTGATCTTAGTTATTTCTTTTCTTCTGCTACCTTTGTGTTTAGTTGGTTCTTGTTTCTCTAGTTCCTTTAGGTGTGACATTAGTTGGTTAATTTGAGAGATATCTGTCTTCTTGATGTAGGCATTTAGTACCATAGCTATACTCTTTGCACTACTTTTGCTGTATCCCAGAGGTTTGGGTATATTATCTATTTTCATTTATTTTAAGTAATTTTTGGATTTTTTTTTTGCCTTAATTTTGTTTTTTACCCAAAAGTCATTTAGAAGCAAGTTGTTTAGTTTCCATGTATTTGTTTGGTTTTGAGAGTTCCTCTTTGTATTGTTTTCTTTTTTCTTTTTCTTTTCTTTTTTTTTTTTTTTTTTGAGACGGAGTCTTGCTCTGTGCCAAGGCTGGAGTACAGTGGCGTGATCTCGGCTCACTGCAACCTCCACCTCCCGGGTTCAAGTGATTTTCCTGCCTCAGCCTCCTGAGTAGCTGGGATTACAGGTACCTGCCACCATGCCTGGCTAATTTTTGTACTTTTAGTAGAGACAGGGTTTCACCATATATGCCAGGCTGGTCTCAAACTTCTGACCTCAAATGATCTGCCCAGCTTGGCCTCGCAAAGTGCTGGGATTACAGGAGTGAGCCACTGCACCTGGCCTGTGTTGTTTTCTAATTTTATTCCATTGTAGTCTGAGAAGATGCTAGATATGATTTTGATTTTTTTGAATTTTTTGAGACTTTATGACCAAGCACATGGCAGTATTAGAGGATGTTCCATGCATAGATGAGAACAATGTATATTCTGTGGTGGTTGGGTGAACTGTCTATAGACTATGCCAAGAGTCTAATTTAATTCCTTTGTTAGTTTTCTGCCTTGATCTGTTTAATGCTGTCAGTGGGGTGTTGAAGTTCTTCACTACTGTTGTATAGTTTTCTGTCACTTTACTTAGGTCTGGTAGTATTTGTTTTATAAACTTGTGTGCTTCTATGTTGGGTGCATATGAATTTAGCATGGTTAAATCTTGTCAAATTGAACCCTTTATCATGATGTAATGCCCTTTTGTTGTCCCAACTTTTATTTTATATTTGGCGGGGGCACATGTGTAGGTTTCTTAAATGGGCATATTGCATGATGCTTAGGTTTGGGGTATGATTGATCCCATCACCCAGGTACTGATTGTGGTACCTAGTAGGTAGTTTTTCAGCCTTTACCCCACTCCATCTGTCTCCTCTTTAGTAGTCTCCAGTGTCTTTTTCTCCCTTCTTTATGTCCATGTGTACCCAGTCTTTGGCTCCCACTTGTAAGTGAGAACATGTGGTATTTGGTTTTCTGTTTCTATGTTAATTCATTTAGGATAGTGGCCTCCAGTTGTATCCATGTTGCTGCAAAGGACATGATTTAGTTCTTTTTTATGGCTGCATAGGAGTCCATGGTGTATATATACCACATTTTCTTTATACAGTCCACCATTGATGGGCATCTAGGTTGATTCCATGTTTTTGTTATTGTGAACAGGGCTTCAATGAGCATATGAGCATATATATATATTTTTCGGTAAAATGGTTTATTTTCCTGTAGTTATATACCTTCATAATGGGATTGCTGGGTCTAATGGTAGTTCTATTTTTAGCTCTTTGAAAATTCTCTAAACTGCTTTTCATAGTGGCTGAATTAATTTCCGTTCCCACCAACAGTGTATAAGTGTTTCCATTTGTCTGCAGCCTCTCCAGCATCTATTATTTTTTTTTAACTTTTCAATAATAGCTGACTGGTGTGAGATTGTATTTCATTGTGGTTTTGATATGTATTTCTCTGATGATTAGTGATGTTGGGCATTTTTTCTTATGTTTGTTGGCTACTTGTCTGTCTTTTGAAAGTGTCTGTTCATGTGCTTTGCCTACTTTTTAGTAGGGTGTTTTCGTTTGTTTGTTTCTTTGTTTTGCTTGTTGAATTAAGTTCCCTATAGATTCTGGGTATTTGACCTGGATACATAGTGTGCAAAATTTTTTTTGCCATTTTGCAGATTGTCTGCTTTCTGTGTTGATAGTTTTGCTGTACAAAAGCTTGTTAGTTTAATTAGATCTCACTTGTCCAGTTTTGTTTTTCTGTTGCAATTGCTTTTGAGGACTTATAAATTCTTAGCCAAATATAATGCTGTTCTTTGTCTTTTTTTTTTTGAACTGTTGTTGGTTTAAAGTCTGATTTATCTGATAAAAGAATAGCAACCCCTGCTCTTTTTTTTCTTTTTTTTTTTTCTTTCATTTGCATGATAGATCTTTCTCCATACCTTTACTTTGAGCCTATGGGTGTCATTAGAGGTGAGATGGGCCTCTTCACAGCAGCATAAGGTTGGTTCTTGTTTTTAAATTCAGTTCCTTGTTACTTTAAATTCCGTTTCTTTTTTTTTTTTTAAATTCAATTTGCCACTCTGTGTCTTTTACATAGTTTAGGCCATTTACGTTCAAGGTTAATATTGACATATGAGGTTCAGTTTTTGTCATAGTATTGTTAACTAGTTTCTTTCTAGTCTCAATTGTGTAATTGCTCTAAAGTGTCTTTGAGCTTTTATGATAGCAAGTATTGTTCTTTGGTTTCTATGTTTAGAACTCCTTTGAGCATTTCTTGTAGGGACAGCCTCATGGTGAAGAATTGTCTTAGTGTTTACTTGTCTAGAAAAACTTTATTTCTCCTTTGTTCATGAAGCTTAGTTTCCGAGATATGACATTCTTGACTGGGGTTTTTTCTTTAAGAAGTCTAAAAATAGGCCCCAGTCTCTTTTTGCTTGAAAGATTTCTGCTGAGAAGTTCACTGTTAGTCTGATGGAATTCCCTTATTATGTAATTTGACCCCTTTCTCTAGCTGCCTCTAAGATTTTTTTTCTTTTGCATTGATTTTGAGTAATCTGATAACTATATGCCTTGGGGATGGTCATCTTGTAGAGCATCTCCCAAGAGTTCTCTTAATTCCTTTCTCTGGATGTTGACCTCTCTTGCAAGATTAGGGAAATTTTCCTGAATAATTTCCTTAAGTATGTTTTCTAAGTTTCTTACTTTTTCTTTTTCTCTCTCAGGAATGCCAGTTTGTCTTAGGTTTGGCCACTTTATATAATCCCATATTTCTTGAAGGCTTTGTTTCTTAAAGTTCTTTTTTGTTTATTTTTGTGTGACTGGGTTAATTTGAAAGACGGGTATTCAAGCTCTGAAATTCCTTTTTCTGCTTGGTCTAGTCTATTGTTAAAGCTTCCTGTTGTATTTTGAAAATCCTGTAGTTAAATTTTCAATTCCAGAGGTTCCACTTGGTTTTTTCTTAATATAGCTATCTCATCTTTCATATCCTAAATTGTTTTTCTGGTTTCTTTGTATTGGATTTCAGCTTTCTCTGGATCTCAGTGAGTTTCCTTGCAATCCATAGTTTGAATTTTTCATCTGTTATTTGAGACATTTCAATCTGGTTAGGATCCATTGCTAGAGAGGTAGTACTGTTCTTTGGAGGTGTCAAAACACTCTGCCTTTTTCTACTGCTTGAATTCTTCTGCTGATTCCTTCTCATCTGAGGTATTGTCGCTTCTTATTTTTGTATTTGCTGTTGTTTTGGGGCTTTTTACTTTTTTAATTCTTTTTTTCCTTGAGGGTATTACTGTAGTGTATATTGTGTATGATTGTTTGGCTTCGTTTCTGGGTGCTTTCAGGGGACCAAGGCTCTGTGTGGGCTCCTTGGTTGTGGGTAGTTTCTGTGTGGTGGCTTTCTCAGATGCTGCTTGTTGTAGCGATATATTGGATATAAGGGCTGACACACTGTCTCCTGTGGGCCTGATGGTGTGGAGGTCTCCAGAATCTTATCTCGTGGACTAACACTAAGCTCTTCTGGTAGCAGGTTTTTAATTTCATGGTGCAGTTCTGGGTATAATCCAGTAGATGGCGCTTAAAAATAAGAGCTGGCAGGTAGGCTGGTGCCATGTGGATGTGCCCACCCTGATGGGGTTGGTGAGAAAATCGTGAGGGCGTGCACCAAGGTCTTGGGAGAAGGGGCAGCGGGTGCACCAGCTCTTCATCTTGAGCCCTTAGGAATGTGATTTGCTTCTTTATCATGCCCTTGTTGCAGGGCTCATAACCTTCAGTTGTTTCTGGATTCAGTGTGGCTGTGGGCCACAGATAAGCCTTTCTGACTACTACTACTAAAATGGGGCTGAGGAGGCAGAGCCTCTTTTCCCAGTCTAGGGCAGGCAACTCTGTGTTCTGTCCTCTGTTGCTGGGTTGCTGCCACTTTTTGTAAGAGGGTGGTGTTCAGCTCGCCCTTTGTGAAAGCCTGAGTGGTCATGGGCTGACGGTGGAGCTACCATGAAAAGCACAAAAGACACTTTCTTTGAGGCATGCCCACTAGCCTGTGGCAGGAAGAACACTGCTGACTCCACAACAGTGTACTGGGGGAGGCCAGGAGATGACCCTCTCTCCACGTCTCTTCATGGGTGTCACTGCTGGCCCATTCAGTGGTTGGTGCTGCACCCGTTTCCTTTGTCCCAAGGTGGGTTTTGGTGGGCTGTTCTTCCCTCTTCCTTTAGGGGTGGCACAGGCTTAGGGTTAGATCTTTGGGGTACCACAGCTCCCTGGGGAGCTTCTGGTCTCCTGTGCTTGCCAAAGTCAGAGTGGGTTATGGGTGTATTTGTGGTGCATCTGGTGAGACAGTGGCTCAAGGGTGGAGATACCCTTGGCACCATGGGTGGAGATTGCTAGGCAGGGTTGTGGCACCATGGGTACACAACCATCATGACACCCACTGTCTCAGTTCAGGTCTGAAGGGAATGTGGGCACATCTGTGCAAGCTGGTCACCTGGTTCTCCATTCCCGGTAAGTACTCAAATCGCCACCAATAGTGTTGCCCTGGGTCATGAGGACAAAGAGTCTACCCAACAGTTTGGTGGTCAGCAGACTGTCACAGAGGTGAGGGGAGTGGAGAAGCACCCCCACCTACCCTTTCCATGGGACTCTGAGTTTCTTGGGTGTCAATCTCTGTTATCCTCATTCTGCTTTCCTTTTTTGCACCCCAGCTTCTTCCTTTAGGCATTCCAACAGATCCTGCTCCCCTCCTTTAGTTTTCCTTTTGGAATGTGTCTATTCACTGATACCTTTGGTCTTCTCTCTGAGGAGAACTGACATCCGATGTCCCTAGATAGCTGTTTTCTGCTCCTTGTTCTCTTTTGATCCATTTTGAGTAAAAAAAAAATTTTTTTTAATATGATGTGAGCAGGGGTTCTGTTTTTTTGCATACAGATATCCTATTTTCTTAGCATTATTTGTGGAAATGACTATGCTTTTCCCACGGAGTGGTCTTCACATTCTTGTCAAAAATCAATTGACTACAGTTGTTTGGGTTTATTGCTGGACTCTCACTTCTGTTTCATTGACCTATATGTCTGTCCTTATACCAGTATAACACTGTCTTGATTACTGTAACTTACTGTAGATTACTGTATCAGTTTTAAGATTTATTAGATTAGTATTGAATAAACTAGATTACTGTAGTAAGTTTGAAATCAGGAAGTATGGTTCTCTCTACTTTTCTTTTTCAGATTGTTTCGACTATTCTGTGTCCCTTACATTTCCATGTGAATTTTAGGATCAGCTTGTTATTTTTCTGGGAATAAGTCAGCTGGAAATTTGATTGGTACTGTGTTGAAACTGTAGATCAGTTGGGGAATATTGCCATCTTTACAATATTTTCTTCCGATCTATTAACATGAGGAGTCTTTCTATTCATTTAGTTTTAAAATAATTTCTTTCAATGTTTTTTCACTTTTGAAGTATAAAATTTGCACTTGTTAAATTTATTCCTGTGTAATTTATCATTTTTAATTCTGTTGTAAAGTTGTTAATGGAAATGCTTTCTTAATTTCATATTTGAATTGTTCATTGATAGTGTATAGAAGTAAAACTGATATTTGTATGTGGAACTTGTATTTTACAACCTTGCTGAACTAGTTTATTTCCTCTAATAGTTTTTTTTGTGGATTCTTCAAGATTTTCAATATATAAGACCATGTCATCTGCAAATAGAGAAAATTTTACTTCTTCCTTTTCAATATGGATGCCTTTTAATTTGTTTCTTGTTTAATTGCCCCAGCTAGAGCTTCATTGAATAAAGAGTGAAATTGGCCAGGCGCAGTGGCTCATTCCTGTAATCCCAGCACTTTGGGAGGCTGAGGCGGGTGGATCACTTGAGGTCAGGAGTTCAAGACCAGCCTGGCCAACATGGTGAAACCCCTGCCTTTGCTAAAAATAAAAAAAATTAGCTAGGCGTAGTGGCAGACGCCTGTAATCCCAGCTACTCGGGAGGCTGAGGCAGGAGAATCACTTGAACCTGGGAGGTGGAGGTTGCAGTGAGCTGAGATTGTGCCACTGCATTCCAGCCTGGGCAACAGAGCAAGACTCTGTCTCAAAAAAAAAAAAAAAAAAGTGAAATTAGAGTATTAGAATTTTTGCCAAATGCTTCTTCGGCATTTATTTAGATGATCATTTATTTTTTTTCCCCTTTATTTCAGTGTTATTATGATATATGTAGGTGTAAATCTCTTTGAGTTTATCCTACTTGGAATTTGCTGAACTTCCTGGATGTGTGGATTAATGTTTTTCACCAAATTTGGGAAGTTTTTGGCTGTTATTTCCTCAAATAACCTTTCTGCTTTTTTCTTTCCTCTACTGGAGAGGAATACTTGGTGCTCTCCCACAGTTTTTTGAGGCTTTGACAATTTTTGTTCACTTCTTTTCTTTCTGTTCCTTAGACTATAATCTCAACCGATCTATCTTCAAATCCTCTGATTATTTCATCTGCATTCTAGAATCTGCTGTTGAGCCTCTCTTTAAAACTTTCATTTAAAAAGTGCTTATTGATTAGTTCAGTGATTTTCATCCTTTCTGGATGTTTCTGACTGATTTTTATCCTGTTTATTGCTCATATTTTATTGTACTTTACATGTGTAATACCCTTTTATTGAGTCTTGAACATTTTATACTCTTCAGGACTGGATTTTCTTCTTTTTTACTTTGGCAGACACTTATTTGTGGCTTGATACTTTAAGGCTTGTTTTCATGCTTTGTTAGGGTGCTTATAAGGGAGGAGACCACCCCTCATATTGTCTTATGCCCAATTTCTGCCTCCAAAGAAAGAAGAAGTAAAAACTGAAAGACAAATGAAATCCACAGGCAGACAGCCCGGCGGCGCGCCCTGGGCCTGGTTAAAGATCGACCCCTGACCTAACTGGTTATGTTATCTACAGATTCCAGGTATTGTATGGAAAAGCATTGTGAAAACCCCTGTTCTGTTCCGTTCTGATTACTGATGCATGCAGCCCCCAGTTATGTACCCCCTGCTTGCTCAATCCATCACGACACTCTCACGTGGACCCCCTTAGAGTTCTAAGCCCTTAAAAGGGACAGGAATTGCTCACTCGGGAGCTGCGTTTTTGGAGACGTGAGTCTTGCCGAAGCTCCCAGCCGAATAAAGCACTTCGTTCTTTAACTCGGTGTCTGTGGGGTTTTGTCGCGGCTTGTCCTGCTACACTTGCATTCTAGGGTTACTTTAGCCCCATTCCAAAAGTGTTACTCTTCTCTGTTCTCCACTGAATGCCCTGAGCATTCAATGAGTTTCTTCCTCTCTCCCGGGTCCGTTTGCATTCTGGGAATTTTTCTGATTGCAGCTTCCTGGTTCTTATTTGCTCAATCTCATGGAGTTCTGCCATATTCACGTGCAGCTTAGTAGTAAAAAATATACTGAAGGAAACCCATACAGATTTCTGGACCTTTTATCTCTGTAGATCTCTCATTTTTGGTAATTTGCGCTGCACAATCCCATGTGTTTCCACTAATTTTTAATTGTTACCTTGGCTTCCTCTATTTGCAAGCTCATACATACTCTCCTTGTTTTCTCCTCTTTAGTAGGTCTAGAAAGTACCTGTAGGCAGAAGGAGTGACTATAAAGCTTACCTTGTTTGTTTCTTGTCTCAGGGATCACATGCTTGTCTTGTCTGACATTCATTGTGTGAAATCAATTGCATTATATATTTTGTCCAATTTGCCATTTGTTTATAGCAAGAGGAAAATCTTGTCCTAGTTATTGTGTCAAAGCTGGAAGCAGTAGTATTTTAAGAAGGCCCTTAAGTCTTCAAATATTTTATATCTTCAGAATGTTCATATCAAATACAATATAGATTTCACCTACCCACCTTTTGGGGTAGCTGTTTTAATGAAGAGAATTTCAGAAACTAGAAACAATGAGAAAAACCTCAATAATGGAAAAGTTTGCTTTAAAATATCAGGTCTATGGGGAATTCTGATCATTTGGATCATGAAACTGAGCCATTTTCTTACACTATACACCTCCTGATTTCAGGCAAAATAAGGAGGTAGAGGAGGATGTTAATGATGATTAATAACCCACACAAACCAAACTTTTATTAGGCAGTTGCCTTGAAAACTCAAACCTCTAAAGTACATGTTATATCCTCTGAATCAAATTAAACTAGGTGTATGGGTGAAAATATTCTCATTAGTCATAATCTTGAGAGTAAAGGTTACCAACACTAAAACTAATAGTAAAATATTTTGAAGGTCAGCCAAATGTTTTGATTAACCCTGTTGAATAATGTGAATGTAATCTCATCAGTATAATAAGGTAATATATTTATTTAGCAAATACTTGTTGAGGACCTGTTATTTCTAGGAATCATGCTAAATACTAGGAATTAAAAATGAATAAGTCATAGTTTCTATTCTTAAGGGCCTGATAGTTTTCAAGGTATAGCCATAAAAATATGAGGAAGGTTGGATTTTTAGTATTAAAAATGGACAGTTGCCAGTTTATGGACATGGAAGGTGGGATATTAAATATGAATCAAAGTAAAGGATCAGTACTTTGTAAATATTTTGGAGCAAAAGTCAAAGCTGTAGACATGGATATAGCATGCTTTGAGGTCTTTTGAAAGCATCTATTTTTTTTTCTTCGTAATTCTCATTGTTTCAAGTTGTCCCTTCATGGTCTCCTCCTCAGAGATTCGTTTCTGATGTTGCATCCTCATTAGTATGTGAAGCTTATAAAATTGGATGAGATGAGGTGGTAACCTGAGACTAAGAAGAGGATGAATTTCTTTTTGCCCTCCCTTCCTCAGTAAGGCTTTTGCATTGAATCTTTATGAAAATCTCATGAGAATTTTGTCAAAAAGATGAAAATGTCAGAGATGATCTCCAGTTTTAAGTTAAGCAATTAGGCAAATTTTTATTCTCTTCATTTTAGAATATTATCTCAAGTTTAAATCTCCAGAGATAAATTTGATGGTAATACAGCCATAAAACTTAAAGTTATCAATGTGATGTTTAAAATCTCATCTTGCTTTTAACCTAACCTTTAATTTCTTTTTCTTTTATATTTCACTGCTATAAAACAAGCAGGTGTTGAGCAGGAATGGATGCAGGAAGTAGTACCTCAAAGTGCTAATCCTATGAGGACAATCACATGTATATTGTTTAGAATTGATGCAGTTCCAAACTGTGATTGCTGTACTGTCATATTTTTGTTGCCACAGAACTTTGTATACATGTGTTACAGCCAAACCAAAACAAACAAACAATACAACTAAAGCAAATATAAGCAACTAAAGCAACAGTACAACTAAAGCAAAACAGAACAAGACTGCCAGGGCCTAGAAAAGCCAAGAACTTTGCCAGAGGTTAAATTAATCCCCCTATAATGACAGTATCTTCAAGATCTTGAAGAAATGCATATGGACCAAATTTGCCGTTTGCTAAGAATTTCTCCTTTTCAATTGCATGTGTACATATGTGTGTGTATGCATGCACACACCCAGCCACAACTTTAATGTAGGATCTTGAGTCCTTTTCATGATGCTAGATTGAATATACCAATGTTGGGGTTTCTGAAGCAGAAATATTGTGTTAAATTATTGTGAAGGACTTCTAGGAAACAGTGTTTGTTGAAATAGTTTTACATGGAATTCAGTCTTTAATTTTAGTATTAGTTTAAGGGAACTTCTTTGATTCCAGAATCAATTGCCTGCTTGCTGATCTTCTTGATAAAATTCATATTGTAGCATCAAATAGTTTCTTAAAAGTACTACATTTGGTACACTTCTAAAACATCAAAAAATGTTTCTTGTCTAGTTTTGATACCAGGAGTGTTGGTATCAAAAATCTTTGATACTGAGTGTGTAACTCTGGAATCCAGATGAAGAAAATGTTCCAAGGAGGAAGGATTCAATATGTCAAATGCTGCTGATAGGTAAGTAAAAGAAAATCAATAATTTACTGCTGGATTTAGCAACAACTCATTTCTTATCTGTATAGAGCAATTTTGGTAAAGTGGTGAAAATAAAAGCCAGATTAGAATCAGTAAGTGTAGATGATTCTTCTGAGGAGTTTGTTTTAAAGAATTCAGGTAAATTGAAGTGGAGGTGGGGGTCAAGAGTTTTTAAATTGCTTTGCTTTCAATTTTAAGATAGGAAAAATATGTTTGCATGCTGATAGAAATGAAATAGTAGAGAGAGAAATTGATGTAGGAGAGAGAGGTTAGAATTGCTGGAGTGATGTCATTAAGTAATTGAGAAGAAGGTAGGATCCAGTCTACAAAAAGAGGGTTTAACTTCAGGAACATGGATCACTTATTGGTTCATAACAGAAGTATAGGCAGTTGCCTGTATACTATGTTAGGTGTATAGATCTGGTGACATTTGGAAAGTCTCTTGACTGTAGTTTCTCAGTGAAATAGGAAGCCTAGTTTTTTTGTATGGGTTGAATTGTCTCCTTCCAAAAGAGATGTTGAAGTCCTAGCCACTAGTACCTGTGGGTGTGATCTTATTTAGAATTAGGGTCTCTGCAGATGTAATCAAGTTAAGATGAGGTAATATTTGATGAGGGTGGACCCTAAATCCAATGACTTACGAGAAGAGAGACATTTTGGCTGAGACCCAGACACACAGGAAGAAAGTTATGTGAAGATGGAGGCAGAGATTGGAGTGATGCAGCTACAAGCCAAGGAATGCCAAAGTTTGTGGGTAACTGCAAATAGCTAGGAAGAGGCAAGGAAAAATTCTTCCTTAGAGCCTTCAGATGGCACTTGGCCCTGTCAACATCTTGATTTGAAGTATGAGAAAATAAATTTCTGTTGGTTTAAGCCACACAGTTTGTAGTACTTTCTTATGGCAACTTTACGAAATATAGTCTTGAACTGAAAATGAGGAAAGGATTGATACTTGATTTCTCATAGATACTTAAAAAACTTTTCGTTTTTTCATCCAACACTTTACATAATAGTAAGCTTCCTTGACATTTTTATTGGCCGATGAATAGAATGTTTTTAGCCTATTTTTAACGGACAGAGCATTTGTTATACCTTCCTCAGCTTTTTACTAGTCTTGGTATAGTTTTTTTTTTAACCTTTTGTACCTCCAAGCTTATGACTTTGTCCAAATAGGTTTTCAAAAAGCTGGTTGCAGCACTTAGAACTGATAGAACTCCCCTTCCCTCCCCAGTGATCTACTGTAGAATCAGCTTATAATTATTGCTTTGATATTTTTCAGTATCCTATTAAAAATATCAAACATACAGAAATGTTGGAAGACTTTTACAGTGAACACTTACTTGTATTCTCACTATCTAGAGCAGGGGTTGGCAAGCTTTATCTGAAAAGGGCCAGATAACAGATATTTTAGGCTTCAAGGGCCCTACAGTGTCTGTTGAAGCTCATCAACTGTCCCATTGTAGTGTAGAAGCAGCTATGGACAATACCTAATGAATGAGTATGGCTGTGTTCCAACAAAACTTTATTTATCGGCACTGACATTTGAATTTTATATTTCACATCATGAATTATTGTTTTGACTTATTCTCACCTTTTTTTTTCCCCCCCGAGACGGAGTTTCACTTGTTGCCCAGGTTGGAGTGAAATGGCGTGCAGCCTCCCGAGTAGCTGGGATTACAGGTATCTGCCACCACGCCCAGCTAATTTTTTGTATTTTTAGTAGAGACGGGGTTTCACTCTGTTGGCCAGGCTGGTCTCGAACTTCTCACCTCAGGCGATCCACCCTCCTTGGCCTCCTAAAGTGTTGGGATTACAGCCGTGAGCCACTGCGCCTGGCCTCTCACCTTTTTTAAAGGTTACAACTGTTCTTAGCTCATGGGCCATAACAAAAAGTGGCAAATTTGGCCCACAGACTACAGTTTGCTGCACCTGATCTAGAGTCCACAATTAAAAGGCTGCTTTGTTTGCTTTTTCATATATGTATCCATCTAAACATCCTTCTATCAGTCTAGTAATTGACCCTCTCTTTGATGCATTTCAAAATAAGTCGCAGACACTATACTTTAAATACTTCCTCGAATGTATCATTACTTAGAGTTTAATTTTTTTTTTGAGGTAAAATTTACATTGAAATGAAATAAAGTTTATGTACTTTTTTTGATAGGCATTTTATTTTTTTTTTCATTTTTAAAAATTATACTTTAAGTTCTAGGGTACATGTGCACAACATGCAGGTTTGTTTTATAGGTGTACATGTGCCATGTTGGTTTGCTGCACCCATTAACTCGTCATTTACATTAGGTATTTCTCCTAATGCTATCCCTCCCCCGTCCCCCATCCCATGACAGGCCCCTGTGTGTAATGTTCCCCACCCTGTGTCCAAGTGTTCTCATTGTTCAATTCCCACCGATGAGTGAGCACATGCAGTGTTTGGTTTTCTGTCCTTAAGATAGTTTGCTGAGAATGATGGTTTCCAGCTTCGTCCATGTCCCTGCAAAGGACATGAACTCATCCTTTTTTATGGCTGCATAGTATTTTCCATGTTGTATATGTGCCACATTTTCTTAATCTGGTCTATCATTGATGGACATTTGGGTTGGTTCCAAGTCTTTGCTATTGTGAATAGTGCCGCAATAAACATAGGTGTGCATGTGTCTTTATAGTAGCATGATTTATAATCCTTTGGATATATACCCAACAATGGGATGGCTGGGTCAAATGGTAATTCTAGTTCCAGATCCTTGAGGAATCACCACACTGTCTTCCACAATGGTTGAACTAGTTTACACTCCCACCAACAGTGCAAAAGCGTTCCTATTTCTCCACGTCCTCTCCAGCATCTGTTGTTTCCTTTTTAATGATCACCATTCTAACTGGCATGAGATGGTATCTCATTGTGGTTTTGATTTGCATTTCTCTGATGGCCAGTGATGATGAGCATTTTTTCATGTGTCTGCTGGCTGCATGAATGTCTTCTTTAGAGAAGTGTCTGTTCATATCCTTTGCCCACTTTTTGATGGGGTTGTTTTTTTTTTTCTTGTAAGTTTGTTTAAGTTCTTTGTAGATTCTAGATATTAGCCTTTTGTCAAATGGGTAGACTGCAAAAATGTTCTCTCATTCTGTAGGTTGCCTGTTCACTCTGATGGTAGTTTCTTTTGCTGTGCAGAAGCTCTTTAGTTTAATTAGATCCCATTTGTCAATTTTGGCTTTTGCTGCCATCGCTTTTGGTGTTTTAGTCACGAAGTCCTTGCCCATGCCTGTGTCCTGAATGGTATTGCCCAGGTTTTCTTCTAGAGGTTTTATGGTTTTAGGTCTAACATTTAAGTCTATAATCCATCTTGAATTAATTTTTGTATAAGGTGTAAGGAAGGTATCCTGTTTCAGCTTTCTACATATGGCTAACCAGTTTTCCTAGCACCATTTTAAATAGGGAATCCTTTCCCCATTTCTTGTTTTTGACAGGTTTGTCGAAGATCAGATGGTTGTAGATGTGTGGTGTTGTTTCTGAGGCCTCTGTTCTGTTAGATTGTTCTATCTCTCTTTTGGTACAGTACCATGTTGTTTTGGTTACTGTAGCCTTGTAGTATAGTTTGAAGTCAGGTAGCATGATGCCTCCAGCTTTGTTCTTTTTGCTTAGGATTGTCTTGGCAATGCAGGCTCTTTTTTTATTCCATATGAACTTTAAAGTAGTTTTTTCCAGTTCTGTGAAGAAAGTCATTAGTAGCTTGATGGGGATGGCATTGAATCTATAAATCACCTTGGGCAGTATGACCATTTTCACAATACTGATTCTTCCTATTCATGAGCATGGATTGTTCTTCCATTTGTTTGTGTTCTCTTTTATTTCATTGAGCAGTGGTTTGTAGTTCTCCTTGAAGAAGTCCTTCATATCCCTTGTAAGGTGGATTCCTAGGCATTTTATTCTCTTTGAAGCAATTGTGAATGGGAGTTCACTCATGATTTGGCTCTCTGTTTGTCTGTTATTTGTGTATATGAATGCTTGTGATTTTTGCACATTGATTTTGTGTCCTGAGACTTTGCTGAAGTTGCTCACCAGCTTAAGGAGATTTTGGGCTGAGATGATGGGGTTTTCTAAATATACAATCATGTCATCTGCAAACAGGAACAATTTGACCTCCTCTTTTCCTAATTGAATACCCTATATTTCTTTCTCTTGCCTGATTGCTCGGCCAGAACTTCCAACACTATGTTGAATAGGACTGGTGAGAAAGGAATCCTTGTCTTGTGCCAGTTTTCAAAGGGAATGCTTCCAGTTTTTGCCCATTCAGTATGATATTGGCTGTGGGTTTGTCATAAATAGCTCTCATTATTTTGAGATACGTTCCATTAATACCTAGTTCATTGAAAGTTTTTAGCATCATGGGCTGTTGAATTCTGTCAAGGCCTTTTCTGCATCTATTGAGATAATCATGTGGTTTTTGTCATTGGTTCTGTTTATGTGATGGATTACATTTATTGATTTGCATATGTTGAACCAGCTTTGCATCCCAGGGATGAAGCCGACTTGATCTTGGTGGATAAGCTTTTTGATGTGCTGCTGGATTCGGTTTGCCAGTATTTTATTGAGGATTTTCACGTGGATGTTCATCAGGGATATTGGTCTAAAATTGTCTTTTTTGTGTGTGTCTCTGCCAGGCTTTGGTATCAGGATGATACTGGCATCATAAAATGAGTTAGGGAGCATTCCTTCTTTTTCTATTGATTGGAATATTTTCAGAAGGATTGGTATCAGCTCCTCTTTGTACCTCTGGTAGAATTTGGCTGTGA
This sequence comes from Homo sapiens, assembly GCF_000001405.40. Classification (NCBI taxonomy): domain Eukaryota; kingdom Metazoa; phylum Chordata; class Mammalia; order Primates; family Hominidae; genus Homo; species Homo sapiens. The sequence goes on along the minus strand of NC_000004.12, from coordinate 13,420,303 downwards.
ATCCGTCTGGTCCTGGCCTTTTTTTGGTTGGTAGACCATTAATTATTGCCTCAGGCTCAGAGCCTGTTACTGGTCTATTCAGAGATTCAGCTTCTTCCTGGTTTAGTCTTGGGAGGGTGTATGTTTCCGGGAATGTATCCATTTCTTGTAGATTTTCTAGTTTATTTGCGTAGAGATGTTTATAGTATTCTCCGATGGTAGTTTATATTTCTGTGGGATCTGTGGTGATATCCCCTTTATCATTTTTTATTGCATCTATTTGATTCTTCTCTCTTTTTTTCTTTATTAGTCTTGCTAACGGTCTATCAATTTTGTGGATCTTTTGAAAAAACCAGCTCCTGGATTCATTGATTTTTTTTTTTGAAGGGTTTTTTGTGTCTCTATTTCCTTCAGTTCTGCTCTGATCTTAGTTATTTCTTGCTTTCTGCTAGCTTTTGAATGTGTTTGCTCTTGCTTCTCTAGTTCTTTTAATTGTGATGTTAGGGTGTTGATTTTAGATCTTTCCTGCTTTCTCTTGTGGGCATTTAGTGCTATGAATTTCCCTCTACACACTGCTTTAAATGTGTCCCAGAGATTTTGGTACATTGTGTCTTTGTTCTCATTGGTTTCAAAGAACATCTTTATTTCTGCCTTCATTTCATTATTTACCCAGTAGTCATTCAGGAGCAGGTTGTTCAGTTTTCATGTAGTTATGTGGTTTTGAGTGAGTTTCTTAATCCTGAGTTCTAATTTGATTGCACTGTGCTCCTTAGAGACAGTTTGTTGTGATTTCTGTTCTTTTACATTTGCTGAGGAGTGCTTTACTTCCAACTATGTAGTCAATTTTGGAATAAGCTTAATGCGATGATGAGAAGAATGTATATTCTGTTGATTTGGGGTGGAGAGTTCTGTAGATATCTATTAGGTCTGCCTGGTGCAGAGCTGAGTTTAACTTTTGGATATCCGTGTTAACCTTCTGTCTCGTTGATCTGTCTAATATTGACAGTGGGGTGTTAAAGTCTCCCATTATTATTGTGTGGTAGTCTAAGTCTCTTTCTAGGTCTCTAAGGACTTGCTTTATGAATCTGGGTGCTCCTGTATTGCGTGCATGTATATTTAGGATAGCTGGCTCTTTTTGTTGAATTGATCCCTTTACCATTATGTAATGGCCTTCTTTGTCTTTTTTGATCTTTGTTTTTTTAATGTCTGTTTTATCAAAGGCTAGGATTGCAACCCCTGCTTTTTTTTGCTTTCATTTACTTGGCAGATCTTCCTCTATCCCTTTATTTTGAGCCTATGTGTGTCTCTGCACGTGAGATGGGTCTCCTGAATACAGCACACTGATGGGTCTTGACTCTATCCAATTTGCCAGTCTGTGTCTTTTAATTGGGGCATTTAGCCCATTTACATTTAAGGTAAGTATTGTTATGTGTGAATTTGATCCTGTCATTATGATATCAGCTGGTTATTTTGCCGGTTAGTTGATGCAGTTTCTTCCTAGCATTGACGGTCTTTACAATTTGACATGTTTTTGCAGTGGCTGGTACTCGTTACTCCTTTCCATGTTTAGTGCTTCCTTCAGGAGCTCTTGTAAGGGAGGCCTGGTGATGACAAAATCTCTCAGCATTTGCTTGACTGTAAAGGATTTTATTTCTCCTTCACTTATGAAGCTTAGTTTGGCTGGATATGAAATTCTGGGTTGAAAATTCTTTTCTTTAAGAATGTTGAATATTGGCCCCTGCTGTCTTCTGGCTTGTAGAGTTTCTGCCAAGAGATCCGCTGTTAGCTGATGGGCTTCCCCTTGTGAGTAACCCGACTTTTCTCTCTGGCTGCCCTTAACATTTTTTCCTTCATTTCAACCTTGGTGAATCTGACAATTATGTGTCTTGGGGTTGCTCTTCTTGAGGAGTGTCTTTGTGGTGTTCTCTGTATTTCCTGATTTTGAATGTTGGCCTGCCTTGCTGGGTTGGGGAAGTTCTCCTGGATAATATCCTGAAGAGTGTTTTCTAACTTGGTTCCATTCTCCCCATCACTTTCAGGTACACCAATCAAATGTAGATTTGGTCTTTTCACATAGTCCCATATTTCTTGGAGGCTTTGTTCATTTCTTTTTACTCTTTTTTCTCTTAATTTCTCCTCTTGCTTTATTTCATTAATTTGATCTTCAATCGCTGATACCCTTGCTTCCACTTGATCGAATCAGCTGTTGAAGTTTGTTCATGCCTCACATAGTTCTTGTGCCCTGGTTTTCAGCTCCATCAGGTCATTTAAGGTCTTCTCAACACTGTTTATTCTAGTTAGCCATTCGTCTATAATCTTTTTTCAAGGTGTTTAGCTTCCTTGCGAGGGGCTCGAACATCCTCCTTTAGCTCAGAGAAGTTTGTTATTACCAACCTTCTGAAGCCTGCTTCTGTCAGCTCATCAAAGTCATTCTCCATCAAGCTTTGTTCCGTTGCTGGCGAGGAGCTGCAATCCTTTGCAGGAGAAGAGGTGTTCTGGTCTTTAGAATTTTCAGCTTTTCTCCTCTGGTTTCTCCCCATCTTTGTGGTTTTATGTACCTTTGGCCTTTGATGCTTGTGACCTATAGATGGGGTTTTGGTGTGGATGTCCTTTTTGTTGATGTTGATGCTGTTCCTTTCTGTTTGTTAGTTTTCCTTCTAAGAGTCCAGTCCCTCAGCTGCAGGTCTGTTGGGGTTTGCTGGAGGTCCACTCCAGACCCTGTTTGCTTGGATATCACCAGCGGAGGCTGCAGAACAGCAAATATTGCTGCCTGATCCTTCCTCTGTAAGCTTCGTCCCAGAAGGGCACCTGCCTGTACGAGGTGTCGGTTGGCCCCTACTGGGAGGTGTCTCCCAGTTAGGCTACATAGGGGTCAGGGACCCACTTGAGGAGGCAGTCTGTCCATTTTCAGAGCTCAAACCCTGTGCTGGGAAAACCACTGCCCTCTTCAGAGCTGTCAGACAGGGACCTTTAAGTGTGCAAAAGTTTCTGCTGCCTTCTGTTCAGCTATGCCCTGTTCCCAGAGGTGGGGTTTACAGAGGCAGCAGGCCTTCCTTGCAGAGCTGTGGTAGGCTTCACCCAGTTTGAGCTTCCTGGCCACTTTGTTTACCAACTCAAGCCTCAGCAATGGAGGATGCCCCTCCCTCTGCCAGGCGGCTGCCTCACAGGTCGATCGCAGACTGCTGCACTGCTAGTGAGCAAGGCTCTATAGGCATGGGACCTGCCGAGCCATGTGCAGGATATAATCTCCTGATGTGCCGTTTGCTAAGACCATTGGAAAAGCGCAGTATTTGAGTGGGAGTGTCCCAATTTTCCAGGTACAGTCTGTCATGGCTTCCTTGGCTAGGAAAGGGAAATCCCCCGACCCCTTGTGTTTCCTGGGTGAAGTGATGCCCCGCCCTGCTTCGGCTTGCCATCCATGGGCTGCATCCACTGTCCTACCAGTCCCAATGAGATGAACCATGTACCTCTTTTGGAAATGCAGAAATCACCATCTTCTGTGTTGATCACACTGGGAGCTGCAGACTGGAGCTGTTTCTATTTGGCCATCTTGGAATGGAATCTTCGTTTGTGTGCATTTAATGAGTTTTGACAGATCATATACTTATATAATCTAAATTCTTATCAAGATATAGAATATTACCATTACTTCAGAAAGTTTGCATTCAGTCTTCATCCCCACCCCCATTCTTAATTATTTACTCCATGGGTTGGTTTTGCCTGTTCTAGAATTTCATATAAATGGAATCATCCATTATATTGTTCTGCCTTTAATTTTTCTCTGTATTTCTATTCTCTTAGAATTTATCTTTTAAACTTGGCTATGTTGTTAAACATACTGTGTCCGGAATTGGTGGGTTCTTGGTCTCACTGACTTCAAGAATGAAGCCGCGGACCCTCGCGGTGAGTGTTACAGTTCTTAAAGGCGGCGTGTCTGGAGTTTGTTCCTTCTGATGTTTGGATATATTCGGAGTTTCTTCCTTCTGGTGGGTTTGTGGTCTCGCTGGCTCAGGAGTGAAGCTGCAGACCTTCGCAGTGAGTGTTACAGCTCATAAAGGCAGTGTGGACCAAAAGAGTGAGCAGCAGCAAGATTTATTGCAAAGAGTGAAAGAACAAAGCTTCCACAGTGTGGAAGGGGACCTGAGCAGGTTGCTACTGCTGGCTTGGGCAGCCTGCTTTTATTTTCTTATCTGGCCCCACCCACATCCTGCTGATTGCTCCATTTTACAGAGAGCCGAGTCTGTTTTGACAGGGTGCTGATTGGTGTGTTTACAATCCCTGAGCTAGACACAAAGGTTCTCCAAGTCCCTAACAGAGTAGCTAGATACAGAGTGTCGATTGGTACATTCACAAACCCTGAGCCAGACACAAGGTGCTGATTGGTGTGTTTACAAACCTTGAGCTAGATACAGAGTGCCGATTGGTGTATTTACAATCCCCTAGCTAGACATAAAGGTTCTCCAAGTCCCCACCAGTCAGGAGCCCAGCTGGCTTCACCCAGTGGATCCTGCACTGGGGCTGCAGGTGGAGCTGCCTGCCAGTCCCATGCCGTGCGCCCGCACGCCTCAGCCTTTGCGTGGTCATTGGGACCGGGCGCCGTAGAGCAGGGGATGGTGCTCGTTGGGGAGGCTTGGGCCACACAGGAGCCCAGGGTGGCGTGGTTGGAGGGGGCGGGGGAGGCTCAGGCATGGCGGGCTGCAGGCAGCTAAGGCCCGGCAAGAAATCGAGCGCAGTGCCAGTGGGCCGGCACTGCTGGGGGACCCAGCACACCCTCTGCAGCCACTGGCCTGGGTGCTAAGCTCCTCATTGCCCGGGCCGGCAGGGCTGGCCGGGCGCTCTGAGTGCAGCCCGCTGAGCCCACACTCACCCTGAACTTGCACTGGCCTGCAAGCACCGCGCAGCCCCGGTTCCCGCCTGCGCCTCTCCCTCCACACCTCCCTGCAAGCTGAGGGAGCCGGCTCCGGCCTCAGCCAGCCCAGGAAGGGGCTCCAACAGCCCAGCGGCGGGCACTTCCTCAAGTGCCGCCAAAGTGGGAGCTCAGGCAGAGAGGCCCCGAGAGTGAGCAAGGGCTGTGAGGGCTGCCAGCATGCTGTCAACTCTCAATACTACTTACATATTTTCAGCATTTATATGTGATTGTGAATTGAGTCAGCATATTTTAAAAAGTCAGTCTCTGATAGTCTCTTTTGATGATGTCATTATATCTGCAATTAATGATGATTCTTCTTCCTTACCTATAGCTTACATCTTATTTTTATCTTACTGAATTGTCTAAAATTCTTGAACAGTTTTGAATAACTACTGTGATACCAAGAACCCTTAATACTGACTTTATAAGAATTGCCTTATTTAGTATTTTATCATTCAGTAGGAATTTTGTTTTTGGCTTCTAATTGGTATTCTTTATCAAATTAAGGAAGTTGGTTTTCATCCTGTCCTATTCATCTTCATATTAAGAACATGAGTTAAATTTTATTTAATGAAGGCATATATGATGTTTTCCTCATTTTGCTTATTCATAATGGATTACATAAAAAGATCTAATGTTAAACCAGCCTTGTAATTCCTAAATTAAACTTTTTTTGTCACAGCATATTTTCTTTTATATACTGCTAGATACAATTTAATGTTTTATGTACAATCTTTGCTTTTAAATGAGATTGGTCTGAAGTTTGTACCAGCCTTGTCTGGTTTTAGTACCAAGATTATGTCAGCTTCATAAATGAATTGGGAAATACCCCATATGTTTCTGTTTACTGTAGTTGGTTGAAGTGACATAGGAACTATATTTTCGGAAGGTATGGTATAACTTATTTATAAAATCATCAGGATTTTGGTACCTCTTTTGGAGTTAGATCTTTTACTACCTGTTATAGTTCCCCTTTGATACGAGAATTTGGTGTTGCTTCTTTTATTCCCAGTCAGTTTGGGTTATTTATATTTTCATGGATGATTTGATCTAGATTTTTGAATTATGGGTGCATGGCCAAATGACTTTCCCTTACAGCTTAAGTGTCTGATCTTCAATTAAACAATGTAGCTCTGTTCCCGTGGTAACCTGTTAAGGTAGTATGTGTCAATAACATTACTGCAGAACATTTTTATGATAAAAATGAAACCTGATTAGTTAATAACAGCTGGACTGGGAGGGACCAGAGATGAACTATAAATACTGTTAGAAACCGTAGCTTTTGGGCTTTTCTGAGTGCAGAGACTCGTGCGTGGCTTGTCATTTGGAGGGGCTCTGGAATCTTTGCTTATGGAATGTTACAAGAGAAATTGGCTCTTGTGGAACGGGGCTTCTGAGCTGACCATATACCCATGTGTCATTGTCATATGCTCATATTTGTGCTGTCACTTGAGGAGAAAATAGCTCCTAGACTGCTGTGTAATCTGTAGTTTCCCTCTGAGAAAGACTAGATGCTGGCCAGCTGGCAAGCTATAGTTCTTGTCTTCTATATTTTGGAATAGACTTATGCCAAATGTGGCCTGTGGTCATTTTTGTGGGTCTGAACATTTTAGCACAAGTTTATTGGAATAAAGTTATACTTGGCATTCTCTGTCTTTAAAAATCCCTTCCTCATCTGGGATTATATCCCCTTTTTTCCATTCCTAATTTATAAAAAAACTATCTCTTCTTTTCTTATTTATTACTATCTTTTGTTTTTATACATCATGCATAATTTTTAAAACATTCATTTTCTCTCTTAAAACTTTATGCTTTTTCTCTGCGGGTTCATTAATTTTGGGTTCATTTTCTCTCTTAAAACTTTATGCTTTTTTCTCTGCGGGTACTATTAAATAGTGTGACAAGAGCCGAATAAAGAGTAGTCTTCTTTTTACAAAGAAGGGCTGCTAGGATCTTTATTCCTTGAGTTACTGCATGTGCAGAAATATTCTTGGTTTTAAGTTTAAATAACATACTGGCTGGACAGCAGATTAGTTTGCCACACTTTATTTCCTTCAGAAGTCTGTGTCACCATGCTGTTTTTCAGTATTGAATTTCAAAAAGTCTAAGGAAAGTTTGATTTTTTAATATTATAATTAATGACTTAAATTTTTTGTCAGTATGTCCCAAAGATTCTTTCTTAGATTTCAAGATAAGATACATTGATATGTATTGATTATTCTGTATCTGTTTATTGGGGTGGAGAGATTGATGGATAACATATACCTTTCAAACAAATAGATTTAAATCCTTCCATTTTTTTGTGAAATTATTTTTTTCTGTTCTGTTATTTTTTCGGGGACACCAGTTATCTGCATATTAGATATTTGCTTGTCTTCTATATTTTTTTCTCTCCTTTTTACACTTTTTAAGTTTTTATTTCCTTGTAGTTGCATTTCTCAATCTTGTCTTTCATGTCCCTTATCTTTTCAGTAGTGTCTTTTTCTGCTGCTTCTAATTTAGCTTTGATTTCTTCAGTATCTTTTTAAGCTATTTGCTCAGGTTTCATCACTTCCTATTATCTTACCATAACTTCTCTGAGTTTTTGTATCTCTGCTTTCTTATTTTATAGAAGTAGTTGTGTAATTAAGTTTTAAAAATATATGGTAATATTTAGTCACAACTTTCATTTGCTCCATGGCTACTCATTTCCTGTAAGTCTCTTTGTCTTTAGTTTTTTTCTTATTCTTTTTGTTTTCTTGTTGTGCCTTTGTATAAAGTCTGTGCTGATTCCTGTATTATTATTCTTCACTTTTTAGTGAGGTAAATTTTTTCCCGCAGCAACTCACCCTCCTCCTACTCCCCCAAATCTTCCCTACTTCTCTCTCCTTTTTTGCCAGTCTTTTTAAAGAGGCTCTTAGAACAGAGAGGTCAAGGCCATGTTCTAGGTTAAGAATAATTTTTCTTACGACACAGGGTTGTTTGTGTGAGAATATATATTTTAATTGTTCTTCCCCCCAGCCACAGATTGACATTAGATAGTTGCTTGCGGTGTATAGATCCCCACTTCTCCTCCCACCCCCAGCTCTCCTGAATATATGAACAGATTGCTTACTAGCAATCTGAGCATTGATGCTTTGGTCTGTTGTGATCTAGGGAAACTCTTGCGCCACCTGGATCTCAGAAGTTCTGGATGTTCTAAAGGAGTTTTCTGTGTTTTGCAGTCTGGATAGCTCTCCTCTGTTAGCTTTTACGCTCTTAACCATAGTCATCCTTTCTTGATTTTACATGTGTCAGCCCTTTTTGTTTACCTTGACTGAATTTGCTCCCTTCTTCAACAAATTGTGGTGTAGGGGCTGTAGATGTTTCATAGGTTCAGCAAAGGAGAAATTTTCATTTATCTTTTTTTTTTTTTTGACTTTTGAATGGAAAACTAAACTATCTGACCCTGACACAGTAAAATCCTAAAAACATTTTAGAATCATTTTGTCTCTCATAATTTATATAGATAAAAGCCTTGTGTTTTTTCTTTGCCTGTTAAGTGGGTTATTGAATTCATTTCATTAATTAGATCATGGTATATTTGATCTTATTTTTCAGTCTATCATTTGTCTAATACATTTTTCTTTTTTCTCCTCCCTTGTTTTTGTAATCAATTAACATTTTAAAAACTTATTTTTCCCCCTAGAGATTTGGAAATTTTTCTTTTAAATTATATTCTTTATTTTCCAATTATAATTAATCTGATTTTATTTTTAAAATATGTTTTAACAGTAAATTACTCTTAGTTAAATAACATTTAATATTTGTGTTAAATTATTACATTTAATATGTAATTTGGAATTTCCCTAGCAACATAAACAATCAGTGTCTATGGCCTTCAGCCAAAATAACACAAGTATGCTTGTACTTTTGATTTTTACCTTCTACTTCATATTTAGATTTTTGTTAATCTTAATTTTTCTTGTCAGATTGTTATTAAGTTTACATTAGTTTTACAATATGCTTCATATCATATCACATATCACTGGGTTTCCTTGGCTTCTTTTTTCATCAGCTTTGCTTGCATTCAATGAACTTTTTAATGGACCAACTTTTTGTTTTGCCTGAGTACATCAGCTATTTATTCACAAAAGTTGTATTAATTAATGTTTCTTCTGTCTTTGTTGTCTGAAAATTTATTATTTTGCCGACATTTGAACAATAGTTTGGGCTGTTTTTTTGTTCAGAATCTTTTTCTCCTTATAACCTATAGTCATTGTTCTGTTGTGTTTTGGTATTTAATATTGAAAATGAAAAAAATCTGATAGTAGTCTTGATTCTTATGTATTTTTCCCTCTCATTGAGTTTATAGGATTTTTTTCTCTGTTTCTTTGGAGTATTGGGAAATTTATCATGTTGTTTGGATCTTTTTTAAATTAATGCCTGTGGTATCTGGATGGCTTTTATCCGTCTTTAAAACCTGTGTCTTTATATCAGCAGGAAAATTTAGGTGCACTTGTTTTATTATTTCTCCCTTTCTTTTATTTTTTCTTTCTATTACACAGGCATTTGAGCTGCCACAGACATTCTTTATGGCTCCTAAATTAACCAGAACAATACAGAGACCTTTAAGTTCTAAAGACTTTACTTATTCCTATTTAAATATGAAGATGGAACCTTCTTTTCCTTACCTTAGCCTGTTCTTGCCTTATTTTTACAATGTTGATTGTAACGCTACCACACACACAGTTTTTTCTTTTGCATTGTTCTTTATTTTCTTTATTGACTGTTTGCTTGAGGGTTGACAGCTCTGTGGCCTCACATTCATATTTTTGATTGTTTAAGATCTGATAGGAGCTGATAAGGCTTTTAAAATTTATTACCAAGGTCCCTGTTGAGTTTTATTTATTTATTTATTTTTTTGCAGCTCTTATCTTGAAAGCAAACTTTCTAAGTTATTACCTTAGAAATTTTTTCCTGAATGCTGACTTGTGGGGTTTGCAATATATTTCACCCTGAGTGTAGAGTATTGGTAACATACCGGCAATCAGGCTTCTAATGGTAGGTAGGTACTAGATTGGCAAACTAAGACCCTTATCCGTTGTAGGAGTCAGGAAGGAATTTCCTTGGACTGATTTAGGGGATTTTACTGCTCTATCCAGCTGTTCTTCCTTTATACGTGTTTATCAGCTTATTGTTTCATGGGGATACTATATTAGACTGTTCTTACACTGCTATAAAGAACTACCTGAAACTGGGTAATTTATAAAGAAAAGAGGTTTAATAGACTCAAAGTCCCGTAGGCTGTACAGGAAACATGGCTGGGGAGGTCTCAGGGAACTTAAAATCATGGTGGAAAGCAAAGGGGAAGCAAGCATGTCTTCACATGGCAGTGGGAGTAGGGGGAGGTGCTACACACTTTTAAAAACAAGCAGATCTCATGAGTATTCCATCACGAGATAGCACTAGGGGGATGGTGCTAAACTATTAGAAACCACTCCCATGATCCAGTCACCTCCTACCAGGCCCCACCTCCAGCACTCAGGATCACAATTTAGCATGAGATTTGGGTGGGGACACAAAGCCAAATTATAGCAGGCAGGGACCTGTTTCTTTCTGTGGTGGCACTGTATTTGGTTAATTTGGCTAAAGTGGAAATATGTTTCCAAAATTTCTTCATCTGTATTGTTCTGGTTAGCATTGGCCACAAGAGACATTTTGCATGATTTATAAGGAGGAAGTGAAGTGTTAGGCATACTTTTTGACCCTTTGAGGGTCAGTCCTAAGTAACAGGTATGGTAGTAGCTCTCACTCCTTGTAACTGATTTGCTAGCTGACCTTATAGATGTGAGAAATCATGTGGACCAGCAGTTCCTGCATTTCCTCCAGCTCCTGCCAGATCTCTCCCATCAGCTTCTCTGAGTACTTGCACTGCTTGTGCAGCTCTCCAGTGATTGGTGCAAGCTTCTCTCATAGGTCACCCTTGGTATCAGGATTAGAGTTGGTGAGAGCCAGGTGTGAGTTCAGGTTTGTCATTGCTAGTTCTTGTTAACAACTAACATTCAGACATATTTTTACGTTATGCTATAGACATATAATGTATTATGATGGAATCAATTATAATGTACCGCCTAAGACTTATCTTTTTGGCAAGTGTGAAATTTGAGCACCTTTTTCAGTAACAAGTGATTCTTCGTTGGAATTGATTTCAGTGTCTTGTTTTTTCATGATTATTTACTATCAGAGGTAATGTATTTTGCTTTTTGAGGGTGACTTGGATTTGTTCGAAATAGGCAGAATTGTTTGTAGGCATACTGGTTAATTAATGTCACTTTTGACCCCACATGAGATTTTAGTATAATGCTTTATTTTCCTCTGAGGTGCTTATGTCTAAAAGACAGTATAATAAAGCAAATAGAGAGGTCCCAAAATATTAAATTTTAATTAGAATTACTATTAAATATTTGTGGAATAACTTCATAACTTCTTAGCATGCAAGATATCATTGATATGCTTTTTAATTAACTTATCAAAATATATTTATATCATTGAAATGTTAGCATGGCAAATTATTTAAAATACATCATTTGTATAATGTGTTCTAAAACACTGATGGAGTGGGAATTATTCTTTAATTATTTTGTAATGCCTTTTTTAGGATTTTAAAGTAGAGAATGATCAGTATATAGTCAATTTATAAAATTTAGAAAATTCAGGAACTTATGAAGAAAAAAAATCACTCATACTTGCATCTCATACAGCCAATCACTTGTTAGTACTTGAATTTTTTTCATTTTTTTTGCACATGCAATTTTTTCCCTCAAGGATTTTAGCCCGCTTTTTTTTCTTATTATGCAGAGTTTTAAAAAGCTCTGTTTTGCTATTCCAAGCAATAGAAAAAGTGCGACTCCTCCCTTAACTCATTTTATGAGGCCAGCATCATCCTGATACCAAAACCTGGCAGAGACACACACAAAAAAAGAAAATTTCAAGCCAATATCCCTGATGACCATCAGTTTGAAAATCCTCGATAAGATACTGGCAAAGCAAATCCAGCAGCACATCTAAGAGCTTACCCACCACGATCAAGTTGGCTTCATCCTTGGGATGCAAGGGTGGTTCAACATGTGCAAATCAATAAATGTATTCCATCACATAAACAGAACCAATGACAAAAACCACATGATTATCTCAATAGATGCAGAAAAGGCCTTTGACAAAATTCAACAACCCTTAGTGCTAAAAACTTTCAATAAACAAGGTACTGATGGAAGGTATCTCAAAATAATAAGAGCTATTTATGACAAACCCACAGCCAATATCATACTGAATGGGCAAAAGCTGGAAGCATTCCCTTTGAAAACCAGCACAAGACAAGGATTCCTCTCTCACCACTCCTATTCGACATAGTATTGGAAGTTCTGGCCAGGGCAATCAGGCAAGAGAAAGAAATAAAGGGTATTCAAATAGGAAGAGAAGTCGAATTGTCTCTGTTTGCAGATGACATGATTGTATATTTAGAAAACCCCATCATCTCAGCCCAAAATCTCCTTAAGCTGGTGAGCAACTTCAGCAAAGTCTCAGGACACAAAATCAATGTGCAAAAATTGCAGGCATTCCTGTACGCCAATAATAGACAAACAGAGAGCCAAATCATGAGTGAACTTCCATTCACAATTGAACTCCCATTCAAAAAGAGAATAAAATGCCTAGGAATACAACTTACAAAGAATGTAAAGGACCTCTTCAAGGAGAACTACAAACCACTGCTTAAGGAAATGAGAGGACACAAACAAATGGAAAAACATTCCATGCTCATTCATAGGAAGAATCAATATCGCGAAAGTGGCCATATCGCCCAAAGTGATTTATAGATTCAATGCCATCCCCATCAAGCTACCATTGACTTTCTTCACAGAATTAGAAAAAAACTACTTTAAAGTTCATACAGAACCAAAAAAGAGCCCATATAGGCAAGACAATCCGAAGCAAACAGAACAAAGCTGGAAGCATCACGCTACCTGACTTCAAATCCTACTACGGGGCTGCAGTAACCAAAACAATGTGGTACTGGTACCAAAACAGATATACAGACCAATGGAACAGAACAGAGGCCTCAGAAATAACGCCACACATCTACAACCATCTGATCTTTGAGAAACCTGACAAAAACAAGTAATGGGGAAAGGATTCTCTGTTTAATAAATGGTGTTGGGAAAACTGGCTAGCCATATGCAGAAAACTGAAACTGGACCTCTTCCTTACACCTTATACAAAAATTAATTCAAGAATGATTAAAGACTTAAATGTTAGACCTAAAACCATAAATACCCTAGAAGAAAACCTAGGCAATATCATTCAGGAAATAGGCTTGGGCAAAGACTTCATGACTTCATGACTAAAACCCCAAAAGCAATGGCAACAAAAGCCAAAATTGACAAATGTGATCTAATTAAACTAAAGAGCTTCTGCACAGCAAAAGAAACTATCATCAGAGTGAACAGGCAACCTATAGAATGGGAGAAAATTTTTGCAAATCTATCCATTTGACAAAGGGCTAATATCCAGAATCTACAAGGAACTTAAACAAATTTACAAGAAAAAAACAACCCCATCAAAAAGTGGGCAAAGGATATAAACAGACACTTCTCAAAAGAAGACATTTATGCAGCCAATAGTTATATGAAAAAAGCTCTTCATCACTGGTCATTAGAGAAATGCATATCAAAACCACAATGAGATACCATCTCATGCCAGTTAGAATGGCGATCTTTAAAAAGTCAGGAAACAACAGATGCTGGAGAGGATGTGGAGAAATAGGAACACTTTTACACTGTTGGTGGGAGTGTAAACTAGTTCAACCATTGTGGAAGACAGTGTGGCGATTCCTCAATGGTCTAGAACCAGAAATACCATTTGACCCAGCAGTTCCATTACTGGGTATATACCCAAAGGACTATAAATCATTCTACTATAAAGACACATACACACCTATGTTTATTGCGGCACTATTCACAATAGTAAAGACTTGGAACCATCCCAAATGCCCACCAATGGTAGACTGGATAAAGAAAATGTGTTATATATACACCATGGAATACTATGCAGCCATGAAAAAGGATGAGCTCATGTCCTTTGCAGGGACATGGATGAAGCTGGAAACCATCATTCTCAGCAAACTAACAGAGTAACAGAAAACCAAACACTGCATGTTCTCACTCATAAGTGGGAGTTGAACAATAAGAACACATGGACACAGGGAGGGGAACATCACACACCGGGGCCTGTAGCGGGGTGGGGGGCTAGGAGAGGGATAGTGTTAGGAGAAATACCTAATGTAGATGACGAGTTGATGGGTGCAGCAAACCACCATGGCACATGTATACCTGTGTAACAAACCTGCATGTTCTGCACATGTGTCCCAAAACTTAAAAGTATAATAATAATTTTAAAAAGGTTCTGTTTTGTAGAGCTACCTAGAGTTTCCATTGATTGGATTTCCCATAGTTTTCTCATTTTTCTATTTATAATTATTTTTGAACTTAAAAAATAACTTTTACAATATATTATAAAGGTGAAAATGAATCAGAAGGCAAACTTAAATGAATAATAGATCTCAGTAAACCAAGAAAGTGAGAGAATTGGCTGTTGAGGAATAGAAAATTCTTGTTAGTGCTCTATCATGAAAAGCTATAATGTTTATTTGTTCTGAATTCTCACAGTGTAATCTTCCTCTGTTCTTCAAATAGTGAATATTCTGAAAAATGGAAATCAGGGTTCAGTAGTTCCTCTTTTATTGCTCTCCCATGATTACAATATTTATTGAGAAATTTATGAATTTTATTCATAAATGCTGATTGTATTTCTGACAAATATTGGGAAAGACGCTTGTCAAGTTTTCTGATTTAAAGTTTTTAATCTTGTAGTCAGTGAAAGGAGTCTATGTTATGAGTTTCAATTAGGACTAGATGATTCATTAACATAAGAACAGTTATCTATCCAAAGAACTGTAGTTTTCAAGTATATTATCTTTAGTTTCTTTAATTTACTATGTATTTCTTATAGGCTGACAGCTTTCTTTTACTGCTTTTCAGTATCAACTCGTATGTTTATTGTTTCAGCTTCATAGAACATATTGCACCCATGAGATACACTTCTCGGGCTTAATTTTAAATAAGCACAATGTGCTATATGTGTTTCAAAGTTAAAATGTATCATTTAGTAATATACCCCAGTAAAAGAAAGAAGGACTGCTAGTTTTAAATCAGATATTCTTAGATTGGGATTTTGGCTATGTTTTTCTCCTCCCAATTTAGAAAATTTTCAGCTGATTTTCCAGCACAAACCATTTACTTCTCAAGTATGGGTTTAAATTCTCGTTAGGAGACAGAGGTATTCTACACAAATATGTTGGATCTTTTAAAAATAAATACCTGAATGTGGGGTTTAAAAATCTTTAGGAGTGATTATTAAATTCTGTTTTAGAATTTTCTGTAATTTGGGAATAACCAAAAAAAAAAAAAAAGTACAGAGTGACAGTTCCTTCTTAACAAAAACGAAACAAAATGGTGGGTAACTGAAAACCAACAAAAAAACTGGTTAGTATTGTTAAAAGATATTAACTGAATTTGTTCATTTTAGTTTCTGTAAAAAAAGTATTCTTTGGTTTAAAAATGGACATCAGAGTTGATTGGTATAATTTTGTTTCCTTCCATATTCCAACTTCCTCCCTACCACTGCCATTTATATATCCATAAGTTATAATTTGATATGCTAATATATTGAGACAATGAACTGAATTCTTTGCAATGGAGATGTTTGAAGCCTAGAATATTTCTAGGTTTGAAATTAAGCTCCTTCTTTCTTCAGGATTTTTTCCTTTTTATGCAGTATAGTTTACTGATCATTATTCTATATTTTTATAAAAATTTGTGAAAATTGATTAAATTTTGTGTTTAATTTTAGATTGAGGAATGGATTGTTCCTCTTTCAAAAGTGGTTTTCTGTTAGGAATATCTTTACTTGTAACTTTTCCTTAAGTAGATCCATTATTTATTTTATTTTATTTTATTTTCTGAAATGGAGTTTCGCTCTTGTTGCCCAGGCTGGAGTGCAATGGTGTGATCTCGGCTCACTGCAACCTCTGCCTCCCAAGTTCAAGTGATTCTCCTGCCTCAGCCTCCCAAGTAGCTGGGATTATAGGCATGCGCCACCCCGCCTGGCTAATTGTGTATTTTTAGTGGAGATGGGGTTTCTCCATGTTGGTCAGGCTGGTCTCAAACTCCTGACCTCAGGTGATCCTCCCGCCTTGGCCTCCCACAGTGCTGGGATTAGAGGCATGAGGTACTGGCCCGGCCAAGAAGATCCATTATTTTTTTAGAGAAATCATTTTCTTGAACAGTTGTCTTATTATTTATTTATTGGCTTATTGTCATATTGAACTAGCACCATCTTCTGAGAGTTTGTTACATTACAGTTTAATATTAAAATCTAAGGAATATTTTATAATTGAGACAATGGTTTCATTTTTATGGGAATTTAAAAACTTTTCTAAAATTAATTTGGCTAAATGCATTTTGATGATTATACATGTATAACTATGTTGGAATTTGACTTTGTTCTTATGTATTATAAACATTTGCACACATTCAATTTTCTTAGATTTTAAAGTATTCATTCATTTATTTACTCATTCATGATTGCCTTTTATATACCAAGCATAATAGTAGGAGACACAGTATGATAGCATTATCTTAAAATGATGTACTTGGTACGCCGGGGCACTTTACAGGAAGCAGTGGGCAAGGAAGATTTTATAGCATACATAATACTGAAACAGAATCTTAAGCAATATGCAGGAATATGCCATAAAGAGAAGGGTGAGAAAGGACAGTCTAAGAAGAAATAAAAGAACGAATAAAACTGCTGAAGTTAGCAAATAGTCTGGAATATAAGGGGACTTGGCAACATTTTGTGACAAGTGGAACAGAGTGCAAGGCAGGAACAGTTGAGAAATAGACAAAATCGTTTAAGGAGTTTGGATTTTTCACAAGAGCTATAGAAAGCCACTAAAGGTTTTTGAGCCAGAGGTATAGACACAAGTCAGCAAACTATGACCCATGACCTGTTTTTCTATGACCTGCTATCTAAGAATGCTTGTTACATCTTTTAATCACAGGAAAAATGTAAACAAAACGTGTAATTTATGACACCTGAAAATTATATGAATATCAAAATTTAATGTCCATAAATAGTTTTATAGGAATAGAGCCACACTTATCTGTTTCTGTCTTTCCTAGGACTGCTTTTTCACTAAAAAAGCAGAATTCATTAGTTACTTCAAAGAATATGTGAGCCAGGGTCCGGGCGCACTGACTCACACCTGTAATCCCAGCACTTTGGCAGGCCGAGGTGGGTGGATAATCAGAGCTCAGGAGTTCGAGATCAGCCAAGGCCACATGACAAAACCCCTTTCCTACAAAAATATACAGAAATTATCCGGGTGCAGTGGCATGTGCCTGTGTTCCCAGCTACTTGAGAGGTGAGGCGGGAGGATAGCTTGAGACTGGGAGGCAAAGGCTGCAGTGAGCCGTGATCACGCCATTGTACTTCAGCCTGGGAGACAGCGTGAGACCCTGTTTCAAAATAATAATAATAAAAAAATAATAATAATATATGAGGCAGAAAGCCTAAAATATTTACTATCTGGCCCCTTACAGAAAATGTTTGCTAATATCTGGTCTAAATATATCAATTAAAATATAGAAATAATCATATTGGATAGAAAAGCAAGACCCGACTACTATATACAGTCTATAAAAATCTACTTTAAATATGAAGATACAGGTAGCTTAGAAATAGAAGGATGGGAAAAGGTATATTTTGCAAAGACTAATCAAAAGAAAGTTGAAGTAACTATATTAACATGAGAAACAAGGAATTTTGTAGCGATAAGGGAGGACATTACATATTGATCAAAGGGTCAGTTCACAAAAAGGTATAACAATTCTAAATGTATATAAACGCAGCAGAACTTGCACAAAGCAAAAACTGATAGAACAGAAAGGTTAAATAGACAAACCTACCATTGAATCTGAGATTTCAACAATCCTTTATCAATGTCTACATGTTTTATCAATAACTGGTGTAACAAGTAGACTGAGAATCAGTAGGGATATAGAAGGCATGAACAACATCGGTCAGCTAGACCTAATAGACATTTACAGAACGTTCCATCTGACAACAGAAGAATATATGCTTTCAAGTGCAGATGAAGTATTTATCAAGATAGACCATATTCTTCCATATAAAAAGAACATTAACAAATTTAAAAGAATTTAATGTCTTCTCTGACAATAATGGAATTAAGCTAGAAATCAGTAACAGAAAAACATATTTGTAATATTCCCAAATATTAAGAATTTGAACACCTCCTAAACAGCCTGTGGGCCAAAGAGGAAATACATTGAATTGAACAAAAATAAAAAGACTACATTTAAAACTTTATGGCATGCTGCCAATGCAGTGTTTAGAGAAATATGTCTAGCATTATTAAATGCTTATACTTGAAAAACTAAGTTTTCAAAATCAGTGATGTAAGTTTCCACCTTAAGAATATCGAAAATGAAAGGCAAGTGAGCAGAAAAAGAAAAAAGTAAAGGTAAGAGTAGAAATTAAAAAAATAGAGAAATCAATGAAATCAAAAGCTGATTCTTTGAAAAGATTAATAAAACTGATAAATCTCTAGCCAAAATGACAATAAAAAAAGAGAGAACATACAAATTACACTGTCAGGAATGAAAGAGAAGAAATCATTACAAATTCTTAGGCATTAAAGGGAATGTAAGCAAATATCACAAAAATATTTACTTCTGTTAATTGACAATTTAGATTAAACGAACAAATTCCTTAACAATTTTTTTTAAAATTATTTTACTTTAAGTTCTGGGGTACATGTGCAGAATGTGCAGTTTTGTTACGTAGTTTTACACATGCCATAGTGGTTTGCTGCACCCATCAACCCGTCACCTACATTAGGTATTTCTCCTAATGCTATCCCTCCCCTAGCTCCCTCCCCGCAACAGGCCATGGTATGTGATTTTCCCCTCCCTGTGTCCATGTGTTCTCATTAAATGAACAAATTCCTTTAAAGACACAAACTAAGTTCACTCTAGAAATAGATAATCTGAATACTTCTGCATTTATGAAAAAAGTTGAATTCATAATTTGGAATGTTTCCACAAAGAATACTACAAAGAATACTGTGGATCCAGAAGGTTTTACTGGTAAATTCTACCAAACATGTATGGAAGAAATAATACTAATTGTATATAAACTTTTCCAGAAAACCAAAGGTGTTGGAATACCTCCCAACTTATTTTATGACACCGATATAATAATCTATTAAAATCAGATAAAGACACTGTAAGAAAACTACAGACCAATATTCCTCATGAACATAAATACAAAAGATTCCTTTGACAAAATATTAACAAATTGAATCAAGCAATACAAAGGGTACTATATTATGACCAAGTGGAGTTTATCCTGGAAATGCAGTGCTGGTGTAATATTTGAAATTATTTAATGTAGCTTACCATATCAGTAGGCTAAATAAGCCATATGGTGATCTCAACAGAAACATAAAAAGCATTTGATAAAATTCAGCATCCATTTATAGTTAATAAAAGTCTCAGCAAATCAGGAATGAGAAAATGAGAAGAAACTTCTTCAACTTCATAAATGGCATCTGTGAAAACCCTACAATTAATGTCATACTTAATGATGAAATAGTGAATTTGCTTTCCACCTAAGATTAGGTACAAGGTAAGGAGATTCACTTCCACCTCTCCTATTCAACACTATTTTTAAGGTCCTAGCTATTATAAAACTGCAAGAAAAAGGTATATAAAACATACAAATTGAAAAGGAAGAAATAAAACTACAAAATTCTCAAATGATAAAACAAGACCTAAATGAAAGACAGCAAACACCATTTTCAAGGATACAAAGACTCAATATTATAAAGATGTCACTTCTCTTCAGATTGATTTATCCCTTCAGCATAATTTCAGTCAAAACTCCAAATGGTATTTGTGTGTGGTATTTAAGCAAACTGTATCTAAAATGTATAGGGAAGATGAAAAATCCAAGAATAAGAATATGCTTCTGAGAAGCATTTGCCATGCCAGTTATCAAGACTTACTAGCAACAGCTTTTATAAAGACAATAGGGAATTCATCCAAGTAAACAGGATTGAGACACTGGAAACAAATCCTCACATAAGTGGAACTTGGATATTATAGTGGAGGTGATATAGAAGATCTTTGAGAAAGAAGAGAATGCTTAATAAGTAGTCCTAGGATAGCTGTTATTTTTATAGAGAAAAAGAAAATGGATATTACCATGCACAAAAATCAGTTCCAAATAGATTAAGGGCTACAATGTTAATGGCACAACTTTACAGAATAAAAAAATAAAAGAATATCTTTTCTACTTAGAATGTGGAAGGGTTTCTTAAACAATACATAATTGCTAAATTTAAATATGGGATATATTAACTACAGAAGATAAACATTTGTTTCTATGAAATGATACAGTAAAGAATTAAAGACAAGCCACAAACTGGGAGAAGGTGTGTGTAACACAAAATAACTGAAAAAGACTGGTATACTTTTTCAAATCTACAAGAAAAAGGCCGTTCGTTAAAAAAAGGACATAAAACATAAATAGAAATTTCATGGAAGAAGAAAGACATATAAATATAAGTGGAGTCTCATCACTAATCAAGGAATGCAAAATAAGATCATGAGATTCTTATGCTTTCTAGATTGGCACAAATCTAGAAGACTAAGAAAAGCAAGTGACAGATAATGTCAATCTACAGGAACTCATAGTCACTACTAGATGGATTATAAATTGGTACAGCTACTTTGAAAACAATTTGACATTCTGCAAAGTTGAACATTCATAGAGTATGATTCAGCAGTTCTCTGCTATGTATCTTAGACAGCTAGGCATATTATCAGGTGACATGTACTGAGTAAGAATATTCATGGCTTTGTTGTTAGTATCTTAACAGTTGGGAACAACTTGTGTTCATCAATTGGAGAAAATATTTATAGATTGTGGTAGACTTATAAAAAGGTATGTTATATGGCAGTACAAATGCATGAACTGTATATACTTCATTGGGATGACATGGATGAAACAATACGCACGAAAAATGCCAGACGCAGATGACTACACATATGAAGAGAAAGCAGTGTGATAGCTAAGAATACAGACTCCGGAGCTAGACTGCCTTGGGGGTGAGTTGTGGCTCCACTACTTACTAGATGTGTGCCCGTATATAAAGTCTTTTATCCCTTTCTCTGCAGTTTTCTCATTTGTCAAATGATGTTTTTAGTGAGGATTAAATGATTTAATATGTGTAAAATGCCTATAGAATAGTGTGATGCTGTGTAAGTGCAATTCTTATTACACTGAATTCTGTTGTGATTGGGCAGTTTTCTGTTTACTCTTTGTTGTTACTTTAAATAATGTTCTATCTCTCCCCATCTTCCAGTAGGGCTAATTATAATATATGGTCATTGTTGGTAATGGGAAAATATAAAGAAGAATTAAATAACCATAATATAATTGCCTAATTGAGGCAATCCTTTTTTTTTTTTTTTTGAAACGGAGTCTTGCTCTGTCACCCAGGCTGGAGTGCAGTGGCGCGATCTCGGCTCACTGCAAGCTCCACCTCCCAGGTTCACGCCGTTCTCCTGCCTCAGCCTCCCGAGTAGCTGGGACTACAGGCGCCCGCCATCATGCCCGGCTAATTTTTTATATTTTTAGTAGAGATGGGGTTTCGCCGTGTTAGCCAGGATGGTCTCTATCTCCTGACCTCGTGATCCGCCCATCTTTGCCTCCCAAAGTGCTGGGCTTACAGGCGTGAGCCACCGCGCCCGGCCGACAGTCTTACTGTGGCTTGTGTACTTTGTGAGATGCCAGGGTATGCTAGTGTCTGGGTAAGACAAATACACTCTTTTTTTTATGCAATTCTATGTATAAATGGTATAAGTGAACTTGGGCCTCATTGTATCTACCTAGTATGTGGAAGTTTGCAAATGAACCTCTATAGCACTGTGCCAGTTTGAAATTGTCTGATAGGAATTCTTGTGGTAAATGCCCAAAACATGAATAAAATAAAAAGACAGTTTATTAATTTTCCAGTTCCTTTAGGCTTTTGATGATATATGCACAAATTTTTTACAAGCAACAAAAGTTGTAGATAGCCACAAATATAAAAAGGATTTACTTACTCAATAGTGCTTTTAGACCTATTATTTCCTCTAACCTGAGGCAAGAGGAGAAATAGTTATGCATTATCCATTACTAAAAGGGATTTAGGTAACCTAATTGATGAAATTGAGGAAATAATGTGACTTCTTACTTGCTCCCTCCTCTGTCTGCTTGATACCGGCTGCTGCTCTTGGTGGTGTTTTGGTGACTCTTTGGAGTTATGAAGATTCATTATGATCCCCTTAGAATCCTTATAGGTTGGTTTGTGGATATGTATGTGATTGTACACTATAAACACAATGCAATTTGAGTAGGAAAACCTTGCAGCAATATGCAAAATCTGTAGAAGTGCTGGAGAATTGCTAGAAGCAAAGAAATTAACAAATGAATATCTGGCAGAGTCAGGTGATAATAATTGTAGAGAAAATCCGCAAGTTTCATGACATGTTTAGATAGGTCACAAGAGTATGATTTGAGGATTTAAAGGATTAATCATGGTCCTTGTGAAAAATAATAAAAACCAAGAATAAATATTACAACAGTGACCTTTCTTTATGATCATGTAAGAAATTGGATTTGAAGAGAAGAATGTCATATTGTTATAATTTTAGTAGGACTTTTATTATAATTAGTAGGAATATATGTTAATAGATTTAAATTTAAATTTTAATGGAAACTTTTATATATGTTCTTCTGTTTTACATACAGAAGAATATGGAAAGTGGTTTAAAGAATAACTATTCCCAGGTCATGAAATAGAGCATTGCTAGCACCCCAGAACCAAACAGGTGCCTTTATCCATCTCCTTCTACCTTCAGAAGTAACTGCTATCCATAGTCTTGATCTTTTTCTTGCTTTTCTATTTTCATAATATGTGTATGTGTCATCAAATAATGTTGTTTTGCCATTTAATATTTTTATATAAATGCAATTATTTATGTGTATTCCTTTGCATGTTGCCCTCACCACCTTTGTGAGATTCATTCTTATTGTGGTGTGAAACTCTAGTTCATTAATTTTCAGCCCTGTGTAGTATTCCTGTAAAATGCAGCCATGCATATTATTTTAGACACAATTGATTATTTGTATTTATTTTAAGAGCCTAAAAATATTTCTCTTCACTCAACAAATACTTTGTGAGTGGTTGTTTTATTATGTGCTTTGTTAATTTGTTGGTTTTTGTTTTTAGCTGCATGTAACAAAACAACCAAATAAGTATAGGCTAAAAGTAGCAACCTTATTATCTCAGAATATTTGACTTCATAAAGTCTTAATTTCTATGTCTCAAAACCCTCATGAAACGTTTAAAAGGAGAATGCCAACCTAAGGTGAATGTTTGGAGTGAATATGGCAGATATCCTTAATATACAAAGTGCTTACACAGATTGATAAGGTAAACACTTAAAACCCAGTTTTGAAAGTGGGAAATAAGAGGCATCTTATAAAGAAATGTAAAAACTAGTATACAGGAAAATTTTTAAACTGCATTGAGGTCTTTAAATTTATACCAGAAACAAAAGTACTTTCTCTGATGAGAACTTTTTTCTTCATCTGTTTGTGGAACACGTGGATTTTCCAGGCAGTTATATTTATAAGAAGGTTGGTTTAAGAATCTACAGAGTCAAAATCAAGTTCTGCTAATTTTTTATTTTCTTGCATTAGCAATTCTTCTAATATGGCATGATTTACTATGTCATCATAGAAAGACAGCATTAGAGAGTGTACATGGCAGGGTAAAATTAAACACATGCTCACAATCAAATTAATGTATTTCATCTGTCTTCAACTAATAACAATCTGTCATGTTATCTATCTGAGTAGGGGCATAAACAGTTTATTTTGTGTTTGGAGTAACTTCCTGGAGGTAGTTAATGTGACAAGTCGTTTGTTTGAATTGAGTATAACCAGATCAACACTCAAGATGTTTCCCTGATAACCTAAAAATTACTGTGAAATCTGTACAAGTGCTATATTTATATTTTGCTTTTACTTCTTTTAAGTTAGACAGTGACATTTTTTACTAGTTTGCTTTTACTTCTTTTAAGTTAGACAGTGACATTTTTTACAGTCATTTCACTGAGAATACTCTGTTCCTGCCATTATGTATGGACTGAAGAGCAAAAATAGTTTATAATTTTAATTTTTTTTTCCATCGACAGCAAGTAGACATTAATAATACAATTAATTGATAATATATTCCCTTTTTAAAATACATGGAATAACATTCTGGTTTGAATGAAAAAGTCTTGTTCATTATAGAATATGTTCTTACAGCATGTTGGAAAATAAATACTTGGGAAACTAGGAACATTGTGAAGCCTCAGGCCAGTGTAATATAGATACTCTTACAAAGTGCTTCAGAATTTTGAAATTGTACTTAAAACTTCATAACATTTAGTCTGATCAGTAGCTCTGATCTGTGAAATGTACAGAGCTGATACAAATCTATCAGTAGCTCTGATACATTTGATATGTCTAGTTTAAAAATATTTATTACATTTAATACTGTATCTTTTAAGACTGTTCGTTCTCTCCCTTGTTATCAGTAGTCATATAGGTGGATGCAGTGGAGATCCTGAGTAAGGAATCTTGAATGCCAGTAAACAAATAGTACCTAAAAAGAAAAGTAATTGTATACTTGGCTGTTTGTATTAGTGTGTGTGTGTTTTAGAAGTCAAAGTGTATATATAATTTTAACCACATGTGAATCAAATTTAATAAATTATTAAGGGAATTTTGCTTGTTATGTTTGGGCTAATCATGGATCATTTTTAAACTTTATGTAATTTCACATAAAGTTTCACAACTTGTATGTACAGCTGCAAGTTCTTTTTAAATAACTGTGTAATCAAGTGATGAGGCAAAGCATATCATGTTCTGTAATGCTTATGGGCCGGTTTTTATGATTTATTGTTACTAATTAATACTTTTAATGTTTTACAAATATAAAACCAGCTATATCATAGTGCGTATTTTTAAAGTAGTGATTATTTAAAGTTTGTCTTTATTGTTTTAATTAAAAATCTAAATAAAACTTAGACTGTTAAGTGACTGTTAATTCATCCCTAAAGTTGATGTTCTTTCTTCATTGAGAACCTCCAGCTGGATTTGAATCAGATAGCATAGTTCTAATTCTGGTGCTACTAATGACTAGATTTGAGACTTTCGTTAAGTCATTCTAAACCTCAGTTTTTGTGTGTGTGTGAAATTGGAATAATGCTTACCTATTCGCCAAGGTTGTTATGAGGCCCCAAAGGGTTTTGTAAATGTTTAAACAGAGTTAGATTGTTTCAAAAGTCTCTTAAAGTGGTTTCTCTGCTTGTTTTTTTGTCCTCAGACATCGTTTCTCCTCATGGTAGCTAGAGTAATTTTTTCAAAATGCAAAATCATATTGTGCTGTTGGTTACAACCTTACAATGGTTTTCCATTATTGTATTTGAGTAATATCCTCATTATGCTATAGGTACCACTCTTGCTTATTATACTTCTTTGTTTTCCTCAATTGTACTCCGTCTTTTTCCTCTTCCAGGTTTTCATCCCTGTCCCAATGACTTAAACAGTTTTTTCGTCCAACTACCTCTTAATTTGTTTGGTTTATTCTTACCCTTTAGATCAGGGGTTCCCAACCCCTGGGCCATGGACTGCTACTGTTACATGGCCTGTTAGGAACCCAGCCATACAGCAGGAGGTGAGCAGTGGACAGTGAGCATTACTGCCTGAGCTCCACCTCCTGTCAGATCAGCAGCAGCATTAGATTCTCATAGGAGCGTGAACCCTATTATGAACAGCACATGCAAGGGATCTAGGTTGTGTGTTCCTTATGAAAATCATTATTAATGCCTGATGATCTGAGATGAAGCAGTTTTACCCCAAAATTATGCCCCCCTACTACCCCATCTGTGGAAAAATTGTCTTCCATGAAACTAGTCCCTTGTGCCAAAAAGGTGGGGTCCACTGCTTTAGATCTCAGATCAAAGAGGTCTTCCATGGCTATCCTATGTAAAATTGTCATTGCTATCCTGATTCCTACTCCTCTCTTTCACTCTGTTACTCTCTTATCTGGTCGCCTCCTCCACTTTCAGATTATGATAATTGTAGTAATTGACTCATTTATTTACATGCTCACTTATTCTTTCTACCTCATTAATGTGAGGGTAAAGATAATGTCTATATTGCTCCCTAATTTATCCCTTGTGCTTACTAGCACAGTACTTGACATATAATAGGTGGTCATATTTATTTAATACATTTGAAGTATTGTTTTACTTCTTTTAAAGAAGTGCATGTACTGTTTTTTTTTTTTTTTTTTTGTAGCCTGTGATTTTATAGCTCTACAGTTAATCTGAATAAACTTTAGGTTGATTAGTGTGCAGAACTGTAGTAACTTTCAGGAGGAAAAATAGCTGCATGTATATAATATGTATAAAACTTGCCATCTTCTATTTTTAAAGTTATGATATAGTTAATTATGCATACAAGATGGGTAAACCGAAGAAAATGTCATAATCAGAAAACCTATAGGAGGGTAACATTTTTTGTCATTTAAAATTTTCTTTTGAATAGATTCTAAATTTGGAACAAAGAGTTTTCAGTCCGTGTAGTCAATGAAAGTAATTTAAATCCAACAAGGGAAAATGTAAGGTTTGCTGATATATGTCACCTGCAAGAATTCCCTTTTTGTGCTTATATATATATTTTTCTTGGGTAAGCTGGAATATGTGAGTAACTTGTAGATGATCACCTATTCGCACGTAAACTTCTTAACGCACACAAAACCCTTAGGCCTAGGCCCTGCTGATTTCACTAGCTCTTGGAAGCCAGGTTCTTTCAGATGCTTTTGTACATATTCCTTTTGAGAAGAATGTACATCCTCTCTATCCTTAAGGCTATCTGACTGATTTTTTCTCCTCTTTCAGTATGTAACTGAAGCATCACTTTCTCTGTGACATGGCTTCTATCATCCCTAAGCAGTTGTAGAAGTTTCCTGTCTCTGTACTCCTGTTATAGATTGTCTTATACAGATCTTTGTTACTCTCATGATTTCAGAATAGCATCTTTTTATTTGTGTCCCTCTTAGCCTTCCCAGCTTTTAGCACTACATAAATTGTTGGTGAGTAAATAAATGCATGGACAAACCACAATGACACTAGCTAATACTTATTGAGTATATGCCAGGCACATACAATATGTCTTGCTATATGCTAGTCATTGCTTTTTGTGTATTTATTCATCTTATCCATTATAGCAACCTTATGAGATAGGTATTGTTATTGTTTTCATTTTATAGATGAGAACACTCACTATATTTATTGTTTACAGCATTATGTTTTTAAATATGTGTACATTGAGTAATGGCTAAATCAAGCTAATTAACGTATTTATTTCCTCACATACTTATCATTTTTTTGTGGTGAAAACACTTAAAATCTATTCTCTTAGCAACGTTCAAGAAAACACTTATCTTTTTTTGTGGTGAGAATACTTAAAATCTATTCTCTTAGCAACTTCCAAGAATACAATACCTTATTATTAA
Organism: Homo sapiens; assembly: GCF_000001405.40. Lineage (NCBI taxonomy): Eukaryota > Metazoa > Chordata > Mammalia > Primates > Hominidae > Homo > Homo sapiens. Next base: position 13,392,632 of record NC_000004.12, on the reverse strand, counting down.
CAAGAGATTACAAGTGCTGGCCAGGATATGGAGGAAAGGGAATGCTTGCACGCTGTTGGAGAGTGCATTCTTTATCACTTTGCACTACTTTCTTTCCAGATGAATCTGTAAATAACTGAAGAACTATAACTATATTCAACCCAAGTTTCTTCTGTATTTACCTTAATGCAAAGTCAAGAAAAGTTATTTCTTGTATGGGACAAATTCTTGTATATAATCTATCATCTCTGGATTGGTAAAATAATAACAGAGGTCATCTCTTGGGATATGAAAAAATTTTACTGTTAGGACATTTTCTTTATAAAGATATTTGATATAATGTAATTTTAATCAGAATTATTTACTATTTAATATCATAATCTTCCTGTTACTCATCAAAATCTGTCTCTATATCCTAATATACAGGCCACTTTATCCTGGAAGTTATCCAAGTGAATAAATTCTGAACCATCACATAAATTTAGAGAGTTAGTGTTCCACTAGAATCAGCAGGGCCAAATGGAGGATAAAAGTGACAACTTTAGATTCAGAATTTTTTAAAAAATTATACTTTAAGTTCTAGGGTACATGTGCACAACATGCAGGTTTGTTACATAGGTATACATTTGCCATGTTGGTAAATGTATACCTAATACGTTCCTAATGTAATGAAATTCCTAATGTAAATGCCTCATCATTTACATTAGGAATTTCTCCTAATGCTATCCCTCCCCCAGCCCCCCACCTCCCGACAGGCCCCGGTGTGTGATGTTCCCCGCCCCGTGTCCAAGTGTTCTCATTGTTCAGTTCCCACCTATGAGTGAGAACATGCGGTGTTCAGTTTTCTGTCCTTGTGATAGTTTGCTGAAAATGATGGTTTCCAGCTTCATCTGTGTCCCTGCAAAGGAAAAGAACTCATCCTTTTTTATGGCTGCATACTGTTCCATGTTGTATATGTGCCACATTTTCTTAATCTAGTCTATCATTGATGGACATTTGGGTTGGTTCCAAGTCTTTGCTATTGCGAATAGTGCCACAATAAACATACGTGTGCATATGTCTTTATAGTAGCGTGATTTATAATCCTTTGGGTATATAGCCAGTAGTGGGATCACTGGGTCAAATGGTATTTCTAGTTCTAGATCCTTGAGGAATCGCCATACTGTCTTCCACAATGGTTGAACTAATTTGCATTCCCACCAACAGCGTAAAAGCGTTCCTATTTCTCCACATTGTCTCCAGCATCTGTTGTTTCCTGACTTTTTAATGATTGCCATTCTAACTGGTGTGAGATGGTATCTCATTGTGGTTTTGATTTGCGTTTCTCTGATGACCAGTGATGATGAGCGTTTTTTCATGTGTCTGTTGGCCGCATAAATGTCTTCTTTTGAGAGTATCTATTCATATCCTTTGCCCACTTTTTGATGGGGTTGTTTGTTTTTTTCTTGTAAATTTGTTTAAGTTCTTTGTAGATTCTGGATATTAGTCCTTTGTCAGATGGGTAGATTGCAAAAATGTTCTCCCATTCTACAGGTTGCCTGTTCACTCTGATGGTAGTTTCTTTTGCTGTGCAGAAGCTCTTTAGTTTAATTAGATCCCATTTGTCAATTTTGTCTTTTGTTGCCATTGCTTTTGGTGTTTTAGACATGAAGTCCTTGCCCATGCCTATGTCCTGAATTGTATTGCCCAGGTTTTCTTCTTGGGTTTTTATGGTTTTAGGTCTAACATTTAAGTCTTTAATCCATCTTGAATTAATTTTTGTATAAGGTGTAAGGAAGGGATCCAGTTTCACCTTTCTAGATATGGCTAGCCAGTTTTCCCAGCACCATTTATTAAATAGGGAATCCTTTCCCCATTGCTTGTTTTTGTCAGGTTTGTCAAAGATCAGATGGTTGTAGATGTGTGGCATTATTTCTGAGGCCTCTGTTCTGTTCCATTGATCTATCTCTCTGTTTTGGTAGTAGTACCATGTTGTTTTGGTTACTGTAGCCTTGTAGTATAGTTTGAAGTCAGGTAGTTTGATGCCTCCAGGTTTGTTCTTTTTGCATGCAGGCTTTTTTTTTTTTTGATTCCATGTGAACTTTAAAGTAGTTTTTTCCAATTCTGTGAAGAAAGTCAATGGTAGCTTGATGGGGATGGCATTGAATCTATAAATTACCTTGGGCAGTATGGCCGTTTTTCATGATATTGATTCTTCCTATCCCTGAGCATGGAATATTCATCCATTTGTTTGTGTCCTCTTTTATTTCCTTGAGCAGTGGTTTGTAGTTCTCCTTGAAGAGGTAAAGAGGTCCTTCACATCCCTTGTAAATTGGATTCCTAGGCATTTTATTCTCTTTGTAGTAATTGTGAATGGGAGTTCCTTCATGGTTTGGCTCTCTGTTTGTCTGTTATTGGTGTATAGGAATGCTTGTGATTTTTGTACATTGATTTTGTATCCTGAGACTTTGCTGAAGTTGCTTATCAGCTTAAGGAGATTTTGGGCTGAGAAGATGGGGTTTTCGAAATATACAATCATGTCATCTGCAAACAGGAACAATTTGACTTCCTCTTTTCCTAATTTAATACCTTATATTTCTTTCTCTTGCCTGGTTGCTCGGCCGGAACTTCCAACACTATGTTGAATAGGACTGGTGAGAAAGGAATCCTTGTCTTGTGCCAGTTTTCAAAGGGAATGCTTCTAGTTTTTGCCCATTCAGTATGACATTGGCTGTGGGTTTGTCATAAATAGCTCTTATTGTTTTGAGATACGTTCCATCAATACCCAGTTTATTGAGAGTTTTTTAGCATGAAGGTTGTTGAATTTTGTTGAAGGCCTTTTCTGCATCTATTGAGATAATCATGTGGTTTTTGTCATTGGATCTGTTTATGTGAAGGTAGATTCAGAATTTTAATTTGTTGCTTCTGAATAAAAGCTGTAAACCTCAATGAAATAAAAACAAAACATGGTACTAAAATATCTATGCATGTAGTGATATATGTGTTCAATTTGCCTTCAAATAATCTGAGAGTGGTGGTATGGATGAAATAGGATTGGTCATGACTTGACAATTGTTGAGGGTAAGTGATGAGTACTTCAAGAGTCATTATACTATTTACTTTTGTATAAATTTGAAATTTTCCATTAAAGTATTTCAGAGTGGTGGATTATCAATAACTGTAGCTTTGGAAAGCTATGTTTTTTCAAATGGTGGTTAAAAAACTACAAAATTTACCATCTTAACCATTTCAAGTGTACAGTTCAGTAGTGTTACTGTAGTCATATTGTTGTGAAACAAATCTTCAGAACTTTTTCATCTTGCAAATCTGGAATTCTATAGCCATGAAACAACAACTTCTTTTTTCCTCTGCCTACATCCCCTGGCAACCACTATTCTACTTTCTGTCTCTGAATTTGACTAGTTTAGTTAACCTCATAAGAGTGGAATCATATGATATTTGCATTTGGTGACTTGCTTATTTCACTTAACGTAATGCGCTCAAGGTTCATCCATGTTGTAGCATGTGACAAGATTTCCTTTCTTTTTAAGGCTGAATAATATTCCATTGTATATATACACTGCATTTTGTTTATCCAGTCATTCATCAGTGAACATCTGGATTACTTCCACCTCTTAGCTATTATGACTAGTGCTGTTGTAAACTTGGATGTGCAAATAGCAAATATCTCTTCAAGACCCTGCATTCAGTTCTTTGGGATATATACCCAGAAGTTGGATTACTGGATCATACAGTCGTTCTATGTTTAACTTTCTCAGAAACCCCATACAGTTTTCTGTAGCAGTTGCACCACTTTACAGTCCCACCAACAAACATTAGTGTTTCAATTTCTCTACATCTTTTTCATCCTTGTTTTTTTAAATTTAGCCACCTTAATGGTGATATTTCTTTGTAGTTTTGATTTCCATTTCTCTGATGATGTGTTATCTTTGAGGAAATATCTATTCAAGCCTTTTGCTTATTTGTAAATTGTGTTTTTTGTTGTTGAGTTGTAGGTGTTCTTTATATATTCTAGATATTAACATTTTGTCAGATATATGATTTGCAAATATCTTCTCCCATTTTGTAGGTTGTGTCTTCACTGTGTTGATTATGTGCTTTGATACACGAAAATTTTTAAGTTTGATGTGGCCCTGTTCGTCTGTTATTTCTTTTGTTTCTCTGCATTCGGTGTCATGTCCAAGAAATCACCACCAAGTCCAATGACCTGAAGCTTTTTCCCTGTGTTTTCTTCCAGGAGTTTTACAGTTTTTGGTTTTTATGTTAAGGTCTTTAATTGATTTTGAGTTAATTTTTGTGTGTGGTGTAAGATAAAGGTCCAACTTCATTCTTTTACATGTGAAAATCCAGTTTTCTCAACATAATTTGTTGAAGAGATTGTCCTTTTCCCCACTGAGTTGTATTGGCCTCCTTATAGAAGATCATTTGGCCATATATGTGAGGTTTATTTCTGGGCTTTCTATTCTATTTGGAAGACTACATTTTAAACCAATAAAATGTAGCTCTTAATTAGCATTGCTTTTATGGCGTATCCGACTCTCCAAGTAAATCTTGCTGTCTGAAAGCAGAGATGTTAGAATAACACCACGTTTGTTAAAAGATCTTACAAAATACTGAATGATAGTGATGGGTGAAAATTGACACTGGGTTACAAAATACTGAATGATAGTAATGGGTGAAAATTGACCCTGGGAGTTCTTGGGTTATCAAGTTTATAATTTGACCTGGGGAAAGTCAGGGAGGAAAGATAAGCAGATCCCTCAACAAGTTTTGCATTGTGTGGACAATGTCTTTAGAAGCACATATACTTTGTCTGGCATTCAAAAATGGTGGTGCTATATTTTCAGAATTGTATTTTCATTCCAGTCAAAAGTATCCACTCCATGCAAATAAAATTTTTTTTGAAATTGAAGAATCAATCATGTTGAAAACATACATTTTTTCTTTAATTCTTCACAGACAGCTATTTTCTTCAGATTTCATTGTTGAAGGAGAATCTAGCAAATACCAAAAGATGTCATGTTCAAGCCATCTGTACTTTTACCTAAATGTGTAGCAAACCTCCACACTGTATAATTACTTCTCATACTTCAGCATTGCTTTCCTTATATCTTCCAACAAAATGTGTTGACAATGAGGTATGGATTTTTGTTTTTGTACTATTTTCCATTATCACTTGAGCCATTAAAGGGCAACAGAAATAACATTTCTCCAATGGTACAAGTTTTGTTAATGTTTTTCCCTAATATGTGAAAATGTAAAATAGGCTTCACAATTTATAATTAAATTTAATGTAATTTTATGACTATTTGATTACATGTGAGATGACCAGAATAGCAGAGACAATTATGATGCTTAGATTTCCATTGTCTTGCTAATCATGTTAACTTCCTATATTTTCTTTTAACTTTTAAGTTCGTGGATACATATGCAGGTTTGTTACATAGTTACACTTGTGTCATGAGAGTTTGTTGTACAGATTTTTTCATCACCCAGGTATTACACCTAGTACCTATTAGTTCTTTTTCCTGATCCTCTGTCCCCTCCCACCCTCCATCCTCTTGTAGGCCACAGTGTCTATTGTTCCCCTCTATGTGTCCATGTGTTCTCATCATTTTTCTCCTACTTATAAGTGAGAACATGTCATATTTGATTTTCTGTTCTTGCATTAGTTTGCTAAGGATAATGGTCTCCAGGTCCATCCATGTTCCCACAAAGGACATGATCTCCTTTTTCATGGCTGTATAGTATTCTATGGTGCATATGTACTGCATTGTCTTTATCCAATCTGTCAATGACAGGCATTTAGGTTGACTCCATGTCTTTGCTATTTTGAATAGTGCTGCAAGGGACATACACTTGCAAGTGTTTTTAAGATAGAATGATTTATATTCCTTTGGGTATATACCCAGTAATGGGGTTGCTGTGTTGAATGGTAGTTCTGTTTTAAGTACTTGAGGAATCACCACACTGTTTTCAACAATGGTTGAAGTAATTTATACTTCCACCAACAGTATGTAAGCATTCCCTTTTGTCTGCAATCTTGCCAGCACCTGTTATTTTTTGGGTTTTTCCATTCTGACTAGTGTGTGATGGTATCTCATTGTGGTTTTGATTTGCATTTCTCTAATGATCAGTGATGTTGAGCTTTTTTTCATGTTAGTTGGATGCATGTATGTCTTCTTTTGAGAAGTATCTGTTCAGGTCCTTGGCCCACTTTTTAATTGAGCTGTTTTTTTTTCTTGTAAATTTGTTTAAATACCTTATAGATGTTTGATATTAGATCTTTGTCAGATGCATAGTTTGCAAACTTTTCTCCCATTCTGTAGGTTGTCTGTTTACTCTGTTGATAGTTTCTTTTGCTGTGGAGAAGTTCTTTAGTTTAATTAGGTACCATTTGTAAATTTTTGTTTTTGTTGCAGTTGCTTTTGGCATCCTCATCCTGAAATATCTGCCTGTTCCTATGTCCAGAATGGTTTTGCTTAGGTTGTCTTGCAGGGTTTTTTGAGTTCCTTGTGTATTCTTGATATTAATATTTTATCAGAGTTTGTAAATATTTTCTCCCATTCTGCAGGTTATTTCTTCACTCTGTTGATTGTTTCTTTTGCTCTGTAGAAGGTTTTTGTTTGATATAATTCTGTTTGTCTATTTTTGGTTTTGTTGTCTGTGCTTTTGAGGTCTCATCCATAAAAATCTTTGCCCAAACCAATGTCTGTAAGCATTTCTCTTGTTTTCTTCTAGGAATTTCACAGTTTCTGGTCTTAAATTTAAGCCTTTACTCCATTTTGAGTTGATTTTTGCTTATGGTGAAAGATAAGAGTCTGTTTTTATTCTTTCGCATGTGGATGTCATCATGAGGTTAGCTGGTTATTATGCAGACTTTTTTGTGTGGTTGCTTTATAGTATCAGTGGTCCGTGTACTTAAGTGTGTTTTTGTAGTGGTTGATAGTGGTCTTTCCTTTCCATATTCACTGCTTCCTTTAGGAGCTCTTGTAAGCCAGGTCTGCTAAGAATTCCCTGAGCATTTGCTTGTCTGAAAAGGATCTTATTTCTTTTTTGCTTAGTTTGGCCAGATATGAAATTCTGGGCTGGAATTTCTTTTCTTTAAGAACATTGAATATTAACCCTTCTGGCCTTTAGGGTTTCTGGTAAGAGGTCTGTTAGTCTTATGGGCTTCCCTTTGTATGTGACCTGACCCTTCTCTCTAGCTGCTTTTAACATTTTTCCTTTTATTTCAACCTTGGAGGATCTGATGATTATGTGTCTTGGGGATGATCTTCTTGTGAAGTATCTTACTGGGGTTCTCTTCATTTCCTGAATTTGAATGTTGGCCTCTCTAGCTAGGTTGGGGAGATTCTCATGGATGATATCTTGAAATATGTGTTCCAATTTGCTTCCAATCTCCCCATCTGTTTCAGGGACACCAATGAGTTGTGGATTTGTTCTCTTTATGTAATCTCCTATTTCTCAGAGATTTTGTTCATTCCTTTTCATTCTTTTTCCTTTATTCTTGTCTGACTTATTTCAGGAAGCCAGTCTTCAGGCTCTGGGATTCTTTCCTAAGGTTGATCTATTCTGCTATTAATAGTTGGAATTGCATTATGAAATTACTGTAGTGTATTTTTCAGCTCTATCAGGTCAGCTATATTCTTTTCTGTACTGGCTGTTTTGTCTGTCAGCTCCTGTATCATTTGGATCTTCCTTGGATTGGGTTTCAACATACTCCTGCATCTCAGTGACCTTCGTTTCTATCCATATTCTGAATTCTTTTTCTGTCATTTCAGCCATCTCAGTCCAGTTCAGAACCCTTGCAGGAGAAGTAGTGCCGTCATTTAGAGGAAAGAAGGTACTCTGGCTTTTTGAGTTGTTAGAGTTCTTATGTTCATTCTTTCTCATCTTTGGGGGCTTATGTTCTTTCGGTCTTTGATGTTGCTGATCTTTGGACTTTTTTTCTTTTATCCTATTTGATGACCTTGAGAGTTTGATTGTGGTATAAAGTGGGTTCAGTCAACTGGCTTCATTTCTGGAAGATTTTAGGGGGCCAAGCCTCAGCTCCCAGCTCCTGGACTGCATGCTCTAAATCTGGGGGACTTGTATCCAGCCCCAGATTTGTTCTCTGACTCCTCGAGGTTAGGAACCCACTGTGCTGGTGGGACCTACGTATTCCTGGACCACTGGTCATTACACTTCAGTAGGTGGTACTAGCCAAAGTGTTTCGTAAGGCAGCGGCAGTGGGATTTGTCCTTGTTTGCATGTGCTAGCAGCAGCAGCAGCAGCAGCACGGTGGGGTACACACTCATCAACTGCAGCAGGGTGCTAGCAGGTGCCTGCCTCCCTGCAGGCATTCACAGCAGCAGCAGAGGCAATACTGCTTTGAGGGCCCCTGCTGGCTACTGTGCTGGTGGTGGTATTAGCATGGGGGTCGGGTGCTGGCGGGTGCAGGTCTGTGCCTGCCCTCTGTGCATGATCACTCAGGTGGGGTGGCTGCTCAGGGTAGGGGAGGTCCATTGTTCTCCCTTCCTAGTTTCACTCTTGCGGCAGTGTTGGTGCAGGGGTGAGGCTCTGGAGGTGGTGGGGTTGGCAGGGTTCACTGGGGCGAGGGAGGCTGGTGCATGGCGGTGAGTACTACTTTCCACCAGTCAGGTGCAGTGCACCAGTGCAGAGGTATAATGTGGACCCCCAGTACATCCAAGACTGCACTGCAAGCAAGTATGGCCAGGCTGGGACCTCAGGAGAGGGCAGCAGACCAAGGGATGCTGAGGTTGGACTAGCCCTGTGTGATAGGCAGGACTGCCCTGCATCATTCAGGTCTGACAGTTCCCCTAGGGCTAAAATCTCCTGTGGGAGCACAGGCACGCCTTACATGGCGTCAGGCAAGATGGCATGTGCAGGGGAACTGCCCTTTATAAAACTATAAGATCTCATGAGAACTTATTTACTATCATGAGAACAGCACAGGAAAAGCCGTCTCCATGATTCAGTTACCTTCCACCAGGTCCCTCCCATGACCTGTGAGGATTATGGGAGCTACATTTCCAGATGAGATTTGGATGAGGACACAGCCACCCAAGATGAGATTTGGGTGGGGACACAGCCAAACCATATCACTACCTGCCACAATACCTGGCATATAATAGATGCTCAATAAATGTTTGTTGAATAAGTTCTTTTTTTTTCAATTGAACAATGGTACTACTAGTCTTTCCATGGTTATATTTGTTAGGAAAAAAACTTTTGTTTGAGTAGTAAATGATAGATGGAGATTTGGAAGGAAGGAGGGAGAAAGAGAAATAAAAAGCAATAAACCATTAGAAAAAACAAATGTACACACACATTAAGTGACACAACTTTTATTTTTATTTATTTATTTTTTAATGGATGGTGATTTCAATGGGTGGCGATTTCAATGGGGATTTTTCCTCGTGACAAGATTTGTTCTTACTCTTGTTGAATTAGAAAAGTTAGCTCCAATATTATGATAAATTGGATATATAAATGTCAGTGCTAATAGCTTAGTATTTTAGTCTTCCACAAATTGATGCCTGTGGTATCTGGACATTCCTTGCCTGTTCTTGTAAATAAGGAGATAGTGATGTTTAAGGAATAGCACTCTGGCCAGAAGAGCAAAAAAAACAAAACAAAGCAAAACAAAAAGACCAGGTGCTGTGGCTCACGCCCGTAATTCTAGCACTTTGGGAGGCCGAGGTGGGTGGATCATTTGAGGTCAGGAATTCAAGACCAACCTGGCCAACGTAGTGAAACCCCATCTCTACTAAAAATACAAAAAATTAGCCGGGCGTGGTGGCAGGCGCCTGTAATCCCAGCTACTTGGGAGGCTGAGGCAGGAGAATTGCTTGAACCCAGGAGGCAGAGGTTGCAGTGAGCCGAGATCATGCCATTGCACTCCAGCCCGGGTGACAGTGCAAGACTCTGTCTCAAAAAAAAAAAAAAAAAAAAAAATTCCATATTTTCCAAGGTAAGCAATATAAATGGGGCTCAGGAATACCCCATTAGATTAAAAAAAATCTCCTAGAGAGAGAACCCTTGAGCCTACAAACTAAAGACTTTCAATATAATTTTAAATAAAGTCTTTTATGTAGTATGAGTGCATTTTTTAGTTGATAATCAATTGGCACTATTATGTAGGCTTACTAGATTTGCAAATTTACAAGTTTTTACAAGTCATTTGGGTCCCTTCCTCAGGAAATCAGTTTAAGTTTTTTTTTTCCTATATTGACTCAAAGAGCCTAGTTGTCCTTAAATCCTGTGAATATATTTGCCTTATAATTTGACGGCATTGAATCAACACCCTTATAGGGTCTGTAGTGTTGTAAAAAGAGAAACTGTTAAATAAAGGATCACATTTGGAAAAATACACTGTGCTGGATAAAACCAGTATTGGATATGAGTACTGTGCCTTGCTTTAAAGCACCTACAACTATTTAAGGAAATACATCCTTGCCCCTTACTCTCAAAATGGATACTCTAGATGGAAAACAACTGAACTATGTCTTTGTGAAATTAAAGTATGGCTATAAATTAATGTAAACACACAATGTAATATTGATCTCTTAAGCAGAAAGTTATGTATTTGTGCTAACATTCAAGCTTATAGAGATTACAGAGCTAATTATTAAAGTAATTAAACTCTTTCAAGCCAAATATGCTTGGGTAAGTACAACTTGCCTTCAATTAATCACCATGTTTAAATGTACTATATTAAGTAGATCTTTGTTGAGCATCATCAGTGTGCCTGAACTTATACAGATGATAATAATAATGATAGCGCACATTTTTTTTTTAGCACTTCTGTGCTGGTCTTTGTGCATTATACATAGATTAATTATCAAATAACTCTCTACAAAATAGGTATATTTATTATTCCCAGTTTATAGATGTGGAAACTGAGTCATAAAGAGGTTTAATAAATTGTCCAAGGTTGCACAGCTGATGTCGAAGCTGGAATATAATATTGGAAAGCAAGTCAAATTTAAACATGTTAAAAACGTTTTGATAGACTCTAATATTGAATTATTTTCTTTCTTTAACACCTTTCTAGTTGATTTGGAGCATATGCGAACAATAAAACCTGAAAAACACTTACGGTTTTGCCAGGAAAATGGTTTTAGTAGCCACTTTGTCTCAGCCAAGACAGGAGACTCTGTAAGTAAAATAATGAATACTGTATGTGATGTTTTCCTTTTATTTACTAACATTCCTAGGAAGTATACTTCCACTATTTAACTTTTGGAGCAAATTAATTCCTATTGAAAACATGAAATTCCTTAGATTAGATATAACATGTTTATTCTGGTTATATTACTTTTATAATTTATTTAACATAATTTTAGTTATTTTTAAAAGGGGAATTAAAATGAATATAAACCACCCGTAATGTCAGTATCTAGAGATAACCACTCATAACCTCATATGATTCCATCTAGTCTCTTTTCCTGATGCTCACACTAGTGCTGCTGCCTGTGGCTAGGAGATGGCATTCATTGAGTGCTTACTTTATTATAGATATTGTACTACTCTGATTATCTCCATTTTATAGATGAGTCTTAGAGAAATTATGTAATGGGGTCCAGATTACACGGCTAATAAGTGGAGGAGAGAGGATTTGTGAAGGCAAATAGTGACACTCTGGGGCTCACAGTCACAACCCTATATTTATTTTTAAAAATTAAGATTATAATATAGAAATAATTTTATATTTTACTTTTTACTTAATATTTTTATTGTTCCCATGTCATTTAATAATAGATTGAATAATTCATTTAATAAATGTTCAGAAATTTATTCAATCTTATTCTTATTGTGGAACATATAGGTTGTTAAGTTTTGAACATAATGTTCTAATGTAAAATTTTGTCCGTAAGCTTTTGGTGTTTTGATTATTTTCTTTAGGTAGATTCCTTGAAAGGAGATTGAAACATTGCCAAATCACCACCAGAAAGACTAAATTCATGCTATCACCAGCATTGTATGATTGCCATAACTACATCCTTTTAACATTCAGGATTTATCTATGTATTTATTTTAAAATCTTTGTCAAATTGGTAGGCCCCAAAAAAGAAAAAAGATACTTCACTATTTAAATTTGAATTTCTTTGATTATAATTGAGGTTGAAATTTTAAAAGTTTTATTAGTTATTCACTTTCTGCTTTTTACTTGTTATAACTTTCTATTGTATTTAGAAATTTTCTATGACCATTTTTATATTAGTGCTAATAGTCATGTATCATAATTTTTTCAAATAATCATCACTGACCCCTATTTGACTATTTTTCCAGTTGACATTTTTCAACTAAAAGAAGTTTGAAATTTTTCTGTGGTTTAAGATTTTTGATGTTTTTCTCTGTAATATCCTTTATAGTTTTACACCTAAAATAAATAATATGATGGGGGTTTATTCTTTCTTTTGGTAAGACCCATTAAAAAATTTGGCCTCCTGGAATCCTTTCCCCTCAGACAATGTGAACATGGGCACATACTCACCCATCCATGCCTTTTTAAAAAATGTAATGTCAATAATTGTAGATAAACTCATCCATGGATTCACTGGGCTTCTACCCTCACTTAATCTTCCCAGGGGCTTTTTTTGCCATTTCAGAATTATTTTAACTTGTAGTATTTTAGCTTGTTTTTAACCACTTAGTATTTTTTTGCCACTTAGTGTTTTTTGTTTGCTTATATTGAACCACTATTAAAAAACTTCATTTTTTTTAAGTGGTACTTTGAAATGGTTTGTTCTTATGAAATTACTTTAAGACTTGTAATCATTTCTAGCTCCAGGTAACTTTCTCATTGCTTGAGGAGATGAGCTCCTGGGTTACTATACTTTCTCTGATATTCCTATGTCATAATTCTTAGTGATTTCAGTATCCTTGTTTCTCCCTGATGCCACCTTAGTCACTCTTGCATACTACAGATCACATCATTACAAATTACTGTGGCTCTTCTATTATCTCAGTATCAGGCATCCTAATCACTAACCACCAACCATCTTCTATTTCACACCTTTGAGTGTCCTAACACAACCATTCTCAACCCTAGCAAGACCTACAAGACATTGATCCTAACACCTTTGCAAAATCTTAACCTCTTTTCATGTCTTCATTTTTCTCTCTTCTGAGCTTAAATCTCATGGCCAGTCCAAATCATTGCCATGCATATACTCTCAGTTCCCTTTTCCCTCTTTCATTTTGTCAGATCCGCTTGGCTAAACCTTAATTCTGGTTTAAACCAAGTCTCCACTTTTTCATGGGTGTACCCATGAACATGACCAGAGAAAAACACAGAGGCATGCTGGAGTTTTCACTTTAAGTTCACAATCACTAATCTCAAGTGGGCCCTTAATGCTGCTCAGTAATTATGCTCTATATCCCTAGTCTATCACCTCTTCCCCTCACCTAGGTGACTTTTTTTTTTTTTTTTTTTTTTTGAGACAGAGTTTCACTGTGTCCTCCGGGCTGGAGTGCAGTGGTGCGATCTCAGCTCACTGCAGCCTCCGCCTCCTGGGTTAAAGCAATTCTCCGCCTCAGCCTCCCGAATAGCTGGGATTACAGGCACCCACCACCACGCCTGGCTAATTTTTTGTATTTTTAGTAGAGATGGGGTTTCACCATCTTGGCCAGGCTGATCTTGAACTGACCTCGTGATTCACCCGCCTCAGTCTCCCAAAGTGTTGGGGTTACAGGTGTGAGCCAATGCACCAGGCCGATGACTATTTCATAGCTTCTCTTCTCTCTTCAAATGTTCAAACTATCCTCCTCTATTCTATCAGCTGATGACCTTGTTTCCTATTTTATAAGAAATTTGAAACAAACAGAAGACAACTTCTACATACTGCTGCTACCAGGTCTAACCTCATCCTACTTACCCCATCTGTTCTCATATCTTCTGTCTTCTCTGTGGTTACTATGGGATCTATTCTAGCTAGGGCCAACTTCTCCATTGTGTACTAGTCCCATTTATCTTTGCTGAATCAAGGATATTGCTTTAGCAGTTCTCTCTCTTTCATATGTATTATTTTTTTTCCACCTACTGGATTATTCTTTCAACACAGAAAATATTATGACTTCTTTTATCTTAAAAACAAGAAAACTCTTGATGCCACATTTTTTCTCTAGCTGTTGCCTTATTTCCTTCCTTCACTTTCCAGTGGATGTTTTAAAGAATTGTCTCTAGTTCTTCTTTTGCCAGTTTCTCTTCCAGTTCCAGCAGACTTTTGCCCTCAGTATTTTACCCAAACTGCTATTATTCACGTCATCAATGGCCTCCTTTTTGCTGAATCCAATGGTCAGTACTCAGCCCTCATCTTATTTTATTAAGTAGCAACATAAATAATTGCTGATCACTCTCGTCTCTTTGAAATACTCTCTGCACTTAGCTTCCAGGATACAACGCCTCCTGGTTTTCTTCCTGCTTCACTAACTACTCTGTCAGTCCCCTTGACTAATTTTCTTATGTCTCCAGCCAACTAAGGTTCAGTCCTTTGATAATCTCTTTTTCTACACTTATTCCTAATGGCTTTATTTAGTCTTCTGGCTTTGCTCAGACTTTTCCCCTGAACTGTAGACTCTTATATCCAACTGCCCGCTCAGCATCTCCTCTTAGATGTCTAATAGGCTGCCCAATTTAACATGTTTAGAACTGAGCTCTTGCTATTCCCTCCTCAAATCTCTCACAGTCTTCCTCACTTTAATAAATAGCAGATCTACCAGTTGCTCAGGCCAAAAAAACTTTGGAGCCTTTCTTGACTCCTCTTTTTCTCTCACACCCCACATCTGTCACCAAATCCCCTTGGCTGTACTTTGAAAATATATCCAGAACCTGATGACTGTTTCTTACTTTGTCCACTTCTACCACTTTGGTTCAGCCTCCATAATATTTTACATTAGTTTCTTTGCTGATTCTGTTTTTGTACACTTGGTCTCCTATAGTGAATGTTCAATACAAACAACCAGACTAATGCTGTTAAAATAAAAGTCACATTGGGCCACCCTCCCATGCCTTCCATTTCATTTGGAGTAAACGCCAAAGTCCTTCCAGTAGCCTACCAGATTTTACATGGTTTGTACTCCCTTCATCTCTTTGCTCGTCTTCTTTTATAACCACTCTTTCTCTCCACTCCACCACAGTACTTTTCCTGTTGTTCCTTGACCATTGACCATCAGTGAACTAAAATATGCTTCTTAGGGTACAAGTGGCATAAGGCTATCAGGAATATGTATCCTTTTTTGTTAGAAGTAAAAATTAATAAAGTTTTGATAAATATTCTATAAGCATGTGATGAATAGGGATAAGAATATGGTAGGACATTTATGAAGAAAAGATAAGTTATACTACAGTAAATGTCAGGATTGGAACTCTAGTAATTACAGCAGACCTGACATAAGCTAACTATGTGTGGAAAGGCTATTTATAGAAAAATATTTGTCTATTTTTGTTTAATCGTAATGGCATATATTTTTCCTTTGCTCTGAACTGATAAAATATAGTAAACAGTACCAAGTTGCTTTACTCAAGAAACATGGAGAATTTGCTGGAATGATATGAAAGGCACAGAGAGTATTAAAGTGTTAGAAACTAAGACCTTTTGAGATAGGCCAAAGGTGGCTAAAAGGACCAAGATAAAACCGACAGTGAAAAACTAGGTTGGTAAAGTATAGATTATTTTTATTTTCTTCAGGAATTATGGGAGTTTTTATAGTAGTAAGTAGGATTGTTTTGTTGTTTTTTAAAGTGGTAGCTGTAATCATCATGTTAAATCTTTCATGTGTGTGTTTAGAGAAAATGATCAATTCATTGAATTGCATGGAGTTTTAAATTATGGCTTTATAATTTAAAAATTATTATATTTAAAATGTTGCTACATTTGACAAATAAAGCTATTTTTGGAATCACCTGCTATATCATATTTTTGCAATTATTGCTGTTTATCATTTTTAAGAAAATTCTGTTTATTTGAAGATAACTTAAGCATGCCTCTTTTAAATCATTTAAACCCATTTTTGTTATGTAGGTCTTCCTGTGCTTTCAGAAAGTTGCTGCTGAAATCCTTGGGATCAAATTAAACAAAGCAGAAATAGAACAGTCACAGGTGATTACCTTGAACTTTATATTTAAAAAATTAATGAATTTCTTACAAGGCATTAATTTTCACCCATAAATTCTTTCCCATTTATGCCTTCTGTGTACGTATCTCTAAAAGCTTTGGGAATAGATTGTATGTATGAATCAGTGTTTATTGCAGAAGATGGAGAATGTTAACTTTTTGCCAAATTATGATACCCTTGAAACCTCATTTTGTCTCTTTTGTTGGGAAAAAGATACTAGTATAAGAAAATTTTTATTAGTGGTTAACTAATGAGTTAAGGTGCTGACCACATTGTTTGGCACTTCTTTATTTAAATCCTTTTGGAGCCTCTATTCAATTTTAAAACATCCTTGACTGTAGTGATATTAGTTTTTGATGTTATTTTATTGTCAGTTTAGTAGTGTTATTAATTAGTAAGGATTTCTATGTTTTTTCACTATTCCTAGATAGTTTTCTTAGGCTAAGAAAAAAACATGCATAGCGGCAGCCAAGAAATTTAAAGTACCACTATAATTTCCCACTAATTCATATGTTTGATAGAATGAAAAATCAGAGTAAGAGCCTATAAAGTTATGCTTCAGAAGTGGTTTGGTTAGAAGTAACAAACTAATTACATTTTTGCTCAATTTCTTCCACCCCATTCGCACCCTGTGCAACTAAAAAAGTATAATTATCTTTTCCCATCCTTAAATTTTTCTTGAATTCTTTTAGAGTTAGTTCTGTATCTTTTTCTCATGGTCTCTCTCTCTCTCTGTGTGTGTGTGTGTGTGTGTGTGTGTTTTAAAACAATTGAAGCAAATATTTGAAATTGTTACACTGATATGGCTGTTTCTAAGACTTGATTAAAACATTTGAAACTCTAAAAGTTTGCTAGTTTTAATTCCCATCATTCAAAGACATTTGTTTTAGCACTTGGTATGGCCAAATACAGTGCTAAGATACTTTGTGATGTTTAAATAGCTCCCAGACACAGAAAAAGTGGTTACTTGTTTTGGGCCTAGGAGAATATAGGAAAGAGAAGTCACCATGATTTGCTTGATCACACAGACCTTGGATCCCAGAGGTCAAGTAATTTGTTTGCTTTTTAGCTTCTCTGTCTAAATAATGTTTGTCTCTGCTTAGTTAGAGAGTCTATGATTATCATAAGTGATTTATTGGTCATACATTGTAAACTCAGTATAGTGGTGGGTCTAAAAAAGAATTAAAAGACTTTAAAATGTCCCTGCTTTTAGTAAAGAAAATTAATAGGTTATGTGCCAGGGGGACTGTGTTATCTCAGTTATCCTCATAATAACTCCCTGGATCAGGTGAAATTTTATCATTTTATGATCAGGAAGCTGAGACTGTGGAGAGACTCAGTAACTTGATCACTAACCATTAATTGGGCAGTGGTGGAGCCAGAATTTGCACCCAGGTCTCTCTGACACCAATGCCCTTGGTATTTCCACTCTGCCATACTGGGGGAAAGTGTACTGGGCAGTTTGGAGTGGGAAGGGAGAAAATGGCTGAAAGAGGAGCTGGTATGAATAATATACCTGGGTAGAAAAGGTTAGGTTGTATTTTGGAAACAGAAGAGCAGTTTGGTTAAAATAAATGACCATTTGTGTTAGAGTATAAAGAGTTTGAGAACAGATTTTGGGGATTTATGAATGCCAAGTTGATTAATTTTATTAGACCTATAATCATTTTGAGGTAGGGCAATAAATGAAAGCAGTTTTTAGGTAGAATTAATCTAATGGGATATTTTTATATGTCGTTGGATGGGAGGGAGATTGAGGTAAGGAGACTGAGTTACTGCTACCATGTGAAAAAGACCAAAGTCAAGATGGAATGGAAAGGTTGGATGGATGTAAGGGAGATTTTAAAGAAGAACCAATAGGGCTTGTGGAATTATTGGATAAGAGAGGATAGAAGTCTGAGATAACCCTGAGGTTTCTTGCCTGGAGGAATGAAGACAGGAGAAACCCAATGATTGGTTGTCTTTCTGAAAAGGGGAATGGTGGGCTGGTGCTTCACAGGTGAGAGGGCTGCACTGAGGAAGGATTCCTTGTACTGCCTGAGCTGTGCAGTGGTGATCAGATACAAGGAGACCTCTGGAGAAATGAAACAACTGGAGGCAAAATTTGGGGGAAGCTTTATTAACATTAGGTCCCTCATGTTGCAAGATCAACAGGGTTACTATTTTGACTTTAGATATGGGCTTAATATCCTAGTGTGTTTTAAATAAAGAGATATTAGATGTGTTAACTACATAGTTCCCTACCCTCCCTGCACATCTACTTTGTTTATTATGCTTTGAGGTTTAATTCTATCTTCAGTTTGTTGGTGGCATTTACTCTTAATGCATTCATTTGAAGGTGAATTCAAGTTACTGCAGCACTCTTCTATATGTTTGTCAAAATTCTTTGTGTATAGCAAGAATCCTTATTAGTCTTTCTTGATCCTGATGAATTTGGTGTTTTTGCCAATTAAATTATTGATTTTACAATTCATATTTCTCAGTGGAAACATTTTGGCAAGTTCATCTAAAAGACTAAGAAGTGCAGATTATATATATATACACACACACATATATACACACACACACATACATACATACATACATATATATACACACACATACACACTGCATGTGGTTGTTGCGACATTTGAAAGATTACTGGGGGGATTCAAGGGAATGTTTGAAAGTACTTTGTATTATTCTATAGAGAAGGAGTTAAATGGCAGACTCACCAGTCCCATTGATGTTGATGCTCTACTATAATAATTTAGTTTGTGACATAAATATTTACAGTGAGGTTTTAGTCCTAGTTTCATTCACTGACAATTTAAAGAGATTCTGCTAGTTTATTTCTAACCTAGATTGCTCCTATTTGGGAGTTATATAAAATGAGTTATCAACACACTTTGCAAGCTTTGCAAGGAAGAGGAAGAGAGAGAAAAGAAAGTGAATGCAGTTTATTAACACAGTAACCATATTTTGAGGGTCTGTGTAATGCCAGGGGGCCACACTAGAATCTGGGGATACAGAAATGAATAAGAGAAAGTCCCTATCCTCAAGGAGCTCCCAGAATAAGTGGGGCAGCCAAACATTTAAACAATGAACACTATAGATCCATTTTTCACAATTCCCAATTTGGTTAATAGTTTCATTTGCATCATTTATGTAGTCTTCCCCTTCTCCACTACCAACCATTATCCTCTAAGGTAGTGTAAGAATTGATACTGTTGTTAACAAGTGTTCTAGTTTCCCAGATTGTTCAGATTTTTTATTTGCAAAGTACATAGACCTTTAGGAGAAAAAATAAATTTACAATTGCCGTTGTTTAGGAAATCCAGCAATCGGCTCTTTAAGAATGCATTAGATAATTGATAAAGAAAAAGCATAGTCCTTTCAGTCCTGTCTTGTGTCCTTCAGTCTGAATTGCAAGGAAGTTTTGCCATATCTACTTGGTGTTAAGAATTCTTAATACATTTTTAAGCCTCAGCATTTTTACTTGCCAATTAATAAACTGTGAATTTCTACTTGGTTTGAACTAGGTATGTATTAGTTTTTAAAATACCAAAAATTTCTATCATGTCTGAGATATTCATTAAACTTGCTAAAAATATATATTCCTTATTGTCCCCTCAAATTATTTTCAGACTGTATCTGAAAGTATCTCATGTAAGGCTTGGCATGTAATAGACATGCTCAAGATTTTAGTTACCTTAATTTGCATATTATTGTACAGTACAAGTACCCATTTAACCTTTGGTATTAAGAATCCTTTCTGCTTTTTAGCTTTACCTGAATGTTGATCTTCCTCAGATTCTTCTTACCCACATGTTAATTTTTTACGATCATTTTCTCCAGTATGTTTATTAAAACTGTACTGGGATTTCTTTCTTATCCTAAAGACCACTTGTTTTCTTGAGGGGGATATTTTCTCATTTTGTACATACTACTCTAACCCTCAGATATTGAACGTTGCTTAATGGATTTTCATATTACATAACATTTTTTCTTTTTCCTATTCACCTTTTAAATTAATTTTTTAAATAAAATTTCAAAACCAGATGGGACTTTAGAGATCATGTAGGTAGACCTTGTTTTTATAGATTAGGAAATTGCGAAGACAGAAGACATGAAATAACTTGCCCAATGTTTTGTTACTGGCAGCATATAATAGCCCATTCGTTATATAGAAGAGTAGCTTTTAAAAAACTCCCACTCTGTGCAAAGTACTATGCTTTTTAACATGTTATATCCTATATCCATGCTTTAAATTGTGTTCTGTAATCTTGTTGCACTTTGAATGTATGCCAGTCAGAATATTCTTTAGTAGTTTACACATCTGTTTTCTGTGCTAGACTCTTAGCATCTCAAAAAAACAGAGATTATGCATTATTTACCTAAATGTCTGTAATATCTGGGATGGTGGTTGGCTTTGAATGAATGACAGTGACAGATGTTTTAGCCTTCAGGGTATGTTTACTCCATATCCTGGCCATGACAAACTATGGCTTTTGCACAGAGTCCATCTATACTCCTTACACCTTGTGCCCCAACCCATAGGTTGCTTTCTTGCTTATGCCCTCCATGGCTGCCACTTCCATTTCCAGTATACACTTGGCAAATGCTCTTTGAAAATATCAGGGTTAAGCTTGTATTCACCCATATAACTCTTTTCCTCTTAGGGCCATTTCATTATTTTCATTTCATCAACTAATAGAGAATAATCGAGTGTGCTTTGTGGCTCTAAAAATAAAGGTTGGTATTTTATAGGTAACATTTTCTCTAAAAACATCAATAAATGGCTTTTAAATAAGCTGACTACAGTGAAACCACCTACCATGAAGTTTATGACATGGAAATTATGTTTTTCTAATCATAGAAAGTGAAATTTGGAATCTGCAGAGCCTTGGTTATGGCTTACAGTTCGGAAACATTTTACAAAGCTTTATGTCAAAGAGTCAAAGCCCCTGAGAATGATGCTGTCTTGTTAATTCTTCATTAATTTGATGAAAATTAATAATGAAATCCAAGTCATTTACATTAGTCAGTACTTGGACCAAAATGTTTTGAGCACAGGACAGTAATCTGGTTGTGTTTATAGGATAAGACTTAAACCAACATTTTGTTGGATTAATGAGTTGCTTACTGATTATGAAAATCCCATCTCTTCATTGTAACCCATAGTTTGGCATGAAACAGTTAGGTTTGGGGAGGTTAGATAATGGTATACAATATTTCACTGATGTACCCCCCGATTCATACCTCATTTGGCAGTTGGTAATGCTTCTGTTGATAGCATCAGGCAGAGTGCCTAGTAAATCATGAGTCTTGTCCAAAAGTTAATGCTGCTTGTTGCTAAAGAACTGAAGCAGAAGCCACCCAAGGCTAATATGTTCGTATGCCTCAGCATCCTATTCATTTACTCTCGATTGTTTATAGGATCTTTATTTATAAATGTAGTCACACACAGCAGCTCATATTAAGATGCTTTTCTATCTTAATAAATTAATAGATGCTATTATGAAGGGTATGTGTCCTGAAATAAGTTATTTGCAATCACATGGATAGCGAGGATAGGTTTAAATCTAAAATATTTGGGTAACATGTTATCTGTGTCATACATATTTGTCACATATGGTCTTTTTATCCTAAGGGTAGCAGCAATTAAGAATATAACAAGGTAAAAATAAATAGTTTCTTATTTAGTAAAACTCTTAGATATTTGAAAGCAACAGTTATTGTACTTAAATATTGTACCTTGTGATTTTTTTTTTACATGACCTGCAACTGCATTTTGAACTTGTTTGTTTCTGTATGGAATTTGGAAGTATGGAGGTTAGGATCGGGAGGAATGGGGGAGCGAGCATCATAAGGAAGTCTTGGACAAGTAATAAATAGTATTAAATATAAAAATTGTAAATGGCATATGCCTTCCTCTGATGTCTTCATTCCTCTCCCCACCTTCAAAGATAATTAATTACTCCTTCCTCTGTGTTCCCACAGCATATTATAAGTCCACTAGTTAAGTGTTTAACTTGTATGGCAATTAGTTGTATATGTGTTTCTCTTTCCATTAGGGCCTCAGCAACTTGTGAATAGATTCTGTGTAAGTCGCCCATACTTTCACAGTATAGAGTGACTGGCACATAGTATATCTTCAGTAAAGCTTGTTAATGGAAATGGAATTAATCCTTTTATTGCACTTTAACATAGAAAAACCTCATAATTCTTCACAGTCTTCTGAAATTCTGGGCATTATATATGTTATATATAATTGTGTTATCAAAAATGGAACTTACAATTTGGGAAGTTCAGTGGTCATATCTATTTCAGTAATTAAATAGAATTACAAAGAATAATGTTTCTTGGGTCTTTGTTCCTTTCCTTTTCTTTCCTTTTGTATGTGTACATTCTGCTGTTTGTGTGTGCGTGTGTGTGTGAGACATGTTTACATTTATATGTTAATTTTATTTTTCTACTTTGGTGTTTCCTTCTATATTCAGTCATTGAACATACTTTCCATTTTGTCTTTTTTTTTTTAATTCTTTTTTCTTTGTCTCATTTATGTTGTATGGAATTGACAGCGTATTGTCAGGGCAGAAATAGTGAAGTACCCGGAAGAAGAAAATCAACATACCACCTCTACTCAGAGTAGAATCTGTTCAGTACAGTAGTGCAGGTATTAAGTGATAAATTATTACAGTTTGGGGAGGTGGGAAGGGAGAACCATTGAATGCTATCTTGTTCTTTATTCCCTATGAATAGGGAAGTTCAGATGATTATTGTACATTATTGGAAGTTAATATCACGTCTACGTCTTGATTTAGAACTAAAAAATTGGTCCTCTGCCAGGAGACATGAATTAAGAAATTGGGAACAAATTAAAATAACATTTCAGTTACTTTTAAACATATTTGTCTTTATGGTTGTGTTTATTACATGTGCAGTGAAGTGGAGAATTGAGGCAGTTATTTCATTATTCATTCCTTACCATTTTTCCTGAAATAGCTTGGTAATTGAAAGAGTATTTTTAAAATTTGCTTTGAATTGCCCTTCTTTGTCTGCTTGTGTGTGCAGACTTTGTAGAGTTGAAAACAGTAAAGGATTTGTTTTAAAGTATTACTTAGAGATGAATATTAAGCATATTGCTAAGTGTATCATTTTAGATGTTCCTTGAAGTGTGTGTTAGAGGGAAGGAGGGAAGAGTTAAAATTATCTTTTGGTTTAAATTATTTTAAAAACATGAATATGAAGTAATTTTCTAAATTTTTTCATCATACTCTTTTTTGTTAGAGTTGTATTCATAACCAATAGTGAGCCATTTGGAAATAGGGATTTTGGAGGAAAGGTTTAGAAGTTGGAAAAGATTTAAAAATGGGTTGCTCAGAATATTTCTGCTTTATATGTGAATCCTCTTTAACATTTAAATGTCTTCTTCCAAACTCACAAACTGCTGTAAACATTCAATGAAAAGTTTTCGCTAAATATAATGGCTTATGGAAATATTAATCAATAATGCTATTTTTTACTTTGAAATGATGAGTTCTTTTCTATGATTTAAAATATATGTGAATGATTTATTTATTTTGCTCTAAATTATTATCAGGGTTTAATTTTTCATTATTGATTTGTCAGTTTTTCATTAGACTTATGATAACCTCAAGTTAATGTCATAAAACCAGGGACAACTCAGTAGCTGAGTTGCCATTCTCTTCTTGAAAAAAAAAAATCCACTCTTTGTTTGTTTGTCTGGCTTATTCTTTTAATATCAACTCCTGCTTCATTTATGGTGTCCATCATCAGAAGTTCAGCAAAGTTCAGAAAATAAAAATATACTTTAAGGAGCTCTTTCTAAATGTTCTGATATCCTGATAATAACTCTGTTTTCTTTTATGACAGAGGGTGGTGAAGGCAGATATTGTAAACTACAACCAGGAACCTATGTCAAGGACTGTTAACCCTCCTAGAAGCTCTATGTGTGCAGTTCAGTGAGCGCATTTTTCTTTTGTGTTGATAGTTCTGGCTGCCCTTCACCTCTGGGTGGGCCCGAGGACTTCTAGGAACTTGTTTTATCAGTGACCATCTCTGTAGTTCAGTTAACACTTTACTCCCAACTTGCTTCATCATTGCTATTGCCTCACAGTGGCAGGCAGCTCCTTGGATTTGAAAGAATTCAACTTTGGGACCACACACTTTGAATTCAAAATGGAAAACCCATTCCCTGGAATTAGACTGCTTCATTGCAAAAGAATGATGTTGTTTCTTTGTATGTCCTTGCTTCTTTTTTCATTGATGTAAATTTTTTTAACTTAATATGAAAACTCTCCAAGTCTTGATCATCAGCCAGGATTTTGCCACAGCAATTTCATTCTCTTATCGGAACTTGTATGTGTCAAAGTATACTTCAGAGTGCAAACATTAAGCAAGTAATATATTTTACCTACAGATACTTATGAAGACATTCTTTCGCTATCGTGAGTAAAAGTATATAAAGCTGTTTCTAACTGAAAATGCTTGAAATAAGCCTGTAATAGAAATATTTTTTCATTTTTTAAAAAAGGGCCTAAATTGTTTATATTGTAGTTTGTAACTCACAAAGTAATATTTGATATTGTATTTTTATTACTGTATCGTTGTCGTTATGTATTGTGTAATACTCAGGTTTGAAGGCTTTCTGAATTCTGATAAATGTTCAGCTGATGCTCCACGTGGAATTTCTCTTGCAAACTGCATAAGAGTACTCCCGAGAATGAGTTATGACATTGTGGATCAGACTGTACCTGATGTTCAGATGTTTTTCTTTCACAAATAAACTTATTTAAATTACTTCTTTTGGCAATTTTCTTTCAGACATCTTCCTTTTTGTTACAGAAAGGCAGTGTGCATTTGGATACAAAATTAGTGATTCTGTGAAGTTTAGTATATAGTCAGTCACTTAGAATTGTTAGGTTATTTTGTTGGACCAATTAAAATCCAGACTCCATAGCTTGGCATTTCAGGGGCTCCACATCAGCTGCCTCCTGCCTTTCTACCTCTTCTCATGCCACTCCACTGTACCATCATCACTTCTCTGCAAACAGAGCTATGGACTCATTCCTATTTGTTTTGTGATGCTCCACAGGACTCTGTTTGTCTTGGTCATAGTTTTTTTTTTTTTTTTTTTTTTTTGTGCTAAGACACAGTGCCTGGCATGACTGGTGCTCCATATTTGCTACATTGAAGTGGGAACAAAAGCCACCCTTCCACAAAGCCAGTGCTTGTCTCCACAGCTCACAGTTCCACATCAGTACCTCTCTGATAGCCACTGCCCCTTTCTGCTTTGAATCGCTGCTATTTGTGCCCCTGTTTTTTATTGTTTAATAATCCATGAGCTCATTGAAGGGCTGCTCTAGTCTCTTCTCTCTCATGTCTCTTATGGTGCCTGGCAGCGTGCCTTTGTCATAGATTTGCCACAAGTGTGTGTAGAAATTTGGATACCTAATTTTAGAGGTGTAAGGGATTTTGGAAAACTTTGTTCCCTTCCTTACGTGGCTAAGGAAACCGAAGTGTGGACAGAAAAAGTAACTTGCCAGAGATCATTGAATCATAGAGCTAGACTTGATAGATCTGTCTCTAGGCTGAGAAATTAAAAAAAAATTAATTAAAAAATTTTGAAAACTGTGACTCTAGTTGTTAGTGGGTCCAGCCTCTTTCTATTTTGATTTTTATATTTTTCATTTTATAATAATTTAGCAGACTTTTAAGACCTTCAAGTGATAAACCCTTCAAGCTATTGCAGCTTATCTTCCTAATATGTGCAGGCCAGTTGACTAGGGATGTTAATAGAATATAAAGTTGAATAAATGAGCTCTCAACCCTCGAGGACTTTACAATCTAGTGGGAGAGATGTTTGTTGTTATTGCTGCTATTTTAAAAGCTGTGATTGATTGAAGCCTTCTATTAAACTAAACTTGCCCAAGGCTTTACATTTAGTAAAAGGTGAGGCCATGCTCCGCTTGGTCATTTTGTGTTGATTTCACCTCCATCTATGTGAAAACTGAAGGATTTTCAAAAAATTTTTTTCCGGCCAATACAATTACTACAGTACGATAAAGTATGACTTCACACATATGTATGAATTTCAATTTGCAATTTCAGAGAGAAATTGCAAAAGGTCTATGAGACCGAATTTTTTTAGTGGTGTGTTTATAAACTTAGAGCACTGCGTGGGACTGAGCAGGGGCCAGGGAAGAAAATGACGTTGGTAGGCGTTCTTTGGCCTGAACATTTCTAGGTATTTGTTACATGGACTGTTTTACTTTCACACCCGTCTGTGAGAGGGGAATTATTGCCTCCTCTCTTAGAGGAAACCGAAGCTGAGACTAAGTGATGATACGAAAGGCCTTCCTTCAGTAAGGGGTAGAGCCAGGGGCTACACAAATTGGTTCTGTGACAGAATGGACTACGCTGGTGCTGGTTTTAGGCTGCCTTTCATTTGTGAAGATCACATAACTGACGCCCTTCCTGAGAGTTAAATAGGTCTTAGTTTAAGCTGTTCTTTTGAGAAGTGGCGATGGGCCTGTGTGGTCCATCCGCCCTCGCACAGTGACTACCTTGACCAGTAGCATGTGTCCACAGGGGCTGGTGGTGGGAAGTTTGCCCTCTGATCACTCAGATGAAACAGGAATTGCCCCTCTGTACCCTCCTGCCTGCCTTTAGTCTCGTTGGCATTATGTCTCTCCCAGCTGAGCATGAGTGGTCGTTGAGAGCCTTTTGCCTCAAGGAAAGCAGATGCAGTACAGCATATGGCCAAAGCGGATTTCTGAATTCCATATTACAATTTTCCCCATACCTCGGGTTTTATTTTTGAAACAGAAATGTAGGATTCATGCTTATTTTACTTTGTTACCTCTCCTGTCTGTAGTTTTTAATTTAAAAAATTACAAGTCTTTCCATCTAGTTTTAGGCACTTTGTCTCCTGAAGACACATGCTATAAAGTTTCAAACACATTGTGGTCACTTCTGCTGCTTATTGAGCTTTTGAAAAACACAGAAGTCTTCAACCAGAACTGGTCATTGGATGCTGCCTTTCAAGTGCACCCTCTATTATGTGTGGCCAACCACTCTGGAGTGGTTTTTGGAGTGGCCCAAAGAACTCCTGTGACTGCTTTATTATTCCAGGAGGAGGTAAGCCAGGGCCCTTTAAAGTTGATCACTGAAACAATGTGATGGAGCAGAATAGTTTGTGTGTCGTCTAAAAATAGAAAAGTTTTCTGGCCATAACCTGTGCTAGTGGTTGCTGTAATCTCGGATATCCTGAACAACAGTTGCAAGATTTAAAGGAAACTGAAATGCAGACCTGTTTAACATTACGGTAGACATCCATGGGTCACCTCCCCAGCACACATGTCGCCTCTCCAAACAGTTTCCTAATTTCCTGATAGAACCCTCCCTCAATTTTCAACTGCTTCTAGCTCCTCATGAGGGAGTCCTCACTGAATTAAACCCATCAGGATATTAAACCCCCTCGCCCCAGTAATTCGCTCTGAAATGAACTGATAACTCCATCATAGCTAATGAAATTGGAGGGGACATTTGCTAAGGTTTCTGAAAAAAGGAAAGAAAAAAGAAATGTTTGCCCCCATAAGTTTTCAGAAGACTCTTTGCCAGCTGGACTGGAATGAGAAAGGCTGTGGCTCTGAGTGACACTGGCGGCCATCTTGAGGCCACAAGGGGAGAGCTCGACCGAGGATGGTGCTGATGACAAGAAAGCAGAGGTGGAAAGTGGCGATGATTGAAGTCCCTGTCACCATCTTTGAGCCCTGGATCCAGCCATGCCTTGAACTGTTCAGCAGAGAATTAATTTTTATTTATTTATTTATTTTTATCATTTAGACCAGTGTTATTTTATTTTTTGGTTACTTCTTATATTGGCACCTATTATGTACTAGGGCCTTTGCTTGGTACCAGAAACAGAGATGAATATGATCTGTGTTTTGCCCACAAATTCATAGTCTAGGACTCATCAAAATGTAATCAGATTGTTACATGCTGCAATCAAACTAATATAAGAAGATGTAACTTAGCAGTGAGTGTGGGAAAAAAACAGGAATTTCAAATAACAGGAAACAGGGATGACAGTGTAACACAGTTGCTCTCACAAACTAGCATAATCGTAGCCTGCATTAATTAGGGGTGTGCCTATGAATCACCTGTGGATCTTGATTCAGTAGGTGTGGGGTGGGTCTGAGGTTGTGCATTTGTAACAGGCTCCCAAGTGATGCAAATGCTACTGGCTTTTGGATTACACTTTGAATTGCAAGGGATTAGACCATGCCTGTATGGATGCCCCTCTTTAAGGGGATAATAAATCACATTCAGATTATAGTGAGGGGATTCAATGTCATAGGAAATAGTGGAAGGAAGACAGTATGTTTAATATGGAAAAGAGAAGGCCTCACACAGACTCTGCTGATAGTCTTCAAATAAGTAAGAGAGTGCGCTTTAGAAAAACATTGTATTTGTACTATAGGACCTAGAGTACCCCAGAAATAGGAGGGGTAGAGAGAGGCTATGGGAAGATTTCCATTCAGCCTAATAAAGAACCTTGAAAACAGTTGCTTCCCAAAGATGGAAGGGATTGCTTTATGAGGTTTCGTATCATGTTGCAGGGTTTTAAACTTACAAGCCTTCCGGGGCTAGGTGGTAAATAAATATAACAGAGGTTAAGAGTGTAAGATCATAGGGAGTGGTGGGGATTGACAAGCTGGAGAGCATGTGCCCTGCCTAAAGTCATTTTGATTCAGTTTTTAAAGTTATATTGACCAGCTAAAAACTATGTATGGATAGGGCCACGACTAGCTTATACAGAGCTTTTGTGCCAGTTAGAAAAAGTATGTTTCTTCCGCAAGTCATTTTATTTCCTTCTTTTAGAAAATTGTCTGACTATTTCTTTTTAAAAACAAGGCATTTTATTGTCCTGGAAAATGGGTGATAAAAGTACAACATTGGTGGCCCTACGGTTGGTAGGACCCTATGGATGGACTGGATTCATAGCCCTATGGTAGTAGCCCTATGGATGGACTGGATTCAGCCCTCTGGAGCCCAGGTTACAACCTTTCTGACTGTAAACCTGTTTCTGGATGTAAAGCTGATGAAATTAGGAGAGAAAAGTATTTGTCTAACATTTTCAGAGAGCAAAATCATAGTGTTCAGGCTAGGAAGGCCCTAGGAACATGGGAGGCACAGCGTCTACCCTCAGGGAGATTTGGGGCTGGAGGAGGAAGCAGGTAAGTTAGCAGGGCATTGTGGCACTCGAGGTATCAAGAGAGAATCCATCTGTGGTGTGTGTATTCAGGGCAGACAGCAGGTCAGTTCTACCTAAAGAGTAGGGGGACAGATTTAATAGAGGAGGTGAGGCTTGGAGAGAAAACCTTGAGTGTAACAACCTTCACATCATAGCATCCTTTCTCCTGGGAAGTGAGCCTTTCAGTAGAGGAGGGCCCTTTGGGCTGAGCTCAGAAGCACATACATTCCATTTTGCCTAGCCTTTTGTAGCATCAGTTTTTCATGCTGGAGAGCTGGAAACGAGGAAAGGCAGACTATTTGTTTTAAAGCCCTTCTTCCAAGTCATATTGAATGTTCTTAGGCCTCCCACATGGTAGATTGAGGCTGACTCAGGCCTGTAGGCTGGGCAGAGATCACTGGCACAGCCTATACACCAGCCTTTAGCTGCCCTCACCTAAGCCTCTTGACTTGGTCCCTTAATCCTTAATTAATCTGGAATCCACAGGTTACACAGGGATATGTTTCCTAGATACTGTGACTCTCAAGCCCCTTCTCCTTTCCCACTACTGCTGCTTGTGTCCCCAGATGCCTGGACTTCTCCAACAGCCTTTCTCTTTAGAGACCTCCACAATCTGCTGAATACACAGCTGTGTTTAGGTCACTTTTGCATTCAAAACCCCTCAATAGCTCCCTACTGCCTTTCCCATCAAAGGAAGACAGATTCCTCAGCCTGACATTCAGAATCTTCTTAACATCTTCCCTACCCTTCTTTCTAAAACATCTGTTCATCTTCAACTCTGGTGAGCACTTTGCTCTAGCAAGTGGTTCCTCAGTCTGCATCTTTGCAGAGATTTTCTCTACGGGAAGAAAGACCTTGGATAGGGCAAGGTAGAAAACCTGCTTTTTCTCCTAGCTCAAAAACCAACTCCATGTGTGACTAGTCAAACCATTTAACCTCTCTGGGCTCAGTTTCCTCATCTGAAAAAAACAGGACGTTGGACAAGAGCAGGGATCTGGGACCTATTTGTTGAGTACAGTTATATGCACTCTTTCTCATCAGTATGGCTTATTTATTATGGGTGCAGTACAGGTGCACTGAGCTCTTTGTAAGCATTTTCTCATTTCACATAGGTGGTAGTCAGCCTTCAAGATGGTTCCAATGATCCTTGCCTCCTGGTATTCACCTTTGTGAATCCCCTCTCACATTAAATCAGAACTAACCTGCCATCCATAGAAACGGATGTGGTATGTGATTTTCGAGGCGAGATCATAAAAGGCATTGTCAACTTCCTCCTTGGCCCCTTCAATTGCCCCTTCTGAGGAAAGCCAGACACCATGCTGTGAGGACACTGAAGCAGCAATGTGGAGACTGCTATGGAGAGAAGACCTCCCACCAACAGCTACCACCAACTTGCCAGTCCTTTGTTAACAGCCAGCTTGGAAGCAAATCTTCCGGCCCCAGTTAGGCCTTCATGTGACTGCAGCCTCACCAAAGACCCAGAACTAGTTGAACTGCCCCCCAAATTTCTGATCCAAAGAAACTATGAGATAATAAATGATCATTGTTGTTGTAAGCCCCTAAGTCTTTGAGTAATTTGCTTCACAGCAATAGATAACTAATACCATGGGTATTTGTATTATCTCTGACAGATGAGGAAAATGAGGCTCAGAGCAACTGAATAGCCCATCTGAGGTTGTGAACTGGTGAGTGATGGGAAAGGGATGCAAATCCAGGTCTGCCTGACTTCTCACCCATCACGTTATACGCCTCATGCTGCAGTGACCCTCTGTCAGGTTCAGAGTAAGTGCTTATTACACAGTTTCAAGTGAACGAACAAACTGTTTTCATGACTGAATATATAAATCTGTTACACAAGTATATATTTAGAAAAGGAGCCCATAAAAATAAAGAATGAATATTTTCAATCTCATTAAATCAGGTTGAATTTTCCTGTTGCTTAGGACTAATTTCTTCAAAAATGTTAGTCTCCTAAAATGAAAACTTTATGCTCAAGAATAAAATAAAGAACAAAAAAATTTTAGTCTCCAATGAAAGTAATCCTATTATTTGTTCTGATTACATAAATATTGTAAAATAATACACAGAAAAATAAATTAGAATCACCCCCTCTCCTGCTCAATATTACTGACGTTTTGGTTAAAAGCCATCTTCCAGGTTTCTCTCTAGATATAAATACACATATCTGGAAGCTATATTTACACATAAGTTGCATTATATTAAATAACTAATTTGAAATTTGCTTTTTTCACTGAGTGATACAAGCATTTTTCTACATCCCTAAGTATACATATCCATCATTATTATTGACTTAATGGTTTTCAAGTATATAGTTTAATGATAATTTAGTTCATCATTCTCCTATGTCCCCAAGTTTTCACTATTATTAGAAACTATGTTTTGTTGAATACCCTATGTATATCTTTCTATATTTTCTTTTATATATTTACCCTCAGGATAAATTCCTAGAAGTAGAATGGCTTGTTCAAAGAGTATTTTGAAAGTATCTTATATCTTCATAAATTTTGCCAAACTGTCTTTCAGAAATATTGTCCTAACTTATATTGCTAATTGCACATGAAAGTGTCCACTTCCCTGTGACCTTGGCAACAGTAGAAACAGTAAATTCCGCATGTAAAGTTTAGTGGGTGTGCTGACTTGTTTGGTCTCCTACACGGCACTAATGAGAACTGACTTTTGTCAATAATTGTGAGCAGAGGCAGATATGATCTTTGCACGGTAGTGAAGATCCATGCCTAGAGGGACGTCTTCTTGTGCCTCTATTTTGGTCTGAACATATTTTAGTAATGTCAGATTGTTTCTTTTACACCCAGTAAATATCCTTAGAAACCTTTCATTCAAAATCGTTTATTCTAACTTGAGTTGTATAAAGTCACAGCACACCAGTGGCTTATTAAAACAAAGGTAACCAACCTTCCATATAAGGAGGCTTTGTTTTCCTGATGTTTTTCTCCCTTCCTCTGAAGCCTGCTTGTCAGAAGTTACCCCTCTTACACCCCCTTGCTTGTATATCATACCTCCTTCTCTGGTAGCACTGTTATGCCATCCTGCAGCCATAAGGCTACTTGTCCCATTTTCTTTTAGACCATGAACTCACTAAGGCCAAAAATCTGGCGCCTGGCACCAAAGATGTCCCCAGTAAAGGTTTATTGAATGAATAAAACCTATCTATATTGTAGGTTGTCATGAGTAACTAAACAGCCCATGGAGTGAGCTGGCAAGAGCTCTGTCATGGAGACAGTAAGCAGAAGGACTAAACTTGTCTCAGCCACTCATTTGAGTGACCTTGGGCAGATTCTTCCACCTCTGTCAGGCTCTGTTTCTTTCTGCAGTTAGTTTGTTGAGTGATATCAATGGTCTCCAAACCTGGTTGGTCATCAGAATCACCTGGAATCCTCACTGGGTGCAGGGCTCTGGGTTCTTTTAAGAACCACCGGACAAACTCATCTTTATATCTACCTTTCCATTACTTGACCAAGAACATATTGCCAGCAGTGAGCTTCAGTTGGCAAATCTATAAAATGGGGATGATAACCATGGTGGCTGCCCTGAGAACTTCATGGGGCTGAGGAGAAGTTCTAATTATGGGGGGAAGGACCTCGAAACATAGCAGTTCTAAACAAGTATGTGAACTGCTGGTCTTTTCTGTCTGCTTTTTTCAATGGGACTTGGAGTGCAGTTTTGACTAAACAACCCTAATTGAGAACTCGTGGCTCCCTTGATTATGGATAGGAAATCCTTTGCTGAGGCCCTGTCTTTTGCTTCTCTCACTAGCAGTCCAGATTCCCTTGAAATATTCCCTCCCTTGCGGAAATCCGCTCTAACCTGGGTGTGGAAGATTATCTCTCTCCAGCTTCCCAGAGACACTTGGCTCTTGAGCCAACTTAACCATTTCTTCTCACTCCACTCTCCCCCTTCTGTCCCTTACTCTGATCCTCTGACTTTTTCTCAAATTTGTCTTCCACTTGGCAGATGGCCCACTAGCAGAATGGCTAGCTTCCCTATGTTGGGTCAGGGTGTAGGGATGATGCTGTAGAAAGCTGCCAGAATGCAGAGCAAACCAAGATGTGGGTGCTGTCTCATTACTCCTTTCACAACCAAGTACAGAAGGACCTCATCCTGTTTGGTTTGGGTTCTGTCTTTGGAGGCCCACCCCTGAAGACAGTTGAAGATGAGGAACAGAAAAGGGAAGATAGAGGGAAGGGCTGAAAGATTTATCAAGTAGCTGCTATGCGCCAGGTTCCAAGCTGGACCCTTTGTATATATTTTAATAACAGCCAACCTTGATAGCACTCCTGATTTGCCAGGCAACTTACACAGAGTATCTGATTTAATCCCCGTCCCAGGCATGAAGTGAGAGTTGTCATTCTCATGTTACAGATCAGGAAGCTGAGACTTGGTGGAGGGAAATGTCGTGTCCAAGGTCACACGGTCAGCAAGAGCCAGAACCAGATTTTGAACCCTGACCTTACTGATTCGAGTCTGTCCTACCTGACAGAAATGGCATTTTTTCAGGCTCCATATTTAGCATTCAAATTTCCAGAGAAAGACCTGAACCTAGAATGGGATTTCTTTTCAATTTTTGGAGCCAAAATTATTTTAATTTTATGGCTAGGAAAATGTAAACTTACATTTTCAGCAGACCAGAGATGATAAAGTATGCATTTGTCAAATAAAATTCTTTGCTGTGATAAAGTAAATCATTCCTTGGCGTTGTAAAAAATTAGGCCTCACTTGAACTGTTTTCACTTCGGCCTTTGCTAATATTTCTGTTATCTCCATTAGGGATTACAATGATGAATGCCTTTTATTCGCATAGTTAAGCACTTCAGTGAATGTGTGAACACACAGAGCTTCATAAGTCATAGGGAGATGAAACAACATGGTCACCACAAGAAATATCTTGAGAGTCTGACAGATTGGGGTTAGCATCCTGTCTCTGCCACTCATGCGCTATACGACCTTGGCCAAATTCCTTAGCTTTTCTGGTTCTCAGTTTCCTAATGTGTAAAATATGGATAATAATACATATCTCCCTGGGTAATTTTAAGGATGGAATGAGATGACTTACTTATAGCACTTTGCACTGTATAATACCTGGCATGAAGTGAATGCATAATAAATGTCACAGTTATTATTGGAATAATTCTCAAGGCAACTAGTTATTTAATGGCAATGCCCAGGGTTCACTGAACTTAAAGTTTTTTGGCCATCAAGACTGAGTCTAGGTCGTCTTGTTCTGTGAGCCCCAGCTGCTGATGTACTTATGCTCCTCTTAGAAATAGTGCAGGCAGTAAGCAGGTGAAATTCATGAGTAGCTATCTGTTGAGATTATTTTGGCTGCAAATAATAATACCCAACTTAACATGTCTTAAATTAAGAATATTAATCGGCCGGGTATGGTGGCTCACGCCTATATTCCCAGCACTTTGGGAGGCCGAGGCTGGCAGATCATTTGAGGTCAGGAGTTTGAGACCAGCCTGGCCAACATGGTGAAACTCTATCTCTACTAAAAATACAAAAATTAGCTGGGTGTGGTGGTGCACACCTGTAATCCCAGCTACTTGGGAGGCTGAGGCAGGAGAATTGCTTGAACCTGGGAGATGGAAGTTGCAGTGAGCCAAGATTGTGCCACTGCACTCCAGCTGGGTGACAGAGTGAGACTGTCTCAAATATGTGTGTGTGTGTATATATATATATCACCTCTCATAAGAAGTATGTTCAGGGTAAGATGATCCCAGAGTTGTTTAATTAACCTGCCCAAAGATTCCACCAAGTTCCCATTTTCTTTCCTTTCTTTTCTGCCATCCTTAGCCTGTGGCTGTTAGGCTGGCTCCTTCATGATCCCAAGATGGCTGCAATAACTCCAGGCATCACATCTTTACATCACAAAATGCAAAGGTCAGAAAGAGGAAAGATGGCTCATCCTATCCTCACATCTCTTTCAAAGACAGGAAATAAATTTCCCCAAAGCCCCACCTTCCAGAAGATCTCTCATCAGTTTTTTGGGCCAGAATTTTATCAAATGTTTATCCCAGACCAGTGGTAAGGGAAATGGGCAGGGCCAGAAATTCTCAATTCTAGCTGAGAACAAATTGGGGACCTTTTAAAATAATTACAGATGTCTAGGTTCTGCCCTTAGAGGTTGATTTAATTGGGTTAAATTAAATTTAGATTTAATTTAATTTCATTTAATTGGGTGGGGCCTTGTACACACATGTGTGTGTATGTGTGTGTGTGTGAACATGTGTACACTCTGGGGAGCTCTGATGCGCATGTAACATTGAGAACCATTGGTTTAGACCATCCAAGTTTCACCTTCTGGGAGAGAGAGCATTTTAGCCTTCACTGAAGCACATGGCCACAGGATATCTGGACCAAATTGCCGTTCTAGAAAGAGGACCATGACTATTGGGTGAACATCCAAAAGAATCTGAAAGAAGCAATGGGACAGGAATGGATAACCTCTCCCACTGAGACCGTACAGTCCTGGAGTGAATGATACCCCCTAAAGGAATGAAATGCTTTCCAGTCAACCAGCACTAGAATCAGTGAAGCTGCTTATTGTTGAAAATGCATATCCCTGGGCTAAACTACAAATCCACAGTCTCTAAATCTCTGGGAGTTTGCACTTTTCACAAGATCCCTAGTTGATTCTTATGCTCACTGATGATTAAAAATAGTTGCCTAGTGGATTTCACTGCCAGCCCAATTACCACAAGCATTCTGGAAACAACAAACATCTTTTCCTAGAAAATTTAGGATATCTGGATTAGGCCATGTGGTATTGTGAAAAGAACAAGTGTTCAAATCTGACTGATCTGAGTCTGAATTCCAGTTCTGCCACCTGTACATTGCACCATTTTGGTTAACATCATCTCTTTGAGCCTCCATTGTCTTATCCACACAATCAAGAGAGTAATACCTACTTCTTAATTTTGAGATTAAATGAGATCAAGGAAATGAGAGCAGCTGACACAGATTAGGGCACAATGGATGTCAGTTAGAATTTGGGTCTTCTAACTTTCAGGCCCACACTGCCTCCCAAAATAGTTTACTGAGGTTCTTCCAAAAGCAATAGAATGGGAGCGCTATGCCCTAGGCTGCAAAGAGCCAAAGCATTGAAGTTGAGACACTTCCCCAAAGTGAAATTGCTTGGTGTTTTAGCCTTAAGGAAAAAGTCTTCCTGGGAAAGCAAAGCTAAAAAACTAAAGCTTCCTGGAGGGCCAATTTTTTTAGTCCAGATCAGAAAATGTAATGGGCCTGCTCTGGAGTCTCTGGCTTGTCTGACATGGTTGTGACCTGAATACATGATCAAAGCAACAACAGTACTGTTCCTCTGGGTTGTTAGGCAGGAACCTTGGCACGAATTGTTCAGAAAGGGTCATAGGCAGGGTTGGGTGGAAGGTTTTCTATCACTATTTAGGAAAGAGTGAAGTGTGAGGTCTGGCTGTATTCAAGGCTATGCCAGACTCCAAAGAGCCCATGCTTAACTGCTTAATGGAAGCTCTGGGCTTGGCCAGCCTCCTCCCTGTCAACCCGGTGGCCTCTCTATCTGCCTACTGTACAGGGAAAGAGTCAAGTGTAAACTAATACTTCATGTAAATGGGCTGTCAGGTCACTGAACCAGTATGTTACAGTTAATCTGTTAAAAACAGCAAGGTCCCCCATTTGTAAACATCCCCTTGATAAGCTCTTCATAGCATATACAACCTAGGAAAATGAATGGCATCCCACCAGCTGCCCTGGAGTCAATGCCCCTCTGTGCTCGTCCAGATGACCTCTCATTTCAGCTCAGCCCAGACTATCCCAGTCCAATTCATGTGGACACACCTGAGCCGAGCTCTGTACTGTTCCTGGGGTGGGGGTCAGGGGTTCCCAAGGGAGAGCCAGAGAGAACCTCCAGCTTTAAATGACTTAGATAATGGGAGATGTGGTAACTTTGGAATACTGCCTGGTGTAAAGGCCGGAATTGTGGACTGAAAAGTTACGCACCCCTGGCCTTGGATCCTAGTTCCCAAGCTCAATGCTGTATGGCTTTGCCAAGTTAATGAGTCACATCTCATATGTTTTTAACTCCTATGGATTTAACTCCATGCACGTAGTAAAAGAGAGTGAGGAGAGAGACTGCTATAAATAGTGTGGATGATTTTGACTTCCAGTCTATTCAGTGAACAATATAACCTGGAATGAGAGGTGATGTGGAACTCAGTTGTCTGAGTCAATTTTGGTCCTTGCTTGTCACTTATGCCATTAATATCTTGTGTTGGGTGTGATTCAAGTATTTAGGGCATACATAGTTGGCTATAGGACTTTTTTGCCTGGCTTGCTAACTTCAGAATCCAATCCCTGTGTAAGATTGGATTTCATTCTATCTACCCAACATAGTGGTGGCACTTGTCAGGCCATATTATGTCATTTTCCCTTTTAATGTGGGAGGCCCTGTGAGAGAAGAATCTGGTTCTTCAATTTTCCGATTCTCTTGCTTCCCTTCTCTCCCAGAACCTAGCACAGAGCCCTGTACTTAATAAATAGTAAAATTAGCACTTGGTGCCTACAGTGGTCCTCTCTGCCCCTACCTCATCCTTAAATGGAAGCAAAAGCAGGAGTACGCCAGTGTGACTCACCCTTTCTAGCCAAGGTGGTCAGCTCAGGGCTGAATCCATCTCTAGGATTACAGAACTTAAGAATAACACAGTGGCTTGGAAATGAAAGATGGAGGTAGAGCTTTTGATGGCATTCAAATCTCTGGTTCCATTGTGTCCTGGAGTTCAAACACATATCTATGCTTAAGTTCTGTGAGGCCCAGCAGCCATGTAAAAAGCTCATAGGCTTACCTAAGCTAGTTGAGGGCAGGTTTCCGTCACTGCAACTAAAATAGTCCTAAGCAACACAATAATTTAGATTATTAAATGGTCCTGTGTCACTTGCATCAAGAGTTCAAGACAGACTCATTAGCAGGGATTCTCAGAGCAGTCCTGTCTTAAGAATAAACTTTGTTTATTCTTAAATGGCCACAGAGCTGAAACAATTAGTTGATAGTCATAGGCCCAGGCCATCACTTGTTTGAACCAAACCTTATACAAGTATACTCTAGAAATGAAAATTCCTCAGGCCAACCATTGCGATGCACTGGTTACCTGTCCTCAAACATAACTAAAGGATGAAGTGTAGAGACTGTTAGCTTTGCTTTCCCAGGAGGACTTTTTCCTTAAGGCTGAAACACCAAGCAATTGCATTTTAGGGAAATGTCTCAACTTCAGTGTTTTGGTTCATTACAACCTAGGGCACGGCACTCCCATTCTATAGCTTTTGGAAAAACTTCAACAAACTATTTTGGGAGACAGTGTGGGCTTG
Organism: Homo sapiens; assembly: GCF_000001405.40. Classification (NCBI taxonomy): domain Eukaryota; kingdom Metazoa; phylum Chordata; class Mammalia; order Primates; family Hominidae; genus Homo; species Homo sapiens. The sequence continues at coordinate 13,353,886 of NC_000004.12, read as the reverse complement.
AAAGTTAGAAGACCCAAATTCTAGTTTGCTATATGATTATGAACAATTTGCTTCGTCTCCCAGGCCCTCCATTTACTGGTTTGTAAAATGAGGGCATTAGATTAGGAATGAAACATAAGTTTTGTCTGGCCGTCTGCCTCCACACTTGCCAGCTAACTCCACTTCTACCTTCCCACCCAAATTACCATGTAATGTTCAGTGCACAAACTCACAAACTAAGGAATGAAAGAAATATTCCTTTATTTTTGTCTGAAGCCCTTCTTGTACCTGTGTGGTCTGTCTCATTTATTTTCCCAGGGTCACGAACAAGTTCTGGAAGCTTTTTAGAGAGGCAGGTCCATTTGGTCTTCACAGGCATCCATCTTCACCAGCATCCACAGAGACACCCCCATTATCCTGTTTCATCCTCAGTCATTGGTCTGAACAGGTTGCCTTGGAGATGTCTCATTGCCCTGAGTAAGGGTCCTTCAAGCCAGCAGTTCTGTCCTCTACCCCTGGGCCACTCATGACACATGTGTATCATTCTGATACTACCAAGGCAGTCAGACTTGAAGAAATCAGTGGGTTGTCTCAGTCTGATTGCTGAGACATCTCCACAACCATATCTATATTCAGACCTTGCTGCTACCCTGGTTCTGATCCAGGTGAAGAGGAATAAATCTCCCTTTCTCTTGGATCCAACAAAGTGTCTTTGGGACTCATTCCAAGAATCAAACCCAGAGCCTTTTTTCAGAGACACTGCACCTCTTCGCACTCCTCACTTTCCTTCTGACTCACTGCAATTTCTTAAATTGGAGTATCTTTATCATGCAGGTGTGCACCTCTGTGTAATTCCTTTTGTCCATTTTGCTTTCTCCTCAGTCTATTATCTATGCTGAATCTTATCAATTTCTTTCACAACCTAGGATCTTAACACTGAAAACCTAAAAAGACACTTTTTTGGCCTTTTTTTTTTTTTCATATAACTTCCCTAAAATAATGGACACTGACTGGTGCTACTTTTGATGGAATACGAAGAAGGAAGGCACACATGTAAATAAGAATATGAGAATAAAAACCCAGTTCATTTTTCTAAATATTATCCCACAACACAACAAAGTGAAGTGTGAGCTGTGCTCCAAAGGAAGCACTCTCCCCATTTGCATCAGTCGGCATCTCAGTTGCAAACAACAGAATCCACTGTGTTTTAAACAGAGAAAACATTAATTCATTGCCTTCAGAGTCTTTGGGAGGTCCAGAGAGCCATGCTCAGGGATAATGCAAGCAGGAACACTCACATCACACCCCTCCATGGTTCACAGCTGCGATCTCATGGTATTGGGGCCCAGATACCACAATTGACACCATACATGAATACGGGGCACTATTTCTAAGATCTCTGCCCCTCTGCTGAAGTGTCTCTGCCACATGCTGCTATTCTCACCCTGAAGTTGATTCTGCGTGGCACCTCCTTCCTCACATTGCTCCCTCCGGATAGAAAGAACATGTCTGATGGACAGAGCTGAGGTCATGTGCTGACCTCCTAACTGCAAGGAAGCCTGGGAAGATAAGCTTTCTGGCTTAGAACTTGAAGAGGTGGGACTCATAATGTAGGAAATTACCAGAAAGTGGGAAAGATATTCAAAAGATAATTAGTGCCATTGATAACAAGTGTCACAATGCTCTTCTTTGCAGCCAAGCTCAATATTTGACCTGCTCTAGGGAGATTTCCCTGCATAAGTCTCTATCATATGCTTCCTCTCTCCAATTTGTCATAGCCTTTATAGTCTGACACTATAGGGTTTTATTCTCACTGCTGGCTGATATGGTCTATAACACATCCGCAAGCTGGCATAGTCAGTTTAGTTTAGTCAGTGTTAGTCAGTGTTCTGACTCTAAAATAAAAGATGACTTGAGAACAACCTTGTTATGCCTGCTAACTCTGGAGACTAAATCTATGTTCCTGATTGTAATTGTATTGGTTTTGTAAAAAGACATAGTATTACCCTTTTTTTTTTTTTTTTTTCTTCTTCCATGTGCTAGGCACTTTTATAATAATAAAAGCCATTTAGGCTGGGTTCAGTGGCTCACGCCTGTAATCCCAGCACTTTGGGAGGCGGGTGCAGGCAGATCACCTGAGGCCAGGAGTTCAAGACCAGCCTGCCAACATGGTGAAACCCTGTCTCTACTAAAAATTTAAAAATTAGCCAGCCATGGTGATATGAATCTGTAAGCCCAGCTACTTGGGAGTCTGAGGCAGGAGAATCACTTGAACCCAGGAGGTGGAGGTTGTGATGAGCACTCCAGCCTGGAGTGTCACCTGGGTGACAGAGCAAGACTTCGTCTCAAAATAAAATAAAAGCCATTTATTAAACAAAGTGTCAAATGGAACATAGGTTAACTTCAGGGCTGACTGGCACCTCGGCCACCTGCCCTATGGTGAGAACAGGTTTCCAGTGGTTTGGCCACGGGTCTCTGGACACACTGACTAAAAACTTGTATTCATGCCAGGGCAACCTTCACATTCTCCAGGGGAAGGACTGTGAAGGAAAAGGTGAGGAGAAACTTACGAGGCGGAAGAGAAGATTTCATCATGCGTTAACTTGAAGAATGGGAGAAAGATTTCTAGGGAAATCTTTAGAGGGAAGTGCTGCCTGAAGCTCTGATTCTTGGATAAATTCATGTAAAAGAATGAGAACTATTGCAGATGGAAAATTTGACTGTCGAGTCAGTCCAATTATAACTGTTTTTTAGAATTTTCAGAATGAAGTTAAGAAAATTGTAGAAAACAAAAATGCACTAGAAGCACCCACAAAACCTCTATACCTTAATGGTTATACCTCACAGTTGGTATTAATATTTTTATTCTAGAACTTGTATTTATAATCTTCCATCCTTTTCACTTCATATCAGTTTGTAATGCCTTTTAAATATGGCCAAATAGTTTCATAATTATTATTTTTAATGAGTTAAAATGTTTCTTTGAGTAAATATGTCATAATTATACAACCTTTATCCTATTTTTGGAGACAGAAGGTTTCCTCAACTTTTTAGGTATGGTAAATGATGCAACTTCCATCCTCTACACTCACAGATGAGTCTTCCTGCCCACCCTGTATTTGCTCAGTCTCAGGCAAAGCTGCATCACCCATTCTGTCTCAGGCCATTACCTCCACATGTGTTGCCAGTCTCCTGCCTGTATGAGGTCTTATAGAGTATTCAATCCCCTATCTCTCCTATATTTTCAACTCTTAAACACCTCCAGTCATGTGTGAGGCTTTCCTGTCTTAAAATAAAAGGCTCCCTTGGCCTTGATTCTCCCTCTTGACCCTAGAAACCCTCCACTCGAGCCCGGGTTGCATCTCAGGGCATCCTGGCTCCTGTCCCCTCCAGCCCATGGGAACTGCCCTTGCAAAGGCCCCCAGAGGGCTCATGCTGACCTTTCTCAGGCTATATCATAAGACTTGGCTTCTTCATCTTATGATATCCCTGCATCCTTGGCTTCTGCTCCTCTCCAATGGCTCTGTGTCTTCAGTCTCTATCTCCTTGCACATGTCTGCCTTTCCTTACATATTGGTTCTCCCAAGGATCCCATTCTTGGTTTACTTCTCACCCAAGAGATGTTCTCTCTTTCTCTGGAGTTTTATTCATTCTCAGTTTCAACCACTCTTGGTGTCTTAGTCAGGAGTCTCCAGAGAAACAGAGCCAATTAGATAGATAGATAGATAGATAGATAGATAGATAGATAGATAGATAGATAGATGACAGATAATCTAGGAGATTAATTATGGGAATCCGCTCATGTGATAATGGAGGCTGAGACACCCCAAGGTACTACTGTCTTCAAGGAGGAGAATCAGCAAAGTCAGTGGTGTCATTTGGTCTAAGTCTTGAGAAACTGGGAGGTGGCTGATATAAGTCCTGGAATCCAAAGGCCTGAGAACCAGTAGCTCCAAGGGCAGGAGAAGATGGATGACCCAGCTCAAGGAGAGAGAGTAAATTCACTCTCCTCTGCCTCTGTGTTCTATCTGGGCCCTCAGTGGATTGTGTGATGCCCACCCACATGGGCAAGGGCAGATGTTCTTTACTCAGTTTACTTACTTAAATGCCGCTCTCTCTGGAAGCATCCTTGCAGACACACCCCCATAATGTCTACCAGCTATCTAGGTGTCTTTTATCCCTCTCAAGTTGACACATACAATTAACCAGCACACTCAGTGAGTTGCTAACTCTAAAAACCTCTATTTCTAATTCTAACCTTTCTCCTACCTTATCCTTCTCCTATAATCAGGCTTCCATCCTTCCATTTTACAAATATTTGTCAAGAGCCTTTTGTGTGCCAATATTTTTTCTAGATTGCATTCAAAGACAAATCAAGCAGAATCCTCCATGAAAACTCATACATCCATTTGCGGTTGGATATCTCCAATTGAATGACATACACTCGACTTACATTGAACTCATTCTATAACTCTTCTCCCACACAGATCAGCTCCTCCGCCTGTGCTTAATTAATGGCACCACCACCTAGCTAGTTGCCCAATCCAGAAACACAGGGATTATTCTGGGCTAGCTCTAACCTCAGTCCCTATATCTTCATGATTCAGTCAACAAATATTCCTGAATCTCTATGCTAGCCCTCTCCCCTCCCACCACAGCTATGTCCTTTGTCTGCATCCAGTACTTATTGTTTTGCAATGACCTCTTAATGGATCTTGAGGCCTCTAGGATGATTCCTAAACACCAACATGGCTATGCCACTCCCTAATGAAAATTTCCAGTGGCTTCCCATTGCATGTGGGATACAGTCCAGTTATCCTAGTATGATGTCCAGGTTCTCTCCTGGCTTACCCCTCTAGCCATCTTTCTGCCTTCTGTATCTTACACTTTATGGGTTGTGACACTGAACTACATGTAGTTTAACCAGTTTATTGCTTACTAGATGCATTTCCTCTTTTTCTATAATGACCTTTTCTACTTTCTCACCATCCAGTTCCATGTTTTTTTCTATAAGCCCAACCTCAGGCATCTTCTGTAGAAAGCTTTTCCTGATCTCTCCTTTCCCACCTCCCTGGGCTTAGCTTCAGGTTCTGTGTGATCCTAGTAGCCTGTACGTCTCCTTTTAACTACACACATCATGTTGTTTATCTGTTTATATGTCTGTCTTCCTTAGGAATTCAAATAAATGTTGAATACATTCATTTTAAAATCCTATATGTGTGCCTAGCAATTCTATGTTAGTTACTCAACACTCTTGTTCAGAATAATTTGGTGGGTTTCTCATCATAAAACCAGGGGAGAAACATGTCTGCAGGATTGTCCAAGATTTCCCAACTGGACAGAGAATTGCTACTTCACCTTTGACCTCTCAACTCATCCCAGTCACTGACTTTGAGACCACAGCAAAGCTCCCAGAATTTCAAGCACTGGACAGAGTCTCTGACCAACAGATTAATTTTAGAGTCATTGAAATTCTGCCAACTCTGGGGGGAATGATTGGGAGCCAGGCTGACAACCAGCAAAGGAGGAAATTACTCTCTGTCTCTTTCAAGATGAGAGAGTTGTAACCACGGTGCCTCCCCCGGTGATGCTGTTCAAAAAACATAAATTTAATACTTTTATGAAACTCAATCTTCTAACCATAAGCATTTCAGGGATCTCTTTGATGTTCAGGAAAGGCAGCCCGGTGCCAGTGTCTTTTGCACATATGGGGAGGACCCCGCCTTGCACATGAGCTGAGAATTTTGGGTCCCCCAACGCTCTGGAAGAGTTATCTTTTGTTTAAATGATTCAACAAACATTTATTTAGCCCCTACCATGTTCAAAACATGTTTTTTTCTTTCCCCTGGAGAATGAGCACAGATTTCTGAATCAGACGAAAGCAAGTTCAAATCCTCTCTTGGCCCCTAACTGGCCACAGATCGTTAATATACCCCTGGATGACTCAGTACTGGTTTCCTCATCTGTGAAATGTGGTTATAATATTTACCTTTCAGGAAAATATCAAGGATTATGTGAGGTAGAATAAGAAAGAGGCTGCCTTGCCCTGTGCCTGATACCTAAATGTTTATTTAAAAGAGAAACCAGGAGAATCCAACTTTGTATAAATATTATTTGCATTAACAAATTGTGGCTTTACTATAAGAAGCACGTTCAGTAAGAAGACTTTACAAACCATTATGGATGCATCAGTTAGGAATGTAGTTGGCTGCAGAAACAATAAGCCAGTGGCAGGCCAGTAAGTGTTTAATAATGGACTCTCTGGGGGAAAAATAAATCCGTGATTTTTAGTGTTTACTGATTTCTGTAAAGTAAATACTCCCACCAAGGCTGATTTCAAGCTACCAATGTGGTGTCACTGAATGCAGAGTTGGGAAGATATATGGTATCTAGTATATGGTATATAGCAATGAAGATATATGATATCTCCACCATTCATACACAATAGATGCACATAAACCCAAGAGCAGAGAGAACAGACTAGAGCACAGTTATAGATAATAGTACATTTTGTGAAATATTTAGGAAGCAATGAGTTTTTGAGTATTTACAACCTTCATTTTAAATATAATTTAATTGTAAGATTCCACAACTTAATTTTTAATAATGTCTGTGTTAACAATTGACTATAAAGTTCTGAAAAATTTAACAATTACCTTTCACAAGTTGATGAGAGTCAGCTCTGACACACTACTACACAAAATCCTAGTATAGTGACTTAAACACAACACATTTCCTTTGTTTTGTGTGACAGGAAGTTCAGGGATGAGCATCTGAGGGCTGGTGGCTCATCAGGAACCAAGACTCTTTTTTTCTGCTCTGATGTCCCAAGCACAAAGGCTTCATCCTCATTCAAATGGCTTCCAGATTGCGAGGTGGCTGCCATCCACTCCATGTCTGCATGCCATGGAGCAACAAGGGAGGAGGAAAAGGGTGAAGTGTGTTTATTTGGTAAAAGACACTGTATTCGTTTCCTATTGCTGCTGTACTGAATTATCACAAATCTTAACGCAAAACAACAGTGGCTAAAAACAATGCAAATTTGTTATCTTACTGTTCTGGAGACAGGAAGTCCTTTGTTAGGAGGGATGGGCTCCTTCTGGAGTCATTAGGGGAGAATCTGGTTCCTTGCCTTTTCCAGCTCTAGAAGCCACCCTTATTTGTTGGCTTGTGGACCTTTTTTGTCTTGAAAGCCATCAATGGACAGTTGAGTCTTTCTCACATCACAGCACTCCGACTCTGCTTTTGTTGTCACTTCTCTTCCTCTGACTCTTCTGCTTCCCTTTTCCACTTATGAAGACCTTTGTGATTACATTGGGCCCACCTGGATAATCCAGGATAATCCCCCTGCGTTAGTCCATTTGCATTGCTAAAAAGGATTCCCTGAGACTGGGTAATTTATAAAGAAAAGAGGTTTATTTGGCTCATGGTTCTGCAGGATGTGCAAATATGGCACCAGCGTCTACTTGGCTTCTGGTGAGGCCTCAGGAAGCTTCCAATCATGGCAGAAGGCAAAGGGGGTGCTACTGTGTCACATGGTGACAGAGGGAGCAAGAGAGAAAGGGAGGAGGTGCCAGACTCTTTTAAACAACCAGATCCCACGTGAACTCATAGAAAACTCACTCATTACTGCAAGGACAGCACCAAGCCATTCATGAGGGATCCATTCCTATGACCCAGACACCTCCCACTGGGCCCCACCTCCAACACTGGAGGTTGCATTTAAAGATAAGATTCGAAGGAAATAAAACATCCAAACCATATCACTTACCATTGAAAGATCCTTACCTTAATTCCAGCTGCAAAGTCCCTTTTGCCAAGGAAGGTAACATATTCACACGTTCCGGGGATTAGAATGTGAACAACATTGCGAGTCATTATTCTGCCTGCCACAGACACTCTCCTCAGGGACTATTTTCCATATCTCACTGTCTGGAGGTGTGCTGCCACGAGGCCACCCCTAGTTGCATGGCAGGCTGGGAGATCAAGTTTTAGCTTTTAGAGCAATTTTGAAAATGTAGGTAAGACATTAAGGGCTGGAAATAATATTTGAGTCACCCAACCAATATTGGCTGCCACACTAGGAAATAATACATAGTCAAATGGGTCTACACCTCATAGCCTGCTGCTTGACTCAATGGAATTATGTTTTAAAAATAGACTATTATCCCAAATTAATAATTGTTGGGCTGACTATACCAAAGGTCATTGCTCACGCGTGTTTCCTTTCTTCCTCTCCACCTCTTCCCCTCTCTTCCCCTCTCTTCCCTTTCCCTCCCCTCCTTTCTCCTCTCCTCCACCTCTGTGGGCCTGCAAGTTTCCCAGCCTGTCTTTTGACTTGTAGTAGACCAAAGAGATTAGTTTCTATGCTCACTTTTGTGTCTGACACAGAGTGGTGGGATGTTGTTCACTATCCCTTCAAATCATGGAACACGGAATCGAATGCAGCATTTTGACCAGTTGCCTTCATCAATCCACAATTAATCATGTTGGAAAATTTATCCCACATAACTCTTCTGCCTGCTTTTCAATTTTTGGACATTTTAATGGGAGAGGGCATTGGATAAGGGCTTAGGCAGCCACAGACATCTGATAGCCAGGTATATTGACTTAAACAGTAGAGTTACCTACAGGGAGGAAGAACTTTATGGTTCAGGCTGATAAAATAGCTCCTTACTGGCTTTGCCATGGTACCTGAATTTTTCAACATGATAGGAAGTATGGCATGTTGTTTCTACATGACAGGAAATATGATATATTATTATTATTGAAAGATCTTTTAATTTCCAACTTGGCCACTGTAAAGAGGATAGACTCTAAAAGAAAATGGTCTTGTGGTGTCACTTAGGTAAGTCTCCAATAGGAAAAGAGTAGATATTGGAACAAGAACCAGATAACATTTTTCATATTCCATAGGAGTGTTGACAGTGTCCACCATGCCATTGAATGTTCCTTTTATAAAAAGGTGAGACATTTTAGAATTTACTACCCACAAAAGCTTTACTTCACCTCCAGAAACATAAGTTTAGATATTGAAAACAGGAGGTGTTTCGGTTACAAGCTTGGCATCTCTATATAGTGCTAAGGTTGGAGGAGGCCTGGAAAGAATTTTCAAGGAAGACATATTATAGACTTCCTTTCCTTTCGAGGGATTCATAAACAAGGGCTTCATAAACATATGGAGTGATGTGAGGAGTTTTTGCTGTTGCTTCTCTTTCTTGTAAACCACATGTGCTGCATATATGAAGCCAGCATCTATGAGAGATAACTGAACAGGATAAGAAGTTTGTTGACAAAATACCTGGCCCCTGGAGTAGGCTCCAAGTCTCTAATGGTGCCTCCAGCCACTCAAGACAGCAGGGGCTTAACATTTTGACATTGTTGTCTAATTTTTCTTTGTCTCTTCCTGTTCTCTGCCACTTGGTGGTAGCCTAGGTTGCACAGGATCATGTGAATCCGCTTAGTCACATCTGCAAATGAGAGCCTTCGAAGTGTAAACTTTATTCATCAGTGTGATTTAAGCCACATCTTGGTGACAGGGCATCCATCTCAACAAATGGCATAGGGCCAGCAAAAGTCAAAGACTCAACCAACATGCATGATCATTGTTCAAAGACATGTCAAAAGGAAGGGAAGTACATTTTAAACATTTTGGTATATACATAACATAAAATTTACTGTTTTAACTATTTTTAATTATGCAGTTCAGTGGCATTAAGTATATTCACATCCACTGTTGTTCAACCATCACCACCATTTATCTGCAGAACTTTTTCAGTTTCCCAAACTGAAACTCTGTCCCCATTATACACTAGTTTTCCATTTCCTTCCCTTCAGCTTCTGGCAACCACCATTCGGCACCATCCTTTCTGTCTCTATGAATTTGACTACTCTAGGTACCTCAAAGTTAGTAGAACTATATAAGATTTGTCCTTTTGGGTCTGGTGTATTTCACTTAGCATAATGTTTTCAAGGTTCATCCACACTGCAACACATGTCAGACTTCCATTCCTTTTTATGGCCAAACAATATTCCATTGTATGTATATACTGTATGTTGCTGATCTATTCATCTGCTATGCGGTATAATCTCATTGTGGTTTTGTTTTGTGTTTACCTAATGATTAGTGATGTTGAACGTCTTTTCTTGTGCTTATTGGCCATTTGTATGTCTTCTCTGGAGAAATGTCCATTCCATTCTTTGCCTATTTTTCAGCTGTTTTTTTTATTGTTGTTGTTGAGTTGTATAAAGTACAGATTCTCGAATTATAGACCACGTAACAATGATAACCATGACTTGGAGAGTATTAATTAACCAACAAACTGACCTACCCACCCTTCCCTCATTTCAAGCCCAAGGTTATAAAGTATCATTTACATCGATGTGTGTCTGCAATCTCATTTCAACACCTTGACAGTCACCAGGTGTTTCTGTAAAAAGGCATCCGTACAAACTGTAGCATCTGTGTAGAAGTAGGGAATCCAGAGAGGAGGGAAATTTAGAAATCTGGCAGCTGGTCTCAGTTTGAATATTTAATGTCAATTTGGACAGTGGGCCTGAAATGCTAGAACCCAAACAAAGATTTCCATGTTCTAATTATCTTCCGACCACTGTTGTGCTAAGCTCTACTTGGCTTTCCTTACTGGCACTTCAACTCTCCAGGCTGTACCATTTTGAGGGAAAACAGGGTGGCTCTCTGCATAAAATGCCATGGAATATGAAAAGTAAAGCAGCTTTGTCTTCTTTACCAGGGGAAAACTCCAGACTTTCTCAGGTATCCTTCCAAGTTTTCCAAATAGTTCTGAGAATACTGAGAAGCAGGTTCATCTTGTATGCTCTAGAACCTGTTCTCTTGGAATTGTTGCCTTCAGCTTGTTCCTCTATCACTCTTGATTTCTGAGGCAGCATGTCTTCTGCCCAAGCTTTCACAACAGCTGCTAATACCACCAGTGCCTGCATCAAGGCTGCAGAGACTGGTCACAAACACATCATGTCCAACTGCTGCCTAGGCCTTTGGCTTCAAGGTTTCAGACACCTTGCACTTAACTTGTGTTATTCTTTTAACTTGTATTGCTCTTTTACAGCATCTGCTTTACCACAAATCAGGCCTGAGCCCTGTGTACAGGACTAGGGGCTGTCTTGTAACGAGTGGCCCTTAGACCCACCCTACTGATGCGAACACATTGCTCTCTGGCCAAAGTTGTAGAAAGGAGTGTACAGTCCCTAGGGTGAATTTTTCCCTACTAGGATACTCTTATTTTCTCCCGTATTAAATGATATCCTGTTGGGTCCACACTCTTCCTCCATCATTGCCAGCTATGAATAAATCTCAGGGTGGGCATACAGACTGGGATCCTACTCCATGATTTTGAAAATAAAAATACTATATTTCAGCTAGTTATTCATTCACTAATTTTTCTCTTGAGCTGAATCTAGCACAAAGGTACTTCCATGTTTTAAATAGCAAAATCTAAATTTTATTTTTCCAATGAGAATATTCCAACATATTCTGGCATTTCATCTTAAAATTCTTTGCTTTGCTTTTTAATAGGTTTACATATACATATTAACACATTCATTTCCAAATGCTCCTAGGGAGATTGCTGAACTAGAAGATTGAATTGAGATTGGAGTCTTCCTGGAATAAATAAAAGAACAGCCACTAAAGGGTAATGTGATACACTTATTATTCTGCCAGGCTCCTCTGCATACTATTCTAACAAACTCCTTGGGTGAATAAGAAACCAAAGCTAGTCTTTATAACACTGGGACTCACAGATGGGGGATGGGAAAAGTGCTGTGCTCATGGAAAAAATATTTCATTTGTTAACTCGGCTTTAAATTGTATTACAGTTGAAAACGGGAGAAGCACTTGTGGTTAATTTAACAGATCCATTAGTGAAAGGACCCTTAGAAATCTGTCAAAACTTTTTATTATATAAATAGGGAAATTTCTCAGATGGGAAAAATAACTTGCTCGAACTCAAATCGTAAGAGCCAAATGTCACTTGTTCATCACTTTGTGGCCAAACAACTCTATGCAGGTTGTTCGGAATCATAATTATTATCCTTGGACTGTTTGTTAATGGTTGTTACTGATTATTAATGGTCTGTGGTGTTTACCTTCCAAGGGTCTAACATTTTTACATGTAAAAGAACCTTGTAGCGTAGGAAGAAGAAGGTTTCGATGGTAAAATCAACCCTAAGGCCACCTAGTAAACTCAATGAGCAGGGGCTCTTAACCTGAAGTCCTTAGAAGGGCTTTAATCTGCTGGGTGCGGTGGCTCATGCCTGTAATCCCAGCACTTTGGGAGGCCGAGGAAGGTGGATCACCTGAGGTCAGGAGTTTGAGACAAGCCTGGCCAATGTGGTGCAACCCCTTCTCTACTAAAAATACAAAAAAAAAAATAATTAGCCGGGTATGGTGTCAGGTGCCTGTAATCCCAGCTACTTAGGAGGCTGAGGCAGGAGAATCACTTGAACCCGGGAGGTGGAGGTTGCAGTGAGCCCAGATCGTGCCATTTGCACTCCAGCCTGGCCAATAAGAGTGAAACTCCGTCTCAACAACAACAACAACAACAACAAAAGGGCTTTAAGCTTTGATATTATATGCATTAAGCTCTTGGAATTATATAAATTATTTTATGCATGGGTAGTTATATGCATTTTCTTTAGAGAGGGGATCTGTTTAATTCTGGACTTTCTTGGCTGGATAAGACAAATCTTGAACATAAAAGTAATTTATTGGCTTATTTTCCTGGAGCTCATACCCCACTCCGTAACAACTTCCAGCGTGGCTGAATCTAATTGTGCTGTTTCTGTTTTTGTCTACCTTGCAACTCAGTTTGCCCCTGACTTCATTCTGATTTGGGGATCTTTTCACTTTGTGAACAAAAAAGCCACAAGGATGACTCCATACACTCACACCTCCCAGCTTGGTACTACCCACTGGTAAGATGACTCTCAGTCCCCACATGGGTCATATAGATGGCCATCACCACTCACTGGGTCTAGGGTGTTGAGCCATTCTGCTTGATCAGCCTGAGTCATCTTTGCACCCTTCCTCTAAACATTGATATTGACATTCCTACAGAACACATAGAGTTGGGGAAGAGTTCTCTAAAGGCACCAGGAGAAGGGGGTTGGGAAGCACATGGAGCAGATAAAGCTCTAGCAAACAGATTTCTGTGGGGTCCACCATTCCCCAGATTCTCAAGGGATCTGTTTCAGAAAAGTCAACAAAAGTGTTCTTAGGAGTAAGGGCTGTATTATGGGTCTCCTAGTAGATTACAGAGTACTTGGTTTTCACACAGTAACATATTTTTTCATCTATACAAGTGTGCTTTGAATACTCCCTCTGCAATATAAATGCGTTTGGCCTTTGGGTTCACTTCATCTGCACAGCCTACTGATAGGAAAGTTGTCAATTTACTTGGAATAAATAAAGACAATTCTGTTTTCTGTAAAATATAATTTGCACATGATATGATTTGATCATGGCTGCCCTTCTGTGAATGTGCATTCCTGAATGACTGTCACGAATTTTATCAATCAGAACTCAGGAGAGCACTAATCCAGAGAGATGTCAAATCCACAGTTGCTTGTTCTTGGCCTCGGTCTCAGTGCCTGGGAATTCTTCAGTAGCAGCACATGCACCATGGCTTAATACCTTTACAGAATTATGTGAACACTCAACTTTTTGGCCTTTCTTTTTGGAATTAAAATAAGCAATATTTTAGGCCATTCTAAAGTGGGGACTAATCTTTCCCAGGACTGATAAAAAACTTCTCCCCAGGAAAATAGAAATGAGACAATATTTTGTGCAGAGGGGGCCTTCAAAGAGAAAAGAGTCGGCTTCCATTGCTCTTAATTAGGGGGTCTATTTTAATGCTCCATTGAGGCTCTTTTTGATGGCACATTAGGGTCCTTGGGAAGGATATTAAGCTCCAGGGTATTCTGTGTTGGAGTTCAGATGGGATGAGTTGGCATGATTGAGCAGCAAGGAAGAGAGGAAAAGTGGGAAAAGATCCTGAAAGCCAGGTGTATTGGTTCCAGTGCTGGTCAACCACTTTGTCTGAGGTGAGCAATGTTGTATCAATAGCCCACCAGCTGTCCAGTCCTTCAGGGAGTAGAGTTCTACAACTGGGAGAATTCTACCTGCTATTTCCTCAGGACAACTGTAACATTCAGGGGACCTGGGGATACCTAGGTGATAAAAGCTATATTTCTCAACTTTGGGTGGAAACTGAGCTTTTGGGCTTACCCTGAGCTGTGATAATAGGGAAGGAACTTTACTTTCCATATGCAACATTTTCAATTGAAAATTGCAGGGACTGTGCAATTGACTGTGCAGGAGAGTCGATTACCAATGTCAGCACCATTCCCATTCATCTGGGATAGACTCCATGCTCTTCCCTAAATCACAGGGGCTGAAGCCTGGGGATGATATTTTCCAGAATTTCTTGCAGCAAGATTTCAGATTAGAATTAATCCATGAAGGGCACTAAGGTGTGATTAGAAAGTGGGCAGATGAGATCAGATGGGTTCAGGGTGGGAAAAGGTCTGTGGAAGGATACAATATTACAGCTAGATGGGAGGAATAAGTCCTAGTGTTCCATACCACTGTAGGATGACTATAGTTAACAAAAATATATAGTTTCAAATAGCTGCAAGGAAGATTTGAGATGATGAATGTGCTAATGACCCTGATTTGGTTGCTCTACGTTATACATATAGAAACATTACTATGTACCCCATGAATATGTTCAATTAAAAGTAGTTTTATAAAATAGTCCAAAAAAAGAAGAAGAGCAGAAGCAAAATCAATATTATTGCTCCTCTGGCAGTTGTGGGCAGATGCATGGGTTTTGGCCTTTGCTTGTGAGCCTCTGCAGTGGCCTGCAGGTGTTAACCTCGAATGACCTGTCTCTTGCTGCTGGCAGTTGTTCTATCAGTGATTGTTCTGAGACTTCTTTTTGTATAAAAATGACATATTCTTTATTTTGCATACTGTAATTTCAGAACAAAATGAACAAAATAAACAAAAAGCCTCATAATATATAACATCCAATCTTGCTATCAGAGTAAGGAGGGAATGGGGGCTTGACACCCTTGTTTCTTGCCTTCAACACAAGGACAGGAGAGAAAAAAAAAACACTAGACATCAGCAGGGGGAGCAAAGTGGGCACTCGATGATGCCATGGGATCCATGGGGACACTATACAATGGTGAGTTTTCCAACTATGAACTCCTAATCTACTTCTTCCATGCGAGATGCATCACACATCCTCGTCACCCTCAAGAGGGGTGATCTCATCAGGAACCACAGCACTGTGTTCCTCTGCTGTCACTTAATCTTCATCGATACCTAGACCTAGCTTGATCATGCAGTAGATGTGGTTGGAATGGGTCTGGGGATCCTCAAGGGAAAAGCCAGAAGACAGCAAGGCAGTTTCTAACGGCAGCACCACCAGGTCCTTGACTGCCTTGTCATTCTTGTGTGTCTCAGCCTTCTGCCGCAGCGTCTCCACAATGGGGTGGTTGGGGTTGATCTCCAGGTGCTTTTTGGCCATCATATAGCCCACGGTGGAGGTGACCCGAAGTGCCTAGGCTTTCATGATCTGCTCCATATTGGCTGTCCAGCTGTAGGTGCTGGTCACAATGCAGCAGGATGAAGACACAAGCCTGTTGGAGACTGTCACCATCTCAACCTTCTTATCTAAAGTTTCTTTCATGAACTTGCAGAGGTTCTCAAACTTTGCCTTCCTCTCTTCCATTCTCTTCTTCTCCTCCCCATCCTCAGGTAGCTCCAGGCCCTCCTTGGTAACTGAGACCAGGCTCTTCCCATCAAACTCCTTGAGTTGCTGCACACGTAGCCATCAATGGGCTCGGTCATATATACCACCCTGGAGTCCCGCTTCCATACTTGCTCCACAAAAGCTGAGTTGGCAACCTGCTCTTTGCTCTCACCAGTGATGTAATAGATGGACTTCTGTATCTCCTTCATGCGAGAAACATACTCTAACAAAGATATCATCTCATCTCCAGACTGGGAGGTGTGATAACACAGCAGCTCAGACGGGTGGCATCAGTTAGTGGAGTCCTTGTGGATTCCAAGCTTGAGATTTTTAGAGAATGCCTCATAGAATTTCTTGTAATTCTCCTTGTCTTCCACCAGCTCAGTGAAGAGCTCAAGGCACTTCTTAACAATGTTTCTGTGAATGACTTTGAAGATTTTGCTCTGCTGGAGCATTTCTCAGGAGATGTTCAGGGGAAATCCTCAGAGTCAACCACACCACGGATAAAGTTGAGACACTCTGGTATCAACTCAACACAGCTGTCCCTGATGAACACACGATGGACATAGAGTTTGATGTTGTTCTTTTTCTTCTTGTTCTCAAAAAGATGAAAGGGAGCCTAAGGAGGAATGAATAGCAATGCCCTGAATTCCAACTGACCTTCTACAGAAAAGTACCTGACTGCCAAGTGGTCTTTCCAGTCATTGGTGAGGCTCTTATAGAATTCTCCATACTCCTCTTGGGTGATGTCTTCAGTGTTTCTGGTCCAAATAGGCTTGGTCTTGTTTAGTTCTTCCTGATCAATGTATTTCTCTTTGATCTTCTTAGTTTTCTTCTTCTTATCCTTACCACTGTCATCCTCCTCATCTGAACCCACATCTTCGATCTTGGGCTTTTCTTCGTCATCTTTATTTTCCTCTTCTTTCTCACCTTTCTCTTCCTCTGCCTTACCATCACTAATTTCTTTCTCTCGTTCCTTCTCCAGATAAAGGGTGATGGGATAGCCTAGGAACTGAGAGTGCTTCTCCACTACTTCTTTGACCTGCATCTCTTCTAAGTACTCTGTCTGATCTTCTTTAAGGTGGAGGATCACTTTGGTACCCCTACCAATAGGCTCACCATGGTCAGCACACACAGTGAAGGAACCTCCAGCAGAAGACTCTCAGGCATGCCATCATCATTGGGCTTTGTGATCACAACCACTTTCTCTGCTACCAGGTAGGCAGAATAAAAGCCAATACCAAATTGCCCAATCATGGAGATGTCTGCGCCAGCCTAAAAAGCCTCCATGAATGCTTTCGTACGAAACTTGGCAATGGTTCCCAAATTATTTATGAGATCAGCTTTGGTCATGCCAATGCCTGTGTCTACCAAAGTCAGGGTATGTTCCTGAGTATTGGGGATGATGTCAATTTTCAGCTCTTTACCACTGTCCAACTTGGAAGGGTCTGTTAGGCTTTCATAGCGAATCTTGTCCAAGGCATCAGAAGCATTAGAGATCAACTCCCAAAGGAAAATCTCCTTGTTGGAATAGAAGGTATTGATGATAAGAGACATGAGTTGGGCAATTTCTGCCTGAAAGGCAAAAGTCTCCACCTCCTTCTCTCCAAGGTGCACTTCCTCAGGCATCTTGAAAAGAAAAGGCTTACACGTATTAAAGAGCAAGGTAGGCTGGCTCTCCAACACACAGGCAGCACAAACGCTGTGCCGGAGTGACTCCAGAGCCGTTCTGTGACTTTTTCAACTTCCAGGTCCTCCAAAAGCTGGGGAGAATCTGAGAGCTGGAGGGAGCTCTCTCTAGTTCTTTCCTCCTCGTCTCTTCTAAGGATTTTGTTAGCATCTATCTCCCTTTTTATGTGAAATACCTGGAGTGTATTTTTCTTTTTTTTTATTTTTTATTTTATTTTTATTTTTTAGTTATTATTATTATTATTATACTTTAAGTTTTAGGGTACATGTGCACAATGTGCAGGTTTGTTACATATGTATACATGTGCCATGTTGGTGTGCTGCACCCATTAACTCGTCATTTAGCATTAGGTATATCTCCTAATGCTATCCCTCCCCCCTCCCCCCACCCCACAACAGTCCCCAGAGTGTGATGTTCCCCTTCCTGTGTCCATGTGTTCTCATTGTTCAATTCCCACCTACGAGTGAGAACATGTGGTGTTTGGTTTTTTGTCCTTGCGATAGTTTGCTGAGAATGATGGTTTCCAGTTTCATCCATGTCCCTACAAAGGACATGAACTCTTCATTTTTTATGGCTGCATAGTATTCCATGGTGTATATGTGCCACATTTTCTTAATGCAGTCTATCGTTGTTGGACATTTGGGTTGGTTCCAAGTGTTTGCTATTGTGAATAATGCTGCAATAAACATACGTGTGCATGTGTCTTTATAGCAGCATGATTTATAATCCTTTGGGTATATACCCAGTAATGGGATGGCTGGGTCAAATGGTATTTCTAGTTCTAGATCCCTGAGGAATCGCCACACTGTCTTCCACAATGGTTGAACTAGTTTACAGTCCCACCAACAGTGTAAAAGTGTTCCTATTTCTCCACATCCTCTCCAGCACCTGTTGTTTCCTGACTTTTTAATGATCGCCATTCTAACTGGTGTGAAATGGTATCTCATTGTGGTTTTGATTTGCATTTCTCTGATGGCCAGTGATGATGAGCATTTCTTCATGTGTTTTTTTGGCTGCATAAATGTCTTCTTTTGAGAAGTGTCTGTTCATATCATTTGCCCACTTTTCGATGGGATTGTTTGTTTTTTTCTTGTAAATTTGTTTGAATTCATTGTAGATTCTGGATATTAGCACTTTATCAGATGTGTAGGTTGTGAAAATTTTCTCCCATTTTGTAGGTTGCCTGTTCACTCTGATGGTAGTTTCGTTTGCTGTGCAGAAGCTCTTTAGTTTAATTAGATCCCATTTGTCAATTTTGTCTTTTGTTGCCATTGCTTTTGGTGTTTTAGACATGAAGTCCTTGCCCATGCCTATGTCCTGAATGGTATTGCCTAGGTTTTCTTCTAGGGTTTTTATGGTTTTAGGTCTAACATGTAAATCTTTAATCTATCTTGAATTAATTTTTGTATAAGGAGTAAGGAAGGGATCCAGTTTCAGCTTTCTACATATGGCTAGCCAGTTTTCCCAGCACCATTTATTAAATAGGGAATCCTTTCCCCATTGCTTGTTTTTGTTAGGTTTGTGAAAGATCAGATGGTTGTAGATATGCGGCATTATTTCTGAGGGCTCTGTTCTGTTCCATTGATTATCTCAATAGATGCAGAAAAGGCCTTTGACAAAATTCAACAACGCTTCATGCTAAAAACTCGCAATAAATTAGGTATGGATGGGATGTATCTCAAAATAATAAGAGCTATCTATGACAGACCCACAGCCAATATCATACTGAATGGGCAAAAACTGGAAGCATTCCCTTTGAAAACTGGCACAAGACAGGGATGCCCTCTCTCACCATTCCTATTCAACATAGTGTTGGAAGTTGTGGCCAGGGCAATTAGGCAGGAGAAGGAAATAAAGGGCATTCAATTAGGAAAAGAGGAAGTCAAATTGTCCCTGTTTGCAGATGACATGATTGTATATCTAGAAAACCCCATTGTCTCAGCCCAAAATCTCCTTAAGCTGATAAGCAACTTCAGCAAAGTCTCAGGATACAAAATCAATGTACAAAAATCACAAGCATTCTTATACATCAATAACAGACAAACAGAGAGCCAAATCATGAGTGAACTCCCATTCACAATTGCTTCAAAGAGAATAAAATACCTAGGAATCCAACTTACAAGGGATGTGAAGGACCTCTTCAAGGAGAACTACAAACCACTGCTCAATGAAATAAAAGAGGATACAAACAAATGGTAGAACATTCCATGCTCATGGGTAGGAAGAATCAATATCATGAAAATGGCCATACTGCCCAAGGTAATTTATAGATTCAATGCCATCTCCATCAAGCTACCAATGACTTTCTTCACAGAATTGGAAAAAACTACTTTAAAGTTCATATGGAACCAAAAAAGAGCCCGCATCGCCAAGTCCATCCTAAGCCAAAAGAACAAAGATCGAGGCATCACGCTACCTGACTTCAAACTATACTAGAAGTCTACAGTAACCTGGAGTGTATTTTTCTGACTGATGCTGACTCTCCCTAATAAGATTTTACATAGGTAAGCAAGTCTATGAGTGAGATAGAATGTGAAACATCAGATGTTTCAAAAAGACAGAAGCCTGAAGAGGGCTTTGGAAAAATATAACCTGCCATGAATATTGCTTTTGATAAGACAGCTATTTGCGGGACAGAGAGGCTATCAGCATTTCTAGGAAGTCACTGGTTCATGTGAAAGAATGTACCAAATTTGGAGTGCTACAAAAACAAAACAAAACAACTCAGGACACTGTTTTGTTAATGGAAATTCCTGAAAACAAGCTCAACAAAATCTTGGGAGGTGGTGATACTTGAAAGTCAAAAGTGATTCTAGAGGATTTTAAGGAGAGAGGGCCAAGAAGGAATTTTACAATCTCCACTGGTCTGGGGATGCTCCCTTACCTTTTTCAGCCCTATGCGCAAATGCTCTCTTGTCAGCGGGGTCCTTGCTGAATGTTGTTTGCAATAGCACTCACCTTTCCCCTCCACCTTCACATCTGGCCCCAGCTTCCATCTCAGCTTCATGTTTCTCCATGATATTGGTGGAGTGTCTTGACTACAAGTTGTCCAGGTTCTTGGTGTTTTGAACAATGAATTGGACAAAATGCACAGGAAAGCAAGGAGAGAATGAAGCAATGAAAGCAGAGATTTACTGAAAATGAAAGTATACTCCATAGGGTAGGAGTGGGCTGATCAACAGCTCAAGGGCCCTGGTTACAGGGTCTTCTGAGGTCCAAATATTCTCTAGAAGTTTTCCATTGGCCACTTGATGTACACCCCATGCAAATTAAGTAGTGGCCTGAGATCAGTCTGATTGATTGTGGAAAGCAACCAATCAGAGGCTGAAGTTACAAAGTTATACCCATGCAAATGTCTAATTGCCAATTAGAGGATAAATTGAAGTTATAAAGTTACACGCCTATGCAAATGAAGACTTGGCACACAATTTGTCTGACTGGTTGTGGAAAGCAACCAATCAGAGGGACTTTCAATTTTCCATCTGCCATGCAGTAAAAGGGGAGGGAGGGAGTTGCACAGGGAGTAGCCTCTGGTCCTTTTGTTACTTAGGTGTGAAAAGTTGGTGTTTTCCTTTCAATTTAGTTCTAGGAAGTCAGTGTGAATCAGCCTTAGGTTCCCTGCCTCCAGACCCTATTCTTCTGCCTCAACCGTGGTACATGGAACAATCTGATACACTAACTATGTATTTTGCTGCTTGTCTCTCCCCGCTGAATTCCATAAAGTTAGACATGTTGCTCTGTTGTGTTTCACTGCCATATCTTCAATAACTTAAATTGTACTTGGCACCTAGAAAGCACTCAATAAATACTTGTCAAACAATTGAACCCCACTGCCCAAGATATAACCACAGCTAATTTGTTTTCTTTCCTTCTTGTATAAATGTATATTTAACAGTTCTATATGGAGGGAATCTTGGATTCTTAGTTTGTTTCTATTTATATTTTTCCCCAACTCAGCCTGAAGGAATGTACCTCAATGGAAAAGAAAATGAAGATGCTCATTAATTTTCAAGGACTTTAGGTGTGGAGTGGATGGGTGAGTGTAGCATGGTACTTAGCACTTGGTTAGTCTTCTTGCCCTGTTTCTTGCTGGGCTCTTATGATGGTGTCTGAAAAGAGAAAGATACAACAATTAAAAATAAAGTAAAATTACTTGTTGCTGAAATGCCTGAAAGATGTTGCTTAATGAGACAAAGCCATACAGATAGTAGGTATTTCTTCTACCTTAGGAGGCAGCAATCTGGCTTCTCCAGGCTGGGGTTAGGCACAGGGGCCTGAGTGTGAGCCAGGGGATCCA
Source organism: Homo sapiens (assembly GCF_000001405.40). Taxonomy (NCBI): domain Eukaryota; kingdom Metazoa; phylum Chordata; class Mammalia; order Primates; family Hominidae; genus Homo; species Homo sapiens. The sequence continues at coordinate 13,332,123 of NC_000004.12, read as the reverse complement.
TCACCTGGAGCAGGAAGTGGCAGAGGGTGTCACCTGAGCGGGTGCAGCAGGGGAAGACAGCATGACAGGCTCTGTCCCACAGCCAAGAGGACTTGCTTTCCAAACAACAGCCTGTATGTTTTCAGGCACACAGGAGACACTCTGTGACTTTCTGAATGAGTTGGAAGGAATTTAGAAGGCAGGGGCTCCCGCAGAGCCTGACAGTCCTGTTTTCTCACTGTTATTGTGGACTCTATTTCGCTGTCAGGCTCGGGTGGCTTGAGAAGCCACAGATGATACCTTTGCTGCTGCTCCTACTGCAGTGGTTGCAGATACTTTACCATGTCCCTTCCCCTACCTGGTGTCACCCCTGTTCTCCCACCAATATGGTACTATGGCACCTTTTAATATGGCTGCTGAAGGGAATGTATTATGCTGATTAGATACTTGGTTCTCTTTAAGTTCTTTGTCAAAGTGGTATTATTGAGCTCTAATTTGTCAGTAAACACAAATCCTAATTGGAGGTCTGAAATCTTATGGCAACACGTGTTGTCCAAACAATCCAGATGACTGAGAACAGCCCTGTCTGATAGAACTTTCTGCACTGAGGGGTGCAGCAGCCACCAGCCACATGTGGCTGTTGAGCCCTTGTACTGTGGCCAATGGGATAGAACTAGAATTTAAACTTTATTAATAATTTTAATTAATATGAATTTAAAATGTTAGTATCCACATGTGGTAGTGCAAATCTAGAATATACATTTATGTTTTAAAGACTATAATCTAAGTGAAAACACAAAAATTAAATGCAAATGTAATTATTGGAGGACAGTAGTCTAGGCGACATCTGGCTTGAGACCTTCTGTACTTTGTTCTCATGACCATGTGATGATTTTGATGGCTGATCCTTGATATTTAGGAAAGGGATGCTTTTGTCTCATCCCAGTAAAAGGATAAGCTTATTTGCAAATTAAGAAAATGACCACAAGGTAATCCCAGCACTTTGGGAGGCCAAAGTGGGTGGGTCACTTGAGGCCAAGAGTTCCAGCCCAGCCTGGGCAACATGGAGAAACCCTGTCTCTACAAGAAATAAAAAAATTAGCCAGGCATGGTGGTTTGCTCCTATGGTCCCAGCTACTTGGGAGGCTGAAGTGGGAGGATTACTTGAACCAGGGAGGTAGAGGTTGCAGTGAGCTGTGGTTGTGCCACTGCATTCTAGCCTGGGCAACAGAGAAAGACCCTGCCTCAAAAAAAGAGAAAGTGACCACAGGATAAAGAAATTGTTATTAGTCAAGGTTTTCCAGAGAAACAGAAACAATGGGACACACACACACACACACACACACACACACACACACACACACACTAAGAGATTTATTATGAGGTTGGTTCACATGATTAGGGAGACTGAGAAGTCCCATATCTGCTGTCTGCATGCTGGAGACCTAGGAAAAGCCAGTGGAATAGTTCCAGTCTGGGTCCCAAGGCCTGAAAACCAGAGAAGTCAATAGTGTAGGTTTTAGTCCAAGGGCAAGAGAAGACCCATGTCCAAACTCAGACAGGCAGGAAGCAAAAGGGGCAAATTCCTCTTTCTTCTGCCTTTTTGTTATCAACACATTGGATGATACCAGCCCACATTGGGGAGGACAATCTACTTTATTGATCCACCAATTTAAATGCCAGACTCATTCAGAAACCCCCTCACAGGCACACCCCGAAATAAAGTTTAATCTTGGCACCCCATGATGCAGTCGACAGGGAATTAACTTTCATACCATCCATCCAGTGTATCAGCAAGAGATGGATTCTCTGGCTGTGCTGAACCAGTTTCTAAACCTCAAAGACTGATGACCAGAGCCGGGATCGTGATGCTTTCCAGAAGGAGATGCCCCATGAGGGCCCGCAACTGGCTGGTCACCCTGTGATGTCATCTTGACTTCACTGCCTATAACTGTTTTTAAAAAAATCAGTGATAATCAGTGTAACTAAGAAGACAATTACTGCATATTGAATTGCCACTTTAGACCAGGCATTCTGCCAGGTGTTTCACTATGAGTCATTTTAGTTTTCATTTAATTCAAGTTTGCAATGAGCAGTAATTTTACCCTTATGTATACATGAATCAACTGAGCCATTCTGCTCTGGTCTTGTAGCTAGAATGAAGCACTTGGCCTTGAACTTGGGACTTTGGTTCCCAAAGACAGGATTCTTCTTCTGTGCCACCTTGCCACCAAAGATGTGCTGAAGGTAGCTTGAGGAAGTCAGGAAATGTAGTTTTATGCACTTGCATTGAAATGAATGAGCTCTTCTAAAGCAACAAAGTATAAACTACCATAGTTCCCCTAAAGCATACACCCACTTAGGTTTTTGGCTTCCATTTTATAGAGCATATGTTTAAAATGAGATCCTCTGCAGAGTCCTCTTGTGAGCACTTTCGTTGTCTTTGAGAGATTTATCAAAAGATTCTTGTTTCTACCAGGCTCTTGTCTACAAAGAAACTATTTGTTGTTCACAGAGGCCCTCCAGTTGCAGGATGGGGGAAAAACCATAGTATTTCCTGGATAGTCTGAGTGAGCAGAAGTGGGTCCTCTGGGCACACAGGTTATATTTGATCTTGGACTTTGCTCAAGTGTCAGAATGCCAGAGCAATGATGCTGCCTTTTGCAGCTGTACAATAAAAGAGACATAAACCAGATATTTGATGTTACTAGAGGTAAGGGAACAGAGTGGTTGACTTTTTCCCAGCAGTCCTGGCCCCAAGAATTGTGGGTGGGTTATTGACAATAAGCAGAGAATGCTGCTGAGAGGAGGCATTCCCAGAGCATCTGATGTGATGTTTTCATTTTGAAGACATGCTTAAGTCACCTTGGTCTTCAATCTGGGGAGAAGCCTGATGTGATTTGGCTGTGTCCCCACCCAAATCTCACCTTGAATTTTAGCTCCCATAATTCCCATGTGTTGTGAGAGGAACTTGGTGGGATACAATTGAATCATGGGGGCAGTTTCCACCATATTGTTCTGATGGTAGTGAATAAGTCCAGTGAAATCTGATGGTTTTATAAGGTGTTTCCCCTTTCACTTGGTTCTCATTTGTCTTTTTGCTGGCCGCCATGTAAGACATCCCTTTGCTCTTCCTTCCTCTTCTGCCATGATTGTGAGGCCTCCCCAGCCATGTGGAATTGCGAGTAAATTAAACCTCTTTCATTTATAAATTACCGAGTTTCAGGTATGTCTTTATCAGCAGTGTGAAAAAGGACTAATACAAAGCCCTTCTGTGATGTGCTATGTGTGATCACATTCCTTTGAGCTTCCTCTGAACAGATTCTGGATAGTGCCCTCAGAAGTGCTTCTGAGTCAGATTTTACTCAGCAACCATTTGGATCTGAGATGAGCTTTCTTTAATTTTCAAAAGAGTCCTTTCTGGCAGAGTGGGTTGTGGTGGGAAGAGTGTGGATTTTGGAGTTGGGCAAACCTGGTGTCCATCCTGTCAATGTCCTTGCTTAGTCCTGTGACTTTGGGGAAGTCATTTCTCCTCCAGCTTTATTGAGGTGTAATTGACAAATAAAAATTGTATATATTTAAGGTGTACAATGTAGTGACTTGATATATGTATACATTGTAAAATAATTATCAGGGTCAAGCTAATTAACACATGTATCACCATTTTTTGTGTGTGTTATGATAATGCTTAAGATCTACTCTCCTAGCAAATTATACGTGTACAATACAACATTATTAAGTATAGTCATGCTGTACATTATATTTATGCTGTACATTAGATGCTCAGAACTTACTCAATTTATTTCTGCAAGTAGGAAAGTCATTTCTGAATGGACAACTGTAATAGAGCCTTCTGGTGTTATCCATATCTAGTTATTAGACCATGGAGGCGAAACAAAAACTGAGAAGCTTTAAAAACACAGTAATCAGAAGCACATGTTTCTTAGCGGTCCTAGTGCTCATGCCATCACATGTCATGTGGCTCCTGGGAAACTCCACTATACCCTTGTGAGGAGATGAGAATGAAAAAGGCAAATAACATGTCAGTATTATTAAGAAAGAATTTTGACCTTGCAGACTCTGAAAGGATCTTCAGCACCCCAAGGAGTCCCCAGATCACACTGAGAACCACTGTTGTAATATTTCAAATCCGTGTTTTAAATACAGATACCTCCGAGCCTTTGCACAGGATGTTCTCTCTGTCTGCAACACTCTTCCTCAGACATTTTCATCTCCCACTCCTTTAGCACCTTTGCATAAGAAAGGTCTTTGCTACCTTTCTTAATAAAGCTTATCCTGACCACCCCATTCAAGTTGCAGTTACTGCCCCCCTACCATCACCACTCAAATTGTTCCTTATTCTGCTCTGTTTTTTCCACAGCACTTACCACCTTCTAATAGTATATTATTTATTTATTGTAATATTATATAATTTACTTATTTACTGTCTATTCCTGTTAGAACATGAGTTTCTTGATGGATTATTTTGTACATAGATCTATTCCCAGCAACTGTAACCATATCTGGCTTGTAGTAGGTGCTCAACAAATATTTCTGGGAAGGAAGGAAGGAAGAGAAAAAACTCCATGAGTTTAGACATGTTTAAAAAATATTTTTATTGACGAATAATTGTATATATTTATTAAGTACAATGTGACATTTTGATATATGTATACATTGTAAAATGTTTAAATCAAGCTAATCAACATATCTATCACTTTACCTACTTACCATTTTTTCATAGTGAGAACATTTAAAATCTACTCTTTTAGTAACTTTCAATTGTAGAATACATTATTATTAACTATAGTTGACATGTTGTGCAATAGATCATGAAAACTTATTCCTCTAGGCACTGTTTTTTTTTTTTTTAACTTTAAGTTCTGGGATACATGTACAGAACATGCAGGTTTGTTACGTAGGTATACATGTGCCATGGTGGTTTGCTGCACCTTTCAACCCATCATCTAGGTTTTAAGCCCCGCATGCATTAGGTATTTGCCCTAATGCCCTCCCTCCCCTTGCCCCCAACCCTCTTGACAGTTCCCGGGGTGAGATGTCTCCTCCCTGTGTCCGTGTGTTCTCATTGTTCAACTCCCACTTATGAGTGAGAACATGTGGTGTTTGGTTTTCTGTTCCTGTGTTAGTTTGCAGAGAATGATGGTTTCCAGCTGCATCCTTGTCCCTGCAAAGGACACAAACTCATTCTTTTTATGGCTGCATAGTATTCCATGTGGTATATGAGGCACTTTGTTTTATCTCTTGCTATTATCTCCAGTGGCTAGAACAATTCTGTGAGCATACCAGTGAATAAATGAACAAAGTGAAAATCCAGTCTTTTTAGGTTGTCAGATCCCATACTTAAAACCTCTAGATCTTAGAGATGATTCAGAAAATTTTTACTGGGCCATGTTTTACTAGTGGTGGGATGAAATACAAGAGTTTCTGCATGCTTTTAAGTCTCATTTTACTTACTCATTTATTATCAAAGGAAGCATAAATTGAATGAGGATGAAAAACCAACAGATGCACCTGGCCTGTAGGTAGCCTGGAACCCAGCAATGTTAGTTCCCTTTCTTTTTCTTGATTTTTTTAAATTATTCATTTTTAATTTTTATATTTTCTATTTTTTTTGAGACTGAGTCTTGCTCTGTCACCCAGGCGGGAGTGCAGTGGTGTGATCTCAGCTCACTGCAACCTCCGCCTGCTGGGTTCAAGCGATTCTCCTTCAACCTCCCAAGTAGCTGGAACTTCAGGTGAGTACCACCATGCCCGACTAATTTTTGTAGTTTTAGTAGAGACAGAGTTTCACTGTGTTGGCCAGGCTGGTCTTGAACTCCTGGCCTCAAGTGATCTGCCCGCCTTGGCCTCCCAAAGTGCCGGGATTACAGCCATGAGCCACCACACCTGGCCCAGTTCCCTTTCTTTTTCTTCTCATTTTCCTCTTTGTTTTTTGTGATCTTAGTGCTAAGAGGGCCTGCATTCAAAGGTGTTCAGGCCTTCTTAGAAGAGAATGCCTTTGAAAGCTGATCAGCAGGGCAAGTTGAGTCTTGAGTATAAATGCTGTTGTTAAAAGCCCATTAAAGTTGGCCTGAAAACTGCGGCATGAGGTGCCTTAAAAGAGCAAAAGGCCTGCCACTTCCAATCAAAGCTGGTTGTCTCTTTGACCTCTCTTACAGTTCACTTCTCTGCACTTCCCTAGGGCATGTGTGTCAGAAGCCAGTGGCAGCCAAGCAGTGAGTGTTAGGAGTGAAGTCTTATCAGTTGTTAGCAATTGCCATGCAAACGTACAAGGTCGGCATTGTCATTTCCACATATGTTAGGTGCTAGAAACAAGGGCTCTTTGAAAAAGAGCTCTTTAAATGCCAATGTCTAAATTAGATACTAACTTTAATGGTCCTTAGACTTTTTTATGTTTATCATAATTATTTCTGTACATTCTTCCTCTGGAGTCGTTCTTTTATTTCTGTTATAAGTCCACATTAGACTTGCATCATTCATTCAAGGAAGGGAGAATGTAGAAGAAAGACTAGGAAAGACTTGTACCTAAATGATAAAAGATCTGTACTGTCACTGCTGCTCACAGGGACCACTCCATGGGAGCTTACTTTGTGTCAGACTCTGGTCTAAGCCTTTACACACATTAATACTGTACATTTATATATATATATATATATATATATATATATTTATATATATATATATGAATAACTTTAATGCTTATAACAAGGCAACTGGAAAAATATTATTATCATCTCTATTTTACAGATGAAGAAAGTGAGCACAGACAGGTTAAGTAAATTGTTCAACGTCACACAGCTTGTGAGCAGGGAAGAGGTTTCCAGCCAGGATTCAGAGCCTGGATGTTTAACCAGTAGAGATTGAAAAGATGAAAGATTCTGGAATTCTATTATACCGAGGGCTATATGGCTTTCATGTGGAAAGAATGTGGCAGTTAAGATGGTGACCTGAAAGGATAAGGAGGATTGGACAGGTAGAGATGGGAGAAGAAAGGGCACTTTACAGAAATGTTGTCCAGTAGCACATTCTGCAGTGTTGAAATTGTTCAATATCTGTCTCATCCCATATGGTAGCAACTAGCCACATATGCCGATTGAACACTTGAAATATGGCTGGTGTGACTTAAGAATGAACTTCTAATTTTGTTTAATTTTAATCAATTTAAATGCAAACAGCCACACATGAATAGTGACAATCATATTGATCAGTGTAGCCATAGAAAACACCAGCATAATGATCATATCATAGGATACCAAGAGTCCTTTATTTGTAGGTGTGAGTAGGCTGAGTGAAGGATAGTAAAAGAGCTGAGGGAGAAAGGCTGATGGTTGTCTGATGACAAATGTCATAAGAAGAATCAGATTTATTCTGAAGACAATGAAGGACTGGTCAAAATTTCAGATCTGGAAAATAACTTGATAAGCCATGTGCTTAGGGAAGAAACAGAGGGCAGGATACATTGACAGATGAACAGGTGGGAACCTGGGTGGCAAAGCTTGACAGTATGCAATCAGAATTCTTTATGAAGAGTTTTAGTACTATTTTTAGATTTATTATACAAACCAGGGAAAAATAATTGGTAAATAACTTAGGTAGTGTCTTATTTTTCATTCTTTTGGGTAGTGTAGCCTTATTTGCTCAACTGTAACTATAATGTTTAAATCTTAGCACAAACTGTTTATTGCAAGTAACCAGCATGAGTGGGCTTAAGCAAAAATGGGTCATTGTTAAAAAGACACTTAGGTAGTTCTTGGAATCCAGGAGCAGTGGGGCTCTGAAGGGACTGGAATTAAGAATTGGAAAGTGAGCAGGAACCTAGGCAGTCCTTATTCTCCTCTCATTTTTGCCTCTTTGTACATCTGTTTTTATTCTCTCTCCGCCAATTGCTTGCCCTGCTTCTCTCTACTGCAGTGGGAAAATGATGACTATTTTCAAGGTCTTGAGTTTACATCTCCTCGGTTGCAACCACATGAAAAGACTGTCTCAGAATCCTAGTTCAAAAACAACGAGCTTGGGTCAGGCATCCATTTTGGTTCCAGCAACCACAGACAGAGATGTAGAGTCAGAAACACAAACATGTTTGCCAGGGCAGCAGGAGAGGAGGTGAATTCTCAGAAATAGAAGGTCTTTGTGACTTGGGCAGTAGCATAAATGGTGCTTATTACAGTTCACTATTGCTATGAAAATGTTGACTGAGCTTGGGTCCCTATTGAGAAACACAGAACTAATAGGCATTTGGGCCTACAATAAATACAGACAGGAGTTCAAGCCACAATGAGAATTGGCAGTCAGAATTTAAACAGAACCCTGACTGATCAGCATTGCTAATTTTTCTTTCCTGCTGAGTCCATTAGCTTATCTTTGGTCTAATTTTTGTAACATATGCGCCAGTCTTAGAAAAGCATTTTCCCATGGTTAGGATAAAGACTGCTCCTGATATTTCACAAGTTACACAGAAAGTTTCTGAGCACTTAATAGTACAAGAAATAAGATCTGAGAGATTGGTCCTTATTTTGCAACATAATGGAAGAAGTACAGAAATGACTGCCACATGTTGAAAATCACCTCTCATATTTCAAACACCTTTTTAAAAAGGTGCTGAAAATTAATTATATATTAATAGTAGTAAATGCAAGTAGAACTATTTAAATAGAAGTTTGGAGAAGGTAGAGACCATGGTGGTGTCATAAAATATCAAAACCTCATGTTATTTTGAGAGGGACAATGACTCTGCCATTTTAGGCATGCCTTAATCCTTTACCACTTGTAGAGTAAAAAGGTATTTTTTTAAATATAAAACAATGTAGATTTTTAGGGTGTGGGCTCTGTAAGCATGAGGTCAAGATTGGAAGGAACAGGGTCATCAAGATGGCTGACTAAAGGTGCCAACACTCACCTACTCCATAAAGAAGAACCAAAACAACACATAAATAACTGTACCTTGAATAGAGTGTCTAAGGGAGAACACTGGAACTCAGCAAGGAAGAGATGAAAACCCTCTGAAGCACAGAAACTCAAGATGACAACATAGACAAGGAAGCAAAAACACCCAGCTGAAATTGGCTTGGAACCAAGAAAGACTTTCCATTGTGGGGAAAAAGGTAAGCTGGGGAAAAGATCTCCAGAATTACCCATTACCAATGTGAATACTTGCAATTCCAGCTACAGCAGAGCCTCATAATCTTGGCAGGCTTTGAGCCCATTGCAGGAAGCTGCCTGGAGTTCATGTGGGTGCATTACTCCAGAGAAGGAACTCATGCTAGTTCCTCCCCACACTCCACCACAACACACTCCCTGGAATGCAAGTTTTTATGGCTTGGTGCCATTTTAAAAACAGAACCACTGCTGGAATCCATTCTGTTCTGGAGCCAAATATCATCTGCATCTCCACATTCTTGGGGTTGTGCTATCATTTCACCACACCCTCACAAAAAGCTGAAATGCCATGGACCCAGCTAGACCCAGCAGTACAGCTGCAACACAGCTGTACAACCTGAATACACACAGCACCCTATGCTCCAAGTAATGGGCAGCTCAACACAGTGAAGAGGATGCCCCTAAGACTGAGACAGCTGACACATACTTTCCACAAGGTCTGAGAACTGGCACAAGAACTTGTCCAATGCCTGCAACTGCCAGCATTCTCACTCTCTGAACTGCCTGAGCCACAGTGCATTGTTTGCACTCTTCAGTGACTTGGATACAGCCCACCGGATGCATGCTACCGCCAATAACCTTGCCCCCACAACCAGTGTATCCACTGTGCCTGGCACACCCCAACTCCACCAGGGCTTGAGAAGTAGCCTGATTGGGAGCCCCCAGCCCCAGCAAAGCCACACCGTTGCTTCCACAAACACCCACAGTCTAAGCCACTGAGGCATTTGCAGATACTGCTGACATTGATAACAGTCAAGAAATCACAGGGAGACTATGCTACTGCACCCACCCAGAACCAAAGCCAAAGTGCCTTACCCAATCAACAGTGTAGGACACATCTATAGGAAAAAGTCTTTCCCTATGAAAACTACTCCATAAAATTGGAAGAGGCAACTTCCACCAGATGTGCAGATATTGAGAGATATAAAAAACTATGAAAAATCAAGGAAATATAATACATCCAAAGGAACACAATAATTTTCTAGTACCAGACCCCAAAGAAAAGAAAATCGATAAAATGCCTGAAAAGGAATTCAAATAGTGATCTTAAGGAAACTCAGAGACATACAGAGAAAATAAATAGACAATTCAATGAAATCAGGAAAGCAATTTATGATCTGAATGAAAAATTCAACAAAGAGGTAGATATCATTTAAAAAACCAAACAGAAATCTTGTGGCTAAATAATATCAGTGAATAAAATAGAAATACAATTAAGAGCTTAAACAATGACTAGATCACACAGAAGAAAGAATTTCTGAACTTTAAGACAGGTCTTTTTTTATAGCTGCATAGTATTCCAAGGTGTATATGTGCCACATTTTCTTTTTTCAGGCTATCATTGTTGGGCATTTGGGTTGATTCCAAGTCTTTGCTATTGTGAACAGTGCTGCAATAAACATACATGTGCATGTGACTGAAGCTGGAAACCATCATTCTCAGCAAACTAATACAAGAACAGAAAACCAAACATTGCATGTTCTCACTCACAAGTGGGAGTTGGACAATGAGAACACATGGACACAGAGAGGGGAACATCACACACTGGGGCCTGTCGGTGGGTGGGAGTCTAGGGGAGGGATAGCATTAGGAGAAATACCTAATATAGATGACGGGTTGATGGGTGCCGCAAACCACTATGGCATATGTGTACCTAAGTAACAAACCTGCATGTTCTGCACATATATCCCAGAACTTGAAGTATATCTATCTATCTATCTATCTATCTATCTATCTATCTATCTATCTATCTATACACACACACACACACACACACACACACATATATATATATACACACACATATATATATATGTATATACACACACACATATATATATATATAGAGAGAGGTCTTTTGAAATAACCCAGTGAGACAAAAACAAACAAACACAAATATTGAAAGCCTATGGGGTTTATGGGACACCATCAAGTGAACAAATGTTATGTAGTTAAAGAAGAAAAGGAAATGGGAAAAGACATAGAAAACGTATTTAATGAAATAATAACCAAAAAATTCCAAGCCTTGGGAGAAATATGGTCATCCAGATTCAAAAAGAGAATCTGTGATTCAACCCAAAAAGGCCCTCTCTGAGGCAAGTCATAGTCAAATTCCAAAAAGTCAAAGACAGAATTATAAAAACAACAAAGAAAAGCATCAAGTCATATGCAAGGAAATATCCATTAGACTAACAACAGCTTTCTCAGCACGACACTTACAGGTCAGTAGAAAATGGGATAATATATTTAAAGTGCTGAAAGAAAAAAAACTCAGCCAAGAATACTATGATCAGCAAAGCTATCATTCATATATGAAGGAGAATTAAAGTTTTTTAGACAAGCGAAAACTGAGGAAATTCATCACCACTAGACTAGCCTTGCAAAAAATGCTTAAGGGAACCCTACATTCAGACATGAAAGGGTGATAACTACCATCGTGAAAATACACACAAGTATAAAACTTACTGGTAGGGAAAATATATAAATGAGAAAGAAGAAGGAATAAAATCTTATCACCATAGAAACCCACCTAACCACAAAGATAAAAAATAAAAGACTAAGAAAGAAACAAGAGATATACAAAACAACCAGAAGACAACTAACTGACATGAGTAAGTCCGCACCAATTAATAATAACCTTGAAAATAAATGGATTAAATTCCTAAATTAAAAGTTACAGACTAGATGAACCGATTAAAAATACCCAACTATATACTGCCTAGAAGAAACTCACTTCACCTGTAAAGACACTGAAAGAAGACACTGAAAGAGAAGGGATAATAAAAGATATTTCATGAAAATGAATACCAAAAATGAGCAGAAGTAGTTAGATGAAATATACTTTAAGAAAAAAATTGTAAAAACATACAAAAAGGTCATTATATAATGCTAAAGGGGTCAATTAAATAAGAAGATATAATAATTGTAAATGTATGTGCACCCAACATAAGAGCACCTTGATATGTAAAGCAAATGTTATCAGATCTAAAGGGAGAGATAGACTCTAATACGAAATTCCCCTGAGAGTGGGAATTTCAACAACCCACTCTGAGAATTGAGCAAATTATTTAAACAGAAATCCAACAAAGAAACATCAAGTTTAAATTGCACAGTAGACCAAATAAACCTAACAGATGTCTACAGAACATTTCATCCACTGGTTGCAGAATACATATTCTTATCAGCACACGGGACGTTCTCCAGAATAGACCATAAGTCAGGCTACAAAACAAGTCTCAACAAATTGTTTAAAAATTAAAAACATATCAAGTGTTTTTTCTGACAAATATGAAATAAAGCTAGAAATCAATAACAAGCAGAACTTTGGAAATTGTACCAAAACATGGAAATTGTACCAAAACATGGAAATTAATGGCCAATGGGTGAAGAAAGAAATTCACAGAAAGAAATTAAAAAATTTCCTGAAATAAATGAAAATAGAAACACAACATCAGAACTTATGGGATAGAGCAAAAATAGTATTAAGAGGGAAGTATATAGCAATACATGCCTATATTCATTAAGAAAGATTTCAAATAAAAAACCTAATAATGGATCTCAAGGAATGAGAAATGGAAGAATAAACCAGTCGCTGAATTAGTAAAGAAACAGCAATGATCAGAGCAAAAGTAAAGAAAATAGAGACTAAAACTCCAGAAGATCAACAAAATAAAAGGTTTGTTTTCTGAAAAGATTAAAAAACTGACAATACATTTTCTAGATTAACTAAAAAAAAGAGAGACATTCCAAATAAATAAAATCAGAAACAAACAAATAAAGACATTACAACTGATATCACATAAATACAAAGAATAATTAGAGACTGTTATGAACAATTATATACCAACAACTTGTGAAACTAGAGAAAACTGATAAATTCCTGGACACATACAAACTACCAGCATTGAACCAGGAAGAAATAAAAAATTTGAACAGACCAATAATGAGTAACAAGATTGAATCTGAAAAAAAAGTCTCCTAAAAAAGAAAAGCCCAGGACAGGAGGGCTTCATGGCTGAATTCTATCAAACTTTAAAAAAAAAATTTTTTTCTCAAACTTAAAAAAAATGAATGAAGGAAATTATTCCTAATTTGTTCTATGAGGCCAGGCCAGCATTACCTTGATACCAAAACCAGGCAAGGACACAATGTAAAAATAAAACTACAGGCTGATATGTATGATAAACATAGATGCAAAAATCCTCAAGAAAATGCTAGCAAACCAAATCTAACAGCACGTCAGAAAGATTATATGACATGATCAAATGGGATTTTTCCCAGGGATGCAAGGAGATTTCAACCATGCAAATCAATAAACATGATACATCACATCAATAGAATAAAAACCAAAAACCATATTATCATCTCAATAGACACAGAAGAAACATTTGATAAAATTTAACATTTATTCATGATAAAAATCCTCCAAAAATTAGGTATAGGGGAAGTGTAGCACAACACAATAAAGGCCATATATGACAAACCTACAGCCAACATCATGCTGAACAGGTAAAAGTTGGAAGCTTTCTCTCTAACAACTGGAACAAGGCAAGGATGCCCACATCAACACTCTTATTCAAGATAATATTGGAAGTGTTAGCCAGAGCAATATGACAGGGAAAGAAATAAAGGGCATCCAGATTGAAAAGGAAGAAGTTAAATTGTTCTTGTTTGCAGATGACATTATCTTATATTTAGAAAAACCTAAAGACTTAAAAAAACTTCTTGAACTGATAAAAAATTCAATAAGGTTGCAGGATATGAAATCAACATAAAATAATCAGTAGCGTATCTATACACCAATAATGATCTAGCTGAAAAAGCAATTAAGAAAGCAATCCCATTTACAATACTACAAAAAAGTCTAGTAATAAATTTAACCAAGGAGGTGAAATATTTCTATAATGAAAACTATAAAACACTGGTGAAAGAAATTGAAGAGGACACACACACACACAAATGGAAAGATATCCCATGCTTATGAATTGGAAGAATTAATAGTGTAAAAATGAGCACTGTACAGATTCAACGTAATCCTATTAAAATATGGATAACATTCTTCACAGATATAGAAAAAAATCTTAGAATTTATATGGAAACACAGAAGGCTTTATATAGCCAAAGTAATCCTGAGCAAAAAGAACAAGGCTGGAGGCATCACACTACCTGATTTAAAAATATGCTGTTCTACAAAACTTTAAATCACACTACCTGATTTAAAAATATGCTATTCTACAAAGCTATAGTAACCAAAACAGCATAGTACTGGCATTCAAAAAGATACATAGACCAACGGAACAGAATAGAGAACACAGAAATAAGTCCATGTATTTACAGCCGCTTGATTTTTGACAAATTCACCAAGAACATGCATTAGGGATAGGCCAGTCTCTTCAATAAATGATGCTGGGAGAATTGGACATCACAGAAAAATAAAAATAGACTCATCTTTCACCATAAGCAAAAATCAACTCAAAATGGATTAAAGGCTTAAATTGAAGACCTGAAACTGTGAAACTACTAGAAGAAAACATAGGAGAAATGCTTCAAGACATTGGTCTGGGCAAAGGTTTTTATGGATAAGACCTCAAAAGGGCAGACAACAAAAGTAAAAAATAGACAAATGGAATTGTATCAAATGAAAACCTGCACAGCAAAAGATACAATAACAGAGTGAAGAAATAACCTGCAGAAAGGGAGAAAATATTCACAAACTATGACAAAATATTAATACCAAGAATACACAAGGAACTCAACTCCACAACAAAAAATCAAATAATCTGATTAAAAAGGCAAATGAACTGAACAGATATTTATCAAAAGAAGATATACAAATGGCCAATGGGTTTATAAAAATGGTCTACATCACTAATTATCAAGAAAATGTTAATCAAAACCACAATGAGATATCATCTTACCCCAGTTAGAATAGCTATTATTAAAAAGACAAAAAATATCAAATGCTGACAAAGATGTGGCAAAAAGGAAACTCAAATACATTGTTGGTGGGAATGGAATTTCATACAGCCACTATGAAAAACAGTATGGAGATTCCTCAAAAACCTACAAATACATTACCATATGATCCAGCAATGTCATTAGGGGGTATATGTCTAAAGAAAAGGAAATCAGTGTGGCAACAAAATATCTGCAATCCCATATTTATTGTAGCACTCTTGTAGCACTATGAAGAAAACACAGGAGAAATACTTCAGGACATTGGTATGGGCAAAAATTTTTATAAATAAGACCTCGAAAGTACAGATAACAAAAGCAAAACATAGACAAATTATATTATATCAAACAAACACGTTCTGCATGGCAAAAGATACAATCAACAGAGTGAATAAATAACCTGCAGTATGGGAGAAGATATTTGCAAACTATGCAAAGTTTGTACATGTGCATTGTAGCATGTGGATTATGCATGTGGACTGTAGCACCATAGCCAAGATACAGATTGAGCGTAAGTATCCATCAACAGATAAGTAGGTAAAGAAAATGTGACACACACACACACACATACACACACACACACACACACACCCAATGAAATACTTTTCAGCCATAAAATTAATGAAATACTCTCATTCACAGCAATATAAATAAGTCTAGAGGACATTAGATTAAGTGAAATAAGCAAGGCACAGAACAGCAAGTACCACACAATCTCACTTATATGTGGAAGTTAAAACAAATTGATCTTATAGAGAGTAGAATAGTGGTTACTAGATCCTGGGAAGGGTAGAGGAGAGAGCAGGATGGCAAGAGATTCGTTAATGAATACAAAATTACAGCTAAATAGGAGGGATAGTTCTAGTATTCTAAGCACCTTGGAGTGACTATAGTTAACAATAATTTATTGTGTATTTTTAGATAGGTAGAAGAGTGTATTTTTAATATTCCCAATGCAGAGAAATGATAAATGTTTGAGGTGATGGATATACCAATTATTCTGATTTGATCATTACCCATTGTATACATGTGTCAAAATATCACACTGTACCCCATAAATATATATAATAACTATATGTAAATTAAAAATAATTTTTAAAAGATGAGAAGGAACAGAAACAAGGAGTGAATGCCAAGGTTAAAGGACCAGCATTTTTAACTCTGCCATATTTATATGAAGGTTACATATACTTTGCTCCAATTTAATGACCTTCACAGCCTTTATCTATGGTTCATTTACTTATTCAGCAAATATTTCTTGAGCATCTACTATGTGTCAGGTGCTATTTTAAGCAGGTGAGAAATATCAGTGAGTAAAACAGAAAACATTCTTACCTCCTGTATGCTTTCATTCTAGTGTGTGTTGACACCATCGGGGAATACATACAATAAACAGTAAGCATAAAGAATAAGTAAATTATGTCATATTTCAAGATAATGCTGTGGGGAAAAAAGTAGGGTGGGTTAAGGGGATCAGGAGTCCTTTTGGTAGAAGGATGAGTGGGTTGCATTTTAAACATGGTCATCAGGCCAGACGTTGTGGCCCACACCTGTAATCCCAGCACTTTGGGAGGCCGAGGTGGGTGGGTCACCTGAGGTCAGGAGTTTGAGACCAGCCTGACCAACATGGTGAAACCCCATCTCTACTAAAATTAAAAAAATTAGCTGGGCGTGGTGGCAGGTACCTGTAATCCCAGCTACTTGGGAGGCTGAGGCAGGAGAATCGCTTAAACCTGGGAGGCAGATGGAGGTTGCAGTGAGCCGAGATCATGCCATTGCACTCCAGCCTGAGTGACAGAGTGAGACTCCATCTCAAAAAAAAAAAATAAAATAAATAAATAAATAAATAAAAATAAGCATGGTCATCAAGGTAGAACTTATAGAGAAGATGACTTTTGAACAACGATTTATAAGAGATAAAGGAGGAAATGATTTGAGTACCTGAGTAAAGACCATTCCAGGCAGAGGGAAAAGCCAGCGCAATGCCCAGAAGAGGAAGAGTGGCTGGAATCTTCAAGCAACATCAAGGAGACTGATGTTGTTGGAGTGCAGTGAACAAGAGGGAGTATATAAGATGTAGTCAGATAACTGAAAGGATGGGTGGACATCACTGAAGTGGGGCAGATCATTTAGGGATTTTGAGGCCTCTAGAAGGTCTTTTTTACTTGAAGTGAAATGAAGAGCCATTGAAGAGTCATGACCAGAAGAGCGATGTGATCTGACCTATGAAATTTTAGAGGTATATTTTACCTATAGTAAAATGCACAGGTTTCAGAGTATCATTTGATATATTTTGAAAAATGTGAAATCTATGAGACCATTACCTAAGTCAAGATATAGAGCATTTCCCTCTAAATTTCTCTCATTACCCTTCCTATGGTCTGAATATTTGTGTCACCTTAAAATTCATATGTGGAGGCCTAATCACCCAATTAGACAGGAATAATAGGTTGGGCCTTTAGGAGGTGATCAGGTCTTGGGGACGGAGTTCTGTTGTAAAGGATTGGTACTTTAAAGAAGAGGCTAGAGGGAGCTTATTCACCCTTTCTGCCTTTTGAGGACATAGGAAGTGCCATTTATGAGGAATGGACCCTCACCAGACAATCTGCTGGTACCTTAATCTCCCCAGTCTCTAGAACTGTAAACAACACATTTTTCTTATTTATAAATACTCAGTCTAAGATATTTTGTTATACCAGCACAAATGGACTAAGACAATCGTTTATTGTTTTTATTATTTCATTATGTGTATTATTTCCTTCTATTTTCTTTGTATTTAATTTGCTCTTCTTTTCTAGCTTCTAGAAGCAGTGGTTTAGATTAGGGTTGACAAAAGTTTTTTATAAAGATCTAGATGATAAATATTTTAGGGTTTTGGGGTCATACACTCTGTTGCAACTGCTCAACTCTGCCATTGTAGTGCAAAGCTGTCATAGACACTGTGTAATCAACTGAGTATGGCAGTGTTCCAATAAAACCATTAACAAAAATAGGCAGCAGACTGAAATTGATCTGGAGGCCATAGTTTGCTGACCTCTGGATTAGATCATTGGTTTTTGAATCTTCCTTCTTTTTTATTTTTGCCATTGCATTTTTTTAGTTTTAAAATTTCCATGTAGTTTTTCTATTTCCTTATTTATCTGCTGAGATTCTCATTTGTTTCAGGAAAGTTTATAATTGTTCAATGAAGCACGCTCATAATGGCTGATTTAAAATCTTGGTCACATAATTTTATCATCGGTGGTCATTTTGATGTGGGTATCTGTCGTTTGTCTTTGCTCATTCAAGTTGAGATGTTCCTGGTTCTTGAAATAGTGATTTCCTATTGAAAGCTGGGCATCTTAAGTGTTATGTCATGAGAGTCTGGATCTTAATTAAATCGATTATAGTTAAACTCTTCTCTGTTAAACACCACTGTGGTGGGAGAGGAGGCAGTCTACCTTCTTCTCTCCACAATTCAGAGTTTTCTCACTTTTTTTTTTTTTTGTATGGAATACCCAGGGGTTTGGCTGTATTTAGTGGGAGAAATAGGGAAGAGGACACATGCTGCATCTTAAGAGAATGCATTTAACGTATCCATTTGTTTATTTATTTTGAATTAAATTTTTAAATCTTTTTTAAGTTCAGGGGTATAAGTGCAGGTTTGTTATACAGGCAAACTTGTGTCACGGGGGTTTGTTGTACAGATCACTTCGTCACCCAGCTATTATGCCTAGTACCCATTAGTTATTTTTCCTGATCCTCTCCCTCCTCCCACCTTCCACACTCTGAAAGGCCCCAGTGTGTGTTGCTCCCCTCTGTGTCCATGTGTTCTCATCATTTTACTCCCACTTAAAAGTAAGAACATGTAGTATTTGGTTTTTCTCTTCCTCCATTAGTTTGCTGAGGATAATGGCCTCTAGCTCCATCCATGTCCCTGCAAAGGACATGATTTCATTCTCTTTTATAGCTGCATAGTACTCCATGGTATATGTGTACCACATTTTCTTTATCCAATCTGTCACTGATGGACATTTAGGTTGATTCCATGCCTTTGCTATTGTGAATAGTGCTGCAATAAACATACGTGTATCGTTATAATAGAACAATTTATATTCCTTTGGGTATATACCCAGTAATGGGATTGCTGGGTGGAATAGCATTTCTGTTTTTAGGTCTTTGAGGAATTCCCACACTGTCTTCCACAATGGTTGAACTAGTTTACACTCTCACCAACAGTGTATAAGTGTTTCTTTTTCTCTGCAACTTCACTAGCATCATTTTTTTTTTTTTTTACTTTTTAATAATAGCCATTCTGACTGGTGTGAGATGGTATTTCATTGCGGTTTTGATTTGCATTTCTAATGATCAGTGATACGAGCTTTTCTTCATATGCTTGTTAGCCACATGTGTCTTCTTTTGAAAAATATCTGTTAATGTCCTTTGCCCCTTTTTAATGGAGTTGTTTTTTTTTTCTTGTAAATTTAAGTTCCTTATAGATAGACCTTTGTCAGATGCATAGTTTGCAAACATTCTCTCTCCCATTCTGTAGGTGGCCTGCTCACTCTGTTGATAGTTTCCTTTGCTATGCAGAAGCTCTTTAATTAGATCCCCTTTGTCAATTTTTGCTTTTGTTGCAATTGCTTTTGGCATCTTTGTCTTGAAATCTTTGCCCATTCCTATGCCCTGAATGGTATTGCCTAGATTGGCTTCCAGGTTTTATGCTTTTGGATCTTACACTTAGGTCTTTAATCCATCTTGAGTTAATTTTTGTATATGGTGTAAGGAAGGGGTCCAGTTTCAATCTTCTGCATATGGCTAGTCCATTATCCCAGCATCATTTATTGAATAGGAAGTTCTTTCCTCATTACTTATTTTTGACAGATTTGTTGAAGTTCAGATAGCTGTAGGTGTGTGGCCTTATTTCTGAGTTCTCTATTTTTTTCCATTGGTCTATGTGTCCGTTTTTGTACCAGTACCATGCTGTTTTTGGTTACTATAGCCCTGTAGTATAGTTTGAAGTCAGTTAGCATGATGCCTTCAGCTTTGTTCTTTTTGCTTAGGATTGCCTTGGCTATTTGGGCTCTTTTTTGGATCCATATTAATTTTAAAATAGTTTTTTTCTAGTTCTGTGAAGACTTTCAATGGCAGTTTAATAGGAATAGAATTGAATCTATAAATTACTTTGGGTAATATGGCCATTTTTATTATATTGATTCTTCTCATACATGGACATGGGATGTTTTTCTATTTGTTTGTGTCATCTCTGATTTCTTTGAGCAGTATTTGTAGTTCTCCTTGTAGAGGTCTTTCACCTCCCTAGTTAGCTGTGTTTCTAGGTATTTTATTTTATTTTATTTTTTGTGGCAATTGTGAATAGGGTTGTGTTCTTGATTTGGCTCTTGGCTTGACTGTTGGTGTGTAGGAATGCTAGTGATTTTTTCACATTGATTTTTGCATCCTGAGACTTTTAAAAAGTTGTTTATCTGCTTAAGAAGCTTTTGGGCTGAGACTATAGGGTTTTCTAGATATAGGATCATGTCATCTGAAAACAGGGATAGTTTGACTTCCTCTCTTCTTATTTGGATATCCTTTATTTCTTTCTCTTGCCTGATTGCCCTGGCTAGGACTTCCAATTCTATTTTGAATAGGAGAGGTGAAAGAGGGCATCATTGTTTTGTGACAGTTTCCGAGGGGAGTGCTTCCAGCTTTTAAAAGCCCATTCAGTATGATGTTGGCTGTGGGTTTGTCATAGATGGCTGTTATTATTTTGAGGTATGTTCCTTCAATACCTAGTTTATTGAGTTTTTTTTTTTTTTTTTAACATGAAGAGGTGTTGAATTTTACTGAAAGCCTTTTCTGCATCTATTGAGATTAAAATGTGGTTTCTGTCTTTAGTTATGTGCATGTGATGAATCACATTTATTGATTTGGGTATGTTGAACCAACCTTGCATCCTAGGGATAAAGTTGAGTTGGTTGTGGTGTATCAGCTTTATTATGTGCTGCTGGATTTGGTTCACCAATATTTTGTGGAGGATTTTTGCATCGATACTCATCAAGAACACATATTCATTTAATGTCATAAATTTCCCTCTAAGGAATGGTCTAGTGGAATCCTATAAATTTTAACATATTATGTTTTCTTATTATCATTTAAATGAAAATATTTTTCCATTTTTTTAAAATTTCTTGTTAAACCTCTGGATTACCTAGCAATAATTTACAAATATTTAGGGATTTTCTAGATGTCTTTTGTTACTTATTTCTAATTTAATTCCAGTGTGGTTTGAGAATGCACTCTAAATTCATTATTTCTTTTGAATTCATCGAGACTTGTTTTATGGTCCAGCATATGATCTATTTTAGTTAATGTTCCATGTGTTCCTGAAAAGCAAGTATATTCTGATGTTACTGGATGTGGTAAATGCCAATTAGGTCAAGTCAGTTAACAGTGTTGTTCAACAAATGAAACATTCAAATTTAAACCCAGAGCATAGGGATGATGACATGTTGGTTGTTTACCCAGGAGAATTGGGATACATTGAGTTTGAAGCAGTTTTCATGGTGGTTGAGGGGGTTTCAGGTCTCTTTAATGCATTACCCCTCAGTTGCCAGGAAGCTATCTCTACTTAGTGCCCCATTGCTTAATACTCCCTATGCCCGGTCAATAGATGAAGTTCATGTCCCCTTAGCTCACCTCCAGGTTGCTATGTGACCGGGTTACCCGGATATCTTTAGCCCTCATCATCCCCACCCTACCTCCCCTGCACAGAGACCACTGTCCTTCTCTTTTAAATGCCTCATAGGTCTCTACACGCTTGTGTTTCTCTCTCCTCTAGGTCTTTGCATAGGCTTTTTATCTTCCTGGAGTGACTTTCTCATGAGAGAACACCTCATCTTTCAAAAGCCTGCTTAGTAGAGCCTTCTACGATGCTCCCTATAAAGAATGAATCTTGTCACTATTTTCTGGGAGGACTTTGTAAATATCCCATTATAGAACTTCAGCAGATAAGCCAAGGGAATCGCCACTATGTGCTGGGCACTGTGCCAGGGGCTAGGACTCACAGGTGAATAATATTTGGTTTCTGCTCTCAAGAAGTTTGTGGCTTGGTCTTCTTACTATGCCATAATGGAATTTTTAGCATATATGGCTATCTCTTGCTAAACTGCTTCCTGCTACACCTAATGGGGACAGACTTCTGCCTTCTAATATTTTTCTTCTGAGCACCTAGCATCAGACATGACACATAATAGGGGCTTACACACAAGACCAATCAAGTTATGCTGAGAATAACACCTTCACTCTTAAGACTTGTTACCATCAGTGGTGGATTTGAGGACCAAATTTATAACCTCACAAATTAGAACTAGTTCCTCTATATTCTGGAATTATACTTAAAGAGTCATGCACTCTAGGAACTTCTTTGAGAGATCAGTTAATTAATCCAATATTTCTAAAAATATGCTTTTATGTTGGACTGATGGAATACAAGATAACTTTTGGTAGTAGATGGATTAATTTTTTAATATTTATTTTGAATGTACATTAGAAAAATATACATGGCATTCTTATGATTTCACAGATTTTTTTTAACAAGTGTCTAAGCATAAAGACAAACATTACATAATTATGTTTTTAAAAATAGAACGGGTTATAGGAAGGAATGGTAGAAATCATGAAGGCAGTACATGAATGAGAACAGTTTACTTATTTTATAGATGCCTAAACTAAGGCAAGAAAGAATTTTACTCAGGGTCCCAGGGCTTGAGAGTGGCCAAGCAGGAATTAAGTCTCTGACCACATCACCCTGGTTTCCGGTTGGAGAACTTTCTGGGCCGCGGTCCTAGCTCCAGGTGGCTGCAGAGAGAAGGACAGACTGGAGTGTAGGAATTTGGGTGTAGGCACCAGGTGTCCCATTTGGAGCTGTGGAAGAGTGTGGGAAAGAAAGAGGAAACCAAAGGGAACAGAGAGGACTGGGGTGTGATAATAAGCCTTCAGTTTCAGCTGGATAGCCAACACCGGTGGGTGGCCTCACCCCTGGTTAATGCTCCTCTCTGCGGGGCCGGGGTAGAAGCTTTGCTTCAAGAAAGGCTGCTGCCCTTACCTGCATATTAATGTCAGTAGACCCTGGTACCAGAAAAAGGCCAAGTGAGAGATTTTTTTTTCATTCATATCCAGACAGTGTCTCTTTTTAATTTTGTTACACCATGTAGTACTTTTTGGTGTCTTTGGAATAGAGGTATGTTTTCATCCTGCTGGGGAAACTTTTCTTTGGGGATTGGATTGGAAGGGATAGAAGAAAAGAATCCCACTGTCCTTCTGTGTGCTGCACCCCACCCCTGCCAAAGACTGCAGTGAAGAGCAAACTTGGCTCTACCCAGAACTAATTTTTGAGAGGCATCTGACCTCATCTGTGGGGATCTGTGAGCTATCTTTGTGCTGGAATTGGCTAGCTCTCCTTGGAGTGAATGTTGTTTTTGGGTTCCTTGATTTCCTTGGAAGGGTCTCTTCTTGAATGGTTAGATCTTTTAATCCAAGATTTAATGCCAAAATACCTGCCCTCCAGGCTCTCACTGGAGAGCACTGCATTTTTCATTTGTTCAATAAATTTGTATTAAGTACTTGTAAGTCAGGTGCTATCCTGGGCCATAGGGATATGATGGAGAAAAAGCAGGTAAGATCCTTATCCTCTTCTTTTCTGGTGGGGAGACACCAATACATGGATAAATGCATAAATAGTGTTCAGATTGTCATTGACCATGACAGGTGAGCTGGCAAATGATGGAGAGGCCTGTTTTAGAGGGGTGGGCAGACTCTTTGGAGGAAGTGACTGTGAATTGTGACCTGCAGAATAAGGGGGCAGCGGCCACATGAAAAGATCAGGATGGAACCCTCTCAGAGAGTGAGCAAGTACAAGGGGTGGGAGGTGGGGGAGAGTTTGGCATCTTTTCCAAAGGCCAGTGTGGCTAGAGTGCGGTGGGAAGAAGACCCTGGAGAGGTGAGCAGGAATTAGACTGTGCTGATCTTTGCAGGCCATGGTAGGGAGACCGGACTTTTGTGAGAAGAGCAGCAGGAAGCCTCCAGAAAAATCTGTAACAGTGCTTATGGAGGAGGAAGTGGGCAGTGCAGCTCTGCTGGG
This sequence comes from Homo sapiens, assembly GCF_000001405.40. NCBI lineage: Eukaryota > Metazoa > Chordata > Mammalia > Primates > Hominidae > Homo > Homo sapiens. Next base: position 13,307,891 of record NC_000004.12, on the reverse strand, counting down.
GCTGACTTAGTCCCAAACATCAGAAAGGTGAACTTGAGGCTGTGTCATCTTGTCCTCTCTGTCCTGCTGGATTTTGAGTAATATTTGCATCTTATATAGATAAACTCTCCAATATTAGCCTTGTAGATCTCATTCTATATAATGAATCTTTTTGAAGATTTAAAGCTTTGTTTGAAATAAGTCCAATGAGAAATTTCCTTTAGAGTCCAATACTAGGAAAAATTATTTCATCTTCTGAAAAACAGTATGTGTTTTTACTTCTCTTTGACATAAAAACACTGTAGAACTGCCTTTAGTTTCCTTTCTCCTTTGGTTGCCTGGATGCTCAGGGTAAAATCTACAACCCCTGCCCCCCAAACAGCTGTAATATAGCCTTCATGATCTGCATATTCAGATTTTCCTATTTTAGTCTTGGCTTCAGTTTGGGGAAAAAAAAATTCCTCCAGTCCTGATTTTTTTTTTTCAAACTCTTTCTGTATTGAAGCAGGCATACATTTCTTTCTTTCTTTCTTTCTTTCTTTCTTTCTTTCTTTCTTTCTTTCTTTCCTTCTTTCCTTCTTTTCTTTCTTTCCTTCCTTCCTTCCTTCCTTCCTTCCTTCCTTCCTTCCTTCCTTCCTTCCTTCCTTCTTTCTTTCTTTCTTTCTTTCTGTCTTTCGCTCATTTTCTTTCTTTCTTTCTTTCTTTCTTTCTTTCTTTCTTTCTTTCTTTCTTTCTTTCTTTGATTTTTTCTTTCTTTCTTTCTTTCTTTCCCTTCCTTCCTTCCTTCCTTCCTTCCTTTCTTTCTTTCTTTCGTTCTTTCTTTCTTTCTTTCTTTTCTTTCGTCTTTCTGTCTTTCGCTCACTTTCCCAAATGCTCCTCTTAATGACTAATGCTGTCCTGCTGTGGCCCGGGCCAGAATCCTTTCCATTCTCTGGCTTCCTAAATTCCCACTTTGAGGGCCAAGGAGGTCCCATGTCCTCCAAGAGCCCCTCTGAATTGCTGCTGCCCTCCAAACTCCTGCAGCTCCTCTGATGAGCACCATGCTGCTTAGTCCTGGGCCAAGCTCTGACTTGCATTTTTCTTAAATTGTTTCTTGTATGTTAGTCTTCTCTCTCTAATTAGATTATATTTTTAAAGTCAGGGACCAGAATGTAATAAAACTCCCATTTACTGAGTGCCTATTCAGTGCTAGTCTTTATAAAAATTTGCTTCCTAATGCTCTTAGTCTATGAGGGAGGGATTGTTTCTATTTATAGACAAGAAAACTGAAATTTGGAAGTTGACTGTAAATGTGACCAGAGTACAAGTGGGTAGAGCTGGGAGTCACACCCTGCCTGGCTCCAAAGCCCATATCCCTGGGACCACAGCATTCTTCACATTTCTGAACTTACCGTGGGCTCCCAACAAAAGCTGCCTCTCATGTCACCATGGGGCCATCTCCCACCTTCTTTCTGTGGCTTGAGGTTCTTCCAACAGAGAGTAGATTTTCATTTAGGGCAAGAAATTATATTCTAATGCAAATAACCCTACAAAAAAGTCACATTCAACACTTCAACATAGAGTTTTCAGACACCTAATGGGAACTGGGTCCCATCTCAGATGCTTGGAAGGATACAGAGGTGAATAACACGTGGTCTCTGTCCTCAAGGAGCCCATAGTTAAGGGCTCGGAGTAGGTTCTTTCCTGAGCATTTGCTTTAGGGGCAGTGAGAGGGTGCTGCCCTTGTTAAAGTGACAGAGAGTCAGGGGCAGGTCGAGAGGCCACTGGTCAAGACCTGGGTTATTCTTCAGTTTATTCATTCAAGACATATTTACTGAGTGAGTGCCTGATGTCAGCCAGGTTGTTCCTTGCACTGGGGAGACGGTGAGGAACAACCCATGTCCACATCCTCATGGAGCTGATGGTCTGGAATGGATAGAAAGATCAGGAACAAAACAATTAAATAGACCATATTCTACATGAGGGGTTGATATGTAGTGTAGGAAAATAAAGAGGAAAAGGGCATATGTATGTGCATGAATGTGTATGTGTTTAGGGGGGTGGGGAGCAGCAATTTTCAGTTCAGGAAGGCTTCACTCAGATGGCGTTTGAGTAAAGAACTGAAGGAGGTGAGAAAGCGAGCCACAGGGATCTCTGGAGGAAAAGCAATCCAGGCGGATGGGAGTGATGGTGGGACAGGCCTGTGGCAAGAGTGTGGCTGGCATGTTGGAGGAACAGGCAGGCAAGTTTGCCTGGACTGAAGTGCATAAAGAGAGAGCAGTGGGAGATGAGGGCAGGGATGAGGGCCGGATGCTCCGCACCTGGTAGTCCCCTGTAAGGAGTTTGGTTTTCACTCAGAGAGTGACTGAGAGTCACTGGAGGCTTTGAGTGGAGGAGGAACATGACATAACTCGCTACCTATGTCCGCCGGGTTGAGAATGGACCTAAGTGGTGCTATGTAATGAATTATGTCCCCTCAAAATTCATGTGTTGAAGCCCTAACTCCCAATGTGATAGTAATTGGAAGTGGGGACTTTGGGAGGGAATTAGATTTAGATGAAATAATGGAGATGGGGTGCTGATGATGGGATTACTATCCTTATAAAAAAGGGAAGAAAACCAGAGCTCTGTGTCTCTGCCCGGTGAGGACACAGACAGAAAACGTCTGTCTGCAGCCCAAGAAGAAAGCCCACACCAGGAACCGAGGGTGCTGGCACCTTGAGTTTTGACTTCCCAACCTCCAGAATGGTGAGAAACATATGTCTGTTGTTGAAGCCACCCATTCCATGGCATTTTGTTATGGCAGCCAGAGCTGACTAAGAGTGCAGCAGAGCTGAAAGCAGGGAAACCCATGGGGAGATAAATGATGGTGGGATAGGGTGTAGCAGGGGAGGTGGTGAGAAGTTTGATTCTGGATATATTGGAAGGGAGTGATATGGGTTGTAAAACAGCAGATTAAGGATAACTTTGAGGATTTGGACTGATACCATGGAAGGATGGAGTTGCCATTAATGAGATGAAGATACCAGGATGAACACATCTGGGGGAAAAGAACAAAGGCTTATTTGTGGGTATGTTAATATTGGACAACTATTAGCTATTTTAAGCAGAGATATTGAGCAGGTTGGGGGTATATTTGTCTGGAGTTCAGAGGAGAGGCTCCAGACTGGAGACAGAACCTATGCTAGGATTCTAGCACCAGCATTTGGGAGATTACATACTCTGAGCCTTATTTTCCTCATCTATAAAATAAACATAATAATACCCTTAATAGTAGAGAGAAAGAGGAAGGATAGAAAGGACAGATGGCTGTGATGGTTAAAAAGGTTTTGCTTTGTACAAATGCAAAAGATTGTCATCATTTCCCCATCTGCCCACTTACCAGTGCAGGCAAATGAGGTCAATTTAAGGCTTACTCTTTTCCTCTCCTCTTCTCTCATCTCCTCTCCTCTCCTCTCCTCTCCTCTCCTCTCCTCTCCTCTCCTCTCCTCTCCTCTTTTCCCCTCTCCTCTCCTCTCTCTCTTTCTTTCTCCCCTCTTTCTTTCCTTCTTTCTTCAGGGTCTTGCTGTCATCCAGGCTAGAGTGCAGTGGCTCAATCTTGGCTCACTGCAACCTCTGCCTCCTGGGTTCAAGTGATTCTCGTGGCTCAGCCTCTTGAGTAGCTTCGATTAAAAGTGTATGCCACCACTCCTGGCTAATTTTTGTATTTTTAGTAGAGTTAGGGTTTCACCATGTTGACTAGGCTAGTCTCAAACTCCTGGCCTCAAGTGATCTACCTGCGTTGGCATCCCAAAGTGCTGGGATTACAGGCGTGAGCCACCACGCACAGCCAAGGCTGTGCTTTTCAAAGTACATCCCAGGTTCTGCCTACATTAGAAATGTAGATTTTTTTTTGTTTCTCCACAAGAAATGCAGATTCTTGGCCCATTTTGACTTACAGAATCAGAATTTCTGAAGATAGTACTCAGGAATTCATTTTCCTGCTTCTCCCCTGGCTAATTTTCATGCACCCAAAAGCTTAAGAATTATAGGTATATAGAGAAAAGCACTTCCACCAAGATGAGGACATCTTAGATTATAAAAAGTTTAAGTTGCTTCAGAGTCTAAAGAAAATTTCTTTAAGAAGTGAATATGCTTAGAGGATAATCAGTGTCTTCTACCATGCAAAGGTAACAGGTTAAGTTAGGAGTGGCTGGAAGACATGGGCAGGCTGACCTCTGGGTGGGGGCACAGGAGTGGGTATTAGTCAGGCAGGGGTCAACCTGAGCAAATCAGGGGTGGTAGAACCTGTTAGTGGTACAAAGCATGACCATGACCAAGTCAGGAAATGCAAATTAAAGTTTTAAAAGTGAGCATGAAGCTAGAAGCTGAATGAGCTGTTATTAGGATACAGCAAGAAAGCAAAGTCAGGAACAAAGGAAGAAGTCCAAGAGGGGCCAGAGGGTGGGCCTAGAAGGAAGGCCGCTGGTGGTGCTTGCACTGGCTTCCATTGACAAGATGCACACAAGTGGGATGGGCTGGTTTCATGATTAGAATGAAAGCTCTTTGAGGGCCAAGTTCTCTCTGCAGTAGATTAGCCCAGGGTGATCATGCTAGAGGTGCAATCAGATCCATCTCATTCTTGCCCAGCCCCAGTGGCTAGGCCTTCTTGCAAGATCAGCTTTTCTTTTTTCTCCTCAGTTCCTGCCCTCTTCTTGCTAAGTGCTCCTCAGCTCCACGTAGGTGGCAATTGATCCATAATAGACATGTTTTTATTTTAGTAATAGTACCACTTTCTGCAAAAAAGAGCAATGCAATTTTGTTAATGAAAGTCATGTGTTGAGACAGGGTTGGATGGGAACTTCTGGATCTGGCTTGGCTCTGGCTCAAAACCTTCCGGGAAAACACAAACTTTCAGGGACACACCCAGAAAGCCCCATTTACCTCTGTCAGGCCCATCTGCTTTGCATTAGAAAAACAGTAACAACCCTCTCCCAGTGCCATTTCATAAATATAAAATATGTAATAAAATAGTTATTAGAAGGTAATCAATGGTGCTTATGTTTTCTTTTGTGAGGACATTGATGGTGAATTCCCACATAATCCCATCAGCAGCTGGGTCTGCAGGGAATCTTTTCTGTGTGACTGGCCAAAGCCCACTGTGCTCTATGGCTCTTGGTAGGTCAGAGGACAGGACCCCTGACATTTCCCTCTCATTTCCAATTCTATAGATCTTCATTCACATTGGTGAGGAGTGAGAAGATTGACTTCAGGGTTCCCCCGGGGGAAAACCATACCTACTTAGTAGCTTTAAGATTGGAATGAAATGAATTAACATTGATAAAGGGTTTAAGCCCTAAATATGAATCATATTGCCAGGGCTTAGTTCCCCTTTCCTCACATCCCCATCTTACCTCGTTTAAATTGTTGGGATAGTTCACGGCAACTGGAAGAATATTAAGTAAATTAAGGGCACTTTTCAAGAAAGTCCAAACTTACCCTATTGAGGAAGCCCACATGACTTTCCCTTTCCCTCTCAAAGCATTAATTGAAGGTCCCTCACAATTCAAAACTTAATCAAATAAGATAACCTACGAAGGCTAGTAGGGCTTGATCCATGGTATGTGCTTGGTATGTGTTACTTTAAAAGGCTTTGTTAGATTTTATTTTTTGACTTATTAATTTAAAATAATGATATTTGTCTTTATCACCAGATTGCAAAATCCTTGGAAATAAAAAACTGTGTATTTTTTCACTTCTTTTTTTTTTTTTTCCAGTATCCAATAAGGTATTGGGTGCATAGTAGAGATTAATAAATGTTTCTTGATTGGTCAGTGATGGCAACAACCATATTTAATTGTTTATATACGTATATTTATTTTAAGTTCAGTAAACCTTTATTGACAGGCATTTTGCCAGGTACAGAAGAAACTCATATAATAATATGAGCTTTGAGAACTTACTCCATGCTAGAACATTATGGGTATTAACCCTTTAATCCTCACAATAGTCTTACAAGTGTCTGACTCACAGACTAAGCAATGAAGATAATATGACTATAGCACAGTGCTCTTAACCATTGCAACACAGCTGTTTGATGAGTACCTGAGGTCTGGTCCTGCCTCTCAAAGGGCTTCCCATCAAATGTGAGTGAGGGCTGGGAGTGGAAGAGATATGTAAGTAGACATATGCCGGTATCATGATGTTTAGTGGGATGGAAGGCTGAAGAGACTGGCAGGGACCATATTCTCAGGGCCTCGAATGCTCAGGGAAAAGTTGGGTCAGCTGGCCTGGAAATTCCATAGAATGGATTCCATAACCTTCAGAGATCTCTTCTTTGTTTGCTAATGATGGGCTTCAATTTTCCCTTGTGAAGTCAACTGGCAAAGTTGAGGAGTTGCCTGGATGTCATTCATGTTGGAATCACAGACCCTGAGAGCTGCATTCCTTAGAAGGTGTGGTTGGGCTCCCATTCAATGTACTCCTCCTGGGAGAATGACACCTATCTTTGCTTATAATATGGTTTGGCTGTGTCCCCACCCAAAATCTCATCTTGAATTGTAATCTGAATTGTAATCCCCACGTGTTGGGGGAGGGACCTCATGGGAGGTGATTAGATTGTGGGGGCAGTTCCCCCATACTATTCTTGTGATAGTGAGTGAGTTCTCATGAGATCTGGTAGTTTTATACGGGGCTTTTCTCCACTTTGCTCCACACTTCTCCTTCCTGCCTCCATGTGAAGAAGGACGTGTTTGCTTCCCCTTCTGCCATGAGTGTAAGTTTCCTGAAGCCTCCCCAGCCATGCTAAACTGTGAATCAATTAAACCTCTTTCCTTTATAAATTACCCAGCCTCAGGTATGTCTTTACTAGCAGTGTGAGAATGGACTAATACAGCTTACACGCTCTCAGTATTGAAGACCTCACTACTTCACCAGATGGCCTATTCCATCACTAGACAGTTCCAGTCCTGAGCTAAAATAATTATCTTTCAACAATAACATGATGGTGCTCTGCCTTTTCCCATATGTCAGCTCTTTCTGGGTTCCCTGAAGCAAGTCTTCTCCAAGGCAACATTTACAGATCCTTTTATTGTTTCTCACAGGATGTGCTTTCTAGACTTCATTCATCCCTTTATTCATTCAACAAACAAACACTGGGTTAGATTCTGGGAATGCAAAGATGGTTTAAACCTTGGCCTGCCATCAAAGAGTTTACAATAGTTAGAGGGAGAGAGACATCAAAACAAAGATTCCCTGGGCAGTTTGATAGGAGTGACACAATGGCTGCTCAGGCGAGGCCCTGCAGGAGCATAGAGGAGAAAATCCTTCTCCTAGGAATATTATCTTCTGGGCCTCTCTAATGAAAGTGCTCCCCCTGGCTCCTTCCTTAAAGTGCCTCCATTCTTTTCTTTACATCCTCTTGTCCCTGGAAGTCATCACAAAAACCAATGGCTTCAAGGAGCCCATACATGCAAATCAACTCCAAAATCCCTCTCTCTGGTTCAAACACCTCTGCTGAACTCCAGATCTGGTTGTTTATGTGCCTTCTGGATCCCACCATTGGTGATCCCAGAGCCACTTCCAGCTCAACACATCACCAACAAAATTCACGTCCTTTTCCCCAAAACATTCTCAGAGAGGTTAAGGCAACTTGGACTGTCAAAATCCTCACTTTTTCTGCCACTTGCCACAGACTTTGGGATAGGAAATGAGATGGGAGATACCCAGTCTTTCCCTCTTGTTTTGTGTATTTTCTCTGTGGTGCCCTCTTCAACCAAACTCCATTCAATATTTCAGTGCCCCTTTCTGGGAGCCTCTTGTGTCAGTAAGAAACCAAAGCTGGTGACGTCTCCTTCTCTGAGGCTTTGGACAGCTTCCGCATGTGAACCATGACAGCAGAAAGATGTATTCTCTGGGCATAGAGGCCCTTTCAACCCTCACTAGACATACAGTTCTGTTATTCTTTTATAATAGCTTTCCACCAGATACTGAATCTGTTTTAGTCTCCAATGTATCCCCTGATTTGGAGTAGCACTTGGCTTATAGTTGATACTCAACATCTGCTTAGTGGTTGAATGAATTCTGTCTCTATACCAAGCCATAATATTTCTTTGAAAGTGCATATATTTAAAAGTGAGCCTTAGAATGCTGAGTTTGAGAGTCAGGCCAATTTTTGAGATGCAATTCAATTCCACATCCATTTATTGAGCAATTACAATGTCCCAGACACTGTGCTGGATATGGGGGTTTCATCTAGGAATAAGACACAGCCAGGGGGTTCAGGCAGTTCATAGAAGATGAAGGTAGGAAGTGGCAGGAGAGATGGGACAGTGCAACACAAGAGCTGTATGGCAGTGTTATTGGTGCAAGATATGAAGTGCTGACTCAGGGGAGAGGAGAGGGCAACTAACTGTGGGTTTGAGGGGAGGTTAGTGGGCTGCCAAGGTTCAGCTCCACAGACCCTGAGTTCCTCAGATGACTTTCTGAGCGCTGAGGATGCCTTTCTCCATCTCTCTTGGGTGGAGATGAAACTTCTTTTAGTTTCATCTTTCACCTTAAAGACAAGTAAAATCTCGAATTAGAATACTTTAGAGAAAAAGAGCTGTGAGAAACATTGAGTCCCCTGGATTTCCATCTTCCTTTTCGTAGCGGAAACTTCAACCTAAATCTTACCAGGACATCCATTTTGTAACATGGATCCAACCAGAGTCTCTCTGACAGCTTGAAATCCCTGATCTAGGCCAACTCTCATTTTTCAGGTGAGAATAATGACCCCTAAAGCCCCAGAGCACACGATTGGCAACTTTGCAGTGGCCGAGGATCTGAGTCCATGGCCCTCGCCCTGCACCCGGGTGTGGGCGGCTCAGGTTGAGAGCCTGTGGGACAGCCCGTCCCGCCTGAGATTAACCATCAGGTGGGAAAAGCAATTACATTTTGCACAGGCCAGATCTGCTCGTCCCATTCTCCCTCCCTGCAGGCGATGTCAAAACACGAGGGCAGGATCCTGCTTCTTCTCACGTTTTAAAAACATACAGTGGACTTGTGTTTACAATACTGCCAAGGGATATGACGCGGAACGGCAGAGCGCACCGCCCCCTGGAAGGAGCCACCCTCTCCTCGCCGTGGCTCTCTCCTTCCACGACCACAGCGCTCTCCTTTGGGCTCCAGTTCAGAGTCTTGCCAGGGGATGTCGCTGAGCTTCAGAACTTAAACAATACTATATATTGTGCAAACAAACAGTACCAATAGTGATCTGCCCCTTGGATCAGAGCCATGGCTGTCTGGGTCGCCCAGCCTGGGATTCTTCCGGTGGGGAAAGCAGGTTAGGAATCAGAATTCCAGTTCCAGACCCCGTTTTGTGCTTCTGTGGGGCTTACACATGGGCTTTTTAGTTTTCTTGGCCTCAGCTTCCCCACTGGAGAAACGGCAGAGCTATGAAGCTTTGAGCTTATCCACCGGTTTTCATATTTGTGTGTGTTGCAGTGAGATTTCTTTTTGAAATGGAATCATGCAGGCAAATTTAAAATATAAAATTGATGAAAGCCAAACGTTCTGGTGAAGGCAGGAGGAGACGTCTGGGTTACCATCCCTTCTACTCTGGGGGCTCTTCACATTCTCTGTGGATTTCTTGGGTCCTCACAACATGGTTGGATAGATGAGCTTTCAGATCCTTCTGGCTCAAACATTCTATGATCCCATAAAAATGCTATAAATGCTAAGTCACAGTTGTGATTGTAAAAATATGTGTGTGTGTGTGAGGGAGAGAGAGATTACAGATTACAGATTATAATTGGGCATTTTATTTTGATCAAGATATTGTATTTTTAACTTATTTTTTCTTGATTATAAAGGTAAGACATATTGATTCTTAGAAATCAGATTACTATAAAATAAAAATCACATGAAATCTTGCTCTTCTGAATTGAAATTATGTTGAAAGATGTCTCTGCCACTTACAGGATGTTCCAGGTTAAATGAGCGCAGCTTTAAAGACAAATGGCTGAGGCCACTTGGCTTTGCTGTTTGGGAGATGATCATATTTTCTTTCATCTGTGCATTCCTTAACAGTAAACAAATTATGTCTGTGTACTGTGACCCAGTTGATTCTTAAAACCAAAGGGAAGAGAAAGATAAAGGAAATGTGTTTCAGAGAGAGAGAGAGAGAGAGAGAGAGAGAGAGAGAGAAGATGCCCAAGATCACACAGTGAGAAAGGGAGGAGCCCAGATGAAACCCCTCAGGTGGCTTCTGTCTGAGACAACGAACCCTTCCCTCACTGCTGCTTGGATTCCTTTCTTTCTCTTCATCTTTCTTTTGTTTTGCTGCAATGCTGGGCAGGAGCTTTGTGTTTTCATCTTGACCTGGATTGCCACCTCTACTCCAAATTTATTCCTACACCAATTCCCTGTCCTCAGTTCTCCAGTTCACATCTCAGACTTTCAGAGACCAGGAGGAGAGCAGCTTTGAAAGCAAATTCACTATAGGATAAATGATGAATGTGGTCATTGGCACTTAACACCAATACCATCCTTCTGACATGTGCCATCTTGCACCACAGGGACATAAAGAATGACAATTCCCAGACTCCCTTGCAGCTAGAGTGTGAGCTATGTTTCAGTTAGTAGATACACTTGCTTGACATTTGGAAGGTGGAAGTGAAGCAGCAGCTCCCTGTAATTGGTGGCAAATCAAACACAAGTCAAGAAAGCTTTCTACTTCCCCTTTAAAGTGTTTGAACGGACCCTTTGAGGTCAACTCCTTGAACAACCATCCTCTGCCATACACATGATCTCATTGACTTTCCTGAGTTTCACTTAGTTACCAAGCCATAAAGTGGAAGTAAGAAGAATATCTACTTCTAGGGGTTTTTAAAGTCAAATGGGATGATGCCAGGGAAGTAGTCACATGTGGTTGACAGTATAGGAGCTGAGAGATTTAGTTCCTTTTTCACTCTTTGCTCCAAGCCTTGACAAACCGTACCCAGGGATCCAGTCCCTGCCTGAAGTAAACTTAAAGCCAATACTGGAACAGTGTTTCCCAGACTGTTCCACAGAAAACATGTTACCATCTCCTCAGATACTAGGGTTCCAAGCACACAGTTTGGGAAACACTATCCAAGAATATTATTCCCAGAGAGAACCTTAGAGATCTTTTAATTTACAATCCCTTATTATAGGGAGACTGAGGCTCCAAAAGGGAAAAAGACCTTTGTGAGGTTACCTAGCAAGCAACTTGCAGGAGCATCCTGGTCTTCTAATTTTTGAGTCAAAGTTCAGGTGCAGTGGCTCACTCCTGTAATCCCAGCACTTTGGGAGGCTGAGGTAGGAGAATCACTTGGGGCCAGGAGTTTGAGACCAGCCTGGACAACATAGTGATACCTTTTCTCTAGAAAATAAAAATCAAATAATTAGCCAGGCATGGTAATGTGTATCTGTAGTCCCAGCTACTCAGTAGGCCGAGGTTGGGAGGATCTCTTAAGCCCAGGAGGTTGAGGCTGCAGTGAGCTATGAACATGCCACTATCCTGCAGCCTGGGCAACAGAGCAAGATCCTGTCTCAAAAAAAAAATTAAGGTCAAGAGGAAAAGTTACCAAATTTCTCTGAGCCTTAACTTTCCTATCTGTAAGATGGTTATAATAATGCCTGTTCTTCCTACTACATGTGGGATAAGTGACAATAAAATGTTATTGTGAAAGTGCTTTAGAATATATAAATATATGGGGGGAGAGAGAAGAGACATCCACACACACACAAGCACATTTAAAAAGACTTTATGCAAAAGTACGGCTTTGTTAATGATTTGATTTTGATTTGTTAATTTTGATTTTGATTTGTTGATTTGTTAATGATTTGATTTTGATTTGTTAATTAATTAACCACAGATTTATTGAGCACCTGTCAGTTACTATTTCAGTGCTGGCCATAAGTGGAGAACAAGAGAGACATGGTGGCTGCCTTCCTGAGCTGATAATCTGAACGAGGTGGAGCTGGATGGCAGAGGGAGAGACAAAGAGGACAAATATACAACAGATAAACAAGAGAACGTTGGAAAGTGCTGAATGCACTGAAGAAGTTAAGTAGGGTGTTGCAATCAAGAGAGATGTGGTGATTTCAGACCAGGTGGTCAGGACGGCCTCTCTGAGTGGGACCTTACATTGGTCTTGGAAGCACATGGGAGGGTCTAGGAGCAGAGCAGTTCAGGCAGATGGGGGGCTGGAGCAGAGGCCTTAGGTGAGGCAGCAGTCATGTCAGCTGAGATCCTATAGGGAAAAGGACCCCACATCGCTGAAAGCCCTGTAGCCCAGGGCAAGTGGCACGGAGAAAGGGAAATGGGTAGCAGTTTGGAGACCTAAGTTCTAATCCTAGATTTGCCACAAAGTAGCTGGGTTGCCTTGGACATGCCATAATATAGCCCTGGCCTCAGTTTCCTTATCTGTCAAATGGGAACACAAATCCTGCCCTTTCCTAGAGGTACGCTATGAGGGGGCATGGAGTAGGCGTGACCTGCCCTCAAACACCCAGCTCCCATATGTCCATGTGTAGTGATAAAAGCCAGTCTGTCTTAGGCCCCTCCAGGAGTCTGGGCTGCAGGGATGAGGGGCCTCCAGGCCATCCACCCTCATGCACAATGCAAGCCCTGTGCTGGCCCCATGGACAACAGGCGCAGGAGAGAGGGTCTGCTTTTTCTTTTCATGGACTTGAGACTTCAAGCCTTTGGACTGAGCGCCAACAATAATTCATCAGGAACACTTTACAACTCAGCATTACAAAACCTGTTAGGAGACAGATCGCCCACAGGACAGCCTTTGAGAAGGAAATGTGTTCAGGCCTGGTGACCTCAAGATGATTAATGATTTTTAACAGGGTGAACTCTGTCCTCCCCCTCCCATGTACTGTGTTCACACTCCCTGCCTCCCCTGACTTGTTTGCAGGAGAAAGGGGAGGGTGAGAGGGAGGAGGGGAGGGGAAGGAATAGGTGGGAGCAGGGGATGCTTGAAGGCAAAGCCCACCAATCATAAGGAAAATGCAGGAATAAGAGCACTCTGTCAGAAATGCAGAAATGTCTTATTGTTATTGTTTTACTTTTTCTTTTTTTTGGCAAACACAGCCTTGGAGGCTTTATATCTTGAAATCTGTGTAATGTGTCACAACTCCAGTAAGCTTTTTTGTGTTAGGCTTTTTGCACAGTGCCTTGCGCTTTCAGCCATTATTATTATTATTATCACCTCTCCATCCCCATGGACACAAACCTTGATGTTATTGAATGTGGGATGTGTTGGAAAAGGTAATGATGATTTCACCTTTTGATTTTTAAAGTCATGGTAACTTGACTTTTATGTTACTAGATTTAAAAAATTACAACAGTGATATATGCAGTTTTAACAAACCAAAAATACAGAGTTACTGGAAGAAAAATTTCTAATCTTTCCCTATACCCTTCTTTAGTCCGAAACCCCTGAGGTCATCAATGTCAAATCAAGGCAATCCTTTGTAGTACTGTATACATATTAATCCAGAGTGATGTCCTCATACATGATCCTATAGAACATGGATGTTCAGCTGAAAACCAAGAATAATGGCAGGCCTTTACAATTTTGTGGGAAAAGCAAATTTATGATGATAAGGAGATGATAGCTAATATTTATTAACTATTTATATTAAAGATACTCTTACATTAACAGTATTCTTTAGAGTACCTTTATATTAAAGGTACTCTGTTCAAGTGTATTACGTGTGTTATTTAGATGATAATTACTATTTATTGATTATTTACATTAAAGGTATTCTGTTCTAGTGCATTATATGTGTTATTTAGATGATAATATTTATTGGTTACTTACATTAAAGGTACTCTATTCTAGTGCATTACATGTTATTTAATCCTCATAATAGCCATTGAAGGTATTTAGAAATATTCTTCCCACTTCACAGATGAGGAAACTGAGCTATGCAGTCAGCTTGGAAGTCTTAGAACCAGGATTGGAGTTCAGGAGGTCTCACTCTCAGCCCTGTGCTCTGCTGGATGAGCTTTTCTTAGTTTTAAGTCTTTCTCCTATAATCTTTCCTGAAACTCTGTTGACCTACCTGAATGTCTGCTTGCAAGTCTTTACAGACAGCAAAATAAATGACAGAGTAGCAAGTGAGTGATTAAGGATGAAGGTTCCGCTCCCCGATACCCACTGTGATGGCTACTTCCTCTGTGGATCCTCATTCTGGGTGAGACTCAATTTCATGAACGTGTATATTTATCTGCTCCTAGAACTGTTTGTAAAGTCTCATTAACTGTAAAACCACTTCTTGATATCTTGCCTGACTTTCAGGTGCTTCAGCAACATCGAAACAAGTTTGAGAACCGCTCAACTTGACCCTGAGATTTTGTATGAGATGAGGTGTGTAAAACTCACTCGTCAACATGCATCTTGTGATTGTGTTATAAAAGCAGCCAAAAGGTCAATAAACAGCAAAATTTTTAAGAGCACGTTATTTTTTTAACCATTTATACTTTCAGTTTTTTTTTAATTTTTATTTTTTCCTTCCAACTTTTATTTTATGTTCAGTGGGTACATGTGCAAGTTGGTTACATGGGTAAACTGCATATCATGGGGGTTTGGTGTACAGACTAATTCATCATACAGGTACATGAGCAGAGTACCCTATAGGTAGGTTTTTTATCCTCTCCCCCCTTTTACTCTTTACTTTCAAAGAGGCTCCAATGTCTGTTGTTCCTTTCTTTGTGTCCACGTGTACTCAATATTTAGCTCCCACTTATAAGTGAGCATGTGGTATTTGGTTTTCTGTTCCTGTGTTAATTTGTTTAGGATAATCCTGCTGCATCCATGTTGCTGCAAAGGACATAATTTTGTTCTTTTTTTATGGCTGCATGGTATTTCGTGGTGTATATGTACCACAGTTTTTTTATCCAGTCCACTGTTGATGGGCGTCTAGATTGATTTCATGTCTTTGCTATTGTGAATAGAAGAGCACATGATTTTGAGTTAGGATCTTGTTAAAATTATACCTCCTCCATATAGTAATTATGTGACGTTGAGACTCAGTTTCCTCACCTGTAAATTGGAAATAATTGCACCATTTACTTTATAGGGTTGAAATCAGGATTATTGGAAATAATGTCTGTAAGTAAAACACTTAACACAGGGTGTGGCATATAGTAAGGACTTAATGCATAGTAGCTGCTGTCAATGAAATCAATGATTTATGATATCTGCTCACATTTTTCCCTCTACTTCACTAATCCAGTTGGAAGAGCCATCATCTGAAATTCACTGACAGTTTCACTTTAGACTGAGCTGATATTACATGACCTTTTGCAAGTTTTACAGACCTTGATGCAACTTGGCAGACATTATGGAAAAAGAAAACTGGGCAACTTGTAAAGCACATCATCTGTATACTTTTTAATTGAGGAGCCAGAAGCTAGGAGAGAGGCATGGAGATTCTTTCTGACAGCTATCAGAAGGAACCACCCTAACAACACCTTAATGGGTTACTCCCACATTGGCCAGATCCTGTCGAATGGATCAGTTGAGGTGGGAGCTTTAGTTTAGTTGTTGGATGAGATGTGTTTGTTCTAAAATAGTTACTAGGCTGGGCCACCCTTTGGAGGATAGAAAAGTTCAACCTAAGTCTTAAACATGCATGCTTAGTCTCTGAGGAATAAAGGGCTATGGGTGAATGAGAGTTTGAACTCGGTTTTCATGGTTTTAGGGGGAGACCTCTCCAGGTTACCCTGGTAATGGGAGGTTTATTTTAAGGAACTCACAGTGGACAGACTTTCACAGGAATGCTAGTTTAGCCAAATAAGCAAGATGTTCTTGATCGCACAGTCCATCAGTAAAAATACTTGAGACTGCGTGCTAATATACAGCTCTGTGTGT
This sequence comes from Homo sapiens, assembly GCF_000001405.40. NCBI lineage: Eukaryota > Metazoa > Chordata > Mammalia > Primates > Hominidae > Homo > Homo sapiens. The sequence goes on along the minus strand of NC_000004.12, from coordinate 13,292,061 downwards.
GTATGTGTACACTTACTTATAAATTATGTACTATTATAATGTACAAATGTAACTATTATCATTAGCTAATATCTCAAAGTGCATTATCCATGAGTGAGGTTCCTCATTAATGATAGAGGATCTAACTCTATGTTTCAAATAGTCCTTGTATCAGTTTTTTGGGGGCTGTCATAACAAAGTACCACAAATTGAATGGCTTAACCAACAGAAATTTGTGAAGAAAGGCAGACCCTGCTGGTGAGGTGGGAAGGTGTGAGTTGTAGCTGTTTGCCACAGGTATGGTTGTAATTGCGGTGATGGGAGGAAATGCAGGCAACAGAGGTATCACTTGGAGAGGTCTATCTTTAGTTCATCTTTTTCCTTCATTCCTACTTCTGCTGCTTTGGTATTGCATTCATCTTGTATCTCCTGGTCCCTTCCAGCTGGTGTCTCTATCTCTAGGATTCATATCCCACTCAGCAGGTTGAGTGATTTTTTGTCTAAAACAGAGTCCACCACACTGGTCCCTGCTCTTTTGGTGTCCAGTTGTCTGTAGGAGTGGGGCAACCACAGGGATGACAGTCATATGGGCTACTGCTCAGATATGCCAGGCTGGGGATTAACTGTACTTCCCTAAGAGTTAAGAAAGAAAGCACATCAGAATGGAAGTGAAAACATTAACATTTTATGAAGGATGGCCTTAAATATGCTCTATTATAAAATAAAATAAAAGCAAGAGAAAATCCAAGATGGCTGACAAGGTGTAACCAGGAAGTGCCCCTCCCACCAAGAGACAAGACCATGGAGAAGAACAGTACACTCTGAGCAGATCTTTGGAAGGAAGGCATTGAGAGTAGATGGAGGGAGGACACAGACCCTGGGCTGAAGGAAGAGGAAGCTGGAAACTCTGCACAAAGTTGCTGAGTACCAGAACTTGTTCCTGGCCCCAAGTGGCTCCTGGGAAAGAGGTAAATTAAGTAGGCATGGAGTGGCCCATTCTCACCACGGATCTCTGGAATTCCAGCTGCAGAAGACTTCATAACCCTCATGGACATTTGAGTTGACAGGGAGAACTTCTTGGAGAATAAGCAAGAACCAGACTCCAAGCCTGTGTGGAGCCCAGTGTTTGGAGTGGGCATGGCTGCAGTGGAGCATAGCCAGGGATGCCCATTCCTCAAGGTTTGCCATGCTCTTCTAGGTGGCTTTGGCCTTTGTTGACTGTCAGACATGGATGAAACAGGGCTATCTTGCCTGTGGGATGAGACCAGTTTGATCTGAGCACCCTCCATCTGCTGGCCCCTCCCAGGGTCCCTGTGACTGGCCACACCTGCATGCAGTACAGCCTCAGCTGCCCAACTGGCGTGCTTCCCAGTGGCCCTCTCCGTAGCATCTTCACCAGCAAACCTTGCGTAACCATCAGAGAGCTTTGACAGAGACATCCCTGCCGGCATGTGCTCACCGACAGCTTCCCCTACTCCTTTGCCAGTGTGTGTAGATCTTGCCACCACTACCCTGCCCCTGCCTTTACAAACATGAATGCAGAGACCCCACAGTGCTGTTGCCCTGCTGCTGCTGGTGTGTGCACCAAGCATGGATCTTGCTTTTGCTAACCTCAACAAAGCACTTTTGCTGGCACTCCCCATCAGAGTGTTGTTGCCAGTGAACTGGGAATACCTTGGCCCCTCCTTGCTCAACTACAAGGGGCTAGAGAACAAAGCCATGGGCCTGGTCCAAGTTCTCCAGAGTTAGAGCATGCAGCCCAGGAGTACTGAGCTGAGCCCTGGCCTCCTGAAATCATCCAGAAACAATGGCAGTTGACTGAACTTAAATTATACCACAGTCACACCCTCAAGGGCTTAAAAAAATATATAAAAGCAAAAAGCCCCATCCAAAGGAAAGCAACTTCAAAGATTAAAGGAACAGCCCACACAGAGGAGAAAGAATCAGTGCAAGAACTCTGGCAACTCAAAAAGCCTGAGTGCCTTCTTTTCTCCAAATGAGTGTACTAGCTCCCCAGCAATGGTTCTTAAACAGACTGAAATGGCTGGAATGACAGATATATACTTCAGAATTTAGATGACAATGAAAATCATCGAGATTCAGGAGAAAGTTGATGCCCAATCCAAGGAATCTAAGGATTCCAGTAAAATTATAGAAGAGGTGAAAGATGCAGTAGCATTTTAAGAAAAAAACAAACTGATCTGATAGAGTTGAATAACTCACTGTAAGAATTTCATACTATAACCCTAAATGTTAATAGCAGAATAGGCCAAGCTTAAGAAAGAATCTCAGAGCTCAAAGACCAGTTCTGCAAATCAACTCAGTCAGAAAAAAAGGAAAAAAAAAAGAATGAACAAAACATCAAAAAAATATGAGATTACATTAAGAGACAAAACTTATGACTCACTGGTGTCCCTGAAAGAGAGGGCGATAGAGCAAGCAACTTGGAAAACATATTTGAGGATATTGCTCATAACAATTTCCCCAACCTTGCTAGAGAGGTCAACATTCTAATTCAGGAAATTCAGAGAAACCTTGCAAGGTACTAGACAAGATGACATCCCCAAGACACATAGTCATCAGATTCTTCAAGGTCAATGCAACAGAAAAACTATTGAAGGCAGCTAGAAAGGCCTATATTCAGCTTTCTTAAAGAAAAGATACTCTAACCAAGACTTTCACAACCAGCCAAGAATGCTTCATGAGAAGCCTGAGTGTCTTTCTCCTTAGCTGCCTAAGCTAAGGAGAAATAAAATCCTTTACAGACAAGCAAATACTAAGGGAATTGGTTGCCACCAGACCTTTCTTACAAGAGATCCTTGAGGGAGTGCTAAACATGGAAATGAAAGACTATTACCAGCCACCACAGAAACACACATAAGTACATAGACCATTGACACTATAAAGCTACTACACAATCAAGTCTACATAACAACCAGCTAACATGATGACAGGATCAAATTCACACATGTAAATATTAACCTTTAACATACATTGGCTACCCTGCCTGCCCCCACACTTAAAAGACACAGGCTGGCAAATTGGATAAAGAAGCAAGACCTAACTGTATGCTGTCTTCAAGAGACCCATTTTACATGTGATGACACTCATAGGCTCAAAATAAAGGGATGAAGAAAAAATCTATCAAGCAAAAGGAAAACAGAAAAGAGCAGGAGTTGCTATTCTTATTTCAGACAAAACAGACTTTAAACCAACAATAACAAAAAAGGACAAAGAATAGCATTGCATAATGATAGAGGGTCCAATTCAACAAGAAAACTTAGCTATTCTAAGTATATATGCACCCAACATTTGAGCACTCAGATTAATAAAACAAGTTTTTAGAGATCTGTGAAGAGACTTAGATAACCATACAATAATAGTGGGAGATGTCAATACCACACTGACATTATTAGACAGATCCTTGAGGCAGAAAACTAATAAAGACATTATGGACCTAAGCTCAGCACTTGACCAAATGGACCTAAGAGACATCTATAGAACTTTCCATCCAACAACAACAACAACAACAACAACAAAATATACATTCTTCTCATTTACACATGACATATACTCTAAAATCAACCACACATTTGGCCATAAAACAATGAGTTCTCAACAAATTCATACCAACCACAATATCAGACCACAGTGCAATAAAAATAGAAATCAATACTAAGAAGATCTCTCAAAACTATACAATTACATGGAAATTAAACAATCTGCTTCTAAATGACTTTTAGGTAAATAATAAAATTAAGGCAGAAATCAAGAAATTCTTTCAAACTAATAAAAAAAATACAACATTGCCAGAATCTCTGGGACACAGCTAAAGTAGTGTGAAGAGGAAAGTTTCTAGTGGTAAATGCTAACATCAAGATCTCAAATTAATAACCTAACATCGCACCTAGAGGAATTAGAGAAACAAGAGTAAAACAACCCCAAAACAAGCAGAAGACAAGAAATAACGAAAACCAGAGCTGAATTGAATGAAATTGAGATGTGATAAAACATAAAAAGATTGGCCAGGCACGGTGGCTCATGCCTGTAATCCCAGCACTTTGGGAGGCTGAGACAGGTGGATCATGAGGTCAGGAGATCGAGACCATACTGGCTAACATGGTGAAACCCCGTATCTACTAAAAATACAAAAAATTAGCTGGGCGTGGTGGCAGGCACCTGTAGTCCCAGCTACTCAGGAGGCTGAGGCAGGAGAATGGTGTGAACCCTGGAGGCGGAGCTTGCAGTGAGCTGAGATCGCGCCACGGCACTCCAGCCTGGGAGACAGAGCGAGACTCCATCTCAAAAACAAAACAAAACAAAAACAAAAACCATACAAAAGGTCAATGAAAACCAAAGTTGGTTTTCTGAAGGAATAAATAAAATTGATAGACCACTAGCTAGACTAATAAAGTAAAAAAGAGAGAAGATCCAAATAATCACAATCAGAAATGACAAAGGAAACATTTCCACCGATTCCACAGAAATACAAAACACCCTCAGAGACTATTATGAACTAGAAAACCTAAAAGAAATGACTAAACTCCTGGAAACATGCAACCTCCTAAGATTGAACCAGGAAGAAATTGAAACCTTGATTAGATCAATAATGAGTTCCAAAATTGAATCAGTAATAAAAAAACTACCAACCAGAAAAATTCCTGAACCAGATAGATTCACAGCCAAATTCTACCACATGTATAAAGAAGAGCTGGTAGCATTTCTATTGAAACTATTCCCAAAAGTTGAGGAGGAGGAAACTCCTCCCTAACTCATTTTATGAGGCCACAATCATTCTGATACCCAAACCTGGCAGAGACACAGTGAAAAAAGAAAATCTCAGGCCAATATCCCAAATGAACATAGATGCAAAACTTCAACAAATTACTAGCAAATCAAATCTAGCAGCACATCAAAAAGCTAATCCCCCACAATCAAGTAGGTTTTATTCCTAGGATGCAAGGTTGGTTCAACACACACAAATCAAAAAATATATAATTCATCACATAAACAGAACCAAAACCAAAAACCATACAATCATCTTAAAAGATGAAAAGGCTTTTGATAAAATTCAATATCCTTTCATGTTAAAAACCTTCAACAAACTAGGCATTGAAGGAACATACCTCAAAGTAATAAGAAACATATATGAAAAACCTACAGCCAACATCATATAGAATAGGCAAAAATGGAAACATTCCCCTTGAGTACAGGAACAAGACAAGAATGCCAATTCTCACTACTCATATTCAACATAGTACTGGAAGTTCTAGCCAGAGCAATCAGGTAAGAGAAAGAAATAAAAGGCAGCCAAATAGGAAGAGAGAAAGTCAAACTATCTCTCTTCCCAGATGATATGATTCTATACCTAGAGAATCCCATAGTCTCTTCCCAAAGACTCCTAGATCTGATAAGCAACTTTGGCAAAGTTTCAGAATACAAAGTCAATGTACAAATATCAGTAGCATTTCTATACAACAGTAATATCCAAGTTAAGAGCCAAATCAAGAATGCAATCCTATTTATGATAGCTCCAAAAAGAATAAAATACCCAGGAATACCGCTGACCAGGGAAGTGAAACATCTCTATAGCAGGAATTACAAAACACTGCTCAAAGGAATCAGAGATGACACAAATAAATGAAAAAATATTCCATGCTCATGTATAGGAAGAGTCGATATTTTTAAAATGGCCATAGTATCCAAAGCAATTTACAGATTCAGTGTTATTCCTTTTAAACTACCGATGACATTCTTCACAGAATTAGAAAAAAAACTGTTTAAAAATTCATATGGAATGAAAAAGGAGTCTGAATAGCCAAGGCAATCCTAAGCAAAAAGAACAAAGCTTAAAGCATCACATTACCCAACTTAAAACTATACTACAAGGCTATGGTAAGCAAAACAGCATGGTACAAAAACAGACACATAGACCAGTGGAACAGGTTAGAGAACCCATAAATAAAATCACACACCTTCAGCTATTGATCTTTGACAAAGTTGACAGTAATAAGCAATGGGGAAAGAACTCCCTATTCAATAAATGATGCCAGGATAATTGGCTAGTCATATGCAGAAGACTGAAACTAGACCCCTTCCTTTCACCATATACAAAAATTAACTAAGATTAATTAATAACATAAATGTAAAACCTAAAACTAAAAACCCTAGAAAACCTAGAAAATGCCATTCTGGTCATAGGCTTTAACAAATATTTCATGACAAAGACTCCCAAAGCAATTACAAAACAAAAATTGACAAGTGAGACAGACCTATTTAAACTAAAGAGCTTCTGTACAGCAAAATAAATTATCAACACTTTAAAGAAACAGTTTAGAGAATAGAAGAAAATATTTGCAAACTATGTATCTGACATAGGTCTAATATGCAGAATTCATGAGGAACTCAAACAAATTAACAAGTAAAAAACAAGCAACCTCATTAAAAAGCAGACATGGGACATAAACAGACATTTCTCAAAAGAAAACATACATGTGGCCAACAAACATGAAAAAATGCTTCAGCATTACTAATCACTGGGAAAGGCAAATTGAAACCACAATGAGATACCATCTCACAACAGTCAGAATGGCTGTTATTAAAAAGACAAAAAAATAACAGTGGCAAAGTTGCAAAGAAAAGGGAACAGTTACCTACTGCTGGTGAGAATGTAAGTTAGTTTAACTACTGTGGAAAGCAGTTTGGAGATTTCTCAAAGAATTTAAAACAGAACTACCATTTGATCCAACCATCCATCCCATTGCTGAGTATATATCCATGGAAATATAAATTGTTCTACTATAAAGACACATGCAAATTTATATTCATCACAGCAGTATTCACAATAGCAAAGATATGGAATCAACCCAGATGCCTATCAATAGTGCATTGGATAAAAAAAAATGTGGTACATATATACCATGGAATACTATACAGCCATAAAAAAGAACAAACCGTGTCCTTTTCAGCAACATGGATACAGCAGGAGGCCATTATGCTAGGCAAATTAATGTAGAAACACAAAACCAATACCTCATGTTCTCATTTATAAGTGGGAGCTAAATATTGGGTACATATGGACACAAGAGAACAATAGGCATCAGGGTTTACTTGAGGGTGAAAGGTGGGAGGACTGAAAAACTACCTATCGAGTTTTATGCTCATTACCTGGATGAGGAAATAATCTGTACACCAAACCCTCATGGTATGCAATTTACCCATGTAACAAACCTGTGCATGTACCACCTGAACCTAAAATAAAAGCTGGAAGAAAAAATGAAATAAAAAAGCTTTTTTTCTTTATTTTCTTGTGATACAACCTCCTGACTAACCAGTGTGTTGCAGCCTTGTGGTGGAGAACTACCTATGTCAGCACAGAATCCAAACTCCCTGGGTTGGCCAAAGATGCCCTTCATTATTTGGTAACTGCTACAGTTACAACTTTGACTTTGGTGACTCCCAATTTACCAGTATTTGCACTTACTTTGATAACCACCTTGCTCTAAGCTGGGTCTGTGGCTGCTTCAACATGGCAGAAGTGATGCTGCCATATTGGTTTCAAGTGTAGCTAGTAATTGATGTGGCAGCTTCCATATCCTCATTCTTGGGATGCTTGCTCTTGGAATGCTTTATTTTGGAATTCATCTTCCATCAGTGGAGCAGCCCAAGCAGCCATGTGGAAATGACCATGGGGAGCAGAACTGAGGCCCCAGCTCCCATCCCTAACTGAGCTTCCACTGAAGCCTCCAGATGACTGTAGCCACCTCAGGGGCTTGGCCAACACTACATGGAACAGAAGAACCACCCAGTCAACGTGTAACTTACAGGAGGTAATATGTTATTGCTGGAAGCCACTCAGTTTTGCAGTGGTTTGTTCCTTGCAATAGAAAAATAAAATAGAGCCAAATGACCTTCCCTAGTGCTGTCAACCCATCTCTCCCCTTCTTCCCATCCTGTGCTTTAGTCAATTTGAGTGACTTGTCAGTAATCAAATCAGCCACTGGGCCTTTTCACTTGTTCCTCTCTTGGCCCAGAATGTCCTATCCTCCCTTCTCTACAGAGAAATTTTCTATGCATCAAGACAAATGTCACCTCTTCTCTGAAGTCCCCTTGACACATTCTTTTTCCTTCCAGGCAGCATTAGTATCCCTACTCTGTGCCCCATGGCAGTTTATGTGTTCTAGAATGTTATATAACCTATAGTTGAACCTATTATATTTTAAAAAATACATTGAATGGCTTGTCCATCCTCCTAGGAAGTGAATAGGAGTCATGGGTGTATTAGAAAGTAGCATGCGCTCTGGGTAAAGACATTTCTGGATTTGAATTCCAGTTTCTAAACTCAGCAGCAAGAGTTTATTTGGATACCTCTTTAAGCTTCAGTTTTCTAACCTGTAAATCAGGGTAATATTTGCCTCCTCTTAGGGTCACTGTGAAGATTAAATTGTACTGCTGCATGTCAAACACCTGTCACAGCAGCTGGCCTATCAGATGTTAAGGAATTCTAGAAAGATTCCCACCCTGTCATAATTCAATGTTAAGGATGACAACTCACCCCAGGCACCTTCTCCGGCCTCTCCCTCATCCCACATACCTCCAGTTTTAGGTGTCCTGCCTTGTGCTCTTGTAATCCCCCTCCTTACTGTGGTCATGGATTTTATCACACTGTGAGCCATCTCCATTGACAGGGAGCTCCTGCAGGTAGGCACCCACTGTTTCTTGTTACTATTTCCTCAATCCCAGCAAAACAGCATAGCACCCAATACCTGGTAGATGTTCACTAAATACTTCTTGAATTAATAGTCTCAAAATCTAGGATTTAATGTTGGACTACAGCTGAGTTAGGGAACTGGGGCAGTTTCCTTGCTTTTGAGTCAGGATAGTTTAATGTATTCTATTGGCCACATTCTGTTGATGAACTCATGTTGTTGAGCTTAGCAAATGTAATAGGGCTACCTGGGGGAATTTTAAAGGTATCATCAGCAAAAAAAGAGCTGCTTTTGTGTGAACTTGCGTAAGTCCCATAACTCAGTGCTTCATTTTTCTCATATTGAGGCATAGGATCTGTGGGATCTTTCTCAGTTCAAGCATTCTGATTTATAACTGTTTTAAATTTAGTGAAATCTTTCTAATCTTAGATTCCACGGACTTAATGTTTCTCACCTCCTGTCAATTCATCAGGAGCTTTTAGGAAAAGATCTGTAGCAGGGATCCTAAGTTGTCAAAGAGAATGTTTTATAACATTAAATAATGATGATACATTAACTATGATATTTTACAGAATCAGGAAATATTTAGCTTATGTAAATGAGTGGAAACACAGACAAAGATTTTTGTAGAAGCCACTTGATAGTGTTATTTATCATCTGGAAAAACCGAAAGCACCCTAGAAGTCCTACTTTAAGAATGGTTGGGTAAGTTTCTAATATATGAATTAACTAAAACTGAGCGTCTGCTCAGTGCTGGCCATGTCCTTGGTATCATTTAGTACAGAAAACCCTTCCAGGGTCTCATGGTTTTGTGAGAGCAATGTCAAGTGAACAGAGACAAGTTTCCCAAGTGGGGAAGTATGCAATATTACGGGGCATCCTTCCCAGACGTCAAGGCGGGAGAAGCAAAACTTGTGGGATCAGGGAAGATTTCCAGAGGAAATGCAGGCACTTGTGTTTTAGACAGAGACAAGAGCTTCTGCAAAGGCCGCCTGGGAAAGGTGAACTAATGCGTTTTGGAAACAGAAAGATCCTCATGTGGCTGTAGTGCAGAATATGGTGTTTTGGAATCATAAGGGATGGTGCTATAATGGTAACCATGTTAAAATATTTTGATTCCTCCTGTAAGAAATGGGGAAGCACTGAAAGTTTCTTATTTTTTCTCCTCCCATGAGAAGAGAAAACCATATTTGTGAAAAACTTTCAAGGATAAAGGAAAATAAATATGATAGGATATTAAAACAACAAAAATATTACATAATTCTGTATCTACTGTGATCTGTTTTATGTAAGGATAAACAGTATGCATGAGAAAAAGCCTGAAGAAAATAATGGCGGATGACAGCATTGGTCTCCTTTGGGTGGTGGGAAAATGGGTCACTTTTCTTTCTGTGCTTTTACTATTTCTTATACTGTCTAAATTTTCTTTCTCTTTTTCTTTTTTTTTAGACGTAGTTTCACTCTTCTTACCCAAGCTGGAGTGCAATGGTGTGATCTCGGCTCACTGCAACCTCTGCCTCCCAGGTTCAAGTGATTCTCCTGCCTCAGCCTCCCAAGTAGTTGGGACTACAGGCGCCCACTCCCATGCCTGGCTAACTTTTGTATTTTTAGTAGAGACAGGGTTTCACCATGTTGGCCAGACTGGTCTTGAATTCCTCACCTCAAGTGATCTGTCTATCTTGGCCTCCCAAAGTGCTGGGATTATGGGCATGAGCCACCATGCCTAGCCTCTTATACTGTCTAAATTTTCTACTGTATGCACGTGTGATTTGGGGCGTCAGAAAAATACAGAAAAAAGATCTTGAGGTTGATGAAAGATAAATGCTGTCCACACATTTGTGGAGCCTCCAGGTGTCCTGGTTTTGGACCCATCCTGAACTGACTTTCTCTTGGGGCTTTTCCCCCAGGCAGAGTGGGGGCTGGCATGTGCCTCCCCTCCACTTGTGTCTTGACCAGGGCTGTGCTGTATGTCTGAACACAAGCCTCACTTCTGCCTAAAGAAAACGAGAGGTTTAGACAGACCAGGGAGATCTAGTGAGGAACAGTTATGGAGTGTGGGGAATTCAGGGAGAGGCTGGCATGAACAGTTAAGCACTGCTGAGGAGAGCTCAGTCTCTGTGGGTGCCACTGAATAAAGAAGAAAGAAAGAGAGGTGGGCCCTGACACAGTAATGGGCAGGAACGATACAGAAACAAGATAAGGACACAGAGAGGAACAGAGGAAGGAGAGGGACAAGGAGAGAAAGAGGCAGAACTAAATAGAGAGGTAACACATCAAGGTGTGTGCAGTAAATGTGTGCATTTTTTTTTTTTTTGGTATATGGACTCTACCTCCATAAAGCTAAAAAAAGGATCATAGATGAAAACGTAACATGCGACACTGTGAAACTTTTAACGAAAACACAGGAGAAAACTTTTATAACCTTGGGTTTGTGATTTGTTTTTAAATACAATACCAAAAGCGAAGTCGATAAAAGAAAAAATAAGTTGAATGTTACAAAAAATAAAAACTTCTGCTCTAAAAGAGGTGGTGCTGGAGGGTGGGAGGGCAAGAAAGAAAGACAGTGAAAGGATAAAAACATAAGAGCGACAGAGATGAACAGAGGAGGGAGTTATAAGGCCATGGAGAAAGAGAGGCAAAGATGGAAGCAAAAGAGGCAGCAAGGCAGGCGCTGACTGGTAACAACAGGATTAGAAAGGCAAAAGCTATGGACACAGAGACACTGTAACCAACAGCAGAGGACGGAGGAGCTGGAGAGAAGGAGAGTAGATGCTCAGACCCAGAGATGATCTGGAGACACAGAGAGATGGAGATAGAGATAGGGCTGGCAAGAAAGGCAAGGATGGGATGATGGTGAGCAAAGAAAGTTTTTGCAAGACACATTAGAGCAGTGGTCCTCAACCTTTTTGGCACCCAGGACCTGTTTCATGGAAGACAATTTATTCATGGATGGTGCAGGTGGGGACGGTTTTGGGATGAAACTGTTCCACCTCAAATTATCAGGCATTAGTTAGATTCTCATAAGGAGCACGCAACCTAGATCCCTCACATGTGCAGTTCACAGAGGGGTTCGTGCTCCCGTGAGAATCTAATGCCTTCCGTGATCTGAGGAGAGGTGGAGCTCAGGCAGTAATGCAGTAATGCTTGCTCACCTGCTGCTCGCCTCCTGCTGTGTAGCCCAGTTCCTAACAGGCCACAGACTGGTACCAGTCCACAGCCCAGGGGTTGGGGAATCCTGCATTAGAGGACCTTTGTTTTCTGTGTCTGCATGGTAGTTCTGAGCAAGAATGTTTCAAAGACATGCAGACGTGCAAACGGCTTGTACTGAAACTCATTTCTTTCCTAGTTGCACTCTCAAAATGTTAGCAATATTATAATAAGATGAGAAAACTATTTGTATAGCTGTTTATGATTTATGCATCTCTTTAATTTCATCATTGTTTTACCCAATCAGTAGTCTTTTAATTAGATTTTTAATGCTCATTTTACTTATGGAAACTGAGGCTCAGAGAGGCTAAGCACCTTGTCCAGGTGGCATAACTAGCAAAGAGCTGAGCAGCAATGAAAACCCCAGCTGTCTGTTCTCCTAATTTAGGGCATTGGTGGCTATTTCATTTTCCTGTCTATTGTCAAGACTTTAGTGAGCTAGGTGCATAGGGGCTTCTGAAAACAATTGAATGTATCAGTAGTCATTAAACACCAACTGTGTGCAAAGGTATTGGAGAGGTAGTAATTCAGCTAATCAAGATTTGATTTCTATCCTCAAAAAGCTTATGGGAAAACTAAATTAATGAAAATACACAAAATTAACTCCGCTCTCCCTTGGGACTTCAGGTAGACTTAGTTTGAACATCCAATCTTTTTGGTGGTGAGAATCCAGAGCCTTTTCTTGAAATTTCTGCAAATTCTTGATCATCCTTCTCATGGCCTCCTCTGTTTCTGCTCCTGCAACTCTGAGTACCATCTGGGATTGGATCTGGGCCAAATGTGAAACAGACCTTGGCTCCTTTGTCATTTTATTTATTTTATAAAAATCTACTCGTATGGGTACATTTTGTGGGTTTAGTAACTTTAAGAAAGATTTGAGAGTAAAGGATAAGAATTCTGGTTTTTAGCACCCAGCTTTTCCCACCTTGTAGGCTTCCCACATTAGGTTTGATGTTTTCTAAATCCCCCACCACAGACAGGTCTATACCCCATTGTACATGACTCCCCTAGTGTAAAAGGTTCAAGCTCGCTTCATTTGAACCTCAACCTCACCTGGCTCGCTTAAACTTCCCCAGATCTCCTGATACTGAGGGAAATGCATTTTCCCATATTTCATTACACATGAAACAGTCAGAGACCCACCAAGGTATCAATGATGAGGTCACTGTGAGGCAAAAGGAAATGAGGATGATGGGAGCCAGTGGGGCAGGAGCACTGGAGGAGATGGCACCAGAGATGGGTTTCTCGAGAGCTTCCAGAGGTCTCAGAAGGGAGGCAGAATGTGCTCCTTAGGATGTGCAGGCTACTGGGACAATACCCAACCCATGCTCTTCTTTCTCTGCATCATTAGATCCTGGCTGGAGGGTAAGAGATGCAATTCGTACTCAGTCCTGGCCTGGAGACTTTTCTCTCCCTGAGCAGTTGGCTGGGAATGGTAGGAGGTGGCAAGGAAGCTTGCGCTTATCTATCTGGAGGGTCTGAGCTCTCTCTGTTTTTGTTTTGTTTTGTTTTTTTTGAGACGAAGTCTCACTATGTCGCCCAGGCTGCAGTGCAATGGCATGATCTCAGCTCACTGCAACCTCCACCTCCCGGGTTCAAGCGATTCTCCTGCCTCAGCCCCCCGAGTAGCTGGGATTACAGGCACCTGCCATGAAGCCCATCTAATTTTTGTATTTTTAGTAGAGACTGGGTTTTGCCGGGTTGGCCAGGCTGGTCTCGAACTCTTGACCTCAGATAATCCACCCACCTCGGCCTCCCAAAGTGCTGGGATTACAGGCGTGAGCCACCGTGCCCAGGTGAGCTCTCCCTTATGTATTTACTTTAACTTTCAGAACTAAGAAATCAGTCTCTCCCCAGACTAAGACAGAAAGGCAAAGGTGTTCATGTCACATCTGTTTCCAGCTGCCTTTTAGCATAGCTCATCCTTTTACACATTGGATGGCTCGATATTTACCAAATGCAACAATGCATGCAGCCCTGAATGGAAAACACAACAGCCTGATTCCTGTCTCCAGGGCCTCCTTCCTGGGAGGGTATGATCTCACTCGGGGACCCTTGAAGTCCTTGGGCATGTCTGTCTTCTGTGTGCAGCCAAGTGAGTTTTTTGTTAACGTGTAAAAAATGATCCTGAAATATGTCCGGAGGCTTTCCACTGACTTCTGCTAACACAGGTGTTATGTCTTCTGGCCCGGGCCAAATCCACAAGTTTACATTTTAATTTTTCAGTCATTCATTTTGATATATGCTTAATATTCATCAGTCATAAGTGAGTTTTAAAAATAAGACCTTAGAAAACAGAGGGAGAAGAAAAACATGCAGGCAAGAGTGCTGGGTTAGAGTCCAAAGACCTGAGCCCTGGGCTCCTCTGCAGCCTCATCCTGCATGTAACAACTTGGGCACCTCGATTTTGCTGACCTCCATATCCACATCTGTGAACTGTGGATAACAATAATCTCCTCTTACTGCATTTACAGGCTAGTTGCTAATGTACTTGGAAGTGCTTTGAAAACTTTAATATATGAGACAAATAATACTTGTTAAGCACTCTTTGCCAGGAAATGTGGGAAGCATCTTGCAGAAACTATTTAATTGAATTCCACAATAACCATATGTGGTAGGTACTATTAGTTGTATACAGGTGAGGAAACTGAGACTTTGGGAGATTCAGCAAATTATCCAGGATCATACATTTTACTAAGAAAATATTAATATAAGCCTTTTAATCCTTTAACGCATCAGTTTTTATCTTTCTTCCTCTTTTTCCTCGTTTTTCTTATTCTGTTCCTCTTTCTCCTTTTTTTTGTCTTGTTCTTTTTCTCTTCCACGACCATCTACTCCTTTTTCTTCTTCCTCTGCTGCTGCCTTCCTTCCTTGTCTGTGTCCCTCTACTCCTCCTTCTTTTTCTTCTTCCTCCATTTTACTTCCTCTTCCCTCCTTTATAAAGTGTATAGGGGGCCAGGTGCGGTGGCTCATGCCTGTAATCCCAGCCCTTTGGGAGGCCAAAGCGGGTGGTTAACAAGGTCAGGAGTTCGAGACCAGCCTGGCCAACATGGTGAAAGCTCGTCTCTACTAAAAATACAAAAATTAGCCAGGTGTGGTGGCGAGCACCTGTAATCCCAGCTACTTGGGAGGTTGAGGCAGAAGAATTGCTTGAACCCAGGAGGTGGAGGTTGCAGTGAGCTGAGATCATGCCATTGCACTCCAGCCTGGGTGACAAGTGCAAGCCTCCATCTCAAAAAATTGTATAGGGAAGTGTGATAATCTTTAGAGCTGTTCACCAAATGCTTCTCCTCATGGTAAATGTGTGCTTCCTGGTCCTTTTTGAAATCAGCTATGGCCATGACTTGCTTTAGCCAATACAATTTGAACAGAAGTGGCCTGTGTCCCTTCTGGGCAGAAATTTAAAAATCCAGTGCAGATTTTGCACATTCCCTTTTCCCATTTGCAAGCATAGATTTGGTGAAGCATCCCTCTACTTAGATGGCTGAGTGATTAGGATGACAGAGCCCTCTTTCCATTCCCTCCCATATCTACCTGCACTGGAGGTGTGCATAAGGGCAAAATATTAATGTGTTTGTACCTCAGAGATTTTGTGGCTGTTTGTTACTGCAGCATAACTGAGGCCATCCTGACTGATATGAGACACAAACCTGCTTGGACAAGCAGTAACCGGGAAAAGAGTGGATTGTAATAGGAATAGTACTGGTTGGAGTGGGAGTCCCAGATTTGTCAACTTATGTGGTGAACTTGGGCATCTCAGTTTATTATACTGGAAATCAAGGAGGAATAGATCCCTATTTCTCAGTCATGCTCTGGAGACAGAGCTCTTGAAGGTCCTAGTATTCCTAGCAGGATTCAGGAATTATTGTGTTAAATGAAAAATAACTGTTCATTACATTCTGCTAAGTCTCATTCATCTAAAATGAAATAAAGACAGGAGATAAACATTAAATATGGTAGAAAACTGCTTTTTAGGAAAACTTAAATTCAATAATTATTAATGTACTTATTTAATTCCCCCTCACTCAAACCACACTACCTACAAACTAGGAAGATTTTATGAATTTTTGGATTTCCTACTAGGACATCTTGCCTAGCACCAAGACAGAAGCATTTTGTGGGGCTGTGATTCAAGAATTTCCAGACTATATGAATGATTTCCTATTTCTTTTCTGCTATCATGCCCCAGAATTCTGAGTCTGTGAATCCCAAACCTTTCCTAACGTGTTTTTGGAGCTCCCTTTTAGCGAAAAATGCCACTTGTGGCTAGTGAGGTGATAGATGACTAAAATAATTGACTCCGAAGACTTACAAAAAATGATAAACAAGCTAGTTAAGAAAACAGAAAGACAGGCCAAGGTGCTTGTAGGTAGAGTGAGTGAGGAGACAGGTGTAATGTGAACTGCAGAGTGAGCACTGGTGGTTCCAGGTCTCTCCATTTCTCCAGATGGGCCTACTTCTGTCTATTACCTTGACCACCGTCTACTCTTATCTGATCTGTTTTCCTAATTTCCCCAAAAGTATCCTTGCTGCCCAGGGCCAGGACCAGGGTGAGGCAAGGTAGGCAGCTGGGGCATCACATTTAGGTAAGCACTCACTCTAAGGTAGAGGGAACAGCACAAGTAAAGAGCCTGGGGCAGAAGTGGCCTTGCATGCTCAAGGAATGGAACAGGGGCCAGTACATTTGATGTGTTGTGGGAAAGATGGGAGATGGGAACAAAGTCCAGATTACGCAGTGCCTTGGAGACCACAGAAAGGGCTTCAGGTTTTACTCAAAGCACAGTGAAAAAATATTGAGGAAGCTTTTGCAGAGGAAAAACATGGTTAGATAAATATTGTAAAAATATTGTTCCATCTGCTCTGTGGAACATAGTGTGGCAGGGGCATGAGTTGACCAAAGAAGACCAGTGAGAGGCCACAGTGATGTTCAAGGTGAGAGATGCTGGTAGTCTGAACCTGGGTGAAAGCAGGAAGAAGAGGACAATTGCAATATGTATTTTGATGAAATAAAATTATGTAATTGATTTCATTGTTCAGACATTGTTGATTATTTGAATGTGAGTATGTATGTGTGTATAGTGGGGAGGATTTGGGGAGGGAATGGAAAGGATCATTAACTCCTTGCCTAAGTGAGAAGTCAGGGATGCCACAGACTGAGGAGAGGAGAAGTGGGGCAAGGGAGGGAAGGAACAGGTTCAGACTTGGGGCAATAAATCAACAAGACTCTTCTAGGCATTCTATGTTTGACGTAATGATTAGGCATCTGAATGAAGCTGTCAGATAGATAACTAGAGTGTGAGGAAGAGGCAAGGGCTGGAAGTATAAATTTGGGAGTGAACCACGTAAAAACAGATCACATTTAGGAGCAATTTCTGCTTCTGGCCAAGGTGGAATAACAGGGACCAGATTTACCTTCAACATAAGAAAATGGAAAACTGTAGAGAATATAAGAAAATGCTTTTCACATGCTAGACATTAGGCAATGCAGGGCAGTGATCCCTGAGAGTAGGGAGGCACGTGAGGTGAGCTATGATTTTCCCTGCTTACTCCCTGGAGATAGTTTCCAGGATGTGGCACAGGGACGGGTGAGCTGAGCAGTCTATGGTTTCCCTAGTTGAGACGACAGAGCTGGGAGTTCTGGAAGGCCAAGGGGAATGGACGCTTGTGTTGGAGAAGGGAGAACTGCATAGAGAGAATGTGCTGGTGATTTACAGTGGACCCAGCTGGCCTCAGGGCTGCCTCTGCTTCTGGCTGACCCAGATACCAGTTTGATATCTGCTACGTAGCTTTCTTAGTCACCTTTTATGCATGAAGTCCCAGGTTTCGTGCATTGACTCTGATGCTGGATCCCATCACACTCCGTGGGCCTCTGCCCATCTCAGTTATGAAGTCTTGGCTGCCCCTGCTGGCTTTTGGCCCAGTGCTCTATAGATCTCACTTCTCTTACCACTTATTGCTAGGTGCTTCTCTTCCACGTGTGGCCTACAGGGGTGCATACCTTGTTGAAAAATATGATTATTTTTTCAAGTCTTTCACCTCCTTTGTTAGATGCATTCTTGGGTATTTTTTTTTGTAATTACTGTAAATGAGATTGTGTTCTTAATTTGGTTCTCAGCTTGAACACTGTTGGTTTATAGAAATGCTTCCAATTTTTGTATGTTGATTTTTTATTCTGAAACTTTACTAAAGTCATTTATCAGATCTAGGAGTCTTTTGGAGGAATCTTTAGTGTTTTCTAGGTATAATCATATGGTCAGTGAACAGAGATAATTTGAATTCCTCTTTTCCTCTTTGGATGCCTTTTATTTCTTTTTCTTGCCTAATTGTTCTGTCAAGGACTTCCAGTATTATGTTGAATGGGAGTGGTGAGAGTGGACATTCTTTTCCTGTTCCAGTTTTTAGGGAAAATGCTTTCAGCTTTTGCCCATTTAGTATAATGTTGGCCATGGGTTTGTCATAGATGGCTCTTATTAATTTAAAATATGTTCCTTTGATGCCTAGTTTGTGATAATTTTTATCAAGAAGGAACATTAGATTTTATCAAATGCTTTTTCTGCATATATTGAGATAATCATATGGTTTTTGTTTTAAATTCAGTTTATGTAGTGAATTACATTTATTGATTTTCATATGTTGAACCATCCTTGCATTCCAGGAATAAAGCCCACTTGATATTGATGAATTATCTTTTTGAGGTATTGCTGAATTCAGTGTGCTAGTATTTTGTTGACAATACTGATGAAATAACTCAATGATGACACAAAGAAATAGAAGTACATTTCATGATTGTGTATTGGAAGAATCAATATTTTTAACATGCCCTTACAACCCAAAGCAATCTTCAGGTTTTTTTTTTTTTTAATTTATACTTTAAGTTCTGGGATACATGTGCAGAACGTGCAGGTTTGTTACACTGGTATACATGTGCCATGGTGGTTTGCTGCACCCATCAACTGGTCATCTACATTAGGTATCCCTAATGCTATCCCTCCCCTAGCACCCCACCCCCCAACAGGCCCAGTGTGTGATGTTCCCTGCTCTGTGTCCATGTGTTCTCATTGTTCAACTCCCACTTATGAGTGAGAACATGCAGTGTTTGGTTTTCTGTTCTTGTGTTAGTTTGCTGAGAATGATGGTTTCCAGCTTCATCCAAGTCCCTGCAAAGGACATGAACTCATTCTTTTTTATGGCTGCATAGTATTCCATGGTGTATATGTGCCACATTTTCTTTATCCAGTCTATCATGGATGGGCATTTGGGTTGGTTCCAAGTCTTTGCTATTGTGAACAGTGCTGCAATAAACATATGTGTGCATGTGTCTTTATAGTAAAATGATTTATAATCCTTTGGGTATATACCTGGTAATGGGATTGCTGGGTCAAATGGTATTTCTGGTTCTAGATCCCCGAGGAATCACCACACTGCCTTCCACAATGATTGAACTAATGTACACTCCCACCAACTGTGTAAAAGCATTCTAATTTGTCCACATTCTCTCCAGCATCTGTTGTTTCCTGACTTTTTAATGATCACCGTTCTAACTGGCATGAGATGGTATCTCATTGTGGTTTTGATGTGCATTTCTCTAATGACCAGTGATGATGAGCTTTTTTTCATATGTTTGTTGGCCACATAAATGTCTTCTTTTGAGAAGTGTATGTTCATATCCTTCACCCACTTTTTGATGGGGTTGTTTGTTTTTTTCTTGTAAATTTGTTTAAGTTCTTTGTAGATTCTGGATATTAGCCCTTTGTCAGATGGATAGATTGCAAAAATTTTCTCCCATTCTGAAGGTTGCCCATTTACTCTCATGATAGTTTCTTTTGCTGTGCAGAAACTCTTTAGTTTAATTAAATTGAATTTGTCAATTTTGGCTTTTGTTGCCATTGCTTTTGGTGTTTTAGTCATGAAGTCTTTGCCCATGCCTATTTGCTGAATGATATTGCGTAGGCTTTCTTCTAGGGTTTTTATGGTTTTAGGTCTTATGTTTAAGTCTTTAATCCATCTTGAGTTAATTTTTGTATAAGGTGTAAGGAGGGGACACAGTTTCAGTTTTCTGCATGTGGTTAGCCAGTTCTCCCAACACCATTTATTAAATAGGGAATCCTTTCCCCATTTCTTGTTTTTGTCAAGTTTGTCAAAGATCAGATGGTTGTAGATGTGTGGCGTTACTTCTGAGGCCTCTGTTCTGTTCCATTGTTCTATTATCTGTTTTGGTACCAGTACCATGCTGTTTTGGTTACTGTAACCTTGTAGTATAGTTTGAAGTCAGGTAGCATGATGCCTCGAGCTTTGTTCTTTTGGCTTATGATTGTCTTGGCTATATGGGCCCTTTTTTGGTTCCATATGAGCTTTAAAGTAGCTTTTTCTAATTCTGTGAAGAAAGTCAATGGTAGCTTGATGGGGATGGCATTGAATCTATAAATTACTTTGGGCAGTATGGCCATTTTCACAATACTGATTCTTCATATGAATGAGCATGGAATGTTTTTCCATTTGTTTGTGTCCTCTCTTATTTCCTTGAGCAGTGGTTTGTAGTTCTCCTTGAAGAGGTCCTTCACATCCCTTGTAAGTTGGATTCCTAGGTATTTTATTCTCTTTGTAGCAATTGTGAATTGGAGTTCACTCATGATTTGGCTCTCTGTTTATCTCTTATTGGTGTATAGGAATGCTTGTGATTTTTGCACATTGATTTTGTATCCTGAGACTTTGCTGAGCAATCTTGAGTTTTAGTGCAATTCCTATCCAATTACCAATGTAATTTTAATAAAATTAGAAAAAGTAATTCTAAAATTTATACAAAACCAAAGAGCCTGAATAGCTAAAGGAATCCTAAGCAAAACAAAAACAAAATAAAAACAAAAAACAAAATAAAAAAAAAACCCAAAGCCACAAGTATCATATTACCCAACTTCAAACTATACTTCAAGGCTATCATAACCAAAACAGCATAGTACTGCCACAAAAATAGATATATAGACCAATGGAATAGGTTAGAGAACCCAGAAACAAAGTCACACACCTACAACCAACTGATCTTTGGCAAAGTTGACAAAAATAAACAATGAGGCAAGGAAACTCTATTCAATGAATGGTGCTGGAATAACTAGTGAGTCATATGCAGAAGAATAAAACTAGACCACTACCTCTCATGATATACAAAAATTAACTCAAGATGGATTAAAGACTCAAAGGTAAGTCCTCAAACTATAAAAATCCTAAAAGAAAACCTAGGAATAACTCTTCAGAACATTGGGCTAGGCAAATAATTTATAACTAAGACCTCAAAAACGAATTCAACAAAAACAAAAACAAAAACAAAAAGACAATTGGAGCCTAATTGAGTTAAAGAGCTTCTCCACAGCAAAAGAAGCCATCAAGAGAGTAAACAGACATCCTACATAATGGGAGAAATTATTTGCAAACTATGCATCCAACAAATAACTAATATTTAGACTCTATAAGGAATATAAACGACTCAACAAGAAAAAACAAATAGTCCCATTAAAAAACGGGCAAAGAGCGTGAATAGACACTTCTCAAAACAAGACATACAAATGGCCCACAAACATATGAATAAATGCTCAGCATTGCTAATGATGAGAGAAATGTAAATTAAAATCATAATGAGATATCATCTCACACTAGTCAGAATGGCTATCACTAAAATGTCAAAAAATAATAAATGTTTTTGAGAATATGGAGAAAAGGGAATGCTTTTACACTTTTGATGGAAACGTAAATTAGTTCAAACCTGTGGAAAACAATTTGTAGATTTTTCAAAGAACTAAAAATAGAACTACCATTTGACCCAGCAATCTCATTACTGGTTATCTACTGAAAGGAAAGTAAGCCATTCAACAGAAAGGCACCTGCCCTCATATATTTATTGCAGCATGATAGCAAAGTCATGTATTCAACCTAGGTGCCCCAAAATGGTGGATTGGATAAAGAAAATGTGGTACATATACTCCCTGGAATACTATATAGTCATAAGAAGAATGAAATTGTGTTCTTTGCGCAACATGGGTGCAGCTGGAGGCCATTATCCTAAGTGAACTAATGCAGAAACAGAAGATCAAATATTGTGTGTTCTCACTTGTAAGTGGGAGCTAAACAATGGGTCCACATGGATATAAAGATGGAAACAATAGACACTGAGGACTCCAACAGTGGGGGAGGAGAAAAGGAGGCAAGGGTTGAAAAATTACCTATTGGTTACTATGTTCACTATTTGGGCGATAGGTTCAATAGCAGCTTTAACCCCAGTATTATGCAAT
Organism: Homo sapiens; assembly: GCF_000001405.40. NCBI lineage: Eukaryota > Metazoa > Chordata > Mammalia > Primates > Hominidae > Homo > Homo sapiens. The sequence goes on along the minus strand of NC_000004.12, from coordinate 13,269,887 downwards.
ATATCCATATAACAAACCCATAGAGGTACGCCCTGAGTCTAAAATAAATTTTAAAAAATATCTTTTATATCTCCTGTTGCTATTTTTATTTAGACAAGAATGAGTGTTTAAATATTACTTCACTCTCCTCTTGATTGGCAAGTAATGGAACAATCTCAGTGTTTGTCTTCCTGGATCTTACTGCAGTGTTTGATCCTCTTTCTTGACATGCAGTCCTAGCTTTCATGATACCATTTCTCCCAGTTTTCTTTTACCTCCCTGGCCTTTCTCAGTCTCTGTTAAATGCTCCAGAGATCCACCCTTGGCAGTCTTTCACCCAATTCCACTGCTGCAGGTGCTTTATCATTGCTACTGACTCCAGCTCAGGCTACTCTACTTGCATGTTCCTTAGGCACTCCCACCTCAACAAGTTCAAGATCATTGTCTATAACATTCCCCTCAAACCTGCTCCTCCACCTGTATAATCTAGTGTGGTAAGTGGCACCCTATAAAATCATATATTTAAGATGGAAACCTGAGTGCTATAACAGATTCCTCCTTTAAAAAAAATCTGGCTCAGTCAGCTACTCAATCACTGTCTCATCAGTTTTGCACCTGTAACCCACTTATATCTTGGACTATTGGCTCTTGTCTCAATGTGAGCCTTGAATTGTAAACATAGACAAATAAACAGCAGTCTGGAAACAAAAAAAGCAGGACAAATAAAAATGAAAACATTTTAAACTATTACTTAATTTTCTAAAGAATCCCCCCAAAATATCCCACACATAATGCACAGCGAACTTTGAAATATGCTTTTCTCATTTTTGCCTTTCTCTGTTATCTTTATCTATAGCTACATGTCTTTCTCCCTCTATCGTATACCTGAAGAGCTCCTTTTTTCCCTTTCCCTGAAAAACTTCCTCTCTTCAACCCCAGCTTGTGACTATCCCCAAACCCAAGATCTTTTACTACCCCTCTCTTTTGTTGTTTCATGGTTTACTCTGGACTCTTTCTGATGTAAATCAATTCCATAACCTTCTGTACCTCTCAGACTTCTCTCTCATTCCTACTGCTTTTAGCATCACAAAAGACTAAGAATTGAGTAGATTCACAGACGTGTTCTTGGAAAGGAGGGACGTATTAAAGAGGAAAAATGCATTTATTTCAAATTTAATATTTTTCTTTATTTACTGTCCAAACCCAGTCAAATTTCTTTCCCGTTCATTCCCTTCTCTCCATTCCTGGCTGTAACAATTACAGCCCAGTGTCAAGGACTGTGAAAGGACTGAAATTTCCTCCTAACTGTAAGTGAACAAGACAAACTATCACAGTTTCATGGATGCTGGTAGAAGACTCAAGACCCAGGAGTCAAACACAAAGGACAATTTATTGTTCACAATATAAGCAGTCGCCAGTGTCAGCATTATTGTGTCATTTTCCCGAGCACCGATTCCCACAGGATAATGCACAGAGAGCCAGAAGACACCTGCATACACAGTGAGGTGCAGAGCAGGAGAGATATCCTGAGTTTAGGGAGGAAAAGCCTTTTATGATGGGTCGTAAGCATGCCTACTCTTTGCTGCAGAGCAGGGGAGAGTTAGATACTACTGCTATCTTCCACAGCTGTAAGCACACCTTTCTTTTTTTCTGGAGGAGACACTATCTATTATCTCCCAATGCTGTTCAATATACAAAAACCCTTGAAGAGATGGTCTGGAACAGAGAGCAATCAAGGCCTCATTTACAAGACTTGTAGAAACATAAAGAGACCCACGAAGGATTCTCTCTCCTCACCTCCTCAGGACAATTGACATTTATTGTCGGAATATTAAAATATCTGCCCAAATGCCCAAGTTGTTCCACGTCTTACCCTCTTCCAACGCATCCTCCCTCTGCTGCAAGGGTAATCTTTCATAATGCAAGTAGTGTCATGCAAGTAGCATTGCTTACAATTATTCAATGACTGCTTATTTTCTACAAGATAATTTCTGTAATGTGCCACATAAAACATTTTTTGATTTGACATTTGCCTACCTTTTCAGTCTTCTTTTCCATCCTGTACTGAAAATATTTGGCATTTAAAACATGATTATAATCTTGCATTTAATATTATAAATAACTTTTGGCGCTACTTCTACAAGGAAAGCAATTTACAAGTTATTGGACTTGAGATGGCCTTTATAAACGTATAAGCTATTCTTAGTAAAGTCCACTTCAAATTCTATTTGTACTGTTTGTGTGTAAATATGTGTTTTGCTGTGTGTGTTAATGACAAAGGAATTTAGAAAGAAAATTACTCTGTAAGACCAACAAATAGAAGTACTATATATTCTCTATTTATTTATATTTTTTCTACAAGTATTCTAGGCCTTGCATAGATCAACTGTAGTCGAACTTGTCTCCTGTCTGATGCTAACAATGACCCCTTGCTCTGGTTTGCCACTGGGGTTTAAAACCCCTCTCTCAAGTTCACACAACTGTCCCTTCAGGGGCTTTGCGTTTTTTCTCAGTCTGAGCTCTTTTAGACAAATGTCAGTTTTTTTGCCATTAGCCTTGTGAGAATTCCTGAAAATAAATAAACAGCTTGGAGAAGGAGAGCCACTCTGGGAGTGGAGAATATGAGTCAGTGCCATGGTTGGTGGGGGGAGAAATGAACTTTTAGCTTATGTTGTGGGTCTCTTACTTTGAGACTTGACACTGGGAGTGGTCTTGGACTCCTGCTTCCTGACATCTACCCCCAGACTGAAGTCCGTGCCAGGAAAGGGGTGATAAACCAGAGTTTATGGGGACCATTTATGATATATTGACATGTTGAGGTGATCTTTATAACGATTTTAAGCTTATTGATTTTTAGGAAGGATTGAAGCATTTTATATCTGTTGCATCAAGAGAAACCCAGGCCTCCTGTAAAATGGATCTAACTCCACTGCCTCCTATTTCCCATTACAATCCATGAAGGATTTATTATTCCTGCTACTCACTGAGTGACGTCGGGTGAGTCACTGTCTGAGCTTCAGCTTCCTATCCATAAAATGGGACTAGCAATGCAATGGGATTGTTGTGAAGATTGAAATAAAACAAACAGTGTTATATGGAAGAGTGTTTTAAGCTATAAAATGCTATAAAAAACTAGGAATTTGTGTTCTTTGGCTCCTGAAGGCCAAACATTCTGTCTTATGCTACTGAGGTTTATCTTCCACCTCTAGCAGATTTATGTTCACAGAGCAAAAGTCGTGAACATTTATGAAAATGTTTTTTGTTTTTTTTTTCCCTCAACTGTGGGGAGATGTTGGCCAAAGTGTAGGAAGTTTCAGTTAGACTGCAGATCTATTTTACAGCATAGTGACTATAGTTAATAATCATGTATTGTACAATTGAAAATTGCTAGGAGAGTGGATTTAAAATGTTTTCATCATAAAAACTGGTAAGTACATGAGGTGATGGAGATGTTAATTCAATTGATAAATCATTCCACATTGTATACATACATCAAAACATCAAGTTGTATACCATAAATATATCCAAGTTTTTATTTGTTAATTAAAAATAAAAAATAGTAAGAATACAATTAAAAGAAGAGTTTTTCTATTTTTAAAAACTGTATACATGTAATTTTAAAAGATGGGTAGTATTAGTATTAATTTTAGTTCTTTCCCTGGAATAGTATAAACTTGAGCAGGTTGTTATCCAGATTTGCATCTTCACTCTTACTAGACTATGATGTCCTCAAGGGCAGCAATTATCTTTTCATTCCCCAAGTTCAGCACAGTGTGTCTATGAGTGGATTGTCAGTAAATGTTCATTAAAAAAAATGTACAAACTGCAACTTCTCCATCTTTAAAGAATGAGAGTGGGGGCTGGGCGCAGTGGCTCACACCTGTAATCCTAGCACTTTGGGAGGCCGAGGCGGGTGGATCATGAGGTCAGGAGTTCAAGACCAGCCTGGCCAACATGGTGAAATCCTGTCTCTACTAAAAAATACAAAAATTAGCTGGGAGTGGTGGTGTGCGCCTGTAGTCCCATCTACTTGGGAGACTGAGGCAGGAGAATCGCTTGAACCCAGGAGGCAGAGATTGCCGCGAGCTGAGATCACGCCACTGCACTCCAGCCTGGCAATAGAGCGAGACTCAGTTTAAAAAAAAAAAAAAAAAAAGGAAAGAGAGTGGGACTCTATCAGTTTTCTTCTAAGCAAGGCATGTGACTCATCGGCCGGTTGTGAAGGTGCTAGAGTAAAAAATTGAAGTCGACTACACATAGCAAGGTAGGGATTGCTTTGTGAAACCTGTTTCAGCTGTGTGTGTATGCGTGTATGTTTGCGTGTAGTGTATACAAGTGGCAGAATAGATTTCTTACTGTTCATTGTGGCCACAAATGTGTGAAAAACAGTGGACTGGTCCTTCTATCCCTAATGTTACATTACAGCTACTACCGCCATCATAATATTTTATTTTATTTATTTATTTATTTTTGAGACGGATTCTCGCTCTGTCGCCTAGGCTGGAGTGCAGTGGCACAATCTCAACTCACTGCAAGCTCAGCCTCCTGGGTTCACACCATTCTCCTGCCTCAGCCTCCCGAGTAGGTGGGACTACAGGCATCCACCACCACGCCCTGCTAATTTTTGTATTTTTAGTAGAGACAGGGTTTCACCATGTCAGCCAGGGTGGTCTTGATTTCCTGACCTCGGGATCCACCCGCCTCGGCCTCCCAAAGTGCTGGGATTACAGGCATGAGCCACTGCATCCAGCCTATAATATTTTATATTTGATTGCTACTTTACATTTTACAAGTACTGTTTATCTGTTTATACCCCCCCTCATATAGTCCTCCGTTACAACCTAGGATGGGGAGGAATATGTTATTACTCTTTCCATTCTTCTTGTGGTAGAGGAAAGGCTTGTATCCACAACTCCCCCTTCTAGGATGGACTGTCTTTGTTTGGAAACATTGAAGTAAGTCCTGGGAAGGGTGGCTGAGGAAGACATGCTCTGAGGACAAATGGAACAGGTTACTGTCTTCTCCAGGTGAAAAGTGTTGTGGGAGGCAGGTGCCTAGGTGTGGAGAGAGGCCACTGAGGCTGCATGGAGGAGGGGAAAAGCTGAGAGAGATAACCCTTAAAGTAACCCTTGGAGAGTACGGGTTCTTTAGTGGAATGTTTGCATGATCTGACCTCCTTCCCAGGGCTCTACCAGTCTTTGGATAAGATCTTTGCAAAGCCATGAACTTCCAGCTGTGACTGAATTTCTTGTGGAGTCTGGCACAGAAGTCGATGTCTTCATCAGGTTGTTGCCAAAGTCAAAGCAGAAACAGCATGTATGGATGAAGAGACAGTGAGCATCTGGGTTATATAAAGATGAAGACACTGAGGGTCAGGGAGGCTTTCTGACAGAAGCTAAGTATTGACTACAGGCGCTTAGTATGCTTGGAACTAGATGACATGGAAGGATTAGTTCAATTTTGTTTCTTTTTAACTGGTATGGCTCTATCTCTCTTGGTCATGACAGTGTTTTCTTGAGATTCTGTTGTGGTATCAGCTATGGATGGGTACATGAGTGGGGTAAAAATGATTCACACATGAGTGGGCAAAAGGTCAACAAGAAAGCCACAGCCTGCCTCAGGCAGGGAACAAACATGTCTTTATCTCTCTTTTTTTCGGTACTGGAAATAATACAGAATTGTTGATGTATGTACAGTTGGGTGGAATTTTCTGCTAGTGCTGAAAACCAGGCAATCCATATTATGCCTCCTACTACTGCACCACAGAGATGAATAGTGAGACGTCGCCCTCAAGTTACAGATAACTGCAGCAGGCATCTTTGCAGAGTGTCTACTGGAGGATGGAGGGTGTCCCTGAGTTTTATCATTGTAAGGAGCTATGCTATAGCTATTATATTAGGAAAGCAACAGTAAGTACCATAAAAACACATCTTAGAAAACCCAAAACAAACAAACAAACAAAAAAACTATGCAATTTCAGACAAAGAGATAAAATTCTCATCAATTAGGCACTTGAGTCCCAGGGTCTGTTTCTACATCAAATGTCTGTTCCTATGCAGACTGGGTTAAAAACAGATTATCATGGGACATTGAGAGGACTTGAGACTGTAGTATTAGGGCAGCAAAAAGGTGCAGGCACTGAACAGGCTCTGATCAGAGAGGCAGGGCTAATGTCAAACCTCCTCTGTCCTGCAATGATTCCCAAATTGCTGTAGTGGTGGGGGGTAAGTGTTGTAACTTCCAGGAAGACTTTATCAAGTGACTTCTGCTTCCCCAATCCTGAGAGATTTTAGTGAATTTCCCCCCTGTGTCATCCCTCTCCCTACCTTCTTTTCCCTTATCTCAACTGGCTGAAAATTACTACATGCAAAGGAGTATTACTCATGGGCATGTGTTTTGTTTTTAACAGCATGGTGGCATGAAAAAGTCCAAGAACTCATTCATTTTTGTAGTGTAGACATTGTTTTATATCACATGTGTAGAGACCTGTATAGAGTTCTGTTTTCCATGGATTTATTTACTCTTTTTTTTTTTTGAGACGGAGTCTCGCTCTGTCACCCAGGCTAGAGTGCAGTGGCGTCATCTCGGCTCACTGCAACTCTGCCTCCTGGATTCACATCATTCTCCTGCCTCAGCCTCCCAAGTAGCTGGGACTACAGGCACCCGCCACCACGCCCGGCTAATTTTTTTTGTATTTTCAGTAGAGACGGGGTTTCACCATGTTAGCCAGGCTGGTCTCGATCTCCTGACCTCGTGATCCATCCGCCTTGGCCTCCCAAAGTGCTGGGATTACAAGCGTGAGCCACCGCGCCTGGCCTGGATTTATTTACTCTTAGCAACTCCTATCAGGTATAAAGATCTTCACTGACTGCTGGAGTTGCTTGTTGTGTCCAGAGTGGGCAAACCAGGTGAGCAGCTTCTGCCCCTGAGACAATCACACCTGAGCAAGGCCAACTCTTGTTGAGGTGCTCTACAGTTTACAAAAACACCTTTGTAAACCCCCAAATGCTGTTCAAATGTAATTGGAAATTATTTCTGCCTGGCCCCAACCGTCTTCTACACTCAATCAGTCACTGCATGCACAGTGGTCTCTTTATGAAATTCCCCATCCTGCATTTATGAGTATGTAACTTGATACAGCTTTTTGGTGCCTTCTTTGTCTGTAGGTAAATAGCTCAGGGGGAATTTACAAGCCTTTCCCCATGCCCCAAGAACAGTCATCACCAACCTGTGAGTCTTGGATTGGGGCTTATCCCGTGCATTCACGTCTTTTATTTCTGAACCTCACAGAATCCCTGTGGTAGGATAATGCCTATTTTATAAGTAAGGAGGTAGGATAATGCCCATTTTATAGGTTAAGAAACACAGGTTGTAAGAGGCCAAGCTACTTGTTCAAAGGCTTTAAGTTGAGGTCCACTGACCCCCAGCATGCCCCAGAGAGTCATTAGACTGTCAACCTATGAGGTCAGGAATAAGATCTGTCTTGCTGATTGTTGCAACTTCAGAATGTAGTGTGGAGCAGGGCTCAGTAATGCCTGCAGAATGAATGAATGAGGGAATGAACGAATGACTGAGTGAGGATCAGCTGCAGTGTTCAAATCCCTCGGCACCTAGCCTGGTGTCTGTCAGGCAGTAATGCTCAGTGGGTATTTGCTGCAAGGATGGGTGAATAAAGAAATGTGTGGGTGCCTCTCTGAGGGTCTGACATGGGGGCTGGAAGTTCTGTGCTCACTTCTCTGCACTCACCTCTAGGTTTTGCAGCTAAGGATATGTCTTTGGCTCATTGTTGACTCTTTCTGATAGTCTAGTAGAAGGCTCACCTGTGGTGCCTGGGAGCCTTGCTGGGCTCAGCACACACAGTGAGGCAGCAGGAACACACACCTGTCAGAAACATCTTTCCTCTGCAGAAAGCAGACCTGGAATGTGACTTGAGCCTCCCAGAAATACATTCTCCCCACCTCCATCTCCTGGGGCTATATGTGGGAATCTTCTACCCCATAGGCCAGCAATAAAAAATCAACTTTCCCTCTTAGAGAAGGGGCATCTCTGGGAGCTCCAGTCCTGAGGCCTGGGTCTTTATTTATTGCCAGCCTGCTTCAGAGCTTCCAAATCCCAGGGAGGCCTCACTGCTCTGCTCCAAATCTTCAAAGGACTGTTGATATTTGATCTCCTGTCCCAATTAATCAGCTGCTCCATGCATTCACAATGTTATCCCTGTTTGCAACTGCATGGTTGGAATGCTTTTCCTTGATGTGGCTTTGCCACTTCTATGCTGAAGGAATGAGAAAAAGATACACTCTTCTTTTTTCCTGCCTGTTCTTCCTGTGTCTGGAAAACGCAGACTGCTTTTGGATCTGCTCCCACTGCCTAGGGTTCAGCCTTACTTTCCCACTTTCTGGCCAGTTGATGACTCAGTTTCTTTGACCATAAAATGAGAACCCCAAGACTTGTCCTGCCCATCATGCTAAATATTGGTTTTCTTTTGAATTACTTTTGCTTCCAGGACATGTCTAAAAGTGGCTTGTTTCAATAAACTTTTCTTGTCATTTCCCATTTTCTCCTTAAATGATTAAGGCGCAAATGGTTGATGCTAACCAAGGATTGATGGATACAGTAATTACTCAGTGCCAAACTTTTTAAGAAGCTACCCCCAAAAGGTCTTTGCTCATTCTTTGAGTCTCTAAGGGGGAATGAGAGGCAGTTAACATCGTTCACACCTACTATGTGTGGAACATATTAGCCTGTTTGTGCATGAGCTCTTACATAACCTCCAGGGCAGTTCCTTGGATAGCATAATGATCCTGTTGTGTTGCTGAAAACACTAATGCTCCATGAAACCAGTAAATTTTTGAAGCTCATGCTATGAATATGTGTGGAAGTAAGGGATGCACCCACATCTCCCTAACCTCAAAGGTACAACTGTCATCTCTACCTTATCCATCTTTCCAGAAAGAAATGAATAATAGACTATGTGTATGAACTAGTATCATCAATGCCATCAGGCCTTGTGCCCAAGGGGATCTACATACAATCTTTTGAAACAGGATTAAGTTACATGATTTATCATGTTGTCCAAAAGGAAGAGTTTCTGTACATTTTGAAAGGAGAAGGTGCTGAGTGTGTGCCCATGTGTAAGCTCATGAGTTGTGGCATTAATATTAATATAAAATAATACATAATTACTAGAAGTAAATATTAATTAAAATATTAAAAATAATAATATTAATGAACACCTACTATGAGCCTGTGATAAGTATCTCATTTAATACTCTCAATAATCTTCCCAGATCAGTATGCCATTTTATGATATTTTCAATTTTAGCACGACAATTTTCAAACATATGGAAAACTCAAAATAGCATAATAAGCACCTATGTTTTCCTCATCTAGATTAGCAGTAATGCTCAATTTTCTACGTTCATTTTTTTCCCCCGCTAAATTATTTTGAAGTATACTTGTTGTGAGATTTCATTCCTAAATATTCCAATATGTATTTCTAAGGGGTAAGGGATTTTCCAATATAATTTTAGGACTATTATGACTCTTAAGAGAAAGTTCCCCATATTAAGATGAGAAAATGTTTAGAAATGCATTGAACTCCAGCAAAGTAGACTATCTTGGGGCCCTGGAGCATGGCCCATTATTTCCTCATCATGCTATGTGCTGAGTTAAAGAACTTCAGTTTTGGAGGGTGAATTCCTGAAGTGCCAAGTTAGGAGGGACTGGGGATAGTGGTTAGAGAGAGTATGACCTGACTTCAGCCTCTAGGTTACACCTGTATTTGATGCTTTGCATTTTTCATCCCTGCATTAGTCTGTTCTCATGCTGCTGATAAAGACATACCTGAGACTGGGTAATTTATAAAGAAAAAGAGATTTAATGGACTCACAGTTCCACATGACTGGGGAGGCCTCACAATCATGGCAGAAGGTAAAAAGCACGTCTTACATGGCAGCAGACAAGAGAGAGAATGAGATCCAAGTGAAAAGGGTTTCCCCTTATAAAACCATCTGATCTCGTGAGACTTATTTCACTACCATGAGAACGGTATGGGGGAAATCACACCCATGATTCAATTATCTCCCACCAGGTCGCTCCCACAACACGTGGGAATTATGGTAACTGCAATGCAAGATGAGATTTGTGTGGAGACACAGCCAAACCATATCAATCCCCTTTCACACACATTATGCCACTCAAAGTGCAGATAATTTTTAGGCCCTCTGCTCCAATGAGAATCTGGGCAGCATAGCTAGATGTGGCCTACTTCAAACTTAAAAATCTTTCCTTAAGAATACTGTTTATCTTTAAAAATATATAATTCCTGCTTCATAATCTCTCCACTTGTGTTTTTAATATGCACTCATGAATTTATTTGCTCATTTGTGCAACAAATATATATATATTTGTATTTTTAGTAGAAATGGGTTTTCACCATGTTAGCCATGCTGGTCTCAAAATCCTGACCTCAGGTGATCTGGTCTCGGCCTCCCAAAGTGCTGGAATTACAGGCATGAGCCACTGTGCCCGGCCAAAGAATATTTTTTTGAGGACAAACTATGCCCAAGCACAGATACATATTCGTGGGCAAGTCAGACTTAAGTGATGGGGTATTTTTGTTTTGAGGCTGCCGATCTCAAGAAGCAGGAGGTGTCCAAGGGCATTGACCAATGCACCTGTCTGGTGAGGCACTGTACTTGTTAGTTAACTGCTGGTGGCTCTTCATCTAGTTGGCAGAGAATTCAATTCATTAGTTATTCACACAGCTACTGTGTATTGGACTTAATAGTGAGACTTTGAGATGAATGAAGTTGGTTCCTGGGCTCTAGAGAAGGCAGATGTGTAGCAAACTAATTATACCATAATGTTATAGGGCTCTTTGGTGCTCACAACCTCCAGTCTTGTGTTTCATAGGATCTACTATAATTCATTAATTCATTCACTTAACATTTATTTATTGAGAACCTCCATTATACGTGCTGGAGATAATGAGCAAAGTAGACTGAGTCCCTATCCTTGTGATGCTTACGTTCTGACATGGAATCATATTAATCCCTTTCACAAAACTGTGTTTGCTAAGTGGCTTATAGTTTCACAATGCTTACATACTTATCTAATTTTCATACAGTATTCCATGGGCTAGGCAAGGTAAGTCTTCCTGTCCCAATTTTACAAGAGAGGAAATTGAAGTTCCAAGAAATTAAAAGGCTTGTGGATAAAGCAACAGACTCAGAATTTCAAGTAATGCTCTTTTTTTCTCCATCACATGAATACACATACTGAAATACCTGGGCCATGTGTTGCCCTAGGCTCTGTCCTGGGGATACAAAGAGGACTGATCCTGAATATATAAATTTAGTCCCAACTATTCTGAGATTCAGTCTCATAATAAAGCCAACAGAGAACATTTAAGTCTCTTCCTCTCTCCTTTCCTCTATTCATTCCTTCCATATTTTCCTCTTCAGCACCACAATTCAACCACTTGGTCAAACCCACATTCTAGGGTTAGCCTTAGTTTCTCTTTTATCACATTTACCTCCCAGATCTTGTCAGCTCAGCTTCCTAAATAATTTCTGAATGTATCCAGTTCTCTCCATTGCCACTGTGACCTTCATAGTCTAATCACCATTTTCTCCCATTTGGACCTCTGTACTACCCTCCAAGAGATGTGCTGGTACTGTCCTTGCCTTCCAAAATGCATACTTAGTGAACGTTGAGAAAACAAGTCATTGTGCTTCTCTGTTTAATATCGTATAAATAACTCAATTCCTCTTAGAACAAAATCCCACGTCTTTCCTATGCCTTACAAGGTACTGCATAAGCTGATTTCTTCCTTCCTTACATGCATCCTCTATTATCCCCTTCTCTCCCTGAGATTGCAGCTACACTTTCATGCGCCCACACTGGTGCTCTTTCTGACCCATGAGAACTCCAAGCTGATTTCCATTTTAGGCCCTTTGAATGAGCTGTTCCCTCTGCCTGGGTTGCTCTTTCCCTTGATTTTTACCTGGGCCAGAACCCTCTTATCACCTGATTTCCAGATTTAATGTCACTTCCTTAGAACGGCCTTCTTTGACCACCCTATCTAAAGTAGACTCCAGTACTTTATCATGCCACCCTATTTTAATGTTCTGCAGTGTACCTATCGCTATCTCATATTCCGTCTTGTCTACTGGCTTGCATACCTATTGCCTGTATTCCCTAATGGAACATAAGCTTCAGGAGAGTGAGAACATTGCCCATGTTCTTTAATCTCTGTATCCTCAATGCCCAGAACAATAGTAAGTGCCCAAAAAATATTTTTTGATGGAATGAAATAAAGAAGTCAGGACTGTTGCTCTCCAACTTCAAATAAACTTTACCAGCTCATTGCTTAAAGCATTTGGTTGTAGAATCTGACCAGGTCAGAGCCCATGTGCATAACTCTTTGGGACTGGTAAAGGAGCAGTCTGAGAGGTGAAAGCACTAATTCTCCATTATGAACCTAGTGAGTGTTCTATTGGTAAATCTTGTCACTGGCTCTTAGGTAATAAATATTCAATGAGGAGCCACTTCAGGTTCAGTGGTTGCAAGTTTGCTATCTTAAACTCAGGTAATAACTCTGACATGAAATGTAACCACTTTATGGTAGAGCTGAGAAAGTGATACTCAGGGACATGAGTTAACCTGCTCACAGTTACATGTCTAGTGAGAGCCAGAGCTGGGATTCGAACCCAGGGCCATCCTACTTGAGTCATCATCTTGCTCTACTGCCCTGAAAGCCAAAAACACACTTGACAGCAGGTCTTTTCAAGTTGAAGAAAAAAATATACAGGTGACCAGGAAAGCCAGGACACATCAGAGTGGTTGGTATTGAGACCTATGGTGTGAGCAGAGGAATCATCTCGGACAACCCTTCATTTGAGTGTTGTTTCTATTTTAAAAGAGCAATTCCCCTACAGGGTTTGGAAGGGCCTTCCTTAGAGAGGGCCCAATTACAGGGGCGCCACATTCAAAATGCAAGAATGCCTGATTTGTGCTTTTTTAAACAGTAAAAAGAGCTCTGAAACATATTAAATTTTTATGAGGTGTGTTGCTGACTAAAAATTTTTTTGAGCAAATAATCATACAAAAAGAGTAGACCACATACTTAAAATTAAAACCTCCAAACAAGAAAAATATTTATTAAATAAACTTACACCAAGCCACAGTGACCTTTTGAATAGGCTTTCTTCCTGAAATATTGAGCCAATTCAATTTTTGGAATAATTTTAGTCAACAAGTTGATGGGTCGTTATTAGAGAATGACAACGTGGGAGGTGTCACCTATTGTCGAGTGGGAGAATCCTGGCCTCAGAGTGAGAAGATCTGGTGAATCTAATCCTGTCATTAACTGTGTGACCTTGGGAAGCTGGATAACCCCTTTAGACTACAGTTTCTCCATCTTTAAAATGGAGATATTAGTATATCACCTTGCTGCCTCTTAAGGTGATTATGAAAATCAAATGACTAATGGATGCAAAAGCACATTGAGAGGCATAAAATACTTATTTATGATATTAACAGAACTAGCTAATTATTTTAGCAATACTAATAAGTGGATTTATTTGCAATGCCCAGGAGATGGAGGCTTTTATTCTTAGAAATTATTTCAATTTCCAAGAACTTTCAAGGCTTTAATCCTAGGACACATCATATTTGTTATTTGGTCCCTGCTGCAAATCTTATCTATTTCCTTGGGCATGGCTATTTGCCAGACTTCTAAAAATTCTTGCCTCCAGCTTTTTTTTCCCTCCAGGCCATCCTGTTATCTCCATGTTATCTGCCAGCTCAAACATATTCCATGATTCCCTATTGACCATCAAAAGCCTACTTACTATATGAACTTCCAGTTTGATCACCTCAGTTCTCCATCATTCAGTCCAACTTGGCTCCAGCTAGATGGACTTATTCTTTAACTTCTGTGTATACATTATATTTTTCCATTGCTCTAGCCTGAATATTTGTGTTCCTTCAAATTCATATGTGAATCCTAACTCCTGAGCTTATGGTATTAGAAGGTGGGAACTTTGGAAGATGATTAGGTCATGATGAAAGAGCCATCATAAATGGGATAAGTGCTCTTTTAAAATGTACTCCAGAGAGCTGCCTCACCTCTTCTACCACGTGAGGACATGGCTAAATGGTGTCATCTGTGAAGCAGAAAGGAGGCCCTTGCAGACATTGAATCTTACTGTGCCTTGTTCTTGGACTTCCCAGCCTCCTGAAATGTAAGCAATACATTTCTGCTCTTTATAAGCCATCCTATCTAGGACATTTTGTTATAGTAGCTCAAATCTTTATATCTGCTGCTCCTCTTCCTGGGAATACTCTCCTTTCTCCCAAATGTCTATCTCAGGCTTAGCCTGAGGCTGCATCTTTCCTGCTATTCTTCCATTTTTTCAATTATTTCATGACTTTGGTCACCTCTTGTTTGATGCATTCTTTCATTTATCTATTGAGAGCCTGGACAATCAGGCTTTTCTTCAAAGTTTTCCCAAATTAATTTTAGTGGCAGTGCTTTTCAAGTCCTTGACACAGCTCACAGTAAATAATATATTTTACATTAAGGCTCAGTACACACACACACACACACGCACACACACACCACACTTAAAGTAAAAAAAAAAAATCAAGAAGCATAATGATCATTATGTATAACAGACCCTGGTGTTTTATTCTATTCTTGTCCCTCATTTAAAAAATCTATTTGCAACCTACTACATTGATTTTACAACTCACCAATGGATTGCAACCTGTGGTTTAAAAAACACTAATTAACAGTATTAACTTTATGAATAGAATTATTTAAAGGCCTGGCTCTTGATATTCAAACCTAAGCTATTGGAGTTAAAATAGAAGTTTTCTCTCAAGATTTGGTCTTGCATTTGAAAGTCTTGGCTTTATAGGCCATTTTCTATATTATGAGTTAATAACAACTTATTTAGAAATTCCATTCATGACTTTGATTATCTCCTGGGGCAATGGATGCCACTGATCCAGGAAAGCAAAGCCTCAGTTATTTTGTCAGAGTTTCTTTTTGTCACATATTCATTGCTGGTGGTGGAATTTGAAAAGGCTCAACAAATAGCATTTTTCTTCCCTGACTGAGTTACACCAATTTGAGATGCAGAGGCAGGAATCAGGTGGAAAGGGGTCAAATATCATCTTTATTCTTGGCCAAGCTGTTGGAATACATGGCTTGGGTGCTAGAACCCAGTGAGCTTGCTTAAATGCCCACTGTGAATGAAATTACTCTTGCAGGCATGAGGAGCACTAGGGAGCCACAGCCTCACTCATCCCCAAAACCAGGTTTCTTGCTTCACTAGAACTTGATGACATTTTTAATTGTTTGGATTAACCAACCCTACAATTCTTCCACCTTTGGATTTTCTTTATATGTAAGATCATAAAAATATTCCTTATTTTAGCAAGTAGAATTGGGATTTTCTGTTACTTACAGTTCAAATCATAAAAACAGGGCATGTTAACCTAGGGCTGAGAAACCATTGTGGGCAACTATGGGATATTACATAACATTATCTTAAATGGAAAATAAAGGGAACTTTCTTTTAATTAATTCTATATCACTTATGTCTTCCTTTATGAGTTCTAAATTATTTATTTGCTACCTTAGTTTAGAAATATTTATTAATTGATTGGAAGCATGGTAAATAGAACGGAATCACCCTTGATCTTTGAACAAGGATTCCCATAAAACTACCATGAGACAATGATTCTCATACTAAAAACTCCCTTGACTGTTACTGCACTTGGTTTCAGTCTTATAACTTCGTTTCTTTTTCATAGACATACCTCAATTTTTTTCTTTTGCTTTCTTCATCTTTTTATCTCTTTTATTTTTTTCTTATTTATCCTTACAAGTATTTAAATAAAAGTCACCAATATTTTCCTGATTTTGAAATACAGTGAGCTCTTTTAAAATCCCATATTTCTTAACCACTCCCTACAGTTAGGTACAATTAATCACCCCTTCCTTCTCATCTCTAGTTTCAGTGGCACTATGTTAACCTGAGTTTCCATTTTATCTCTTGGGTCACTCCTTCTTATATTCCTGTATGGCTCCTTCTTTTCTGCTTGATGTTAAATGTTAGTGAGTCTTAGAGATCTGTCCTTTGCCGCATTTTCTCTTCTCATTGTATCCATTCTTCCTCCATAATCACCTCTATTCTTGAAACTCTTTAGGCTGATGACTATTAAGTTTACATTTCTGGCTAAAATCTCAATAAATAATCATTTAATAAATGGAATGAATGAAAACAAATTCTATTCTACATCTAGAATCAAACATCAAAGGTACTTGGACTTTCATTTTGATATCTCATAGCACCTAGAATCCAGCACATCTCAATAAAGAGTCATCTTTTCTTCCTCCCTAGGTCCTACTCCTCCCCCTGTGTTTCCCGTCTCAGTCAATGACTTCTAGAAGGCTACAAACTGCCCTGAACTACTCCCTTCACTTCTCATTTAATTGCTTACCACCTGCTGTCAGTTCTAGCTACTAAATGTTGGTCAGTTTTTCTCCTCTTCACCTTACCTATTGTCACTCTGTTCAGAGCCTTAGCATGTCTTGCCTAAAATATACCAGGGGACCCTCAGCTGGCCTGCCATCCTCTAATACTGTCACTTTTCCTCTGATTCCTCCATGATCAAAGTGTTAACTTTACACATTGTGTTTTATCAACTATAGGATAAATTTTATAAGCAGCATATAAGTGCTCATAATATGACCCCAGCACATTTATTTTTAGGTCTACTCATAGGAATTTAAAATCTTTTTGTTATTGCCAAAGGGATTTTTATATTATATTTTATAATATATTATTTTTGTTATATAGAAAAATTATTTAAAAATGTTTTTCAAAATTGGTCATATTATTGAACTATCCTATTAGTTCAACAGTTTTTCATTCAATTACTTTTGTGCTTTACAGGTATGCTATAATATATTTTGCAAATAAATATATCTCTGTCCTCTATTTTTAACATTTATAAGAGTTATTTCTTTATCGCAGTGTATGGTATTGTTTAAAAGTTCCATAAGAATGATAAATAAAAGTAGAAGTACTCATTGTTCTTGTCTTATCCTTGACTTTAATAGGAATTTATCTGAGGTACCACAATTGGGGATGATTCTGTTAATTAATTTTAAGATCAATACCATTTATCTTGTTAAGGAATATTCTATTCTCTTTAATTAAGATTTAAGATAAACAATGAATTTAAAATTTTATCACATAATGTTTAAACATTTGTTGAAATAAATGTTTTTTTCTATTAATTTATTGAGGTGATCAATTATATATAAACAACATGTTGTTACAGATAACGTATGAAAATCTGGAGCAACATTAGCTGGGAATTGGTTTGACGAACTGGGAATACCAGAGTCTTATCTCAAGTTATTTCCACTCTTCCTAATGAAGTTTCTAAGAAGAAAATATGCACAAGGGATAATTACAAAGAAGATCATATTATAATTTAAAGAACCCTGGAGGGTAAGGGTGGGCCATAGTAAACACCAACTTTTCCTAAGTTGATTTTGCCTGCTAAAGCAGGCAACTGTTCTTTCTATTTTTATTGTACTCAACACCCAGCCCATGTGTCAGATCTTTACACTCTGGTCCCATGAAAAGAAAACATAGAAGAGAATAGATAGTGTTCTTTGGAGAAAGGCATAAGTTAGCTTGTGAGTTCTATTGTGTAGATAGAAAGGAATAAAATGGAAGGCAAGTCTATTGGAAATATTTCCTAATATTAAGGCAGTCTCGCTTTCTGGAATAAATTTGTTAATGAATCCTGTGGGTTCTTCAAAAATACGTCCAGGATCCGATATATTCTCAACACCTCCACTATTCCATCATGGTCCTGGGAACCATCACCTCCTGCCTGTATTGTAACAGTAGCCTCCACAGTGTTCCATTGCTTTAGCCCTTACCCTGAAAATCTATTTTCCACTCAGTATCCAGAGCGACTATTTTAAATTAAAACATAAGTCAGATTATGCCACTCCCATGCTTAATATCCTCCCATCATCCCTGTCTCACTCGCAAAAGCCAAGGTTTTTCCAATGGCTTATAAGTCCCCACCTGAGTTGCTCCCCAATACCTCTCTGATTTTGTGTTTCCTATTCTCTCCTTGATCACTACAGCTGCATTAGGCTTCTGGAGTACACCAGGCACATTTTACTTCAAGGTCATTCTTCCTCCTGCCTTGGATAGTTTCCTCACATGCATGTGGTGATCAGTACTCTGCTAAATTCTCAACATACATCCTTTGAAGATCTTCAGAATTTTCTCTCTGGACAGTTCTTTTTTTTCTGATACTCTTTCCTAAAAACTTTGGTGGCCTTGGTCTCTCCAAACTCTCAGCATCACATTCTCAAATCAGCTCTGTCTGTGTTCTTTCTCTCTGCACCCCAGTCTAGAGACTCTCCAAGCAGTAACCTCACTTAATTTGTTTTCTGTCACTCAGGGATCACTGCCATTTGTCACCAGTGACTTGAAAACCATTGTTTCATATACTTCCCCCCACCCAGATTTTTAGTTATTTTAAATGGAAGGGTAAATCTGGTTCCTGTTATACCATATTGCCTAAAAGCAGAACCCCTCAGCACTTCTTAATTCGCTATCCTGCTTTAGCTTTTCTCCATAGTGCTTATTAACTAACATCCAACACATTCTCTATGTTACCCATTTATTTACCTGCCATCTGTCTTTCCCCTCACTAGAATGTAATTCAACAAGGGATCTGTACTTGTTCACAGATGTATCTTTGGACCTAGATCAAGGGTTGGCACATTGTAGGCACTCAGTAGTTATTTGTTAAATGAATGGAGGAAGAATGTACTGGAACCAGGAAGAATTTACTCAGGACCATTAGGCCATGGTTCTACTTCTACAAGAAATCCCCAACGTCAGCAGGATCTGCTTCTAAGGGCTGGTTACTCAGTCAGTGGCAAGAGTCTATCACCTCCTCCATCAACACTTCTCTTTGTGGAACACGTTCTCACTCCTCTTGCCATCTCCCATAAAGGGCTTTGCTTACCCAACACTCCTTAGCTGGATCACAACTCTGAGAAGCGTAGCTGGAAGGTTTTAAGTTTCGTTTCAAAATATAATCATTTTACAACCAAGCATATATGTGTATGTGTTTCTTCTCTACACCCAAACCTAAGCAGCTGCTACTTAATCCTCATCTCTTTCTTTGTATAAAACATGCATGTAAAAGGCCTTTTTAGCTCATGAGGGTGGAAGTTCAGGTGGGAATGAATCCAAGGGAAACTTTGGACTCACTCAGCAGGGGTGGGCTAGCTAAATAACAGCACCTTTCCCCACAGACTTCCCCTTGTCATAGCTCTGTGCAAGGATTTCCCATCTGTCAGCTGGTGCATCCAGCAATTACTCACTTGAGGAATCTAAGTTAAGTGTGGCATGTGTGGGATTGTGTGCATGTGTGTGTGTGCGTGTGCGTGTGTGTGCATGTGTGTGTGTATGTGTTCATTGGAATGTGTGGGGGTTTCTGGGACAACTTTTCTCTACTTTTATTTTTATCTGCCTTTCGTTTAGTCTCTGCCTTTGTCCCACTTTGATTTTAATTTTGGTCTCAGGCTTTTGTCATGGGAGTCTTTGCTTTATTGGTTCCTTTTCATCCTTTAGGTCTCAGTTCAAATGTTTCCTCTTTAGAGAGAAATTTTCTTTTCCCACTGATTAATAAACAAGTTTCTCCTGTTTCTATCATTCCATTTACTCTCTGCATTGCAGTTACAGCATTCTGTAATTATTCAGTTTGTTTATCTATTTACTTGTCTCCATCTCTGTATATAAAATCCACAGGAAGAAGAACCTTGTTGGTCTTATTCACTTTCTTTTATCTTGTGCCTTCCATAGGGCCTGACACATAGTAAATGCTTAGAAAATATGTACCAAATTAATTAATTGATTGATTCACTAAGGGAAGAAGGGACAAGAATACTAATGAGACTATGCAGAATTGATATGGAATTGCACGTATATGTATGGCTGGGCTAAGATTTGCAAGGGCAGAGGGGAGATTTAGGGCCAAATCAAGCAGGCCTTGTATACTCTGCCATGACCAGGATTGGGCTTTATTCTGGAGATAATGTGAATCTATGGAAGGACTTACATAAGAAAAGATGAAGTCAGTTTTATGTTTCAAAATGATCAATGTGTCTGGGGTGGTGAATGGATTAGAACAGAATAAGACATGCTGCAAAGGGACCTGTTTGGACACTGTTGAAGTTATCTGGGTAACAGATGATAAAACCCCTACTTAAGGCCAACAGCAGTAGAAGCAAAAAATATTTGAAAAACTTGAGATAGGAAAAACAAGTCTTGATTGAAAGTGGGCAATGAAGAAATTGGAATAAAAAAGAGTATAAAGAGCAGCCAGAAGCTTAAGTGGGTCAAACAGAGCAAAGAAACACTGACATAAAATAAGTCTGGTTTGGGTATCAGTGAAAGTGGTAGAATAAAGGCCTCTGAAAGTCCTCTCCTCCATAAAAGCAATAAGAACAAGGGCAACAATTTTCAGAATTAACTTTTTTAAAAAACTGTAGACATTAATAAAAGATTTGGGGAAAATTCAGGGAACATTTAAGAAAAGCAGCTGAATTTTGGTATAAAAACCTGATATGAACAGTGCAGTATTAATTTTTCCTATTCTCATCCCTTCATTTCCAGCTCCATGGTAACCTTGAAAACCAACAGACTATGACCACAGTAAAAACTCGAGACTTGGTTGCCACTAGAGGGGGCAAAAGAGGGTTGGAACTCTTTCAAAATCCTATTTCTGGAGAATTTGTTATTTTTTTTGACCTGCCTGGTGGTTCCCTGGAAGACCCCATTCTCAAAGTAGTCTTATTTAACTGATTCAGAGATCATCTAGTATGAATAGCTTTTTTCTTGGGGTCATTTATTGAAAACAATTAAGAGCATTTGTTTAGATTATGGCTGCCTGTGGTAGTGAATAATAGTTGGGGCAAATAATAGCTTAACAGGAAATGCTTGAAATTGATGTCCATAAAGGGCTCTGAAGAACTTTGACACATTCCTGAGAATCTAGAAGGCCATGTGCATGCTGTGGTATGTATGAACGTTCAGGGAATGCTTGAGAAGGCTCTAAGCTCTCACCAGTGTCTCACTTTGAGGCTTCACTTAGGGGAAACTGAAAATTAAAGCAGAGTAGTTAACTGTCTAGCTAAATGTTGAAGGCATGTTCAATATGCACGTAGAGCCATTTGTCAAAGACTTGGGGGCTTATTGATTCCAGGCACTTAAGGACATCTCTGTCCAATTGACAACTATGTTAACAAAGCAGAGACTTCTGTGTTGATACATGTAAAAGAATGCAGATTTTACAGCACTAGTTCAAAAAATTACTAAACAAACAACAGCAATAACAGTAAAAACAACAAACCCTGGTTGGGGGCAGGGGGTAGAATCCAGAATTGCCATATTACCTAAAATGTTCAGTTTTGACAGAAATTATGAGATATGCACAGAAACGAGAAAGTATGACTCTTACATAGGAAAAAGCAGTCACTAGAAACTGTCTTTGAGGAAGCTCAAATGTTGGACTTGCTAGATGAAGACTTTAAATCAGCTATTTAAAGTATATTCAAAGAGCTAAAGGAAAACATGTCTAAAGAAATAAAGGAGAGCTGAAGAATGAGTTTTCAACCAATTGAAAATATCAGTAAAGATAAAAATGATAAAAAGCAGCCAAACCAAAAACATGGAGTTGAAAAGTGCAATAACTGAAATAAAAAGTCACCGTGGGGGCACTTGAACAGGTGGGAGAAAGAATATACCAAGTTGAATGCAAGTAATTGAAATTATCTGGTCTGAGAAACAGAAAGGGAACACAGCAACAAAAAATGAAAGGAGCTGGATAGACCTGTGGCATACCATCAAGCATACCAATATACACATAATAGGAGTCTTCAAAGAGGAGGATGGGGAGAGAGAGGGGGAGAGAGGGAGGAAGAAGAAGAAGAAGGAGGAGGAGGAGGAGAGGGAGAAGAAGGAGGAGGAGAGGGAGGAGGAGGAGGAGAAGAAGAAGAAGAATGAGAAGTAGAAGGAGAAAGAAGATGGAGAAGAGGGAGAAGAAGAAGAAAGAAGAAAAAGAAGAAGAAGAAAAAAGAAGAAAAAGAAGAAGAAGAAAAAA
The DNA here is from genome assembly GCF_000001405.40 of Homo sapiens. NCBI lineage: Eukaryota > Metazoa > Chordata > Mammalia > Primates > Hominidae > Homo > Homo sapiens. The sequence continues at coordinate 13,247,681 of NC_000004.12, read as the reverse complement.
GAAAAAGAAGAAACAGGAGGAGGAGAAGAAGGAAAAGAAGAAAGAAAGAAAAAGAAAGAAAGGAAAAAGGATGAGAAGTGTCAGCAGAAAAAGGGGAGTAGAGGAGAGGAAAGGGGAGGAGAGAGAAAAAGGGAAAGGAGAATGGGTGGATTGGATATTTGAAGAAATAGTGGTTGAAAAGTTTCCAAATATGATAAAAATATATTAATGTAGACACCCAAGAAGCTCAATGAACTCCAAGTAGTGTAAACTTGAAGAGATTCACGCTTAGGCACATCACAATCAAAGACAAAGACTCTTTTTTTTTTTTTTTTTTTTTTTTTTTGAGACGGAGTCTCGCTCTGTCGCCCAGGCTGGAGTGCAGTGGCGGGATCTCGGCTCACTGCAAGCTCCGCCTCCCGGGTTCACGCCATTCTCCTGCCTCAGCCTCCCAAGTAGCTGGGACTACAGGCGCCCGCCACTACGCCCGGCTAATTTTTTTTTGTATTTTTAGTAGAGACGGGGTTTCACCGTTTTAGCCGGGATGGTCTCGATCTCCTGACCTCGTGATCCGCCCGCCTCGGCCTCCCAAGACAAAGACTCTTAAAAGCAGCAAGAGAAAAGTGAATGGCCACATACAAGGGGCCCTCAGTAGGATTAATGGCTAAATTCTCATCAGAAACTGATTCTGGAAGTTAATTGAATGTTTATTCAAAGTGATGAGAGATAATACTGTGAGCCAAGAATTCTGTGTCCAGTACAACTATCCTCCAAAATTGAAGGTGAAATTAAGACATTACAAGATAAACAGAAACTGAAAAAATGTGTCACTAGCAGACCTGTTGTACAACAAATACTAAAGGAATGCTGTAGGCCAAAATAAATGACACTAGAGAGTAACTCAAATCTGCATAAAGAAATAACATCAGTAAAGGTAACTAAATAGGTAAATATAAAAGACAGTATAAATGTATTTTTTTGTTTGCAAATTTTTTCTTCTGTATAATTTATAAGACAATTGTATAAAGCAATAATTATAAATCTATGTTGATGGTGGTACAACACATAAAGGCAATTTGTGTGACAATAACTGCACAAAGGAGGGATGAGGGAACAAAGTTTTATATACTATTGAAATTAGGTTGATATTAATCTGAGCTAGACTGTTATAAGTTAAAATACAATACTGTAATGACCAGAACAACACTAATACATGACTTAAAAAAAAGAGTGAAAGAAACAAGGGGATTAAAATAGCAGACTAAAAAAATACCTACTTAACACAAAAGAATGCAATGATTTAAGGATAGAGAAACAAAAAAGACATAGGAAATGGAAAACAAATAGCAAAATGGCATACATAAATCACACCTTATCAGTAAATACATTAAATGTAAATGTATTAAATACTTCATTTAAAAGGCAGGGATCCTCAGAATGGATAAAAATTATCTAAATATATGGTGTCTACAAAAGACACGTTTAAATTCAAAGAAGCATATAGGTTGAAAGTAAAATAATTTAAAAATTTATACCATCCAAACAGTAACCAAGAGAGCTGAGTGACTACATTAATAACAGACAAAAAGGCTTTACGTAAAAACCTGTTACAAAATACAAATAATGGCATTATATATTAATAAAAATGTTAATTTACCATAAGATATAATGCTTATAAACATATAACTAAAATCAACCTGAAAACAGTGTCCCACAACACATGAAACAAAAACTGACAAAATTGAAGGAAGATACAGGCAAATCAATAATAATAGTTGGAGACTTCAGTGCCTCAATTTGAATAGGACAATTGGGAAGAAGATCAGTATGGGACTAAACTACTTCATCAATGCTAAAATTCAACTAGATTTAATAGGCATACACGGAACACTGCCCAAAAAAAATCAGAATAAAATAAGTCTGAAGTATGGAATCCCGTATGAAAAGTGGAATGAGTTGGGACTGAGAATAATTAGAGAGTAGAAAATAGGAAGCCAAGATGGGTTTAAGCAAAAGGAATTTGTAAAAGGCAAAGTGGTTCACATGTTTGTGTCTTCAGATCTTGAAGACATCCAGCTGAGTTTTCTGACACAATTTTCTTTCATCAGGATACACCCCCTACCCCCACTTAATCACCCAAGTCATAACCTCTCCTTCCCCCTTACAGATAAACCCTGGTGTCTAACACATTCTACTTTCATCTCTACCCTCATCAAGAGGTAAGCTTGCAAAAGTGTTGAGACTTTGAAAGACTGAAGATAAATAGCTCAGAGATATCAAATTTGGAAGTATTTAAGAGATTACTAGCCAGTTCTAAGAGGATGGCACCTAAACTGGCAGTCCAGAAACTGCCAGTGTGTTCTAAATACCCTGACTTGCATTTAAAGCATAGGTTTGTTTTCCATTGCAATATAGAGATTCAGCACTATCCATGCCTATGGGTGCCTCAGAATTTTGGTACAATGGTTAAATGCTAAGTTTTCCCTGTAGAACCACATGTGTATAGGGAATTAATTCTGCCACTTAACATATGTGTAGTATTGCACAGCTTAATCTCTTTAAGCCTTATAATCTTTATTTGTAATAATAATAATGTCTATCTCATTGTGATGTTGTGAGAATTAAATGAAATAATATTGTAAACTATTTAGCTGAGTGTCTTTTGTGTAAGGAGTTAATATCCTTACCCAGATTAAATGTTCTTCAAAGGAACTCAGCCTCATTAGACTTGGGATTTAGATCTCTGTCCAGGAGAAATCATTCTTTTAATTTAGGCAAATTTTTTTCTGGAGCCTTATTGCAACTGGTCAAGCTATATTAGAAATGAAGACCTATTGTACTAACCGCTCCCCAAGGACTCATTCCTCCCTGCTAATGTAGTCCAGGGAGCAGAGGCATGAAATAGTTAAATAGGAAAAATTCTGACTTGCTCCACACAAGGCAAATGCTTATTAACATTACACAGGAAATATCAAGTCACCCTGCTTCCAGCCAATGGAGCAAATCCATTTGTATGTTAGACCTCCCTCGGTTGACCATTTTACAAAAAGTTGTCAAATATAAAACTAGCCTTTTATTACCACAGCAAAAAAGCTTAGAGAAAAGCACAAGCTGAAGCTGAAAATATGACCTTGACTCAGGAAAGGAAGTGGCAGATCACGAGAGAAGAGAACAATGTGAGGCCCTAAGAGGATTAACATAGCCTGGAGGAAGACAAAAAATCCAGAGTGGACCAGAGCTGGGAGTCTTTCTTTACTCTGTCCAGCTAGAAACTTTCTAACATTTCTTAGCAAGGAAGAACTAAAATTGATTGTTTTTTTAATGGATACAAGCTTAGATTGTCAATGGAGAGATCTGTAGCTAGTTTTCAACGTAAAGCATGGAAGTCAATCTTTTAAAATTAACTGTTATTATAAAATCCTGAGTTTAAGACCCCTCCAGGCATTGCTCTTTAGAGACACCTGAGCTGCTTTAACAGAACTGTCTATTTCAGTTAAGATTCTGGTGCCAGAGTGAGGAAAACCATGTGGGGAGCAGTTTTCAGAGTACTTCTTTAGCCAGTTTACTTCTGCTTAATGACAACAGAGGACTTATTCTCTTGTACACCCTCTGTGTCCTCCACTGTAATGAGAAACCCAGACAAATAACTTCTTAAGGTACCCCAGGTTCTAGAAGCCTCCAATACTGCCATAACATTGTCATAAAACTTTTAATCCCCACCTGGTAGTGAATCTAAGTAGCAAAAAAAAAAAAAAGCAATGTGAAGTGAGTTCCTCCATCCTGGGGGAAGGAAACTCAAACAATTTCCTAGTGACCTCATACAGCTTGGGCACAGAAAGGAGTAAGGAATAAAAGGTGATAGAAATAAGATTTACATTGATATATTAGGTGAGGGTTACTGGCCGTGGTCTGCCTTTTCAGTGGAGTTAGAAGCTGCTACAGGATATTTTACCAGTTACAACCTATGTATGTGAGAAGGAGCCTCCTATTGGGAACTTTTCCAAGGTCTAATAAAGCTGTGCTTTGCTCTTTCTGACCTTGGCCCAGCGACAGGTAAGTCCCACAACTTCTACCACCTTATAAACACTGAGATGGGCCATGAGAAAGGAATATAGAGGCTCTATTTAGAGGATTAGGTCAACAAGCAGGCAGAAAAATGTCAAAACCACTAATCTAATTTACTGATGCTCTTAATGGGAGAATATAGGAAAATTTTTTGCCATGTACTACAAATATGCCTTCAGCATCTTCATCCAGAGAACCCCAAAGTTAAGGAATTGCACAAAGAACAAGTAGTGTTACTGACCCAGGCAGAGAGTGGAAATGAAGGGAAGAACTCAGAGGTGAGCTTGGGTAACAGGCTTCTCTCCTTTCCTTTCCTTTCTTTTCCCTTCCCTTCCCTTCCCTTCCCTTCCCTTCCCTTCCCTTCCCTTCCCTTCCCTTCCCTCCCCTCCCTTCCCTTCCCATTTTCTTTTCTGTCTTCCTTCCTTCCTCTCTCTTTCTTTTGTGTTTTACATGTAATTTGAGTGTTTACTGTATGCCATGGTACTATGTTAAGAATTAGGAATAGAAAGATTAATGGCGCAAGTCTTGCCATTGACTTATTAAAAGAATTTTATCAAGAACCTAAGTAATGACTAATGAACAACACCTAGTTCCTACTCTTTGAGAACCCTCAGTTTGCTTTAGCCAACAATGTGCAATATGGTGGATAAATGGGTACAGTATCACAGGAATAGAGGAAGTAAGTCACTTTCCAAGGGCAGTGAGAAATAGTTAACTAACATGATGACAGTCAAACTGGGTGAAGGTTGGTTTGGAGATTTTTATGTGATGGTGTGGAAGGAAGACTTTCTGGCCATGTGGCATGGTATGATAATACAAAAAAGGGTGGTGGTTTTGGAGAATGGTGTGGTGTTTAGTCTTACTGATCCACAGGGTTAGGAGGAGGATGTAGGAATTATTAGAAGATAAAGCTGGTTAGATCTGCTTGGTGCAAGATAATGGAGGGTCTTCCCAATTAAATTCTTCAGAATTAATTCTGGCCGTAGGAGATCATGAGGAGCACTTAAGTAGGGATGGAGTGGGGTGAAGACTTGAGTTGCTTTGCATTTTACAAAGATCATTTTGATAACTGGTGGTGGTTGGAAACCAAGAGATCAGATAGAAAGTAGTTGCAGTGGTATGTGAAAAGAGGGGTGTGGGAGTGAAGCAGGACAATGATGAAGGGACAGCACTCTCTATCCACAAGAGGAAATAGACATGTGTATGATTAACTGTAATAGAGTTTGGAGTAAACACAGAGAATTAAAATGAATGCAAGGGGCACAACACCCCTAATGTTGAGGTTCTTTCTAAGCAACTCTTCATGGGCAGAAGCCTTCTTGATGAAAGAAGTCAAGTGACAACTGCCAATAAGTCTTGGATAAATCTCAACATAGTAGATACCCTGGAGCTTCTGGAAAATCTTAAGATCAGTTGACTAGCAAACAGACTAATAACAAAGATCTCTTTTCTGGCACTAAGGGAGTTTTTATGGCTTTCAGAAGCCCTTCTTACAAAAACACCCAGAACAAAATAAAATTGACATTTTTTTTTGCTTTGTCCTGGAAGCTAATGGTGGTTTTGAAGAGGATAGAGAGAAAGTCTGTACATCTAAGCTGACCTCTCAGTCAGCTGTACTTGCAAACCTCAGGCCTTAGTTTCCCCATGGATGTGAATGGTCAGCAACACTAGGTTCTTCTAGTCCTAGCTATGCTACTTAAGTAATTTATGGCTGTAGGTGCGTAACCTCCCCTCTCAGGATGAATCTGTAACAACAGGAGGTTGTAGTAAGTGCTCTTTTAGATTTTCTCTGAAATGCTTACTCTTTGTCACTCTGGGTCTAGCCTGGCATGCACTGGGAGTCCCAATAAAGGTTTGAAACACAAGAATAAATAAATGGAGCCAGGTGCCTTGGAGAGATCACTTGAAAGATGTTAAGTGCTCATATTACAAAGCCCTGGGGCAGCCTCCCTGGTGGCATCATCCCTTAAGGTTTATGTCTGTTTTCAGGGTGACATTCTTCTCTCAAGGTTATGGGGATATTGGAGGTGAGAGAAGAGTTTATTCCTGAATCATGGAAATGAACACACTGAAATCAGATCTTCCTTCCCGGTGTGGATTTGTTCCCAGGTGTCAGCCTGCAGAGTTGGGTCACCAACCAGTTGCAATGATGCACAGGTTGTATTTTTTTCTTTGCAACATTCGGTGGAACGTTTCAGGCTGGGGTGAGGGGAGGATTATCTGAACCAGATGTTTGGGGGCTATCTCTCTGACACAATTGAGGAATTAGTTTTAAGTGATTATCCATGTGACCAGTCTTGGAGCACTCACCTTTCTGGGCCAGGAAAGCAGGGCTTGGCTGACTACATTCTAAGGAGAAGAAGCAAGGGGTGTTGAGGGCTGTGTGCATGGATATACTAGTGCTTGGAGAGTGTTTCCAGAAAATGGTTCATGAGTCAAGTAAAACCAGCTACAAGGGGTTCCCCGGAAGATGGGTCTCAGATAACTCTGAAGAGACCTAGAGCCAGTGTGGCTGAGGAATTGTAAACTGATTCTATATGCTCAGGATAGCACAGACTTACACGAAAGTCACTCTTAGGAGGAACTACTGATGGCTAAGGGGGGTCCTGCAGGAAAAACTACTGAGAATGAACTTGGTTGCTGAACATGCCAGCTGAGGAGGTGTGGTTAGGTGGCAGTCAAAGGCCACCTATCCTGCTACCCTCCCAGCCTTACATAGTCTCTATAGCCTTGGTTCAATGTGAAACTCAAGTTGTGCTTAAGACACCAGGCAGAGAGGGGTAAGGAATCCTATATTGACTGATATGAGCCTCATGGTGTGAATAGGGGCTTTGAATAAAAACTACATAGAATTCTACAAGAGAAAGGCACATTTATTGCATACATGGATTCATGTCTTTTGATTTGCATCTGCAACAAAAATGAGTACAATGAAGTGAGAGAGTTGCAGTGGCTGGAAGTCCCAGTGGGGTGTTTCAGGCACACTAAAGATGGAAAGGCTTCACAGACAAGGCCAAAATCAAGATTAAAAGATGGCTTCAGCTTAGGTTTTAACACTATGCCAATAAAAATCTGCCCTTTGCCCCTTATGTTAACCTCAAAAGGCTATATACAAAGAAGATGACTTTAAACCTGTAATGGCGGATTTTGGCTTCCATGGGAAGAAATACACAAGGCATTATTCTGCTCGTCTTTATTCCCTGTGTCCTCTCTGGCCTGCAGTGGAGCAGATTCCCATTTTCCTCGTGTTCTGTGGGAGGGAGCATAAGACATTTCACTGGAGAGCAACAGCTCATTGAGGGAGGGTAGCGTTCACTCTGAGTCATCCTCATTGAGGCTTTGTGGGTTTGGTTTTATTCAGCCTGTGTTGCCATGACAAAGTACCATAGAGTGGGTAGACTAAACAACAGAAATTTATTTGTCACCTTTCTGGAGGTTGGGAAGTCCAAGATCTTGATCTTGGTGCTGGCCAATTTGGTTGCTGGTGAGAGCTCTTTTCCTGTCTTGCAGACAGCCACCTTCTCACTGTGTCCTCACATGACCTTTCCTCAGTGCTTGAGGAGAAGGAAAGCGTGAACTCTGGTGTCTCATTCCTTTCTTATAAAGACATTAATCCTATTGGATCAGGGCCTTACTCTTATGATCCTGTTTAACCTTAACTACTTTAAGTTAGGCCCTATCTCCAAATGTAGTCACTGGGGGTTAGGGCTTCAACGCATGAATTTTGATGGCACAAACTTTCAGACTGTAGTATCATCCCTGTAGTGTGACTAGAATATAGGACACCAGAGGGTGGGCGGAGAGGAGAAGTATTGGAACTTCTTTCTTCTACCCTCTAGCAGGCAGGAACACTGTTTGCCAGCATGCCACTTTTGGTTCTTTACCAAGACCAAAGGAATTCTGAGCCATTTTTATGGGTAGAGCACTGTAATATGTTCTTAATATATTAACATTTTAAATCTCACAACAACCTCATACTGAATAAACCATTACTATTCCAACCTAACAGCTTGTAGATACAGAAAGGTTAATGATCATACAACACCAAGACTTATTCTAAGCATGTTATATGGGTTAATGCATTTAGTCTTCACAATACCCCCAGGAAGTTATGAAAAAAAAATTAGCCAACCCTTAGAAATAAGGCAAAAAGAGGGTTGCACGTTCTTTTAAAGTCACACTCAACATTGTCAGATGAGACTGCTGTGACAAGCAGAATAATAGCTCTCCAAATATGTCCACACTCTAATTCCTGGTTCCTGTGAATTGTTGTGTTACAGGTAAAAAGGACTTTGCATATGTAATAAAGCTGATAGAATTTAAGATAGGGAGAATATCTTGGGCTATCAATGTGGACACAATCTGATCAATTGACCCTTTAAAGGCAAAGAACTTTCTTCAGCTGGTGTGCATCAAGAGCAGAAGGGGAAGTCAGAGATTCGAAGGGTGGGAGGGACCTGAGCTGTGTTGTTGGAGAGGGGCACATAGAAAGCAGGAGAAAAAAATGCAAACAGCCTCTAAGAGTAAGGCCACCTGGCTGAAAGCCAGTAGAGAAACCGGAAACACAGTCCTACAACTAAATATCATGGAGCCTACAAGTGCTTTCTTCCTAGAACCTCCTGATTAGATAGAGCTCAACTGGCTGACACCTTGGTTTTGGCCTTAGAAAATCTGAAGCAGAGAAACTAATTGAGCAGACCTGGATTTCTGGCCTACAGAGCTGTGAGATAATGAATTTGCGTTTTTTTGTTTGTTTGTTTTTTTGTTTTTAAAGCTGCTGTTTACAGTAACTTGTTTCAGCACCAACAGAAAGCTAGTACATTCACTTGAGAACTCTCTAGGGCCAGTGCTGTCCACTAGAACATTAAGCTATGGCCGAAATGCTCCATTCTATCCTCTCCAATACAGAAGCCACTAGTCACAGCTGGCTACTGAGCACATAAAATGTGGCTACAGTGCACATAAAATGTGGCTACAGTGACTGAGAAACTGAATTTTCACTTTTATCTATTTCTATTTAACTTACATTTTAATTTAAACAGCTACATGAGGTTAGTGGTTACCGTATTTGACAGTGCAACTGTAGGGTGTGTACCTGTATGTCACTTACTATTGACTAAATAGGGCCCAGACTCTTTAAATTATTCATCAATGTGTAAGTTTTTGTCTGATAGAGATGTAAATGTTTTCTGTCTAGTGGAAAAGATAACTCCAAAGCTTAGGAACATATTTCCTATATGACATTAACCAGTTTTGTATCTAATCTAACAATCTTATTCTGATATTCTAGTGTCTATAAAATGTCAGTTCTTCAAATGCTCTTTGAACTACTTTTACCCTGTTGGTTTCCTACTTAATGAGTTAGAGCTTTGACATCTGTGCAATCTATATTTGTATGTGTCACATTTTTAAATTTTCTGTGAAAATTATGCTATTATTAGATGCTCCTATTATCCTTATTTTACTCATGGTCAAACTGAGACACAGAGATGTTAAATCATTTTTCTTTTTTTTTGAGATGGAGTCTTGCTCTGTCTGTCGCCCAGGCTGGAGTGCAGCGGCGTGATCTCGGCTCACTGCAAGCTCCACCTCCCGGGTTCACGCCATTCTCCTGCCTCAGTCTCCCGAGTAGCAGGGACTACAGGCGCCCGCCACTATGCCCGGCTAATTTTTTTTGTATTTTTAGTAGAGACGGAATTTCACCGTGTTAGCCAGGATGGTCTCAATCTCCTGACCTCGTGATCTGCCCGCCTTGGCCTCCCAAAGTGCTCTGGGATTACAGGTGTGAGCCACTGTGCCCGGCCTGTTAAATCGTTTTTCTAAGGTAACATAGCTGATGAGGTACAGCCAGTATGACTCCAGAGAGCACACTCGTAACTAGTGCACAAAAATGTCTTGGTTTGTTTGAACATTGATTGAAAAACACAACATCAGGGCATCTGTGGGGTATACTTCCTGGAATGTGTTTCAAGGGAGCCCTGGAAACAGCGAATGTTCATAAGGCAGAGAAATGCCTGGCTGTGTGGGGTAGTTAGAAGCATCCAGGGTCTAGCACATGAATATTTGAAGGTTATGCTAGGGAAGGGCTGAGGCTATTTCGTGCTGGCTGTTTTTCTTGATCTGCTAGGGCTAAGTTATTTTGGCTTGGTCTTGGTGAGGAAGCTGTAGAGAGAAGGTATCAGAGCTAACAGCAGTAATTTAACAGTTTCCCATTTCATGTGTTGTGACATCCATTTGCAGAGTTACACCCAAAACTTGTTGGAAAAGATTTCCCTCCTCCCATCGTGATAACGTAAATTGATGGAAGTTGTATTTCTCTGGGAGGTGGCAGATCTATGGAAGGGTGACTTGATCTGTTGCTCTAGCCATGTGTCAGGAAACTCCACCACCAGCAGATGAGAGATGCTCTGCTCTCCACACTTAGTCTAACTTTGGGTTTCCCCATGCTTCTGTGCTACTTTCAAGCCATGATCTTTGGGTGATATTTGATAACTCTGTCCATTTCCCTTAGAATTCCAAAGGTTATTCTCTTAAAGGTGGACCACTATGAAACTGACTTTATCTTAAAAAGAGAATTGATTTGTGAAGTATATGGACTTTTATTTATTAATAATTAACAATTAAAAATCATATATATTTTGGGGTACAATGTGATGTTTCCACACACACACACATTGTGGGATGATTAAGTGAAATTAATTAAAATATCCATCACCTCCCATACTTATCTTTTTTTGTGCGTGGTGAGAATATTTATAGTCTACACTCTCGGCAATTTCCAAATACACTCTACGTTATTTATTATCTGTAGTCACCATGCTGTACAATAGATCTCCAGAACTTACTCATCCTGTCTAACCGAAACTTTGTACCCTGTGACCAGCATCTATTTGCCCTCTTTCCCAGCTTCTGGTGACAATCAGTCTATGCTCTGCTTCTGTAAGTTGACCTTTTTTAGAGTTCACGTGTAAGTGAGGTCATACAATATTTGCCTTTCTGTGCCTGTCTTATTTCACTTAATGTAATGTCCTGCAGGTTCATTCATTTTGTGGCAAATGACAAGACTTCCTTCTTTTCTTAGGCTGAATAGTATTCCATTGTGTTTATATACCACATATGCTTTATCCATTTATCCACTGATGGACACTTAAGTTTTGTCCATATCTTATGTATTGTGAATAGTGTTGCAATGAACATAGGAGTGTGTATAGCTATCTTTTTGACATACTGATTTTATTTCCTTCAGAAGTAGGACTGGTGAATCATATGGTAGTTCTGTTTTTCATTTTTTTGAGAAACCTCTATACTGTTTCCATAATGGCTGTACTTACACCCATTAACAATGAACAAGGGATCTTTTATCATCACATTCTTACCAACACCTTTTTCCTTTGTGATAAAAGCCATTCTAAGGGGCGTGAAGTGACATCTCATTGCACTTTTAATTTGCGTTTCCCTAATGATTAATGATGTTGAACATTTTTTCATATACCTGTTGAACATTTATATGTCTTCTCTTGAGAAATAGACATTTCTATACTTAAACAGACATTCCAGTGCTTCACACACTTTTTATTTACTTTTTCATTTTGTTTTATTTTAAAATTATTTTAAGTTTTCAATTTAATAGATGTTAGAGTACAAGTGGTTTTTGGTTACATGGATGACTTGTATAGTGGTGCGCCATGGGATTTTAGCATACTCATCATCCAAGTGGTGTACCTTGTACCCAATAGGTAGTTTTTCATACCTCACCCTCCTCCTGGCCTCCCCTTTTCTGAGTCTCCAATGTTCATTATACAACTCTGTATGCCTTTGTGTACCCACAGCTCAGTTCCCACTTATAAGTAAGAATATGTGGTATTTGGTTTTTCATTCCTGAGATACTTCACTTAGAATAAGGGTCTCCAGTTCCATCCAAGGTGATGCAAAAGACATGATTTCTTTCTTTTTTATGGCTGAGTAGTATTCTATGATGTATATATACTACATTTTCTTTATCCACTTATTGATTGATGGGCACTTAACTTGATTCCATATCTTTGCAACTGTGAATTATGCTGTGATAAACGTATGCATGCAGTTATCTTTTTGGTATAGTAACTTCTTTTTCTTTGGGTAGATACCCAGTAGTGGGATTGCTGCATCAAACGGTAGATCTACTTTCAGTTCTTTGAGATATCTCCATACTGTTTTTCATACAGGTTGTACTAATTTACGTTCCCACTAACTGTGTATTACGCATTCCCTTTTCACCATGTTCCCACCAACATCTATTGTTTTCTTTTTGACTTTTTAGAAATAGCCATTCTGGCTGGGGTAAGGTGGTATATTATTGTGGTTTTAATTTGCATTTCCCTGGTGATTAGTGATGTTGAGCTTTTTTTTTCATATTTGTTAGCCATTTGGGTATCTCCATTTGAGAAATATCTATTCATGTCATTTGTCCACCTTTTAATGGGATTGTTATTTTTTTTTTTTGCTGATTTGTTTGAGTTCCTTTTTAGATTCTAGATATTAGTCCTTCGTCAGATGCATAATTTGCAAATATTTTCTTCCATTCTGTAGCTTGTCTGTTTACTTTGATGCTTATTTCTTTTGCTGAGCAGAGTTTTTTAATTTAATTAGATCCCATTTATTTATTTTTGTTTTTGTTATATTTGCATTTGGGGCCTTAGGCATAAATTATTTGCCTAGGCCAATGTCCAAAAGAGTTTTTCTTAGGATTTCTTGTAGAATTTTTATAGTTTCAGGTCTTAGATTTAAGTCTTTAATCTAACTTAATTTTTGAGTATGGTGATAGACAGAGATTCAGTTTCATTCTTTTACATGTGGCCATCCACTTTTCCCAGGACCATTTATTGAATACGGTGTCCATTTCTCCATTTATGTTTTTGTATGCTTTGTTGAAGATCAGTTGGTTGTAAGTATTTGGCTTTATTTCTGGGTTTTTGATTCTGTTCCATTGGTGTATATATCTACTTTTATACCAGTATCATGCTGTTTTGGTAACTATAGCCTTGTAGTATAATTTGAAGTCAGGTAATGTGATGCTTCCAGATTTGTTCTTTCAGCTTAGGATTGCTCTGGCTATTCAGGCTCTTTTTTTGTTCTATATGAATTTCAGCAGTGTTTTTCTAATTCTGTAAAAAATGATGTTAACATTTTGATAGAAATTGCATCAAATCTGTAGATTTCTATGGGAAGTATGGTCATTGTCATGATATTGATTCTTCCAATCCATGAGCATGGAAAGTATTTTCATTTGTCTGTGTCATCTATGATTTCTTTCAGCAGTGTGTCGTAGTTCTCCTTTTAGATATCTTTCTCCTCCTTGGTTAAGTGTATTTAATTTTTTGGTGCAATTGTAAAAGGGATTGAGCTCTTGATTTGACACTTAGCTTGGTCATTGTTGATGTATAGCAATGGTATTGATTTCTGTACATTAATTTTGTAATCTGAGACTTTACTGAATTCATTTATCAGATTAGGGAGTCTTCTGGAGGAATCTTTAGGATTTTTTAGATATAAGATCATATCATCAGCAAACAGAGATGGTTTGACTTCCTCTTTTCCAATTCAGATGTCCTTACTTTCTCTGGCCTGACTGCTCTGACTAGGACTTTCAGTACTATTTTAGGTTGCCATTAAAAGTAATGGCAGAAACCGCAATTACTTTTGCACCAAACTAATATGTTGAATAGAAATGTTGAAAGTGGGCATCCATGTCTTGTTCCAGTTTTTAGGGTAAATAGTTTCAACTTTTGCCTATTGAGTATGATGTGGGCTGTAGGTTTGTCATATATGGCTTTTATTATTTTGAGGTATGTCATCTATGCTTAGTTTATTGAGGTATTATTTTGAGGTATGTCATCTATGCTAAGTTTATTTTTATTATAAAGGGATGCTGGATTTTATTGAATGCTTTTTTTGCATCTATTGAGGTAATCATATGGTTTTTGTTTTTAATTCTGTTTATGTAATGAATCACATTTGTTGATTTGCATATGTTGAACTGTCCCTGCATCCCTGAGGTAAAACCCATTTGATCATAGTGAATTATCTTCTTGATGTGCTATTGGATTTGGTTTCCTAGTATTTTGTTGAGGATTTTTTGCATCTGTATTCATAAGGTATATCGGTCTGTAGTTTTGTTTTTTTAATGTCCTTTCCTGGCTTTTGTATTTGGGTGATACTGGCTTCACAGAATGAGTTAAAAAGGATTCTCTTCTTCTCAGTCTTACAGAATTATTTCCGTAGTATTGGTATCAATTTTTCTTTGACTGTCTGGTAGAATTCAGCTGTGAATCAGTCTGGTCCTGGTTTTTTTGTTGTTATTGTTGTGTTGGCAGTTTTTTTAAATTACTAATTCAATCTCACTGCTTGTTATTAATCTGTTCAGAATTTCTATTTCTTCCTAATTCAAGCTGGTGGGTCGGGGGGGACGTGTTGTGTGTATCCAAGAATTTATCCATTTACTCTAGGTTTCCTAGTTTGTGTGCATAGAGGTGATCATAAGAGTCTCAAGTGATCTTTTGTATTTGTGATGTCAGTTGTAATAGCTCCATTTTCTTCTTTCTCTCTCTTTCTTTCCTTCTTTCTTTCTTTCTTTCTTTCTTTCTTCCTTCCTTCCTTCCTTCCTTCCTTTTTCTTTCTTTCTTTCTTTCTTTCTTTCTTTCTTTCTTTCTTTCTTTCTTTCTTTCTTTCTTTCTTTCTTCCTTCCTTCCTTCCTTCCTTCCTTCCTTCCTTCCTTCCTTCCTTTTTCTTTCTTTCTTCCCTCCCTCCCTACCTTTCTCTCTCTCTCTCTCTCTCTTTCTTTGTCTCACTCTGCCACCCAGGCTGGAGTATAGTGGCACAATCTTGCCTCACTGCCACCTCTGCCTCCTGGACTCAAGCGCTCCTCCTGCTTCAGTAGCTGGGAATACAGGCACATGCCACCATGCCTGGCTAATTTTTAGATGGGGTTTCGCCATGTTTCCCAGGCTGGTCTTGAACTCCTGAGCTTAAGTGATCTGCCTGCCTCAGCCTCCCAAAATGCTGGGACTACAGTCGTGAGCTACCATGCCTGGCCTCCTGTTTTCATTTCTAATTGAGCTTGAGTTAAACTATCTTCTTGGTTAATCTAGCTAGTGTTCTGTAGATTTGCTTACCTTTTCAAAGAGCCAACTTTTTGTTTCATTGAACTTTTGTATTTTTTTGTTTCAATTTTTTGGTTTCGACCAAATGAGGTTCTTCTTTCATCTTTGTTATTTCTTTTCTTCTGCTAGCTTTGGGTTTAGTGTGTTCTTGTTTCCCTAGTTCCCTGAGGTGTGACATGAGGTTGCCACTTTCTGAACTTTTATGCTTTTTGATATAGGTATTTAGTGCTATAAACCTTCTTCTTAGCACTCCTTCCTCTTACGACTTGCATGGGGCCTGTAGTCGTTTTGTATTGGCCAATTTCTTCCATTTGAAATGGGTGTATTTACCCAATGCCTGTACTCCCATTGTGTCTAGGAAGTAACTAACTTGCTTTTGATTTTACAGACTAGTAGAGGAAAGGGACTTGCCTTGTCTCAGATGAGACTTTGGACTTGGACTTTTGAGTTAATGCTAGATAGAGTTAAGACTTTGGGGTACTTTTGAAAGGGCACGATTGTGTTTTAAAATGTGAGGACCTGAGTTTTGGTAGGGGGCAGGGGCAGAATGAAATAGTTGGGCTGTGTCCCCACCCAAATTACATCTTGAATTGTAGTTCCCCTAATGCCCACGTGTCATGGGAGGCCCCTTTGGGGGGTAATTGAATCATGAGGGCAGTTTCTACCATGCTATTCTTGTGACAATGAGTAAGTTCTCACAAGATCTGATGGTTTTATTAGGGGCTTCCCCCTCCACTTGGCTGTGATTCTTCTTCTTCATGCCACCACATGAAGAAGAACATGTTTGCTTCTCCTTCTGTCATGATTGTAAATTTCCTGAGGCCTCCCCAGCCCTAAGGAACTGTAAGTCAATTAAATCTATTTCCTTTATAAACTACCCACTCTCAGGCATTTCTTTATAGCAGCATGAGAACAAACTCATACATGTAGTCTTATTTCTGAGATCTCTGCTCTGTTCCATTGGTCTATGTGTCTGTTTTTGTATCATTACCATACCGTTTTTGTCACTGTAGCCTTGTAGTAGAGTTTGAAGTTGGGTAATGTGATGTCTTTAGTTTTGTTCTTTTTGCTTAGGATTGTCTTGACTATACAAGCTCTTTTTTGTTTCCTTATGAATTTTAAAGTAGTTTTTTTCCTCTGTGAGGAATGTCAATGGTTTTTTAGTGGGAATAGCATTGAATCTATAAGTTACTTTACAGAAAATGGCCCTTACCACCAATTATCATGATATTGATTCTTTCTATCCATGAGCATGCAATGTTTTTCCATTTGTTTATGTCCTCTCTGAGTTCCTTGAGCAGTGGTTTAGATTCTCCTTGAAGAGGTCTTCATTTCCCTTTTAATCTGTATTCTTAGGTATTTTATTCTCTTTGTAACAATTGTGAATGGGAGTTCATTCATGATTTGGATCTCTACTTGTCTATTGTTGGTATATAGGAAAGCTTGTGATTTTTGCACATTGATTTTGTATCCTGAGACTTTGCTGAGGTTGCTTATCAGCTTAAGAAACTTTGGGGCTGAGGCAATGGGGTTTTCTAGATATAGGATTATGTGATCTGCAAACAGAGACAGTTTGACTTCCTCTCTTCCTATTTGAATACCTTTATTTCTTTTGCTTGCCTGATTGCCCTGGCGAGAATTTCCAACACTAGGTTTAATAGGAATGCTGAGAGAGGCCATCCTTGTTTTGCCCAGTTTTCAAGGGGAACACTTCCAGTATTTGCCCATTCAGTATAATATTGGCTGTGGATTTGTCATAAATGGCTCTTATTATTTTAAAGTATGTTCCATCAATACCTTGTTTATAGAGAGTTTTTAACATGAAGGGATGTTGAATTTTATCAAAAGCTTTTCTGCATCTATTGAGATAGTAATATGGTTTCTGTCTTTATTTCTGTTTATGTGATAAGTTACATTTATTGATTAGTGTATGTTGAACCAGGCTTGCATCCTGGGGATGAAGCCAACTTGGTCATGGCGGACAAGCTTTTTGATGTGATGCTGCATTCGGTTTGCCAGTATTTTATTGGGGATTTTTACATCGATGTTCATCAGGGATATTGGCCTGAAGTTTTCTTCTATTGTTGTATTTCTGCCAGGTTTTGGTACCAGGATGATGCATGATGCTGACCTCATAAAATAAGTTATGGAGGAGTCCCTCCATTTCAATTGTTTGGAATTGTTTCAGAAGAAATGATACCAGCTCCTTTTTGTATTTCTAGTATAATTCAGATGTAAATCTGTCTGTTCCTGGTGTTTTTTTCTGTTTTTGTTTTTGTTTTTTGTCTGGTAGGCTACTCATTACTGCCTCAATTTCAGAACATTTTATTGGTCTATTAAGAGATTTAATTTCTTGCTGATTTGGTCTTGGCAGGGTGTATGTGTCCAGGAATTTATATATTTCTTCTATATTTTCTAGTTTATTTGCATAGATGTGTTTATACTATTGTCTGATGGCTGTTTTTATTTCTGTGGAGATGATGGTGATATCTTCCTCATCATTTTTAATTGTGTCTGTTTGATTCTTCTATTTTTTCTCACTTATTGGTCTAGCTAGTCTATTTTATTTAATTTTATTATTTTTTTCAAAAAAACAGTTCCTGGATTCACTGATTTTTGAAGTTCTTTTTGTGTGCGTGTGTCACTCTCTCCTTCAGTTCCACTCTGATCTTAGTAATTTCTTGACTTCTGCTAGCTTTGGGGTTTGTTTGCTTCTCATTCTCTAGTTCTTTTTGTTGTGATGTTAGGGTGTTGATTTAAAATCTTTCTCACTTTTGATGTGGACATTTAGTGCTATAAATTTCCCTCTTAACACTGCTTTAGCTGTGTCCCAGAGATTCTGGTCCGTTGTGTCTTTGTTCTCATTGGTTTCAAAGAACTTCTTGATTTCTGCCTTAATTTCATTATTTACCCAGGAGTCATTCAGGAGCAGGTTGTTCAATTTCCATGTAATTGTATGGTTTTCAGTGGGTTTCTTAATCTTGAGTTCTAATATGATTGCACTGTGGTCTGAAAGACTGTTATGATTTCAGTTCTTTTGCATTTGCTGAGGAGTGTTTTACTTCCAATTATGTGATCAGTTTTAGAGTAAGTGCCATGTGATGACAAGAATAATGTATATTCTGTTGATTTGGGGTGGAGAGTTCTGTAGATATCTATCATGTCCACTTGATCCAGAGCTGAGTCCAAGTTTTGAATATCCGTGTTAATTTTCTGTCTCAATGATCTGTCTAATAGTGACAGTAGAATGTTAAAGTCTCCCACTGTTATTGTGTGGGAGTCTACCTTTCTTTGTAGGTCTCTAAGAACTTGTTTTATGAATCTGGGTGCTCCTGTGATGGGCGCATATATTTTAAGATAGTTAGCTCTTCTTGTTGAATTGATCCCTTTACCATTATGTAATGCCTTCTTTGTCTTTTTTTATCTTTGTTGGTTTAAAGACTGTTTTGTCAGAAACTAGGATTGCAACCCCTGCTTTTTTATGCTTTCCATTTGTTTGGTAAATTTTCCTCTGTCCCTTTATTTTGAGCCTGTGATCTTTGGACGAGAGATGGGTCTCTTGAATATAGCACATGGATGGGTCCTGACTTGATCCAGCTTGTGATTCTGTGTCTTTTAATTGGAGCATTTAGCCCCTTTACATTTAAGATTAATATTGTTATGTGTGAATTTGATCCTGTCATCATGATGCCAGCTGGTTATTTTGTGCATTAGTTGATGCAGTTTCTTTATAGTGTCATTGGTCTTTGTACTTCAGTGTGTTTTTGCCGTGGCTGGTACCAGTTTTTCCTTTCTATTTTTTGTACTTCCTTCAAAAGCTCTTGTAAGGCAGACCTGGTGGTGATGAATTCCTTCAGCATTTGCTTGTCTGAAAAGGATTTTATTTCTCTTTCACTCTTGAAGCTTAGTTTGGTTGGATATAAAATTCTGGGTTGGAAATTACTTTCTATAACAATGTTGAATATTGGTCCTCAATCTCCTCTGGCTTGTAGGTTTTCCACTGATAGGTCCACTGTTAGCCTGATGGACTTCCTTTTGAGGTTACCTTGCCTTTCTCTCTGGTAGCACTTAACATTTTTTCCTTCATTTTGACCTTGGGAAATCTGATGATTATGTGTCTTGGGGTTGATCTTCTCAGGGAGTATCTTACCTTTTTCAATTTGAATGCTGGCCTGTCTTGCTAGGTTGGGAAAGCTCTCCTGGTTGATATCCTGAATTATGTTTTCCAACTTGGTTCCATTCTTCAAGTCTCTTTCAGGTACCCCAATCAGTCATAGGTTCAGTCTTTTTACATAATCCCATACTTATCAGAAATTTTGTTCATTCCTTTTTATTTATTTTTCTCTAATCTTGTGTACCTGTCTTATTTTAGCCAGATAATCTCCAAGCTCTGAAATTCTTTCCTCTGCTTGGTCTATTCAGCTATTGATACTTGTGGTTGCATTGTAAAGTTCTTGTGTTATGTTTTTCAGCTCCATCAGGTCATTTATGTTCCTTTCTAAACTGGCTATTCTGGATAACAGCTCTTGTAATGTTTCACCGTTGTTCTTAGCTTCTTTGCATTGGGTGAGAACATGCTCCTTTAGCTCTGCAAATTTCATTATTACTCACTTTCTGCAGCCTACTTTTGTCAATTCATCTATCTCAGCCTCTGTGCAGTTTTGTGCCCTTGCTGGAGAGGTGTTGCAATCATTTGGAGGAGAAGAGGCACTGTGGCTTTTTTAGTTTTTGGTGTTTTTTTCATTGATTCTCTTTCATCTTCATGAGTTTATCTAGCTTCAATGTTTCAGGCTGCTGACCTTGGGATGGTTTTTTTGTGGGGACTTATTTGTTGATGCTGTTGTTGTTGCTTTCCATTTGCTTGCTTTTCTTTTAACAGTCAGGCCCCTTTTCCGCAGGGCTGCTGTGGTTTGCTGGGGGTGCACTTCAGATCCTATTCACCCTCACCTGGGTCCCTCCTGCACCTGGAGGTGTCACCAGTGGAGGCTGCAGAACAGCAAAGATAGCTGCCTGCTCTTTCCTCTAGGATCTCCATCCCAGAGGGGCACTGTATTCATCAGGGTTCTCTAACAGGACTGAACCAATAGGAGATATATATATATATATATATATATATATATGTGTGTGTGTGTGTGTGTATATATATATATATATATATATGTAATTAACTTAGACGATCATAAGTTCCCACAATAGGCTGTCTGCAAGCTTGAGGAGCAAGGAGGACCACTCCAAATCTCAAAACTGAAGTACTTAGAATCTTACGTTTGAGGGCAGGAAGCATCCAGCACAGGAGAAAGATGTAGGCTAGGAGGCTAGGCCAATCTCACCTTACCACATTTTTTCTACCTGTGTTATGTTTGCTGGTGACTGATTAAGGGTGGGTCTGCCTTCCCCAGCCCACTGACTCAAATGTTAATCTCCTTTGGCTACACCCTCACAGACACACCCAGGATCAATACTTTGCATCCTTCAATCCAATCAAGTTGACACTCGGTATTAACCATCACAAGTCCACCCCTTGTCAACTTGAACCCATACACATCTCCTGCGATCATACATAATCTTCAAATAAAGACAATAATAAGGTCATAATTATGCCTAACATGATACAACTATCCTTCATGCAACTGGAACTGCAGCAATCCCCAACCCAAATACTGTTACAGAACGTTAACAATACTTAAATACCTATATGAAGTCAATAAACTTATGTCACATGATAAAGGAAGAGGAAATAAAATGAAGATATTTTCTTAAGACAAGTGTATACATGCACAAACATGTTTTTAATAAAAGAAGGAGGAAATATTCATGATATATATAGTCCTCATTTCTGCAGCTGGTCACATGTTCATAGTTGCTATTGATGACTACCTTCTTCTACTGCCCATTCTGTATTCCCTTTGCCTTCAGCAATCTGCACAGCTCTGTGCTTGGATCCCAAGGCCCTTGTGGCATGGCCCCATGAGGGAGATCTCCTGATCCGTATGTTGCACAGACCCGTGGAAAAAGCATGGTTTCCTGGGTGAGGTAGCATAATCACTCACCACCTCCCTTGGCTGGGGGTGGGAGCTCCCCTTGCCCCATGTGGCTCCTGGGTGGGCCATGGCACCACCTTTGATTTTCCTCTCTCTCCATGGGTCGCACCAACCACCTAGTCCATCTCAATGAGAGAACCTGGATACCTCAGTTGCCAGTGCAGAATTCACTTGCCATTTTCATTCTTCTTGGTGGGAGCCTCCGACTCCAACTGTTTCTAGTCGGCCATCTGCGCCCCTTCCCCTGATGGTTTTTATTGAAAATGTCTATCTGTTTAGAAAAGTTTTCATTCATATCCTGAATTTTAAAAAATTTCTTTATATTGGCTTTTACCTTTCTCTTGTATTACCTTGAGTAACTTAATGATCAACCTTTTGAATTATTTCTCTGGTATTTCAAAGATTTCATTTGGTTTGGATCCACTGCTGGAGAGCTAATGTGATCTTTTGGGGATGCTATAGAACCGCATTTTTTCATATTGCCAGAATTACTTTTTCTGGTTTCTTCTTATGTGGGTAGACTATTCCTTGTAATTATTCTTAAATTTATTTTTGATTTTATTGGGTGTTTAAAATTTTTTTTTCCCCTGAGGATGTGACTTATAGTTTATTGTCATCTAGTTTCAGCTCTAGGTACTTTCAGTGGCAAAGACTCTGTATATGTGTCTTGGTTATAGAGAATCTTTGTGCAATGGCTTTCATACATACTGCTTGTAGTAGCAATGTGTGGGGTGTGTGAGCAGATTCGCTGTCTCCTGTGGGGCTAGAATGTTTGCCCACTTTTTAATTGGGTTGTTTTCTTGCTATTGAGTTGTTTGCATTCTTTAAATATATTGAGTATTAACCCCTTGTTCCGATGTATGCTTTGCAAATATTTTCTTCCATTTTCTAAGCTATCTCTTCACTTCATTGATTATTTCCTTTGCTGTGAAGAAGTTTTTAGTTTTATGCAATTTCATTTGTCTATTTTTGCTTTTTTTACCTGTACTTTTGGGGTTATAGCTAAAAAAATCTTTGTTAGGACTGATGTCGGGTTTTTTTTACTATTTTATAAGTAGTTTTACAGTTTCAAGTCTTATATTCAACTCTTTAATTCATTTTGATTTAATTTTTGTATATGGGGTAAGATAAGGGTCCACTTGTATTCTTTTACATGTGAATATCCAGTTTTCCCAATATTATTTATTGAAGAGACTGTCCTTTTCCCATTGTTTGTTCTTCGCATCTTTGTCAAAAATAAGTTGACCATAAAGGTATAAATTTATTTCTGGGCTCTCAATTCTGTTCTGTTGAGCTATATGTCTTGTTTTTATGCCATTAAGATGCTGCTTTGTTCACTACAGCTTTGTAGTAGACTTTGAGATCAGGTGGTGTGAGGCTTCCAGCTTTTTTTTTTTTCTCCTCAAGATTGCTTTGGCTATTTAGGGTCTTTGTGTTTCCACACAAATTTTAGAATTTTTCTTTTTATTTCTGTAAAAAGTGTCATTGGGATTTTGATAGTGATTGCATTGAATTTGTAGATCGCTTTGACTCATATCTATTTTTGCAAAGGGATAAAAGATTAAAAATGTTTTTTGAGGAACACATGGTATCAGTGAGAATAGCTACTATTTTGGGGGCTTATATCACATGATAAGCACACACTTACCATTTTATCTACATCGTCTTACTTTTCACAAAGACCCTAAGGAGTATTTTCTTCCATTCTGTAGATAATGAAACAGAACTATAGGAGTTGATGTGGTAACAAGGGTAGGATGCACCTCTTGCTGTGTATAACCCAAAGCCTGTGCTTTCTGTGTATTATATAAAGTATAAAATTAAGCTTAGGATTCACTTTTGTGTTCCTCATACCTAACACAATATTTCAGTTTGTTGGTGCTTCATAAATATTTGTTGAATAAGTGCTCAGTGATTGAAAAGTATGCAATTAATTCATTCATTCCTTCTTTATTCAATAAATATTTATCTGGCACTGGCTGTGTGCTGGGTGCTAGGTGCTTTGGCTTAGAAACTAGGGGTACAAAATGAAACAGATGCCTTCACCGCCTGTAAGGAGCTCATGGTCTGAGGCAAAGGGCAAGGGGTTTTTGTTATTGAGAGCTTATCAGTTCTGATGATACCAATTCAGATACAACTCTTTAATAAATTTATGAAAATAATAATTTTCAGTAGGCTGATTATTATTATTTTTATTATGTCTTCCCTTTTCATCCCTGATCTTAGAGTTAACATGACACTTCCCAGACTTAACATGTACATGACCCACCTGGGAATCTTGGTAAAATTCAGTCTCTGATTCAGTTGGTCTGGAGTAGAGACCAGAAGACTGCATTTCTAACCAATGCCCAGGTTATGCTCAGGAGCTTTGGGGCTCAAATAAATCTTTAAGAATTAAAATGATAAAATGTCACCCTCTCTACTGTGCAAGTTCCACTGTTCTCTGTTCTTTTGCTGCAGAGGATGGAAATACAATACTTATGATGGAACCCTTAACTGAAATATTATGATTTCATTGTATTCTTAGGCTGAGCTAAGAAACAAACAGCGTTAGAAATTTAAGGGCCGCTTCTCTGTCAGTTTTGCTAGGCTATAAGTTTGGCATGTCACCAACGTGTGGTATATCAAAGCTTTGTTTTTCCTCACATCCCTGTTTGCCTTCTTCACCCCTGTCTTTACCGTCTTCAGGGGTCAGTGGCTCTGACAGATGTGGATTAGGGTAACTCAATTAGGATCAATAGGCCTGCATCACATTCAACATCTGGCTGATACCCATTTTCAGAATAAATATATCATTTTATTTTTGGTAAAAATGCTTTTCAGAGGAGAATGAAAATTACAATGGGAAGTTGTGGCTGGCAAGGGAAAAGAACAATTTTGGGTAATATCTCTCATAATTGGAGTAATTTTGACAAACTCAGACATTGTAGAATTCCCACACATCCTCTCCCCCAACCAACTCCCTACTCCCAACGGGTCAGAGAGGAGTGCTTTCTAGCAGGCAAAAGCCTAAGCTATTCTTCCTTCTCTGGTCCACAGAAATGATGTTGAGATTCATGGCAGTCAACCTTACTGTTCCAAACAAACATGTTTTCTTCTAATGACCAGTTAGAAGTTTTATGGCTTAAGCCAGGAGGAGGGTAGAGCTGAGGCCAGGGAGTTGGGCATAGTATTGAATCATAACTTTGTTTTTGATTTCTACATTGACATAAAATGTGTACTATATTCTCTGGGAACAATTTGATCAATTACTTAGGCTAAAAGTAGAGCAGATTTCTTTTAGTCACCTGTTCATATTGGGAACAGTTACGAAAATGGTTTTTCCTTTTAAAATATTGGGTTACCCCGTGATCTCTGACATCATTGATGCCTGGTGCTCTTATAGCAGGGGAGGGCTTTTTGTGATGTTGATGTCCATATGTGTACATGTGTACATGTGTGAAGATGTGAACCTGCCAAACCCCCCCATGCTAGTCTGGTGGGTTCATGTTACTAAAGCAGCCCCTTCAGTGGTCTTAGGTCTCAAGGGTGCTGGTGTGGAGACTTATCTTATGGATTCAAGTATCATTGGTAGAGTTGTTTGTTCCTACAAGAGGAGGGGTGATGTCAGCAAGTGCTTTAGAACCAGATGGACCTTAGTTTGGATCCCAACTCTGCCACTACTGTGTTATGTGGACAGCACTAGGGTGAGGCAAGGAGGACTTGTAGGATGTACATTTTAAGGTGGTCACACTCAGGTGACAACGTTGCACAACACTGAGGGTGCATATCTCCTTTAATTTTGCACTCAGCTGCCTTGCTTTCCTTACCCTAGTATGGCCCTGGTGTGTGACCTTGGACGAGTCACTCGTCTCTGTTTCTATTTCCTGATCTGTAAAATGGGTGTGATAAGAATCATCTCATGGGATTGCTATGAAGCTTGAATTAAAAAAATTTAAAATTTATTGACAAATCATCTGGGTCTGTGACCTAAAAATGGTAGCTATGATTGATTTTTTTTTTTTTTTTTTGAGACAGAGTCTTGCTCTGTTGCCCAGGCTGGAGCACAGTGCTGTGATCTAGGCTCACTGCAACCTTCACCTCTGTATTCAAGCAATTCTCGTGCCTCAGCCTCACGAATAGCTGGGACTACAGGTGTGTGCCACCATGCCTGGCTAATTTTTTGTATTTTTAGTAGAGACGGGATTTCACCATGTTGGCCAGGCTGGTCTGGAACTCCTGACCTCAGGTGATCTGCCCGCCTCGTCCTCCCAAAGCGCTGGGATTACAGGCATGAGCCACCATGCCCGACCCGATTGATTTTAATTAATCTATTGCTGGGCATCTTGGCTAAACCCCCTTTAGGATAGCTAGAGTTAATTCCCTTTATCCTAAGGAGGAAAAACAGAATTGAGGAATATTTAGAAGTGCCTTCTTTTAGGATATTTTTTTCTTTTGAGTTATTATTTTTTTAGGAAATAATTTATCTAAAAGCTAGTGGTACACATTTCAACTACTCACATTCAAGCATAAAGTGTTGCACCAGTAACGCCAGGAATGAAATGTGTGTGTATATAGTTACAGGCAAGGCAGGTCTGGAGGCTCCCCTGAGAGCGAGCACTTCATTTTCAGGAGGCCGGGAGACCGAAAGTCTCACCCGCAGAGTGAAGCACCCCGTGACTTAGGCTGGATGCATAAAACGCCTGCTCTCCCCTTGGTCCAGGATGGAGCCAGAATGCATTGCCAGCTCCGACTCATGGTGCCCCATCACTGTGATCACTCACTTAGCACACACTCACAGCAGCTTAAATTTCTACTTGAACAGCCATGCACTTTTTTTCTTCCTGCCTAGCTTTTCTTTTGTTTTGCTTTTGGTGGGAAGCTGACCAAGGCATTCATGGTGGGGATGAAGAGGGAAATCTGTTAGAATACTGGCGTGGTAAGATGAGAAGCTCTGAGGGGCTTGGTTCTCCCAATTGATATTCTTGCCATGTTGCTCTGAAGAAAGTAAAGCCTCATGGTTTTTTAAACTCCCATTTTTATTTTACACAGTTAACTACATAAAGACCAGTTACTACTGATTCCGCTAGATACCCTCTTCCCTCTTTTACATTTGGCTTCAAACTTGGTTGCTAAGGGACAATGACAATGATTGAGTTATATTCTTTACCTCTATTCCATCTGAATGTTTTTTGCCTATCAATGTAGGGGTTCTCTATTTCAGTTTCTTGATCTTTAAAATAGATAACTTAAATTCTGGATTATCCTTTTGTAGGATGAACAAATTCTGAAGCCACTCTGTGTGTGTGTGTATGTGTACATGTGTGCGTGTGTATGTGTGTGTGTGTGTCTTTGGGGAATGTCTCCTAGACTTGGAGGCTATCATAAGCCTATGTTTATTGATTGATTTACAAGCTATGCATTCAGTTCTAGGCTAATTATCATTTAATATGAGTCAAGACAATTTCACTGCTCTCTAGTCCTGTTTCTGTATCAGACATTGCTAATCAATCACTGCATTTTTTTGTTAAGCCTGGATTCTTGCATTCTGGAGCTCTATACAGCCCCTACCGATTGATCAGACTTGTTTTACAGAACGGAACTTCTTTGCTACTCTGAGCCTAGAGGGTCTGAAAAGGGGAAGGAGAAAACTTTCTTGGCCTGGAGAAACCTAGCAGCTAGTTTGATAGGTGAGACCGATGTAATACCATTTAAGTAGATGTCAAAGAAATGCTTAACAAATGTACAAAGACATGGGAGATCGTGGGGACATAAACTAAGATCCCAATAGAAATTCAGAGAAAGCCCATCTGAGCTGGAGGATGTCACTTAGGTGGCCAGCTTCACTGGAATCATTCAGGTGGTGTTGGAGGGCAAGTGAAGGAGAGGCAGAGATGAACTCCCAGACAGGGAGAGCTGTGGCAGGAAAGAGCCCATAGTGGGGATCAGTGTGAGGTTGACGATGGTCATTAATTGTAGTTAAGATAAAAATACATGTTACTTAATTAAAAAACATGTAAGTTAGATTGGTCTATTTTGATTAAATGTGACTAAATTAAAGACTATGCTAGATCTATCTACTTTAAATGTTTATTTAATTGTAACCTACATGTAAATTTATTCTCAACACTGTTAAGAGCCTTTGGTCAATTATACATATGAAATTTTATACCTGGGCACCTGGGACAGATTAATGTAGTGCAAAGAGCAGGGCGTCTTAAATTAGAATAGAAGAAAAACTGGGAAGTTATATAAAGTAACTTCTAATTATCAGACACTGTCCTGGGCAATTTGCATATGTCATTTAATTGATTGATGTATTCAGCTATTTGACTACCTAATACACGCCCTGTGCCGGAGGCAGGGACCCAAATAGGAAAGAAATAGACCTTCTCTAAGACTGTCTCAGTCTAGTGAGGCAGAAAGTCTCATAAGCAAACTATCGGTAACACCTATATTACACTTGCATGTAACTAGAATGTCAGAAATATGAAGGGTGCACTAGGGAAAAAAATCTCTCATGTCCCTACGAGTTTTATGGAGTAAATGTTACTATCTCCATCTTATAGGTGAGGACACCTAGGCTCGGAGAGTTGGGAACTAGTCAAAGACTCAAGTTAATCAGTCACGGCTGGGAACTAACCCTCCACCTGAAGCTCTTTCCTAAAAGTGGATCGCTTGGATTCAGGCCTAGCTTTGTTACAAGCAAGGGCGGGAGCATATCGTTTCACTTCTCTGGGCCTCAGTTTCCCCTTTTGTTAAGGTAAGAAGCTGAGATGTGATAGTATCTAAAGTTCCTTTCCTCTATAATATGGGATAACTCACCTGTAGTCCAGATTTGATCTCAGTTTAGCACCACTTTTGGAAAGTTAGGGGCTGCTCCTCATATTGTACAGACAAATTCTCTCTGCTCAAAGACCTGATAGGTATTTCTCAGAACAGGAGATAGTTGCCTTTGGTGAGGGCTCCAATCCACGACCATTCATTTTTTAGCCTGGCTTTATTGATGTGTAAATGGGAATTAGAAAGGCCTGCTTGTAGGGCTGGGAAATAAAAGAGAAGTAGTTTAAACTGTTTATGAGCTATAGCTTTATGATTTCTTTTCCACATTCTCTCCTTTTTTCGCTGGAGATTTTCCCTAATTGGGGGCATTTGTTTTGGAATTTGGCATCTCTGAGCCTTGAGAAATGGAGCTTCTTTATTAAAGAGCAGAGTATGCCACAGGCATCTCAGGCCAAATGGTTTAGACTTCTCTCTCAGGATTCAAGTTGTAATTAGGGGTGTAGATTAATTGTAACAAGGTGTCAGAAAATGGTTCATAAATAAATATGACAAACTGAACTCAATACACTGAATTTATAAAAAGTTTAAGTCAGATTCCTGAACCAACATGGATCCTTCTGTGTTTCAGCTGAAAGCTAAAGTTGTGCAAAGTTTTGCATGAAGGCAGTCCCAACTGGCAGGAACTTGAAACATAACCCAATACGCTGCCCTAATGGAGAAATAGAACAGACTGCTTATTGGGGTCATTTGTAAAAAGAATATATAATCATTTTCTAATCTCTCTGATACATATTTCTACAAATAACACTGGGGACAAGTGAAAACTTTTATGGTTCATAAGGAATCAACTCCATGAAACATGAGTTTCAGACTGGGCTGGCCTACACATGTCTGAATCCCAACAGAATCTTTGAAAATAAGCGCAGGCTTCCCCAGAGATATCAGAGGTCTCTTATCTGTCCTGTGTTTTATGCGCCTTCTTTTCTCCATCCCTCACAGCAGACAAAGACAACCAAAGAAAATCGAGCCAATTCAACATTTGCTACATTTATTCTTTCTCTCTAATTCAAATATAGTATTCAAACAAAATGTTCCCTCTCTCTCTCTCTTGTTTTTTTGGCTTGGCCAGAGTGAAAATGCTAACTCATTTTAAAGGGAGAGTAGGCGGTCATAAATGGCAGTGTGGTGTTGTGGAAAAAATAAGAATGGCTTTGGATTTGTGCCTGGCCTGAAATGTTGGCTGCTCTTTCTACTAGTTGAGGGAAGCTCTGGCATGCTACTGAATGTCTCTATGCCTCCATTTCCACCTCTGCAAAATGGGAAGGATAACAACTAGCTGGTAGATTTGTTGTAAGAATTAAATGATATCATAAATTATATATTAGTGAAAAATTTCTCCCCCAATCCTTAAGGTTTTGATGGTTACATACAGTAAAACCACGGTGGCAAGAGAAGCAAGAGACAGAAATGCAAGGAAATGGGAAGGGATTGTATTTCTTCTGGGCTGGAATATTCAATTGCTAGGTAAGACTCTCCTGAGCTCCCTTCCTTGTAGCTGGCTACCTTTGAGGCTGTGGCTGCCTCATTAACCTGGTCCCCAGGGTGAACTCTGATTAGCAGAGCCCTCTGCTGACCTTGATGGACATGTAGTGTGATCAAAAAAATAGATCTCTGCCACTTTTTTTTTTTTTTTTTGAGACAGAGTCTCACTCTATCGCTTAGGCTGGAGTGCAGTGGCTCAATCTCAGCTCACTGCAACCTCCACCTTCCTCAGCCTCCCGAGTAGCTGGGATTACAGGCAAGCACCATTACGCCCGGCTAATTTTTGTGTTTTTAGTAGAGGCCGGTTTCACCATGTTGGTCATGCTGGTCTCGAACTCCTGACCTTGTGATCTGCCCGCCTTGGCCTTCCAAAGTGCTGCAATTACAGGTGTGAGCCACCGCGCCCAGCCAAATGTCTGCTGCTTTAAACCACTAATATTTGGATGTTGCTTGTTATCACAGAAGAACCTAGCCTATCCTCACTGATACAGTTCATCTTCAGATTGCTGAATTTCTCTTTTTTGAAAACCATGTATCTTTATGGTAGACCATGTTCATCATCTTTCAAGTTTCTGCTCATAAATTCTGCATGTACTATTTGGAACAATAGAGTGATTTGGCAGTGACATGTCCAAGAGAACTCTTCTCAACTGCAAAAACTTTTTAATTATTTGAAGTAAGCAACACTGAGGTTTTTGGCCAGTATGTGCTCCAGGAAGGCCAGACAAGGTTCTCTGAAAAGACATTTTATTCTGACTTTATATGTTAAGGTCTCTTTGCTTTGTATATCTGATCTTAATTCTCCTTTGGAATGTAGATTTGGTATTTATCCAATTAATGGCTTTGTTTGAATTTTTATAGGCATCTCAAACTTACCTTGGCTAATGCACTGCTAATTTTTTCTGAAGTTGTACACCACCCACTCTGCACTTGCTCTCTGCTAAAGTTCAAATGAAATTTCAATTCCTTACTTGGCCTACAAGACCATGCCTGTCTCTGATTCCTCCATCCTCAATCTCCTCCTTGTACACTAGGATTTAGTCAAACCGACTTTGCTTCTGATTCTTTTTTTTCATTTGAAACCTGTGTTTTATTTTATTTTAATTTTAATTTTACTTTAAGTTCTGGGATACATGTGCTGAATGTGCAGGTTTGTTATATAGGTATACATGTGCCATGGTGGTTTGCTGCACCTATCAACCCATCATCTAAGATTTAAGAATCGCATGTATTAGGTATTTGTCCTAATGCTCTCCCTCCCCTTGCCTCCAACCCCATGATAGGTCCCAGTGTGTGATGTTCCCCTCCCTGTGTCCACATGTTCTCATTTTCAACTCCCACTTATGAGTGAGAACATGCAGTGTTTGCTTTTCTGTTCCTGTGTTAGTTTGCTGAGAACGATGGGTTCCAGCTTATTCATGTCCCTGCAAAGGACATGAACTCATTCTTTTTTATGGCTGCATAGTATTCCGTGGTGTGTATGATTCTTAAACACAGACATGTCATTGCAGTCTCTGGTTGTCTCCATGTTCTGGTTCCTCTGCTTGGCTCAGTACTGGAATATCCAAGATGTTTGTGTAAGTTTTCACAGTCTGCCTCCTCATCTTTCCTTAGAATGTAAGTTCACTGAGGGCAGGGACTCTATTGTTTTCACTTCTGTATCTACAAGTGAAAGGTCTAGAAGAGCACTTTCCTAAAACATAGAAGATGTTAGTAAATACTGGTGATGTAGGCTTGGGTAGGCACAGGAGTGTAGCTATGCAGGAATCATGTATGTTAATGCTCCTTTCCCCCATGACAACTTTGAGGGCAAGGAATATCTATTGTCTGAAATATAGCAAGTGTTTAGTGAATTCAATTAATGACATTTATTAAAGGAATGCCTATTAGGAGGTATTAGGAGCTAAGGCATTGGGCACAGGATGAGTCTTATCTCAGCCTGACCCTCAAAACTCTCAGGATCCGATAATATCTACTCATAGTTTTCAAATATTGTGTACATTTTATGTATCAGGCACTGCAAAATGCAGTATATGCATTGTCCCATTTTACCCTCATGCCTACCCTATGGAATGTGTTTCCAAATATATCCTGGCTTTTTCTCCCTTGGAACATGGTATCATGGCACTTCCTGATCCCCATATTGGTGGGTGGGGCTTTGTGACTAGTTCTGGCCATGAACTATGAGCTAAAGTGGCAGTGGGGCACTTGATTGCCACGTAGAGGCCTTCTAGAACTCATGTTCCCTTTGGCACAGCCACCAGAAATTTACAAGCCCTACCAGCCTGAGCTCCTGTTGATGCGAGGAACAGAGCTCCCGAGCTGACCCATGGTGGACATCAGTATGATCAAGGAACACCCCCATTGATATTTCAGGACATGGAGAGCTGGGGATGATTTGTTACTGCAGCGTAACGTAGCACACCCTGACTGATTTTATAGATGAGATACTTTATGTTTAGAGAGGTGACTTGCCCAGAGTCACTCTACTAGCAAGTGGGCCACCAGGACCAGACTATTTTTTACTGTTTACATGGTCACTGTATTTTTGACAAGTACATAATGTAGCTGGTACAAATTTTACTAATTGGTTTCGTAAGGAATGTCATATTTTTAACTTCGCTAAATCAGTCTTAATCTGACTTCAACCTCCCATCTCACATACTGGTGGGAAATTCAGGTTCACTGAGGAAATTCAATGTTACTCTGATTATTGGGCCTCTGCTTTCTCTTCCCTGGAATTTCATCTCCGGAAGGCATAGTTTTGAGAGACCTACTTGATGTCATGATTATCCCTAATGGGTTGCATGGTCCCTGAACTCCTGGAGACATTACTGGCTCAGTGCCCCACTTAGGCATAGGAATGAGCTCAGTCCTGAATACCCTTGGGTCCAGAGACTAGATCCCTCAAAGGTCCTGAAACCTCCCTTAGGACTGCAAAAGAGGGGCTTTACATTCCCATTACTCTTCAGATCTCAGTGTTCTTCCCTGCTCCTTCACTCTGTTCCTCCCTCTGTTCCTTCCCCCAATCTTTGTTGAGTGCCTACTGTAAGCCAGGCACCACCTTTCAGGTTGAGGATAGAGAAGGGGGAAAAATAGAAATTCCCACCCTGATGATGCTCAGTGGCAAGAAGTCAGAGAGACAGATAATAAATAAAACAAATAAGTGAATTGTATCAAAATTTGAAAGTTTGATGATACAGAGAAGCAAAGTAGGGAAGAGGGATGAGGGTGTTAGGAGGAAGTCAGGGTGGGCCTCACATTTTGCTCAAATGCGGAGAGCAGGTGATAAAGTCAACTGGGGGCTGTCTGGAAGCAGAGACTTTTAGGCAGAGGGAAAGGGACCTGCAGAAGCCAAGGGGCTGAAGCGGCCGGCAGGTGTGCCTGGGAAGAGCGAGATGGGAGTGAGATGAGGGGCCTGGCTGGGAGTGAGATGAGGGCCCCGGGGCAGATCAAACACCACCTTTTATTTGGAGGGAGGT
Source organism: Homo sapiens (assembly GCF_000001405.40). Classification (NCBI taxonomy): domain Eukaryota; kingdom Metazoa; phylum Chordata; class Mammalia; order Primates; family Hominidae; genus Homo; species Homo sapiens. Next base: position 13,214,672 of record NC_000004.12, on the reverse strand, counting down.
GGAAGCCACAGAAGGATTCTGCGCTGAGGTGTGATGTGATTCGATTTCCATTTTAAAATATGGGTCATGGTATACAGGGCAAGAGCGGCAGCCGGGAGACCACTTAGGAAGCTTTTCCAATAATTTCTTTCTAGTACTGAGCCACTTCCTCCTCTGTCCCCTTCAAAGGACCCCTGCTCTCTTCCCCCCACCATCCTGGAGAGTTGGCTGCCCTGTCTAAAGTGAGGATTTTTGCAAAAACCAGAAGGGACCTCAGCACCTGCAAGCACCTTCTGAATTAAGTGTGGCCCCTGAGGTTAGGGGATGCGATGTTTGCTGACCTTGGAGAGAGAGGGAAAAGTGCAAAGACCAAAACACAAAAAGACCTCATTCTTTTTGAATATTTTAAGCAGCAGCAACAAAACGCTAATCATCTCAATAAATATTTTGCCCCACAGATGTTGAGTGTTAACAGGAGCTCAAAGTTGGTACGGGTACCTTAGAGTTCCAAAGGTAAGGTATTTCTGATAGTGTTGTCAGGTGAAATGCAGAAGGACCAGTAAAATTTGCACTTCAGAGAAGGAGCAAATGATTTTTAAAATGAATTTGCTTCAAGTGTTTCATGGAATGTATGCTGAAAATATTTATTGTTTTCTGAAATTCAAATTTGCATTTTTATTTGCTAAATCTTGCAACTCTAATCTCACATGATGTTGAATACCAGCCATGGCCGAAGATTACAGCCTGATTCCCCAAAAATGTGTGTCCTCTAGATAAAGAAAAGGGGCTGAGGAGAATGGTATTCTTGGTAGAGGAATGATATCTGAACAATGGCAGGGCTTGGAATAGCCTGGCCCATTTTGAGGTGAGAGAAGAAGAAAATCACGTAATTGCATGAAGGCACTTCACCAAGTGCCTATGTGTAAAATATACTTCAGGTCCATTGTTTTCTCCTTTCTTACTTTCCCTCCATCTAGGAGAAACATATATTTGTTAATGACCAGTGCTAACATCAACCATGACATGGTTTATTTGTCTGTACATTGCATTTTCAATTTAATTTGATAGTTGGGATATGGTTATTTCATGAAAAAAACATCCCAGTGTTTTCTCTTGGGTCCTCAGATGGTGTATATTAAATTAAACATTCACCTAAGCATTGTTGACACAAGAGGAAAGTTTCTGACTCAAAGGACCCCAAACCGGGAAAAGGAGACTTCAGATGAATGGGGTATCTCTCTCCCTGTTACACAGGCAGGGTCTCCTGTGGCCATTTATTGTTGATGGGTGAAAACAGCCATACTTGAGGCTGGTAACTATCATCTACCTACTGGGAAGCCCATTCATAACACAAGTATTTCAGATGTTTCCTGCATAGAGCATTTATCCTTTTAATACTTGACCTATAGCACACATGTGTGATGACTCTCATCTATAATGTGTTCTGGCTTCATGGACTTCTCTTTGCTCCAGTGGAAGCTATTTTAAGGGACTTTTCTTGGACTCATGAAAATGCTCAGTTTAAAGGAGAGTCCCTGAAGTGTCTGTCTCCTTAAATTTTCCGTACTACAAGGAAATTGGATGTTGCACATCATCCAGTTTGTTCAACTTTGGCTGGGTAAGCATTTATTGAATGCCTTCCAGGTGTTAACCCCTGGGCTTGGGAGACAGGATGGGGAAATGGGAAGGCCTTTGGTTATTTCACAGATCATGATTAGAATTCAGGTTTCAAAGACATTTCTCTCTGACACTAGCTAGTTTTGATTATAAACTAGGATGTCAGTCCTAATCCTAATAATGCAAATACTGATACTAAGCTGATACTTATACTGACACCAGCGCTAATACTTGTACTAATACTGATGCAGATACCGACAGCAATAGAATTGCCAATAGCAATTCCAATAGCAAGACCCATTCAAATACTGTGTATTAGTCAGGGTTCTCCAGAGAAGCAGAATCCACAGCATATATATAGAGAAAAAAATAGAGAGAGAGAGTTGTGTATATAGAGAGAAAAATATTTAAGAAATTGGCTCACACAATTATGGAGACTGGGAAGTCCAAACTCTTCATGGAAGGTCAGCAGAGTTGAGAGTGAGGGAATAGCTAATATTGCAGTTCATGTCTGAAGGCCATCTGCTGACAATAGTCCTCTTATTAGAGGCAGATCTGTCTTCTCTTCTACTTAGGACTCCAACTGATTGATTGAGGCCCACCAACAGAATAGAGGCAGTCTGCTTTACTCAAAGTCTACTGATTTAAATGTTAATTTAACCCGAAAATGCCCTCTCAGAAACATCCAGAATAATGTTTGATCACATACTTGGACATTGCAACCCAGCCAAACTGACACATAAAATTAACCTTCACACACTGCTACTGATACTGACACAAAAATAGTGTATTAATGCTATATCAGTCAGGGTTCCACTAGAGGAACATAACCAGTAGGAGATGTGTATATAGATGTATATATTATATATCACACATAGACACTACATATGTATGTATATACGTATAAACACACACATCTATATGTTGAGAGAAAAAGATTTCTTGCAAAAAAATGCCTTACAGCCATTGTGGGGGCTGGCTAGCCAAGTCTGAAATCCAGTGTGGCTATCAGGGATGACACTTCAGTCTAAAGGTAGAATTGTTTTTCCAGGAAATCTCAGCTCTGCTCTTAAGACCTTCCCACCAACTGAATCAGGCCAACCCAGATTTATTTTTAGGATAATCGTTACTTAAAGGCAACTGATTATAGAGATTAATCATATGTACAAAACACATTAGCAACAACACCTCACTTAATGTTTGATTGACCATTTGGGTGCTTTGGCCTAGCCTAGTTGGCACGTAAAACTGACTGTCACAAACACATACAGTTGGCCCTCTGTATCTGTGGGTTTTATGTCCGTGGATTCAACCCACCACAGATTGAAAATATTTAAAAATTGAGCCTGTACTGAGCAATGGCAGAGTTTTTTTTCTTGTCATTATTCTCTAAACAATAGTGTGTAACAACTATTTACATAGCATTTGCATTGTATTATGTGTTATAAATATTCAAGAGATGATTTAAAGTATATAGGAGGATGTGCTTAGATTATATGAAAATACTATATCATTTTATGTAGAGGACTTGAGCATCTGTGGATTTTTGTATCCATGGGAGGTACTAAGACCAATCCCCCGTGGATATTGAGGGACACTTGCCCAAAGTAGTAAGCACTGTACTTGGCGCATATATGCCAGTCACTTCTAGTGAGAGTAGTGAGAGATACAAAGGCAGACTGTATATTAACCTTGATTTTAAGAAGCTTATGATATAGTAAAGAAGATATGATTAGACACAAGTATGTACATGACTAGTCTATAAATAAACCAACAGCTTACCCTTACTGAAACTTAGGATGCACTAGTCACTGTGTGAAGAGCCTCGCATAAATTTTTGTTAAATTTGTTTTTTTTTTTTTTTTGAGACAGAGTTTCACTCTGTTGACAAGGCTGGAGTGCAGTGGCACAGTCTTGGCTCACTGCAGCCTCAACCTCCTGGGCTCAGGTGATCCTTCTGCCTCAGCCCCCTAAGTAGCAGGGACTACAGATGTGTGCCACCATGCCTGGCTAATTTTTGGATTTTTGTAGAAACAGGGTTTCACCTTGTTGCCCAGGCTGGTCTCACACTCCTGAGCTCAAATGATCCACCTGCCTCAGCCTCCCTAAGCACTGGGATTACAGATGCAAGCCACTGCGCCCAGCAGGTTTTATGTTTATTTTTTATACCACTCTATGAGATACATGCTATTTGTATTTTGCAATGGAGGGAACTGAGGCTTGGGAAATTTAAGATATTTGCTTAAGATCATGTAGCTAACGAGTCCCAGAGCGAGGACACTCACCTGGAACAAACCAGCTGTCTTAGCCAAGATAGAAAGAGCTGCATTTGGCAGCAAGGAAGCAGATGAAATGCTCAGGAGAGAGTCAGAGATGGGACAGTCTTGGGGGAGGTGGCAGCGAGCCAGGCCTTATGATGGGGGGAGGACTTGGGTGGCTAGAACTGAAATGAAGGGCCGAGGAAGGGCAGGGGCCTCTCTCAGGAGGAGGCCAAAGACCTGCAGAGAGGACATATATGTGAGAAGCAGGGGCCATTGCCCAGTGGCATTGTCCTTCATCAAGGGGATGTGAGAGATGAGACAGGATGCATGGACACAGCAAATTTGGTGAAATCTATCAAATTCATGACATTTTTGTGTTTTTGAGTAGATTTCTCAGGGAAACCACCAAGGAACTGAAATTGGTAGCTAGGTTATCAGTGGGGCCGCTGGAGAAGCACGTTTAGACCCGGAACCCAGGAGGCTGAAGCCATTCGTGGTATGGTTAATTAATGTTAATGGTAGCAGTGAGAAGGAAGAGAAGATGAGGGTGAAGAAGGAGGGAGAACTCTGAGAAGGTCACTTTTGCACAGCCTGTAATTTTTGTGGCTCATTTGTAGGAAAGTGAGCTTGCATGATGTGCTCATGTAACGTGTAACATTTCAGGACACGTTCTCATTGTTTTCTTAAGTTCCTAAGCCATAAGAAAAATCACGGAAAAATGGAGGATTTGAATATCTGAAAGCTGTTAGTCCAATTTGGCCGAGGCAGCTTTTTGGGTGCAAAATTTATAAAATGCCTTGAAAGTATTTTCCACAGCACATTCGGTGACTTCACTCAAGTCCTGCTTAAATGGTCTATTTTGGTTTTGAGTTCATAAAGCCCCTCTCTGCCCCCCTCCTTTCCCTGCTCAGGTTCACGTCCAGATAAAACAGCTAACTCAAATATGGTGTAAAAATACAAGTCCCTTTTAGCCTGGCCTTTCATGCTGCGCCCCAAAGTGTGCCTGGGTGTTGAAAGTGAAAAGGGGTGGGGCTGGGGGAAGGTGTTTTTCCAGCTCAAGTTATGAGAGTGGGCACTTTCTTGAGCTTGTAGTGAGAGCAATTGCACCATTGCTGCAGTGGAAGGCATTCAGGATGATGCCTGCATGCAGTGGTCGGTTGAGAGCTGGAGAACCTGCCAAAGTCAGCAGCTGGAGTAAGTAGAGTAAATCAAGTTAAGAGGGAATGGGACAAGATTTTGGAAAAGGAAAGAATACATGGGTCAAACCATTAACCAGACCTGCAGGGTTAAGATGATGAGATATAAATTGACTGGTATTTCCTGGGTTTAGGAAAGGAAGTCTGGATGGGATTTATATCTGGTCCTCTGGCCCTTGAAGCTCTCTGGTGCCTCCCTTCCCCACCCGCCTGCCTGCCTGCCCAGTGGGCCTCAGGTGTGGGGCAATTAGAGCAGGACAGGGCGCAAGCCAGAAAGCTCTGGGTTTTGCAGCTATAAATACATTTATCCAACCTGTCATCCTCAATTAGTCCTGGAGTACCCATAATGCAATGCTCTTCATGCAGGCTGCACTGAGGACTCCATGGGGCTCTCAGACCTCTCCTTTCTGACATTTTTAAACCTTTGCTCTTCACATTCTGACAGACATCTGTGGAACATGGCTCTGCCCCTGTTGGAACCCTGACAGCCAGAAATAATGGTAACGTGGGGCTTTGTGAAAAGGGATTGTGGCTTCAAGCAAGCATGGAGGTTGGTTTGGTCACAGAAGGACACTTCTCCTCTTACCTGGTTTTGCTGACTCAGATCTTGGCAGAAGAGCTGTGCTGGAGTCCATGTTGTCCTGAAGGATGACAAAGCATTTTTTTTACTCATCTGTTTTTTAATTTTTTTTTTTAATTTTCCAACTGTCTTGTGACAGAAGTAGCAGTGCTTCATCTTACAGATCAGGAAATTGAAGCTTAGAGCCACCATGTGACCATGGGTGGCTTGCCCATGGTCACACAAGCCAAATGCAGCAAAGGGTGGATTATGAGGTTGATATAATTATCCCCATTTTACAGATAAGTAAACTGAGGCTCAGCGATGCTGAAAAAGTAATACAAGGGAAAATGGTGAGTGAATGTCAGAGCTAGGTCTTAAACACAGGTCCGTCTGACTCCATGACTCAGTGAACTCTACCAGCTCTCAAGCCCTGTCCTCCCCAGTGCTGTCCTCCCCAGTGCTGTCCTCCTGCAAAATGCCTGACAAGGACTCAGGAAGTGAGGAACATGATTGCTGCTTCGCTTACCCACCCCATACACATAGAACTGCTCTATGCTTTGCTTCTCATGATCGTTCTATTATGTATCCATGCATTGATTAATTCACTCACTCAATCATCACCAAGTGCTCATTGTGTCAGAACCTGAACTGGGTGCTGGGGACCTACCTGTCAATAAACTCCAAACCTAGAAGTCAGGCTTGATCCTTGTTTTTCCTTATTCTCAATATTTCCACACCTACTCCATTTCTGATCCTGTCAGTGCCACCTCCAGCCTAGAAGCCATTCCTTTCTTTCTTCTCCAAAGCTACCGTCATAGCCCAATACCTCATCATTTTAGTGATAGCCTCCTAACTCCTATGTCCACTAATCCACTCCCCACACAGCGGCCAGAGTGGGTTTTCCAAAAGCTAGATGGGGGCATTTTACTCCTGTGCTTCAAATTACCCAATGGCTCTTCCTTGCACTTGGGAAAAAACAACAAACAAACTCCTTACCACAATGGGTAAGACCTTTCATAATCTGCCCCATTCCCATATATCACTGATCTCATCTCCTAGCAGTGCTGCTCATGCTCTGCCTCCTGAGCTCATCACACTAGCATTGCATTTGTCACAGCTTTGACCCCAGCCATCCCCCTGCCTGGAAGCCTCTTTACTGCAATGTCTTGCCGCTGGCTCCTTCTTATCATTTATGTCTCGGGTCTAGTGTAGACTCTTTCTAGAAGTGTTTCTCGTCATCCTACCTAAATGAGCTGCTCCATCTTTTGCATTCCTCTATTTTTGATTCTCTGGTGTCATTTATCACTCTCTACTACCATTAGCAATTTGTTTACTTACTTTTTCTGCCCATTAGAATGCAATTCCATGGGGCAAAGGCTGAGTCTTCACTGCTGTATTCTCAACACCTAAAACAATGTTTGTATGTAGTAGATAGTAAATATTTGTTGAACAAATAAGATGCATAGTTATGATCCCTGCCTTTATAGAGTTTACAATCTGGTTGGAAAGAGGAAAACATTCAAGTACGGTATTTGTTAATATTACCAGATGCTTGCTAACCCATTTCAGAGTCTCTCTCTAATTCTGACTGCTGTTTTCAGCAGCTGTGCTTTATCTGCATTGCTTCATGCTGGCTCCAAGTGCCCTTTGTTCACATTTCAGGGGAAAGGAATCAGAGCATAGCTACTCAACAGATGTTTTGATTGGCCAGTCACTGTGAAAGACCTGCAGATAACTAAAACTTGAACATCCCTGTTCTATGGAACTTAAAGACACAAATCTTAATGTCCTTAGTGAGCTTGCACCTAAAAGTCCTAGTTCTGCTCTTTGTAGTCTCCTAGAATATGTCTGAAGTCCTTTCTGCATGAAACCTCTGAAATAATACATGTTCATTTTCAAAATTTTGTAAAACAGTCAGGTATAAAGAAGAAAATAAAATTACCTATACCCCCATCTGCCAGAGATAAAGGATATTAATGGTCTTTATCCTTCCTATATAAATCCGTCTGTCTCTATCTGTCCATCTAGAATTTTTCACAAATTTGGGGTCATGAGGTGTGTACAAAGTGGTATGTTTGCAGAATAGGAGAATCAAAAGGAGAGACTGGAAAGAGATAAGGGCCGTGAGGCCAGGCTCATGTAGGGCCCTGTAAGCCACAGGTGAGAAGGTAGGCTTTGATTCTAAGTGCAATGGGGAGCCATTGGAGAAGTTAAAGAAAGGGAATACCACAATGAAATTCATGTTTTGCACAGCCCACTCCCACTCTCTTCCCACAACGGAGGCAGGAAGGCAGTTAGGGGCAGTTACAGTCGTCAGAGTGAGAGATGAAGGGATGAGAAATTGAGAGGTGGACGGAAGTGGCAAAATGTAGAGGACTTGCTACTGGATTGGCTATTGGGATGTAAAAGAAAAGAAGAAAATCTTTATTGGCTTTCACGTGATGATGCTCTAGGTATTCTAACTATTTTAAGAATTGCATCTGATTAAAGACACATTCAAAGATATTAGAAAAGATTTGCAAACTTAGCAGACAAGGCTAGAACCTGAGCTGCAAGAGTTTGATATATTGCCATGATTAACTACTTTCATAAGAAAAGATGATGACGATTTGATCACTTCATTTTAAGAAGGGGGAGGTGCGTAGGTGTCAGTAAGGGTCCTTCTGTCCAAATAAGCATGATTAACTTCAATTATGGCAGCCTTTGGGGAACTGTGCCGGTCTTTTAGTGTGTTTCAAAGTATTTCATTTAGACATTTAGAAAAACATACATCTCTATTCATAGTAATGGTTACTGTTCTGATTTATAAGTTCTGTTCCACTGTAAATCATTCAAAACTCAAAAATTAAATTTTATGGCATAACACTTCGATGGCTGTATGCCTGAGCAAAGGGCAGGAGGAATGCAATTTTTCTTACTGCCAATTACGATTGGACTTCTTTTCGTTATGTCTTTAAGAAAAAATAGAGCAGATGGTTTAAGTGCCATGTATAAGAGAGGCACACTAATGCTCTGTTAAGAAAAACATTCAAAACTTGACTTTTAAAAAATGGTATGCTTTTCATCATTGGCTCAATCTTATTTAGTTTTAGAATTATGTATCCTAAGCATACTAAAAATTTAATATAAATTCCCATGTCTAAGGCATAGATGGATGTCTGTGGGACTTGGCCATTTAATTGCTTTGGGTGCAAACATGAATTATTCAGTTATACCTACATGAGCAGGAATGGGTCTTTATACAAATGCGCCCTCTCTTTCCTGACATTGCACAATTCTTTCTTCATACATATTTTTCCCTCCTTTATAGGAGGATGGGATTAGTTGGGCTTCCTCATTTGAGGGTCGGAAGGAAGCCACATTTATTGAATGACTACTGTGCTCTAGGCCTGGGCAGGCTCCTTTATATGCCCTCTCATTGAATCCTCTTTACAATCCTGGAGTTGGGCCTAAGAGTCCTAGTTTTACAGATGGTAAAACAAAGTTAAAAAGGTTCAAAGACTTATTTGCTTACTTACAAGGGGCCATGGTCTGAATATTTGTGTCCCTTCAAAATTCATATGTTGAAATCCCAACCCACAAGGAAGGGGCACTTTTGGGAGGTGAATCATGTGAGTAGAGATTTCCTGCGTGGAATTAGTGCCCTTAGAGGAGAGATCATAGAGAGCTCCCCTGCCCCTTCTGCCATGTGAGGACACAGTGAGAAGGCATCTTCTACGAGGAATAGGCCCTTATCGGACCCTGAATCTCCCCTGCTGCCACCTGGGTCTTGAACTTCCCAGCCTCCTCAGCCGTGAGAAATAATTTTCTGTTGTTTATGGTATTTTGTTATAGCAGCCTGAATGGGTGGAGACACAGATTCTGAATTAAAGACTCAGGATTTGAACTCAGACCCATTGGGTGCCACCCAGTGCTATTTCGTCTTCACCATGCTAGAAATGAAATGTGGTCCCTTGTAGCAATTGTTCTCACTTTCAGCTGAAGCCACCACCATGTTCCTGCCTATTGGCCTGGCAAATAATACTTGAGGATTCCTTTCTTAGAGGAGATTTAGTGTTGTAATTTGCTTTCCAAATAGTTAGGGGGAAAATAAAGGAAAACTGAAAAGAAGTAATTTAATCAACATTCACTGGGCAAGTTCTGGACAACATGCTCTTTGCTGGGGGAAGTGTTTCCAGGGGTTACTAAAATGGGTTCTGTGAAGTCCCTGCTTGGCGGACAACGCTAGTCAGAGGGAGAACTAACTGCAAAGAAAATGCAGTGATTTTGTAATAGAGGCTGGGAGCAGGGACAAGATAGCAGACTATTTTGCTTAGTCTTGGGGAAGGAGGGCTTCATGGAGGTGGCATTTGGACTGGACTTTGAAGATAAGTAACAGAGAAGGAGAGCAAGGAGGATGGGAGTTTAGGTTCAGGGACCAGCCCGAGGTTTGCTTGCCCCTGAGTCGTTGAGGGTGTGTGTGTTTACTTGTTCTCTTATCTCTTGCCTCTTGCTCAGGGAGAAGATTCTGTCAGGTTCTTGTCTAAGAACAGAGGAGGTCAGAGCCTGGAGACTGGGTCTGGGATTCTGTCCTGAGGAGACACAGGTTTCCAGAGAAGCAGGTTCACCTTATGAACATTGAGGTCAGTTACAAGGAGAGTCTGATGCCCAGCTGCTTTGCTGAGCTGGATGGCCAATGAGTGCTGTCAGTTTACCAAACTCTGGCCATATATAGATCATTTATTTTAGCTTGGAACCACTGTTATTATATATTTTATGAGAATATATTTATATAAATTTACATTTCATGTTGATATGAGTAAAAATATTTTGCATCCCAATAATCATCATCACAATCACAAAACTTTCTCTCTCTCTCTCTCTGTGTGTGTGTGTCTGTGTGTGTGTGTGTGTGTGTGTGTGTATTTAGAGACAGGGTCTCACTCTGTCATTCAGGTTGGAGTACAGTGGTGCTATCAAAGCTCATGATGGGCTCAAACTCCTGGCTTTAAGCAATCCTCCAGCCTTGTCCTCCCAAAGCACTAGGATTATAGGCACATGAGCCACTGAGCCGAGCCTACGGTATACATCAGTCAAGTGCATATTTATCATGGCTTTTTAAAGACATCCACATATCCCTTTATTTACAACCTTCATTGTTCAAGAAAGGATTTGCAAAGATTAGACAATATTTCTAGAGATAATAAACTTAAAATGAATTGGAAAATTTAGGCAAAAGGAAAATAAAAGTCAGAAAAGGAGATGGTACCAGAAATGGTGTTGGTACAGAAAAGATATGCCATAATATCCTGTGCTTTTGTGAGAGAGAGGGTTACAAATTTGATTCTAAAATTTTGGCAGCTGGTGATACTATTTCATTAGATTTGTTATGTAATATGACACTTACCATTCTCAACAAGAATATTATTTTCCATGTACATATATCACCCCCCATCCTTGACTGAGAACCCCCTGGGGGCAGGGCCCATAGTGCATTGATCTTTGTACCCAATGCCTTATGTGTTAAAATGATTGAAAGAAATGAATGACTAGATGGATAAATAGGTAATTTGGACAATACAATTAGTATTTTTCCCATTTTACAGATGAATAAGAAGGGTTGGATCCAGGTCAGAAGCAATGCCATTTGATGCCTAGTTCAGTGCTTTAGCTTCTGAATCCATGATCCTTTTTGTCCTCAGTCAGCCTTTGCAAATTCTGCAAATGTTGAGGAATGAGGTGTTACTCAGACAAGGCTGAGCTGTTTGTTGCACATGTCTGCATTTGGCTGAAATGTGTATCATGGGACACAAGCTCTTTGATATTTTCATTTTATTTTCTGGATTTCTTTTCTTAAAGTGGGGAATTTAGTTTCTCTCAGCCTTTGTTCTTTTTCCATAATCATGCATTGCCGAACATCTTTTCTTTAATGACCATCACACCAAATAGCAAATATTAAAGAGGGAATATCAATGAGTTTGTGAATCATGTGGTGTTTATGTAGAGAATCTTCCAGAACACATAGTCTTCCAGAATGTGCAGAGTTCTGCAATCTATTAAGGCTCTCTAGTGTAGTTATTATCTTTTAAGTCAGTCTTTGCAGCCACTTTGACTTCAATGACTATAAACACTCTTACACAATAGGTACCTTAAGGCAACAGCTTGTGCCAGCCCAAGTATTGCAAATGCTCTCAGTCTCATGTTTGGTTCTTCCAAGAAAAATCTGGATTCTGGGCTGATGGATCAAAAGTTATTTTCCGTGAGCAGAAAACACAGTGGAACTTTTAACCTTTGCTTCATACATTCCAAGCAAGGAGCATTTCCATCTTTTTGTATTCTTAATGCAAAGGAAGTATTTATTTTATGGGGACTATTAAAATGGGTTTCCTATGCAATGTGCTTTCTAGAACACAGACCATGTATGTTACATAAAACAGACATACTCCCATCCCAGGAGAATATCTGGTCTTCTCACCCCTCTGAGCTTTGATCTTGACAGAGTGATGCTTTTGCCTCTAGCGGGAAGATTCATAAATCTGAGGGGAGGAAGAGGCTGACTTCTTGGCTCTTCTCTCTCTTAGAGACTCACGCTCAATTTATCAAAGGCTCCTTCCATGAACACGCCTGTAACACCTCAACATCCTTGTAAGGATTCTGTGAGCTTTTCCCCTCTGCCTTTTGGGTTTTAAAGACTGACACAGCTTCTGGTATGAAGGGGATTTGTGAGGTTAATGGGATACTGCTAGGAGGTTTAAGTTTTTGCCTGAGTGTGTGTTGAATGGCGACTTAAGAGGAGTGTGTACTTTTGCTGCAAGAAGATTCTTTAAGCTGAGATGGGCTATAATAAGGGCCTGGGCTTGTGTTTTCTGCAATAAGAGGAGCTCTTTCAGGCAGTTGTCCTGGGGCAATGTAGCCCTATTCTAAGTTACTCATAAAATTTTGACTCTGGAATTTTATCTTTCAATTTTAAACATCTCTTACAAAGCCCACTGAAGTCCAGAGCCCTGGGATTTATAACGAGCAAACCTATTTTTGCTGAACTTCAATTTTTCCAAGGAGATCAATAAAACTCTCCCAAGTCAGACATTGTGCAGAAACATTCTGATTTCTCTCTTTTCCTCATTTTGCTGAACTTCCTCTTCTCCTAGGCCTTAAGGTTCATCTGCCCCGGTTTGCCTGACTTTAGCATCTCCCTGACGCTACAATAGGGTGTTTTGGGTTTTGTGAAAGGTTGGTGTGGCAGAAAGAGTTTTGAAGCTAGGTAATTTTGGTCATAGTTATGGCTTAGTCATTTCCTAGCTCTGTAGTTTTGAACAAGTTACTTAATTCTCTAGTTTAAAAAAAATTCTGTTGAAGAGAATTAATAATCCTGGCTTTGCTGGGTTGCTGTGTAGATGAAATGAGATAGCACATGAAGAGGCCAACACAAGGTAGGCACTCAGTGAATGCCACTTTTTTGCTTCCTGTGACATTGAAGGAAGGGTTAGAGTAAGAGGAAGGGGATGGTCAGATTTGTGTTTAGAGCCATCACTCTGACTGTGCCATCGTGTGCATTGGAGGGGTGTATGAGTCACCTGTCGCTGTGTAACAAATTAATTTAAACCCTTCAGTGGTTTAAAACAACACACATGCATTAGCTGACAGTTTCTATGGATCAGGAATCCAGGAATGACTTAGCTAAGTCCTCAGAGTTTCTCATGAGGCAGCAATCAAAGGGAAAGCTCAAGTGGGGAAGAACCGAAAACCCACTTCCTGGCTTGTGTAGTGGTTGTTGGGATTCAATTCTTTGTAGATTATTGGATTTCAGACCTTAGTTCCCTTTTGGCTTTCAGCTGAAAGCCACTCTCAGTTTCTTGCCACGTGAGCCTCTCCATAGGGCAGCTCAGACACTGCAGTTTGTTTTGTCAAAACCAGCAAGGAGGAGAGTATATCAGTAAGACAAAAGTCAGAATCTCGTGTACCCTATTCATGGAAGCAGTACTCCATCACATTTGCTATACTCTATTGGTTAGAAGCAAGTCACTCAAGGAGTTGAGCTTACACAAGGAGAGGCGATGTCACCAGGAGGTGGGAATCATTGGGGGCCATCTGAGAGCCTGTCCATTACTGAGAGTGTAAGTGAGAGATAGAGATGCCAAAGTTAGAAGACTGTTGAGCCTCCCAGGTAAGCAATGGCAGTGAGAACAAGGATGGTGACAGTCCGAGTAGAGAGAGAGGCACATATTGGTCATTCATTTAGGAGACAGATGAGATGGGAATAATAAAGTGAGGATAAAGGTAGCTCCCAGGTTGGTGGCTTACTCATCTGTGGATGAAAGGTGATGAGAATCTCTAAAGGGGAATTAAGAAGGTTGAGCAGTGTTTGGGAGGGGCAAAACGATGAGTTTAGTTTTAGTCCTATGTTTTAGAGACTACAGCTGTCATGTTTGTGGCAGGGCTGGAAAGCCTGGCAGTCACTCCTGTTCTAATGAAATGTTATGTGGAATCCCAGAGTATAAAACAATAAAGACTGGAGTTGTTCTGGTTGACTCTAGGATGGAGATCTGTGGGGTAAAGCCAGCTGAGGCCCTCTTCACCTCTGCAGCAGTTCCTTTGGAACCACATTGGTTTTGGATTTAAATATACTGACTTGGGGTTTTAGCTACTCCATACATCCTTTTTAAATCAATATGGTATAAACTGTTTTAAAATAGTACAGAGGCAAGGGAGGGTACTGGAAATTAATAAGCTTTTGTGCAAACTGCAAGTGTTGAGAATCTGTGTGTACAGAACAGACTTTTCCCTTCTCTAGGTAGAGCCCTGTAGCAAATAAGGCTCTATGTATATGACTTGAGATTACTTTATCTCTCCATTTCTCCTGTGATCCTAAGGAGACCATAGTTTTCTGAAAAGGAGGTTTGGAATCATTGCTTCTACCTACTAGACTCTGTGATCTGCCTACCCAGTTTTATGGTTAGTTTCTGAATTCACCTTTCGCATACTCTTCAGCTCTTCATGTAGCTCTAATGGGAAGTAATTATTATCTTATTATTTCAGTGTATCGTCAACTATTGCTACATAACTAGCAACATAAACTCTCATACAAAAATCAGCATTTATTTAACTTGCATGTCTGCAGGTCGACTGAAGGTTGGCTGAGCTAGATTGGTTTGGCTACTTGCAGATAAGCTACAGGTTGAGGTAAGGTCTGTTGCATGTATCTTTCAACCTCCTTGGATCAGTAGGACAGCCACATTGTATTTTTTTTTCATTGTGATGTTAAAAGCATGTGAAAGCACATATTGCTTAAGCACATTTTTTTTTTTTGAGACAGAGTCTCGCTCTGTCCCCCAGGCTAGAGTGCAGTGGCACGATCTCTGCTCACTGTAAGCTCCACCTCCTGGGTTCACGCCATTCTCCTGCCTCAGCCTCCCAAGTAGCTGGGACTACAGATGCCCGCCACCACACCCAGCTAATTTTTTGTAATTTTTAGTGTTTTTTATGTGTTAGCCAGGATGGTCTCGATCTCCTGATCTCGTGATCCACCCACCTTGGCCTCCCAAAGTGCTGGGATTACAGGCGTGAGCCACCACGCCCAGCCCTTAAGCACATTTTTAAGCCCCTGCTTGTGTCACATCTGCTAACATCCTGTTTATCAATAGAAAGTCACAAGTCTAAGTCCAAAGTCAAGGTGTGAAAGTACAGTCAGCCCTTTGTATCAGCAGCTTCAACCAAATCCGAATAGAAAATATGGTATTTGAGGGATGTGAAGATACAACAGAAGGTTGACTGCTCATACCCATGGGTTCTGCAGGGTAGACTATGGGACCTGAGCATCTACAGATTTTGGTATCCTGGGAGCGGAGGTGGCTAGAACTAATCTCCCCTAGATGGTGAGGAATGATTGTATACTTCCATTTATGCTTCAGGGAAGGAGTGAATATCTTTGAACAGTAATCTATCATCCTTAGTAAATTATATAAAGAGTGTGAAAATTCTTAAGATCTGATATGTGATAAATACCTAATAAATATTAATCTATATTCTTCTTCCTTCCTCTTCATCCTTGTTCTCCTTTTTCTTTCAGTTTTTTTTTTGAGACGGAGTCTCCCTCTGTCGCCCAGGCTGGAGTGTAGTGGCACGATCTTGGCTGACTGCAAGCTTCACCTCCCAGGTTCACCCATTCACCTGCCTCAGCCTCCCAAGTAGCTGGGACTACAGGTGCCCGCCACCATGCCCAGCTAATTTTTTGTATACTTTAGTAGAAACGGGGTTTCACCGTGTTAGCCAGGACGGTCTCGATCTCCTGATCTTGTGATCTATCCGCCTTGGCCTCCCAAAGTGCTATGATTACAGGGGTGAGCGACCGCGACAGGCCCTTCGTTTTCTTTTTACCTATTCCCCATCTAAGCTCTGTCTTTTTGCACACAGTTGATCCATGTGAGCAAACAGCCATGGTTTTTAAGTGGTTGACACAAGTATGAGATTGTTATTAAACTGTGAACCACTCCCCGCATTGAGAGAAATGCCTCAAAGGGATAAAGAATCACTTTAGGGAATTAGAATGTGGTTTTTAGGGACCTGAGCATGAATTCTGGTTGTACTAAGTCCTAGCTTGTTTTACTATTCACAGTTCAACTGGAGAAGTGGAACTGGTAGAAGATTAAGAGAATTTACTGTAAGGAATTTACTTACCTGATTGTGGGAGATGCTAGGCAGATCTGAAATCCATAAGGCAGGCTGTAATGAAGGGCAGAGGCACCTTGCAGGCAGGAGCTGAAACTGCAGTCCACAAGCAGAATTTCTTCTTTGCCTGGGAAGCCTCAGCTCTGCTCTTGAGGCCTTTCAACTGATGGAATTAGGCCTACCCTGACTATTTAGGACAATCTTTACTCAAAGGCAACTGAAACAGGAACTAGTCGCATCCACAAAATAATTTCACAGTAACACCTAGATAGGTGTTTTATGGAATAACCAGGAACCATAGCCTAGAAACGTTGACCCATCAAAGGATTGTCATGCTGGGTAAATTTGGGGAAGCCTCTGGTTCCTTATCTAGAAAGGTGGGAGTGAGAATACCTACCTTGCAGTGTTACCAAGGATTAATTGAGATAACTTGCTTCTTTTTCCACTCCTTCTGTCCCTTCTTGCCTTACTTCAAGCTTTGCTATGAAGACAAACCTGCCCATCTCTACTGAATTGTAACATCTTAGTGATACTGAACTTTTCATGATAAAGAAAGTGGAATTCACATTTGTGCTGAAAATGTCCATTTTGCTATTTACTAACATCCAAATAATTCCAAATTCTTAGTCTGTGTGGGTACAAAGGTTGCTCGAAATCTATGTAAGTAATGAATTTCACCAAAGTTCTGTAAGTTTACTGACATAGACTGTCACATGCATATGCATATGTCATTATCAGTGATTCAGGTTATTTCAGGGAATATGGGAAAGTGTTTCTAATTATCAGAATCCCACACAGACAGTGGACCTAGGAAGAAACCCAGGCCGGGGTGAAAGCTGACAGCAGAGGAAGGTATGGATTCCATAATTTTTTCAGGATTATAAAAATGATGAAGGGAGCCAGGTGTGGGGATCAGATGTGACCTGTCACTTCTCCCCTATGGACTGTAATTTCCCCTTCTGCAAAGATGAACATGTTGGCTGAGGTGACCATATAGTTTGCTGTCTTATCTGGTGTACTTATGATGGTGAAAGAGGGCATTGTTAATGATCATTCCAGGACATTCGCTCTAATTTGGCTCTGTCCAGGTTGTACTGGTTCCTGTGGTCACCCTCACATTGAATAAGTTCCATGAGCCCATGAATCTCTAGGGAAGATGAACATTTACTAAGCCCCTTCCATATGCCAGGTCCCTTACTTATCATATAATTTACATACCCACCAAATATTAAAATGATCTATTTGAGGTTTGCCTTTCCCACTGGTCTCGGCACCCCTCAACATCAGGGCCACATCATGCTCTGTACAGTGCTTGGCATGGGAGAATTTTCCATCAATGTGTGCTGAGACCCCTTACTTCTCACATAACTCTGTGTTGTAGGTAGTCATATTTCCTCCCCGGGGTTGGGGCAAGGGAGGCGTGCAAGGATTTCCACCCTGGGGAGGGAGAGCCTGTGGCATGTGCCAGGCTGCCAGTCAAAGCTGTGGTTCTCTGGGCTCCAGGCCTGGGCTTCTGCCACAGGCACATGTTAGCTCTGATTGATATTAAAGGACGGGCAAGGTCCTTTATAGGCCACGGGAAGTGAAGCTTAGTTCTTGCCAGGGGAGTTATTATGGCTGGTATCACAGGATTTACAGGCCCCTGGAACCATGTCATGGGGCTTTTGAGTTTAAATGGAGGCAATTCATAGGATCCAGAAGACCTGTAATGTTTATAAGAATCGCACAGTTAATTCTCAGGTTCCTCAATTCAAGCCTTCGTTTCTCGGCTGTTGTAAGATCCAGGCTGTCAAAGTGAGTATCATGCTCTAATTTCTGCGAGAGACCACAGAACTAAATACAATCTCAACACTGAGCTTACAACACAATTCTCCAGACTACTCTGAAAACGTGAAAAATGACCTTTATTCCTATTGTTATCCTAGCTCTTAGAGTAAATCAAAGCTTACTGCCAAGACATGGAACTTGAGAAATTACAGTAAATAATGTAATTTTGGAAGACAAATGAAATATCAAATGTTTAGTAGGAAACAGCCTGGAATTGTGTAACTGACTATCAACTTTATGTTTATAATGGTTGAAATCTCTGTGTGTGTGTGTGTGTATGTGTGTCTCTGTGAGAGTGTATATATGTGTGTATGTGAGTGTGTATATGGTTGATGTATGTATGTGCATTTGTGTGTGAGTGTGCATGTGTGTATTTGTTGGGTATGTATGTGTTTACATATGTGTGTATGTGTGTGAGCGTGTTTGTGCATGTGTGAATGTGTATGTGCATATATGTGTGTGTGTGTATGTGTGTGTGTCTACTTTCACTAGAGACATCAGGGAAGCCCTCTCTGAGAAGCTGACACTTTGTATGAGGAAGACAGCCATGCAAAGACAGAGGGGTTATTAAGATCAAAGCCCTCAAGCTGGAAATAAGTGTGCCATGCACAGGAATATACTGAAGGGCAGTGGGGCTAGAACAGAGTGTTCCAGGTCGGGGGAGGGGAAGAGATCAGAGGAGTTGCAGGCTTAGATCACACAGGATCCTATAAGAACTTTGACTTTGACTAAGGCTTATGAGACACCTTTGGAGAATTTTGAGCAGGAAGATAATATATTCTGACTTAAAAAATACCACTTCAGCTTCTGTAGGAAGGCTAGAGAGAAAGCAGGAAGGCCAATTAGGAGACTGCTGCTGGAGTCAAGAAGGGATTTGTGTAGGAGGAAGTGCTGAAGATAGTGGGAAGGGCCTAGACTTGCGTTCTACTTTGGAGGTCAATAACTATGCTGATGAATCGAATGTGAGGGGTGAGAGAAAGAGAAGAACAAGAGATCATGCCTAGGTTTTGGTCAGTAGAGCAAGGTAGTCAGTGCTACCCTTGGCAGATATGGAGAACACTAGAAGCAGAACTAGTTTATGGCTGGAGGGTGGTGGAAATCAAGAAATCTTTAGCCAAGTTAACTTTGAGAAGCACCTTCCCTTCTATTCCCTGCCCTCCCTCCCTAAACTGATTTCCTCTTTTTTCTTTTTCTTCTTCTATTAATTCCCTGAAGGCCTACCCACTATTTTGGATGCCAGAGGAGAAAGTGACAGAATGGAATTGTTGCTTTCAAGTAACTGATAAACTAATGGGAGTGGCAGATCCATAAATAGTGTGGGGTATTGAGATAAGTGCTCTAATAAAGGTTAACTCAATTACCATAAAC
This sequence comes from Homo sapiens, assembly GCF_000001405.40. Classification (NCBI taxonomy): domain Eukaryota; kingdom Metazoa; phylum Chordata; class Mammalia; order Primates; family Hominidae; genus Homo; species Homo sapiens. Next base: position 13,195,218 of record NC_000004.12, on the reverse strand, counting down.
AGAGAGGGAAGGAAGTAGCTAGCTCTGGTATCTTCAAGGAATCACATAAAAAAAGATAACATTTCTTGAGTTGTCTGAGCTCTCCTATCTTGTACTAAAATTCTTTACATTTAAATTTTTTTTATTATACTTTAAGTTTTAGGGTACATGTGCACAATGTGCAGGTTTGTTACATATGTATACATGTGCCATGTTGGTGTGCTACACCTATTAACTCGTCATTTAACATTAGGTATATCTCCTAATGCTATCCCTCCCTCCTCCCCCGACCCCACAACGGGCCCTGGTGTGTGGTGTTCCCCTTCCTGTGTCCATGTGTTCTCATTGTTCAATTCCCACCTATGAGTGAGAACATGTGGTGTTTGGTTTTTTGTCCTTGCGATAGTTTGCTGAGAATGATGGTTTCCAGCTTCATCCATGTCCCTACAAAGGACATGAACTCTTCATTTTTTATGGCTGCATAGTATTCCATGGTGTATATGTGCCACATTTTCTTAATCCAGTCTATCGTTGGACATTTGGGTTGGTTCCAAGTCTTTGCTATTGTGAATAGTGCCACAATAAACATACGTGTGCATGTGTCTTTATAGCAGCATGATTTATAATCCTTTGGGTATATACCCAGTAATGGGATGGCTGGGTCAAATGGTATTTCTAGTTCTAGATCCCTGAGGAATCGCCACACTGTCTTCCACAATGGTTGAACTAGTTTACAGTCCCACCAACAGTATAAAAGTGTTCCTATTTCTCCACATCCTCTCCAGCACCTGTTGTTTCCGGACTTTTTAATGATCGCCATTCTAACTGGTGTGAGATGGTATCTCATTGTGGTTTTGATTTGCATTTCTCTGATGGCCAGTGATGATGAGCATTTTTTCATGTGTTTTTTGGCCGCATAAATGTCTTCTTTTGAGAAGTGTCTGTTCATACCCTTCGCCCACTTTTTGATGGGGTTGTTTGCTTTTTTCTTGTAAATTTGTTTGAGTTCTTTGTAGATTCTGGATATTAGCTTTTTGTCAGATGAGTAGATTGCAAAAATTTTCTCCCATTCTGTAGTTTGCCTGTTCATCTTGTACTAAAATTCTTATTCCATTCTCTTGATGCTTAACTTTTAACCTGGCAGCTGCTCATTGATTCTTTGGTTATATGCATTCTTATATTTCCTGGATTGAGATTCTTGCTCCCCTCCTGGCTAAGTTTCAGCCTATTCCCTTCAGAGTAACAGCCACCTGAACCTGACCTCTGGTTCCCGTCTTCAAGCACATGTTCCTGCAAGTGGACCCTCGTGGTCCTGACCTCATGGGCAGGGTTTGGGGAAGGCTTTACGGAAGAAGGTGAGTCTTGAAGAAAGCGTAGGAATAAGCCAGGCAAACAAGGCAAAGTCCTCATGGTTGCCTGGCTCCACCTCTGGGTGTAAAAAAGCACAACACCTTTCTCCTTTGGTACACGGCTTCTCTCCGCCAATTGCCACTAGGGAGAATAAATGATTAAAGTTGTGTAGTAAGAAGGCAACATGCTCTAATCTGCTAGGTTTTAGGCTACGTACAACAAGATGATAACAAAGGTACTTAGGATATTTCCAGCTTTTGAGGAATTCGACGTTCAGCAGAGGGAACAGCCAGGTAGATTGTTGATCCTGTGACCTGTGATACCTGTTGCAGTCAATCTCTCTCTCTCTCTCTCTTCTCTCTCTCTCTCTCTCTCTGTGTGTGTATTTATTATGGGAATTGGCTGACATGATTATGAAGGCTGAGAAGTTCCATGATCTGCCATTTGCAAGCTGGAGACCCGGGAAAGCCAGTGGTGTCACTGAGTTTAAGTCGGAAGGCCTGAGAACCAAGAGTGGGGCAGAGGAAAGGATAGGGAGGTGCTGATGTAAGTTCTGGCATCTGAAGGTCCAAGAACCAGGAGCTGTGAAGTCTGAGGACAGGAGAAAGTGGATGTCCCAGCTCAAGAAGAGGAAGCAAATTTATCCACTTGCTGCCTTTCTGTTCTAACCTGCTCTTAACAGATCGGACGATGCCCACACACATTGCTCAGGGCAGATCTTCTTTAGTAAATCCAATGATTCATGCTGATCTTTTCCAGAAGCACCCTCACAGACACACCCCAAAATAATCTTTTAGCAGCTACCTGGGTATCTCTTAACCCAGTTGAGGTGACACATGAAACTAACCATCACACCTGGGGGCACTGGGGAGGAAGAACTAAATCTCCTGGGGAAATCTGAGGAAGTTGCCAAATAAGAGAAAGTAATTAGTTTGGACATTGAAGGATGGAGATGAGAGAAGAGGATGAATTCCAGTCAGAGGAAACAGCAGGTGCAAAGACACAGAACTAGGAGAGTCGTGCATTCAAGGACTGGTGAGGGCTGGGCACGGTGGCTAATGTCTGTAATTCCAGCACTTTGGGAGGCTGAGGCGGGTGGATTGCTTGAGTCCAGGAGTTTGAGACCAGCTTGGGCAACATGGTGAAACCCCATCTCTACTAAAAATACAAAAAATGAGTGAGATGTGATGGCATGCACCTATAATCCCAGCTATCCAGGAGGCTGTGATGGGAGGATAGCTTGAGCCCAGGAGTAAGAGGATGCAGTGAGCCAAGACTGCACCATTGCACTACAGACTCCAGCCTGGACAATAGAGCCAGACCCTGTCTAAAAAAAAAAGAACTGGTGAGAAGCTGAATGCCGAGGGACTGTGTAGGGGATGGAAAGGGGATGTAGATAGAAAGTAGATTAGAATCAAATTGTGTAGAAACTTTAGTGCCATACTTGAGAAAGAGGTCCGAGCCATCTGTACAAAATGATGAGCCTGATAAGCCTCTAAGACAGCTGTGGGTGTTAGTATCCCTGACACCTCCCATGTTGAATTCCTCAGGTAGGGGGCAGGCAGAGGCTATTCTCCTACCACCTGGGGACTTGTGTTGAGATGTAGCACTGTTTGTTTAATAAATGAATGAACCTACCAATTGATCATTCAACTCTGTGAAAATAAAATTTTGTTTTCCTTGATTTATAGCTTCATAGTGCCTTGTATTCTATGGATGTGTTCCAAGCATGTGTAGTTTTTCTGTTGTGGAAAGTTATCAACTCCTCCCTCCCACTTCCTTCCCTTCCCTCCTATTTTTTCCTTCTATCTTTTGTTTTTCCATACACTTTAATCAAGCACCTATTAAGCATAGTTTCAATGCTATCGAAGGACACATGATACAATGAGGTCAATGTACCAGGTTTATCATCTGGGTTCATATTCCTGCTCCTTTACCTTGTAAGCTGTCACTTAATCCTTTATAGTCTTTACTGCTCTGAATTCTATCCTGTGGATGATAATACTTGATTTTAGGATTTGTTGGGGAAACCGAGCATGGGAGATACTTAATGAGCACTGATTAAATTGGTTAAATAATAATGAAATGTTTTTAGGCCAGTATTTTTAAATGGTGTAAATTGGAAAGATTTTTTTAAGGATTAATTCTATGTAGGGTATTCTATATGTGGTAAAATGTCAAGTTGAGGTATTTGAATAATTCTATTAAATTCTATAATAAATGAAAAGAACCTGGAATAATGCTTGGCACATAGTCAGTGATGATCAAATTTTAACTTTTATTACATGATTATCCACAGCAGTAAGTTCACTTGTTCTTGCTCTAATGAAAATTGTGAGTTAGGTGAATTACCTCTCAAATAATTTTTCCCTCCAAAAATGTGCATTCCATAAATTGGTCTTATTTGATCCTTAAGTCAACAAAATGTGTGTGTATATACGTATGTGTGTATATCTTTAAGTCAACTAAATGTGTGTGTGTTTGTGTGTGTGTGTGTCTGTGGGGTGTGAAATCGTGTCAAAAAAGAATGGGAGGCAATGGTAGGAGAGCTACAAGCTGATTGTTCAGCAGTAGCCACTTTTCTTCCCTTCCCATCATGAATAGAATATACTTCTTAGCCCTTTTGATGCTGAACTTGGTCATGTGGCATATTTTGGCCAGCTGAATGTCAGAGGATGGAAAATGAGCAGAGACCTAAGTGTGCTTGTATAAACCGGCTTGGCTTTCATTTCCAGTGATCACCCTGAAAAAAGCATGCCCCAGGAGAATGAGAGACATGTGGTGTGGGCCTGAATCTTACCTGTGGCCTGAAGGAGGGTTGCCCCAGCTGACCTGTGGACCCCTGAGCATGAGAATACATGTTTATTAGTGGTAACCACTTACATTTTGGCTGTCTTGCTATGCTGCATTATTGAAGAAAATAATGCATTAGTTGACTAATGTGCTGCACCTGCATCTTTCTTATCTGATGATTGGGACTCTGCATCTCCGTGTTCTCAGACAACCCTACATCGCTCCATGCCTGTAGCTTGAACTTTGTGGACCAACTTTTATATGATTTCACACTAACCTAAACAAAATCAGCTCTTCAGTTTTAGAGGTAGAAGTTATCATAAAGTCATTTAGTCCAACTTTATTGTTTGATAAATGAAGAAGGCAAGAGAAAAGACAATTCGGTAAAGTCTTGCTGTTCTTAGAGGCTCAGAGAGGATCCAGGCATTCTGGACTGCCCTTCTGTGTGTCTTTTCATTTTGCCAAATGACTTTTAATTTCATGAATTGGGTGTTTCCAGATGCTGCAAATCGACTTTTAGCACTGGAAGAAGAGTCGATAAGCAGACGAGAAGAGAAAGTGAAAGCCCCAGGGAATTGTGCTGATCAAAGTTGAATGAAAGTGATGGGTTGGTCAGGCATTTGCTGAGGCTGGAAATAAAGATTCTTCTGAAGTGTACAATAATTGGACTTGTTCAAAGAGTTTCTCTGGGAAGAAAAAGATGAAATTAAGCCGTGGAAATTTTTGGCCAAGTCATGAAAACACATTTTCCAAAAGAGCTGTTAATTTGACAGTGGAATGAGTCACAGCCCATGGGCAGGTCTGAAAGTCCCATCAACTGAATTACTGAAAACTTAACTGGACAATAAAAAATGTATGGTTAAGGCAACCATCCCTGAAGGGCTAGGCCAGAGAGACACCGTGTCCCTGTTTGAACTTTTCCTTTGTATTTTCAGTCCAAATTAACATGGAAAATTACCTGATACTTCAGATCATGAGAGTAGCAGGGCCAGATTATTTCAGGATGGGAGGTGTTTCCTATTTCACTTGTCTTCAGGGTCAAATTCATTGAATGGTGACCAGACTTTCAATGTTGCTATGACGGCAGGTCTGGCACTAACTAGTTGATAGTTGGAAAATAAAGTTTCTCATGGAACTTAAACCTTGAATTTCCCAAGTTATAGAAAGGTATGGTACCATTTAATAACAATGGCACCTGAGTGTAACTTGCTAAATAGAAGTGGCCAAGAGTGGTATTTAAAATCTAGTTTTATAAGCATTTTTCTTTAAATGTATAGCGGTCCTTCCACTACCTCCTCCTTCATTATTGGTTAAAAAGAAAAGACGAGGCGTGGTTCTCACATCTTGACACACTATGAAAGGCCTGGTAGCTCAGCTCAACTCTAACTCCTCCGGGAAGCCCTTCCCACCTCCTTGGTTCAGGGAAGGTAGGATGCTGGCAGCAATGAATTCCTCTCTCTTTTTTTTTCTTTTTTTTTGAGACAGAGTCTCACTCTGTCACCCAGGCTGGAGTACAGTGGCATGATCTCAGCTCACTGCAACCTCCGCCTCCTGGGTTCAAGTGATCCTCCTGCCTCGACCTCCTGAGTAGCTGGGATTACAGGCACCCACCACCACGTCCATCTACTTTTTCTATTTTTAGTAGATATGGAGTTTCTCCATGTTGGCCAGGTTGGTCTTGAACACCTGACCTTAGGTGATCTGCCCACCTCAGCCTCCCAAAGTGCTGGGATTACAGGTGTGAGCCACCGCACCTAGCCCAGTGAATTCCTCTCTTTCAGGATATTCATTTCAGTCTATAACTGTGTATTCATTCATATGATTATTTCATTAATGTCTGTCTTCCTCATTACTCTGTAAGCCTCTTACTTAGTAGAAGGCTCAGTAAGCATCTTTAATTCCAAGGGAAGATGAACTCTCTTAGTTTTTATTTATAATTTCCTTTGCTTAGGCTGAGCGTGGTCTCTCATGCCTGTAATCCCAGCACTTTGAGAGGCTGAGGTGGGAGGATGGCTTGAGTCCAGGAATTCGAGATCCGCCTGGGCAACATGATGAGACCCTATCTCTACAATAAAGAAAGAAATAAACAAACAAATAAATCCATAAATGAAAAATTAGGCAGGTGTAGTGGCATGTGCCTGCAATCCCAGCTACTTGGGAAACTGAGGCAGGAGGATTGCTTGAGCCTAGGAGTCTGAGGCTGCACCACTGTACTCCAGCTGGGGTGATAGTGTGAGAACTTCTTTCAAAATAAATAATGCAATAAATTTAAAAATAAAAAATACTTTATTTTTCTTCATCAGGCATCTTTCTATACCACTCCTTGTGTATCTTCTGACATAGACTCTTCAAAGGCTAGTAGTTGTCCTCAGGCTAAGTTCAAACTGCTGCATGTGGCCCTGAAGACTTCCTATGCCATGAGCTCTTGCTACCATCTAGATTATTCCCTTTCCCTCTACTTCCTACCAGGAACTCAACCTTCCAGAAGCTTCTGAATATCTTCCATTTCTCCAATGGAAGGCAGTGATTGCACTCTGTCTTTTCCTCCTACCTCTATCTTGCCCGTGTTTCTCTCAGTTTCCATTAGTTTCCTGTGGCCACATTAACAAATTATCACCAACTTGGTGCTCAAAACAACATAAATTCATTCTCTCACTGTTCTGGAACCCAGAAGTCTGAAATCAAGGTCTCCACAGGACTGTATTTCCTCTGGAGACTCTAGGAAATAATCAGTTGCTTGCTTTTCCTGCTTCTGGAGCTGTTGGCGTTCCTTAGCTCCTGGCTACACCCCTCTGCTGTATTTTCACATTGCCTTCTCCTCTGTGTGCCTTCTCCGTTGTCAATCTAGTTTACAAGGATACTTGTCGTCTGATAAGAGCCCACCTGGAAATCCAGGATAATCTTCTCATCTCAGAATCTTTAATTACATCTTCAAAGACCTCTTTTCCACATGTGGTAATATTTATAGGTTCCAGGGATTTGGGTGAGGGCATGCCTTTTTTGGGGGAAGGGGCACCATTCATCTCACTACAGGCTTTGATATTTTTTTCTTATGAATCTAAATGACTTATTTTTTTCTCTGTAATGCTTAATTACCCTTTGCTGTATTTCATTAAAAACATTTTTGGCAATTAGTGGTTTGTCTTTTAATTCCCTTATATTATACTGACTTGTGGTCCTGTAGAATTCATGCCTGACTAGGTTATTCTTGAGGTACACTACAATGCCCAACATTAATTAAGAAGACTCCCAAACCTTATGCACGTCTCTAGAAAAGTTAAAGGGGATCCTGTTCCTAATGTTCACAACATGTTTCCTATTTTCTTTTTACATCTTTCAAGTTTTCTCATGCCCTACACTACTCAAAGACTTCATTATCCAAAAATTCCCCTCTCTCACCAAAGTGTCTTTCTTCCCATTTTAGAAATGATAGAAAACTTTGAATAGGGGCTGTGAGTCACTCTATATAAAGACTTGTTAATTTTATTAGGTATGATAACATGGAGATTATATTATATCCTTATCAGTAGAGATGAACACTCAAATATTTGCAGGTAGAATGACATGATTTCTGAAATTTGCTTTTACATGCTCCAGCCATGAAAGGAGTGGTGGTGGGAATTACATAAAATAATATCCATACAATGTAGATAAATGTAGTTAGTGATGGATCCATGGGGGATCCATTATACTCTTCTCTCTACTCTTGAATATGTTTGAAGATAACCCTTTCTCCTGCCAACCTGTCCTCAGTTTTTACTCTGCAGATTATCCTCATGTCTCCCTTACTCCTCGCCCTCTGGTCTCATTCTTCTCTATCCACTTACTCATTTTGTACCCTAAAGCCTTGGAGCAAACAAAGCTGAGCCCATTACTTCTTAGGAGGAGGTGGAGAGGAGAGGACAAAATCAAAACATAATTGCCCACAGTCTCTTTGGCAGCCGTGGGGAAGTCCATGAACATTCCCATATTAATACTTTTTTATATTACAATAAAAATTTTTAACCTTCACCTAGTCAAATCTATAGATCGTGCCTTTTGCATCTTCACTGATTACTTCAAAGCTTGAAAGGTTGCATTTAGTTCAGATGATATGGTCTTGCACTCATTGATATCTTTCTTTGATATTTTAAAGACATTTATTCAAGTCAACAGAAATTATTTGAGGACCTGCTGTATTGTGGGTGCCATAATGAGAACAAGGGATATAGAAATAAAGCCACAGGCCAGACATTAAGGATGTCGATGTAGAAGGGAAGATAGACAAGAAACAAATATGTGGCATATAACACAGTAAGTGGAAATGTGTAAGTTTGTATACACCTCAAAACTAGCAAGAAGGAGGAAAGCATCTATACCTTTAAATACATAAAGCTGGCATTTGAGGCCCTGCAATTAGTTCTCTACATGACTTATGTTCAATGCTCATAACAACCTTTCAAGACAGATGTTATTACCGTGCAGAAGAGGAAACTGAGGCTCAGGAAAGTTAAGACCTTGTCCAAGATCACAGTTAGTAAAGTGGTAGATATGAGGTCCTTTTCATAGTTTTCTTTTTTGAGTTCTTGAGTTTTCAAACATTTGCTTTAGTTGATACTAACTTTTAAAAAGTATGCCGGGCATGGTAGCTCATGCCTGTAATCCCAGCACTTTGAGAAGCTGAGGCTGGTGTAACCCTGGAGTACAGGGATCCAAGACCAGCCTGGGCAACATGGTGAACTTTCTTTACCAAAAATAGAAAAAATTAACATGGCATAGTCCCAGCTACTTGAGAGGCTGAGGTGAGAGGATCCTTGAGCTCAGGAGGTTGAGGGTACAGGCTCACTGCATCACCAAATGGGAGAAAATTTTTGCAATCTATCCATCTGACAAATGGCTAATATCCAGAATCTACAAGGAACTTAAACAAATTTACAAGAAAAAAACAAACAACCCCATCAAAAAGTGGGCAAAGGATATGAACAGACACTTCTCAAAAGAAGACATTTATGTGGCCAACAAACATATGAAAAAATGCTCATCATCACTGGTCATTAGAGAAATGCAAATCAAAACCACAATGAGATACCGTCTCACACCAGTTAGAATGGCGATCATTAAAAAGTCAGGAAACAGCAGATGTTGGAGAGGATGTGGACAAATTAGAATGCTTTTACACTGTTGGTGGGAGTGTAAATTAGTTCAACCACTGTGGAAGACTCTGGTGATTCCTCAAGGATCTAGAACCAGAAATACCATTTGACCCAGCAATCCCATTACTGGGTATATACCCAAAGGGTTATAAATCATTCTACTATAAGGACACATGCACACATATGTTTATTGCAGCACCGTTCACAATAGCAAAGACTTGGAACCAACCCACATGCCCATCAATGATAGACTGGATAAAGAAAATGTGGCATATATACACTGTGGAATACTATACAGCGATAAAAAAGGATGAGTTCATGTCCTTTGCAGGGACATGGATGAAGCTGGAAACTATCATTCTCAGCCAACTAATACAGGAACAGAAAACCAAACAATGCATGTTCTCACTCATAAGTGGGAGTTGAACAATGAGAACACATGGACAAAGGGAGGGCAACATCACATACTGGGGCCTGCTGAGGTTGGGGGGCAGGTAGGGGAGGTATGGCATTAGGAGAAATAACTAATGTAGTTGAAGGGTTGATGGGTGCAGCAAACCACCATGGCATGTGTATACCTATGTAACAAACCTGCTCATTCTGCACATGTATCCTGGAACTTAAAGTATAATAATAATAATAAAAGACCAAAGAGACAGTATTTCTGGGATGAAAATTGGGACTTCCAAAGAAGTCATCCATCACAGTAAATTCCACATGGACCAAGTATTCATCAATTTATAATACCATGAAAACACTCGAAAGAAATGCAGGTAATTCTCTAACTTCTAGATGCATACTACCTTTCTAAGCAAACAAAACAAAACCCAACAAACAATGGGAGGAACTGCAAGTGTAAAAGAATATGCTAATTTACCAACATATTGAAAATTTCTACATGTCAAAAACATATACCAAATTAAAATGCAAATGAGTGTGGGAAAAGATTTTCAATACAATTACAAAGTTTTGATATCCTTAATAAAGAGTTGATATTGCTCTCCAATATACCCAGCTCCTCACATTAACAGGGGCTAAACAAAGAATTAATTAGACAATACGCTTCTCCCAATACATTTAACAGGATCACCAACAGCAGTGGGAAGAAAAAGCAAATTATTGAAAGTTGGTGGTGAAATGCCTGTTAAAGAAGAAAGCTGTCTTGTGTTTAGAAAAAATCATTCATAGGTCATTTAGTTCTGACAAGCTCTGTTTTCTTCTTTTCCTTATATTTTTACATCATTGGTATAATCTCTATAACAAAATCTGATACTTTACAAACCCAGAGAAATTAAACAGTCATTCTGAAAGATTCTCCAGCCACCTGATGCCACCCAGCCACATGTGTCTGTGCTTGTTGTCACCCTGTGACTGTCTTCTCCATCTATGCCTCCTTATCAAATCCTTCCAGGAGTAAATCCAGATTGATCTCTGTGATAACACATTTATTATGTATTATTAGGTTGGTGCAAAAGTAATTGCAGGTTTTGCCATGACTTTCAATTGCAAAAACTGCAATACTTATGAACCAGCCTAATATGTTTGAAGATTCTGTGAATTAATTGGGCTCAGCTGGGCAGTTCTTCTGTTTCATGTGATATTGCTTAGAGTCAAAGACATCCAGAAAAGCTAATCCAGAGCTGGAACCTGCAGGATGGCTCATTCTGTCACTGGCAGCTGGGCTGGCTGTTGGCTGTGAGTTCAGCCGATGTGCCTGGTCTTCATCATATGGGCCTCTCTGTGAAATTGCTTCGGCTTTCTCACATAGTGGTGGTGGGATTAAAAAAAAGGAGCCTTCCAAATACATAAACAAAAATGTTGTAAGTCTTTTAGTGCTTAGACTTGCATGTTACTGTATTAGTCTGGCTCTCCAGAGAAGCAGAACCAATAGAGTGTGTGTGTGTGTGTGTGTGTGTGTGTGTGTGTGTGCATGTGTATGTGTGTGTGTATACATATAAAGAAATTTATTAGAAAGAATTTGCTCATGTGATTACAGAGGCTGATAAGTCCCAAGACCTGTAGGCTGGAGAACCAAGAGAACCACTGGTATCTTTCCAGTCCAAAGGCCAACAGGCTGGACACCAGGGAAGGGCTAATGTTTCAGTTAAAGTTCCAAGGCAGAATAAAACCAATGTCCCAGCTCAAGGAGTCAGGGAGGAGAAATTCCCTCTCACGAGAAGATCAATCAGTCTTTTTGTTTAATTCAGGCCTTCAATGGATTGGATGAGACCAGCCCACATTAGGAAGAATAATCTGGTTTACTCAGTCTACTGATTCAAATGTCAATCTCATCCAAAAACTCCTTCGTGGCACACCCAGAATAACATTTGACCAAATGTCTGGGCACCCTGTGGGGCAATGGTTAACATAAAGTTCACCATTATGGTTATGTAGGTCACTTCTGCCACAGGCTATCAGTCATAGCCTATGAGAAGCCCAAATTCAAAGGGAATGGAAAGAGACTCTATTTCATCAGAGTCTGTGTACTTCACCATAGAAAGGCAATGAAATCTGCATAAAGTGTGGATGGCTGGATCTTACCTCATACCTACTAATTTAGAATCAAGAAGATGAGGCCAAGGAATCTACATTTTTACAAAGCTTCCTTGAGTATTATTGTGTCAATCATAGTTAAAGGGCTCATGTCCTGGGCAATGGGAAACAATCTGTCTAAGGATTTGAATTCTTCAATCCACATTTTTCTTTAGGATTTAGACCTTTGTATCTGGCTGTACTGTCTCTGCCTTTATCTTTATCTCTGCTTTTCTTACTCCGTGTCGGTGTTGTCATCTCAACAAGAATCCACTTCATTACACAAAAGGATGGCACTTTCTCTATTTCTTGTTTGGCCATTTTCTCTTCAACCTTGAGAGGTTTAAAATAAACTTAACTCTTAGAATATTTTATAGAAAAGTTACAAAAATAATGTAGAGTATGCCCATATACTTCTCACCCATTTTTCTCTATCTCTAGCATGTTAGCGTGGTCCATTTCTCAAGACTGATATAGTAATATAATTACTATAAGATATAGTAATTATAAGCTCCAAATAAAGTCTATAGTTTAGTGAATATATTATAGTATAATATACATGAGTTATATTATACTATTCTATTCACTAAAATATACACATATAATATCTACATGAATATAATATATGATTATATTATACTATTCACCAAAGTATAGATTTCATTTGGAGTGAACTAGTTTTTCCATAGTGTCTTTTTTCATATTACAGAATCAAATCTAGGAAATAAATTTATTTAGTCATTAAGTCTCCTTAATCGCCTCTGGTCTATGGCAGTCTCTCACCTTCCTTGCTTTTTCATGATCATGACAGTTTTGAAGATAAATGGTCAAGTGTTTTGCAGAATGCTCCTCAATTGGGGTTTGTCTATTTTTTTTTTACATGATTAGATTGGGCTTTTGTGATTGGGAGAGAGAATTCTACAGAGGTGAAGTGCCCTTCTAATCATATCATGTCATATCATGTCATATGATGTCAAGAAGTACATGAGGTCAAAATAACTTATTGCTGGTGACAGTAACATTCACCACTTGATTAAGGAGGTGCCTGCTGGTTTTCTCCACTATAAAGTTACAACTTATCTTTTTCCATATTCCATTCCTTGGAACTGAGTCACTAAGTCCAGCCACACTCAAGGGGAGGGGAACTAAACTCTACCTCATGGAGAAGAGAGTATTTACATGTATTATTGAGAATTACTCTGTAAGGAGGATTTGAAATATATATATTTTGTCATTTAGATCCAGGAATTTTCAGAGTAGGGATATTGAATAAAATGGATAATTATAACAGTGTTGCTAAGGACAAACTGAAGTCCACTTCCTCCAACCTGTACAATAACTACGTGCCTTTTTTCTTTACCTAGGCCTATAGCATAGGAGTTATCTCTAGGATCTATCAAAATATCCCTTGCTGGCTTGATAAAGAGTGTTTCCTGAATTCTAAGGGTCCCCAAGCAAGCTGCCTAAACCAGACTTTTACCAAGTGAAAAAGACCATGCCACAAAAAGTACAATTGCCAGCGTTTCCATGGAAATTGGAATACAAAGAGGCGGTTTGCCTGGAGAGGTCTGTTTATTTTATTTTTTTTTTTAAAACTATCAAGAATAACACTTTGAGATGTGACATTCTGTTTTCACAAGCGCACTCAAGGTGTCAGACAGAGCCCAATTTTATATTCCTTGAAAACAGAGTGTACTGTAGTGTTTGTCGGACTTTTCAACATGTCACTTTCAACCAATTTTATATACAAATGGGTTACAGTCCCATGAAAATATTCAGAAAAAGAGGAAACTGTTTCAAAAAGGAGTATTAAGTATTATTACATCGAAAGCCATTCAGAGTGGAAAACCTTCCCACCCGGCTTCCAACCTTTCTGAGGCCCAGGGAACCAGAATATTTGCATAAAATGGCAGAGTCCCTCTTTACCATCCAATGGTCTGAGGGGAACCGCTTATGAAATTGGCCATTCTTCTCCCCTCCTTTAAGATCATGCTTGCTTCGGTGATATGATCTTGGAGACGCTGTCAAAGGCACACTTGTCTGCTTCCCTCTTGTAGTATGTGTTTCAGTTCTCTCTTCAATATGGCTCCAGGAGGCACGGGCTTGCCCCAGACCAGATCTTCGGACCTGGGGAGAGTTTATTACATGAGATTTATTGAGAACGTTGGATTACAGGGTATTCCAGGAGTCATTTCCATCTTTGAAATAACATATTCATTTAGAGTACCGAGGGCTTGCTTCTTAGATCTGTCATTTTAAAATATGTTTCCTCTCGCACCGATGCAGCTTTGATGCAACCATGTCTGAGCAGCAGGCTTTCAAGGCAGTATCAAGACAAGAAGGGGGATAATTTAAGGTGACAGGGCCAATTTTAAAACAGAGGCCCAGTGTTTCTTATTTTGAGGACTGGGCTCAAACTGAGGTACTTTGTGGCCTCTAGAGCTTCTTAGAGAGTTTCTCAAGTTTTACTCTCTACTCCCAAGAAAATGAGGCTTTCTACCAACAGCACAGATGGAATCTTTGCCCTGAGCAGATTTCACAGACTTCAAATCTAGGCTACCATGTGAATTAGGGGAGGTTTTTGTTGACTCTCCTGACTTTATTTTTCCCTCTTGGAAGACTCTTTGCAATGTAAATATTTTGCACACATGTATTCTGAAGTACACATGTAATTTGTGCTTCAAAATGAATGTGCCCAACATTTATCTTACTGACTTTTTTATTGAAGTGAGAGTCAGAAATGGAATCACCATGGCCAACTCTTGGAGTAATCATGACCCAGGTGGAGGAGTCACTCTTTCCCTCCTATAGACAATTCCCTTTTTTCTACCATCCAGGCATATCTGTTGTAGTACTTAAGGCAGTGGCACCCCAAAAAGCTATGTTCAAATCTTAGCCCCCAGTACCTGCAAATATGACCTTGTTTGAAAAAAGTGTCTTTGCAGATGTAATTAAGGATCTCAAGATATGATTATTCTGGATTAACTGAGTAGACTATAAATCCAGAGACGTGTCTTTATAAGAGACAGAAGAGGAGAAGGCATAGATACAGAGGAGAAGGCAAAGTGAAGATCCATGAGAAGATGGAAGCATGGACTGGATTTGTGCTTCCACAAGCTAAGGAACACCTGATAGCCCCAGAAGCAAGAAGAGACAAGGAAGAATCTCTCAGGATCTCCAGAAGGAACCAATCCTGCCAGCATCTCCATTTCAGACACCTGCTTTCAGAACTGTGAGGGAATAAGTTCCTGTTGTTTTCAGCCACTAAGTTATGGTAATTTGTTCTGGCTGCCACGGGAACTTAGGACACCTGTGCTCTCAGCAGCACTCTTACCACTACTGACTCTTGGGAAACCTGTTTTATTCATTTACTTTGCACTTACCATAGACTAGGCTCTGGGAGCATACATACCAATACAGGATGTCAGTGAATTTGAGGGGCTTATGCTCTGGAAATGACGGAAAAGGGAAATGGGCCTCTAATAGCCTTAATAAGCTGCATCAGACACCTGCTGATGCCTAAGCTAACCTGTGCCTTCACACCTCTGTGCCTTTCCTATGGAAGGATTTCTCAGCCTTGAAACTACTGATGTTTGGGAAAGATAAATTTTTTGTCTTGGGACTGTTCTGTGCATTGTAGGACACTTAGCAGCATCCGTGGCCTTTACTCACTAGGCACCAGTAGCAAGTCTATTCTTCTCTGTTGTAACCATGAAAAATGTATTCAGACCTTGCCAAATAGGTATCACCTGGGGGAGCAAGGCTGCTGTTGGTTGAGAACCACTGACCAATGGCATTCTCCGCTTGGAATGCCCTCACGTCATTGACCAGCTGGCAAACTCTTGAAGCCTTTCTTGATTCTCAAAGCTTGGTGCCTCTTCTCCTTCATGCCTGTGTCACTTTGTGAGCGTCAACTTGATTGGATTAAAGGATGCAAAGTATTGATCCTGGGTGTCTCTGTGAGGGTGTTGCCAAAGGAGATAAACATTTGAGTCAGTGGGCTGGGGAGGGCAGACCCACCCTTAATCTGATGAGCACCATTTAATCAGCTGCCAGCAAATATAAAGCACGCAGAAAAAATATGAAAAGGCCTAGCCTCCCAGCCTACATCTTTCTCCCATGCTGGATGCTTCCTGCCCTCGAACATTGGACTCCAAGTTCTTCAGTGGTGAGACTCGGACTGGTTCGCCTTGCTCCTCAAGCTTGCAGACAGCCTATTGTGGGACCTTGTGATCATGTAAGTTAATACTTAATACACTTCCATATATATATATATATATATATATCCTATTAGTTCTGTCTCTCTAGAGAATCCTAATACAGCAATGATCTTACTTTCTGCATCCTTCTGTCTGCACCTCTGCCTTCCTGCAGAACTTGAAGTTTTGCAAAAAGAGGTGTGTCTTTGCATCTCTGTTTTCCCCTACACTTAATATTTGTTGTAATAAGAATGAAAGACCTACCAGAGTCATACTGTGAGGCCCCAAAAGGAGACAGATGTTCAAGACCCAGCTACTGAGCACTTCATTACTAGAAAGGGCTTTGTCTCCAAACCTCAGTGTAGCCTCCTGAGGCACTGGACTGGGTCTTATGTGGACCACAAAGGCTTCTTTTGTGCCCCTGGCCTGAGGCCAGCAATTTGAGCAGCTTGGGCAGTTGGTGAGATCCCTTTTCCCTGAGCCAGCATTCCCTAAGCTTGTTCTGTGGCTCAGTAGCCCCTTGAGATGGTCCTTGAAAAAAAGGACGTTCATGGTTATAGACATTTAAAAAAACTTGCTTCCTAGATTTCCCTCTCAGAAATTTACACTGCATATTAGTAAAGAGTAAAGATTAAGATATTTGTTTCACATTACTTAGATCGATTTTCTAAACTTATTGGACCATGAAGCCTAAAGCACCTAAGAAATTTGTATGTCATAATATAAATCTTAGGAAATGTTAACTTATATCCACACCCTAATCTGATATGTCTAAGGCAGCAATCATACACTGACCCACATTGTTCTTAGATTTAAACTAACATCTAGAAATCAAGAGATTTTACATAAAAAATGTGTCCTGAGGCTTTAAATTCATTTCCCTTTTGGTATGAATTGGCTGGAACTGAATGGTGTCTGCTAAGTTGAAATGAGAAAAGTGTTCTCCAGGTCATCCAAATCCCCACCATTCCCTTTTATTTATCTCCTGACAGGTGCCTCTTATTACATACTATGCTCCCAGTTTTGCTGTAAGTAGAGGAGTACTGCTGTCTTGGCAATGGAGATAGAGGCTTGGAGGGTGTGTTTCAAGAAACAAGGAGAGCAGGCATTTGATTTTCTTATATCTGGGCAACCTCACTGTTTACACTGGGATTTGCATGCTTTCTGTAGAGAAAGACAAAAATGGGAAAAAAGCTCCAGGCAAAGCTCATCAAGGGAATTAAAAGACCCCTTTACTCCACGGCCTGAAGCTGCACATCTCAGCTTTCAGAATTCCCACCAGAAGTGGGCTGCTATTCTACTCCCTTGGAGGAGACTCTTTGTAGAGCCTCCCCTAAATAGGGAATCCCTATTCCCCAAAATGAGGAATCTTTGGGGCTGATATAATTAGATGGCTGGATATAAGGAGGGGGACTTCCTTCTTGCTGGACTGGATGGTGCAGGCACAAATCAAGAGACTGGAAATTGTAGGGTGTGTTGAGCACATTTGTGGCAAGACCCATGGAGAAGCTCTGATGAATTTGTAAATTTGCTGGACTGTAGTAATCATTTTACTACATACATGTATATGAAAACATCGTGTTTCATACACCGTATGAATGGTGTTGTACACCATAAATATATACAATAATAAAATAAAGAGAAATTGTTACATGGGTCTAGGGGAGATGAGATAAAGATTTGGCAATGAACACAGCAAAGAGTAATGGGAGACACAGTTCATAACGTTCCACGGGATTGGAAAGATATTAACAGATTCTCAGTTATCCCTTTCTGATATCTAAAACTTACAGATTCATTCACATTAAGGTGCAATGACAATTAGAGAACTACAAAGACTTAAACCTAAGAAAATATCTCTAATGGAGGAGTAGCAGGCACCAGAAAGAGGCTGGGGGGTGAGTGGGGTGGGAGGGGAACCTTAAATGTAGACTCACCTTTTGTGTTCCTGTGGCCTGACTGAGGGACTAGGTGACACAGATTTTGCGTTTTCAGGCCAGCTGGGCATCTGGCCTTGGGAATCAAGAACAATGATAATGCATTCTTCCTAATTTCACCTTCAGGAAATTGTTCACTTTCCCATGAAAGAGTTAATGTGGCTCCTCAATGCAACCATGCAATTAAAACGTCATTCAGACACTTGGCTCCAGGTTTTAAAGGGCCTCCAATAAGACCTTGTGGGCCCTTTAGGGAACGAGATAACATTGTTATTGGTGTGAAAGGAGGGTGAGAGAGCACAGGGTCATGGTCTACCCAGGGAAGATAAATCTTCCCATGCTGAGCAGAGGCCTGGCCATTTCCCTGTGATGTGGATTTTATATACAGGATCTGACTGGAGATTCATTAAACCATTCCCATTTTAGCCACCCGATCCCATGAAGGCAGATCTGTGCAATCTCATATTCCAGGAAGTCATTGTAACATCGCAGGCCAGTGGAACTGACTGGTCTGACAGGAACACACAAACAACCAGGACAGGGCTGCACCCCGCATCCCCCTGCCATGTTTATTTAGGAGTGGAGCTCCATTAAGTGCTCTGTGATGGCCTTCTGATAACACCCCCACCTTTGGAGGGCCAGCCAGAACTGGCTGTCTGCCCTCAAACGTGACAGCTGACATTTTTGGATACACTTAAAGATGGGCTTGTTCACCACAGTGCAGAGGACAGAAACCACACATTCTGAAGTTATAGCCCCTCTAGCTCATTCTTAGGGCGTTCATTTATGTGGCAGGTCTCTTTCTCCTGTGATAGTATTGTAAAACTTGATGCTAGGGACTGGGGGTTGAAGGGAGCAGGGTTTTGGCAAACATTTATTGAATGTGTAAGAAAAAATCAGATGATAAAATGCACGGAATTTATTAATAGTGTAAACTTTGAGGGATATGGAGGTGAGGTGGAGACCCCAAATTCTTACCATCTTAAACTTTGATTCTTAGGAGTCAAGGATCTGAAGCTTTGAAGAGTAAATTGTGGTTTTAAAGGCCTTCTTCCTAAGTTGTATTCCTGTTGGTTCCCTCCGAGCTTCCCAATGCTTTCCCCACCCTAATGTCATCATCATGCCTTTATTCATTGTCCCAGTCTCCTATCCTGCTATCTTTGTTTTTCTTTTCATTAATTTACCTAATATTACCCATGTACCTGCCCTGGTACAGGGGATACTGCAGTAAACAACCCAGAAAATTCCTTGCTTTTGTGGAGTTGAAATTCTGAGGCAGGGCAGGAAGAGAGACGGGTCATGTATAAATAAGTAGTCAATGAAGAAGAATTTTAAGAGTGATGAATGCTGTGGAGAAAATCAAACAGTGATATGGAAGGGAGTAGTGGTAGAGAGGATGCCTGATTTAAGTTGGGTAGTCAGGGAAGGCCTCTCTTAGGAGGTGACACTGAGCTGAGATGGGAATGGTAAGAGGGAGCCATGTGGCTTGGAGGTAGATGGTCCATTTGGAGTGGAGCGAATACCTCAGGCAGGAAAGGGCTTAGATTGGTTGAGAAACACTGGAGGCCTGGGAGTCAGGGAAGGTGTGAGCCTAGGGGGTGTGGAGGAGGTAAGGTCAAGGAACTAGGGGGAGCCAAGGTTGCTCAGGGCTGGAAAAGTCATGGTTAAGGGACTGAATTTTATCGAAGATACAAAGGGAAGCCATTTAACAGGTTTAAGCAATGGCATGGTATGATCAGATGTACATCAAATCAATACTGTGTCTCTGATCTTTTTAGGGCCCAATTCAAATGTAGCCTGCGCTGTGAAACATTTATAGGCAAACTGAATAACTCCTGGAGTGACTGTTGCCTGGTTGGAGGACCTGGTCTTCCCATCCCACTGCCTGTGAGCCCTGGCAGGGTGGGGATCATGCCCTGATTAGCTCTGCTTCTCCGTAGTGCTTTGCACATATTACCCAGTCAATAAATGTCTACTGCATTGACCTTAATTACAAGCTCCTGGAGGTTAGTCATGTTGCCCAATTTATATTGTAAAATTCCAAAGGGCCCTTAATAAAAGTTCTTTGATGGTGAATTGGGCTCTTGAAGCAGCGTTATTAATGGGTCTTCACACAGGTGGCTCCTACCAAATCGGGAGCTAATTAGTGTTAACTCAACCAAAAGAATTTATTCAAATTACTTCCCTTGGTCAATTAGTTTCCTGCAGATGATTTTAGCATGTTTCTTAAATGTGTCAGTGTTCAGGCAATGAATTCAAGATTAAAAGCCCAGACTCCGTGTTGTAGGTCCCAGAAATAACGTACATTTTAATGGCTGCTTCCCCAACTTCAAAATTAAACATATTGCATTCTTGGGAGTACGATTTCAGCTTCTTTACATTTATGACACAAATGGAGCCATTCGCCCTCACTTCAGTCTTTAAAGGCAAGACTCATTAGAAGGAGGAAATTTCCTTTATCATGAGTAGGCCAAGCTCACATGATAAAAAATGTCTCCACTTCTCCCACCTCCTTCTCCAAACTTCAATTCTCATTTTAAGCAGTTCCCACATAGACTATTTATCTTCCACATTTTCCCAACTCTCAATGGCACCATTATATCCTTTATTTGGAATCATAAAACTTTGAGAATAAAAAAGAAGCAAATTAATCCTCCCAGGGGGGAAAAGGAAGACGGGTCCTGCCAGCTTTTAAATTGTAGGACTGGACTGGCCTGGAAACACAGTTTTCTTTTTCAGCAACTTAGCTGGTGGGGGGAAATGAATGGTTATGACAGTGAATCCTGAAATAAAATGCAGAATTATGCAAACACGTTAAAAACTGACATCTTGAAATAAAAACTGTTGAAAGCCTGAGGAATAAATAATGCGGGTTGGAATGGGAACCTTTCGAAGCTACAAATGGGATACTCTGCTTTTATTATTCACAGTGGAAAAATAACCTCCATCATGATGTGAAAACCACAATTTCCTTTATTTGTGGATCATGCCAGATTAAAAAGCATTCAGGGAAGAAGTGCGGCTGGGAGAGTTGAACGCTGTCCGAAGAGGCAGGGACTGAGTGTCCAGGATCCTGTTGTGGACGCTGGCTTGCTCCATCCAATTGCATAAGTCACTTAACCTCCTGATGACTTCTTTCCCATCATCAGGCTGGAATTAAGGAGTTGGCCTTCCCTCTGGGGCCCGGGATCTGGATTTCCTAACTGCCAATTGGATAACATGTTTTGCCTTGCAATTTGCTCTAAGGAGTCAGAAGGTTGTTGTGAAAACAAACGATAAAAGTCAGTTAACAAGCCGACTGCCACCAGAACAGCCAATGAGAAAACGCAAGTCCACAGAGTGCCTCAAAGTGAATCTCCAGGTTCGGGGTTCTGGAAATAGATTCTACAACTAGTAAAGCCTTTATTTTATTTTATTTTTTAAAATTACTTTTTAAATTGGGTCATACAGTCCCTGGATAATTGGTGAATATTGTGTTCTCATAAAGTAAAATGAAAATCATTGAGGTGAGAAACAGTATACATGTACAATAGTAAAGTCCGAAGGATCTTGGGGATAATCTGGTCTAGACTTTCACTTTGCAGGGGAGGAAATTGTAGATGCAGAAAGTTTAAATGACCTACCCGAGCTTCTGGAGCTATAGATCCAATGGATACTGTCAGCTTTGAAACATAATTGTGACTGTGATTTAATTGCTCCAATAAGTTGACGGAGAATCTTCCAAGAAGGCTGATAATCCTGGAATTTTTAAAAGAACAGTCAATTTGATATGAGCCAGAGAGATCCCTACACAATATTGGATAATGTCTTTCATTATAAAAGAAGTGTTTAAATCTTAAAGGAAGCATCTTTTAGAAAAGCGAGGAGGGCACAGATGTTGACTGCAATGTTTAAATTGCAATAATGTTTAAGTTTAATCTAAATTTTTCCATTATTTCCTTCCTCCCTTCTTCCCTCCGTTTCCTCCCTCCCTCCTTCCTTCTTTCCTCTTTTTCTCTTTTTCTTCCCACATTTTTTTTTTAATTTGAAGGAAAGTTCTGGACAGAAATTAGAGTAAATCCAGGCCATGGTGACCTAGCATTGAGAGAAAAACCGAGAAAGTGAAGAGAGTCATATGGTGGAGAGGAAAAAGCTCCCTGTGATTTACTTTGACTTGTTAATTTTCAGAAGGAAATTAATAAAATTGATTCCAGCAAAAACTCTAAGTGGACAAATAGAAGAAAAACAGATTGAGAATTGTGAATATTTAGGGCAGAGAGAATGTTCTTAGAGAAATCTTTCCCTTAGGGAGAAATAAATATTTAGGAGAAATCACTAACTCTAAGGGTCGTTAAAGCAAAGATCACTCATAGGATGGGAGCAACCCCCCCAACCAACTATTAATTCCAATTCCTAGACTTGGTGGCAGTGACATGATTAGTTATTGTGGGTTCTGGAAGAAAGCAGGACCTTTGGCAATAAAGCCTTGGAAATATGTATTTTTAAGTACTATAAAAGACGTGAAAAGCAACTTTTCTTTTCATCCTGGGGACTAGAAATAATACACCTGCAAGGACAGATGGATGGCATAATGTTGACATTCAATGGGGCATTAAACATTTTGCACCACGTTTATGGGGTTTTCCTGTCATTAATTCTAGGTAAAATAAACTTCTAGAAAACATTTTGTTGTGTTTTTGGATAGCGTTTATTTTCCACCAACTTGCTTTTCTTTGCCCTTTTCTCCTGCCAGCTTTTTGTGTCCATTATGTTTTCTTGTGTCCATCATGCTCTTGGCTAATTTCCTAGCTGGCCTCCCTCAAGCTATGAGGCCTTTCTTTTTCCTTCCCCTCTTCCCCTGGCGTCCTTTCTTTCAGTCCTGCAGCACGTGTTCAGGCCTATGGCAGGGTCAGATGTGGTTGGTTCCGCTGGCCGGAGTCACTGTGGTTTGCCTGTGGCGCCCTGGGATTGGCAGGGTCTTGAAAAGACTGTCCAGGGCCTGCAAAGATTGAGGCCACCTGAATCTCTGTGTTATGAGGGTATCCATTCTATAATTGACTGTGATGGCAAGGCCTTGCCTTTCTTCCCAGTTGAATTTGTGGACATCCACCTTCATATTTTTTGCCTCCTTTAAAAAAGTCTCCTTTCCCATAAGCAGTACACACACTTTTCTTTTTAAATCGGGTCAAATTTACAGCTAAGGGAGGAAGGATGATGTTTTGGAAAGAGCAAAGGAATGGGAATCAGAATACCGGTGTCTTTGTTCTGCCACTCACAGAGTGCCTGTGGGATGTCGGTGAAGCCACTGAACCCTCTGATGTTCAGTTTTCTGAATGGGATGTTCTTCTGAGACATATAACATAGCCAAACTCTCCCTTGGGCTCCAAGAATGTAGAATAGGGAAGTAAGAGAGTGCAGCAAGAATGGAGCTGAGCAGGACACAGTCGTGATTAAATGGAACTGAAACTCCAAGGGGTAAAATGTACCCTGATGATCTAAGGCCAGTGGCTTATAAAGTGTGGTTCAGGGACTAGCTCTATGGGGCTCCTTGGAGCTTTTGTGAAACATCTATCAATTCACTCAGTCAATGACTATGGGATACTTACTATGTGCCAGGCTCTGTCCTAGGTGCTTGGCACATAGCAGCAAACAGAAAAGACACCTCCCTGGTGTCATGGGACACAAGGATTAATATTCATAAGTAAAGAGTATTTCAGGTAATTAATATTTTAGGGAGTGGTAGTGCTAAGAAGAAAGTCAAGCATGTTAAAGGGAGTAAGATGCGATTGCTTTATATAATGTGGTTAGAGAAGGTCTCCTTTAGGAGGCGGCATTGGAACAGAGAACCAAATGAAGAGGAGAGATCCTTGTTACTGTGTAGGGAAGGAGCATTCCAGGTTGGGAGAACAGCTAGTGCAAAGGCCTTGAGGTCACAGGTAAGTCTGAGGAATAGCAAACAAGACCAGTGTGGCTGGTGCAGAGAGGGTGGGACTCCGGGGCTCTACTACCACATCTGTGACTGTGTCCACAGGCCTAGAGTTGGGCTAGAGTCTGGAAGCTAAAGAGGTACCCCAGTTATTTCTCCTGCACATTTAATACTTGACCCTAAAGCCTGGTGACTGGGTAAGAGTTGATGGATCTTATAACTCTGGATCCTCTGAGTCCCTTAGGCCAGTCATTGAGCATTGTATTGAAGATGGATCATATATGATCTTAATAGTCTGTGTTAGCTTCACTGGAATCTTGTTTTGGTATTTGGGGAGCAATCTCCCCCTCAATTACAGAGAATTCACCATCATTACTGTTGGCTGTCACTATGGACATAGGGCCATTTCCTGGGTTTCAGGTCTCTTCAAATCAGCATTGGGGCAATGAAGACATATTCCCTTTTCCCACCCAGTGCAGATGCTCACACTGGATTTAAGGAACACTCAAGTAGTCACTTGGACACTGAAATCCACTGAGAAATGTGTGTCAAGTTTACTTAACTGAATTGATCCAACCGATCCAATGTAATTATGGACTCTAGCAGCTTGTGATGGTGGATAACTGAATGGTGCCTATTGAACTGGGAAGTAGGTTGAGCAGTTCCATGAGTTTCTCCACTTCACAAATGACTCCGAGGGTGTGGCAGTTTATCCTCATATCTTTGTTAAGACCCTTCCCAGCCCCAGGAAAAGATCCCTCTTAATTCCTGGACCCAAATAAGCAGGCATTGGGGAAAAAGTATTGTTTGTTGCATTAAGAACACTAAAGATCAGAATTTAATAGGCCCCTCACTGGCTGGTTAAACATAGGGTCATCTTAGCTACCCTTCACAAAGACAAACTTCTGGAAAAGAGGTGTCCACTTTCATCTGAGTGGTCTTGTTCTCATGGACCCCCATGATAGAGGCTAGACTGCCTAGTGAACAAACAAATGTCTCGTGGCTTCTCATGCAGAAAATGTTTCCCAGATGCACAGCCATCCCTCTGCTCCCTGAGGTTGCTTTTGCAGCTGTGATGTCAGCTGTGGGCTTTGATTCACAAGGCTTCTCAGCCAGGAGTCTCTCCTCTCTGCTGTCAGCAAACCCCACTGTCCTTCAGGCTCAGCTAACCCTTCTACCTTCCATGAAGATGCCTCAGATATCTCCCTTCCCTGCCTCTTCAGAAGCCCTGGAGCAGTCCCTGGCTACACCCACCACTTTGAACTCACAGTATGGTCCTTTTCATGTTCCCTCTCCCTCTCTTGGGTGAAAGTATCTTATAGTGGGAATTCCGAGTTTATCTTGCATGACCAACCATCAGACCTTTACCCTAGTCATTGTTTCTTGAAGCTATGTCATTTTCTTTTGGGTGTTCCCAGTGCCAGCATGGTGACACATCATGGGTGATCCTCAAGTATATGCTGCCAACATGAGTATAATGAGCTAAGTGAATTTAGGTCTAGTACAGATGGTATGTCCGGCACAGGATTTATCACTGTTATGAAGAGCTAGTACAAAGAAACCAAAATGCTATCAGCATACCAAGAGGTGCATGTATAAAAGACAAGATGAAGTAATTCAAAGCCATTAGATTAGTAAGCAATCTGTGGCTTTACTAGTTATAATAAAGTAAAATGAACATGCCTTTTGCTTGAAATTATGCATGCAATGCTGGCAGCAGCATACACTGGTGCTTGTGATTGCATGTTGGTGGTGTGTATTATGTCATAAAACATTCACATGTTTTGACACAATAATCTTGCATCTGGGAATTTACAACAATAAAATAAAAAATAAGGAGAAAAACTACAGTTTTTTAAATGGCTCTGCTTTTTACAATCTTAAAAACGAAGCTGCAAACTCCATATCCAATAACAAAGGGTCAGATAAAATCTGATACATATATATTCTGTGGAATACTATACAACCCTTATGGGGCCAGGCACAGTGGCTCACACTTGTAATTCCAGCACTTTGGGAGGCTGAGGCAGGAGAGTTGTTTAAGGCCAAGAGTTCAGCACTAGCCTGGGCAACATAGGAAGATCCTATATCTAAAAATTTTTTAAAGGATTGCCTGACGTGGTAGCCCATGCATGTAGTCCTAGCTACTCAGGAAGTTGAGGCAGGAGGATGGCTTGAGCCTGGAGTTCCAGACTGCAGTGAGCTATGATTGTGTCACTGCCCTCCAGCAGCCTGGGCAATAGAATGAGATCTTGTCTCAAAAAAAGCATTTATGGAGGTTTTGTATAAATTGAACTGTAGTTTTAACTATAATGTCTAATGATAAGGCAGCAGAATATTTTCATCATTAAGTAGCTATACTGACTAGAGGAAGGAGGGCTGAGTTAGAAGAGCTGAATTCAATGGGTGAGGGCATTTTTTGGCTTGTATTTTTTACCTTCCTTATCCTTGTATTTTTCATCTACAAAATGGGCAGGAAGATTTTTATGTCCTAGGATGAGATACGTGTGCAAAATCCAGGGTCTGAGCATGAAGGGCATTCTCAATGAATGGAGATATTATTATTAGCAAAGTTTACTACATGGATAATCCAGTCCAGGAGCCAAAACTCTGACAAATAGCTCAGGATGAGTGGAAGAAAATGGGCTTTGATGTCTCTCACAACTGCAGTGGGAATTTTAGGAGGGACAATTTGCCAAGAAGATGGGGCAGGATTTGAAAGGATTTGGGAGGATGGGGAGTGGTGTGCAGAGAAAGTTGTAGGAAGGAGGGTTGGCCCAGCCCGGTGAATGAGGCAGGAATCTGTATGGGTTGTGGGGAAAGGAATGAGCTGGCTTAATTAGTAGAGAGGGTTGTTTATGTTAGAGAGTGGTGCAATAGTTGAGGTGGGCAAGATTCTAAAGTTCTTTGTCTGTATCCATATTTTAAAGGAAACATCCTCAAGCGAAGAGAATATTTATGTGGTAAGGTAATTCTTGGCAGAAGACAGAAGCCTCTGAAGCTTTCTGATGGAATGGAGGGAGTCAACAAACTCAGATCTCATTCTCTGCATCCCTTTGTATCCCAACACCTTGTCAGGAAATAATCCAGGATCAGTCATTTGCATGTCAGTGTGAATTCAAATCTACTCATTCCTATTTTCAATAATTATCAAAAACCCATTAAAGATTTATTTGAAGTATCTGCATTTTGGATCTCATTGTTTACTATAGAATGAAATACATTATTTTATGTGACAGGAATTCCAAGCAATAGGGACTGTGGGAAGAGGCGCACATTTCGTGCTAACATTGGATATGTAAATTGTCAATAACTCTGTCTACATATAACTCACCCCAACATACATTTATCACTTTGCTTAGTTGCTCATTAATTTATTCAATCATCTTTTCATCCATCCATCCATCCACCCATCCATCCACTTATTCAGCAATATTTTACCAAGCATGCATCTTGCGCAGTGCCAGGCATTGGGATTATAGAAGTGACTGTGATGTAGTCTCTATTCTTGAGGGTCTCAATGGAAGATTGTGCTTGAAAACAGACCTCTTCGAATACTTTGCAAAATATTTTCTGTGTAGAGTTAACAAGATGAAAGAGTGAAACAATAAGAATATTCATGGGTATCTCTTGTCTAGAGTTTTTGAGCACAATGGATAGCCATGAGCCAGCTTACATAGGCCTCCAAGTCGGATATTGTGTGTAAGGCTCCTCAACATTTGGTCCCCAATACATTCCTCTCCTCCTGCTGCTCCTCACCACTGTGTAATCCACATTCAAGTTTTCCTGAACCAGCTTTTGCTCTTGACCATGCTAACATTTTCTCACCTCTGTGCTTTTGTGAACATGCTACCTATGTATTCTCAGTCTGGAAAATTCCTCTCCTCATTTTACTACTCCTTCCCAATCCCATTATCATACCATTTTCTCTCAGAAGCCTTCCTGGTCCTTCCCAGGTAGAACAAGCCCTTATCTCATATGCATTCAAGAGAACTTTAGAGGTTCCCCTGAGCATCACATAAAATAGCAGACTTGGGGTGAAATGGGAAGCATGTGTGATTCCAAGGATGATAGATTTGACCCTGAATCCTGGCTCCGACCTCACAGACTGCTTGACCTAGGTCTGATTATCCTTTGTCTCTAAATTCTTGCCTTTCTGATCTGTAGAGTAGGTAACCAGTAATGCCCCACTGAGTTACTGTGGGGATAACGGAGGTGTTGTGAAGAGAGAAGCAGGCCTCTGCCTTGCCCATGTGAATGCTCCTGCTCACCTGGCCTCCCATTGTTAGTCTTGGTGTCTCTGGTTCCATTATGGTGCTGCAACTGCCTGGAGGACAGAGACCACTGATGACCATGTTT
The DNA here is from genome assembly GCF_000001405.40 of Homo sapiens. Taxonomy (NCBI): domain Eukaryota; kingdom Metazoa; phylum Chordata; class Mammalia; order Primates; family Hominidae; genus Homo; species Homo sapiens. The sequence goes on along the minus strand of NC_000004.12, from coordinate 13,167,032 downwards.
GCATTTCTGTTGGCATCCAGCACATACTTGCTTCCGAGAAGCAATACAGCATTGTGGCCAGGATCAGGGATGCTGACACTAGACTGCCTGGGCGATGCCAGATGCTACCATTTGCTAGCTTTGTGGACTTGGGGAAATTTTTTGCTTTCTCTGTGACTGGTCTTCTCATCTGTCAAATGGGGATAATAATAGTTCCTGCCTCATCAAGATGTTATGAGGTTTACATAAGAGCCTGGCCGTGGTAAGCCCTCATCAAGATTGGCTATTATTAGTAGGTGCTCAAGAACTGTTTATTGAAAGGCCAATGAATAGATTTTAGTGTGCGATAGTTTCAGGAAGTCTGGCTAACATGAAGGTGTTTATTTGGTTCGGAATGCCTGTTTCTTGACCTACCTATAATTAGTTTCTATTGCTAGGTTATTATTAAGTTGAGAGGAATTACTTTCCTATGATGGTCAATGCCCTAAAATACTGCATGTTAAAGCTACTGATGCTTCTAACATCAAAGTGGAAATTATTTTGTGGGTTTTAGTAATATGGATGAGTTCTAAGGTGAGTAGTTGGTTAAAAGTAGAGGTTTTCCTATAAAGCAGTGACCAGAAATATCTGGCTGTGGTCTCTGGGGAATGTTTGAAAACATTCTCTTCAAGTCTTAATTCTTCTATTCTAAAAGAATTTATGCTGCTGGCCTTTTGAGGAGGAAATTCAACTCTATGGTTAAACCTCTGAGAAAGAGGCCTGTCTTATTTTCTTGTATCCCGTTTAACTTCCCGAACAATTCTGGGCCTATTGCCTTGACCAATAAAGACCTGTACATTAATCGTTTAAAAAAGTGAAGTGTTTTCATCTTCCTAGCCTAAAACTCACCCTCTGAAATTTTCATGTGATCATCTCTGGACCCTAAGGAAAGCATTATCAATCATTTATTTATACTTTTTATTTTTGATTATGAGATTTAAAAAAAATGAAACAACTTTTTTTTTTTTTTAAGAGAATTGCTTAGGGAGACCTGTGACTGGATACCATCTCTGCCTTCAATGAGTTGAGTGACCCCAGTCACGCCCTTGATTGCTCTGAACTTCCACTTCGTCGGCTGAACGTGAAGCAGTTAGCGATTCATCGTGATAATGGGCACTGTTTTGAACGCTCGCCATGTGATGGCACTGTGCTAAGTCAGAAGCACCCTTGCATTAGCAGCACTCTTGCATTTACTTGCCGTAACAGTCCCCAACAGTAGCTTCGTTTACCCTCCTTGTGTTACAAGTGGGGAATATGAGTCTACAGGAGTGCAGACATTTGCCAAAGGTGTAAATAACAGGCTCAGGATTGGAGCCCAGGCTTGTTTATATTTCATGAACCTATGAATAATCATTGATTGGTGACAAAGAGCCTTAACATGAATGGGGTTTTTCAGGAAGGATTAAGAGGTGACTTTCCTAATATATTAAAAAAGTACCTCCTCCCCTCCCTCCTTCACTTCTTCCCGCCCTTCCTCCTTTCCTCCTCTCCTTTCTTTTTCCCCTAGAACTCCTTCAAATCCTGTCTGGCTTCTCTACTTTACTGAGTGGCAAGGTTCTCAGCTTACTTTCCGACTATGGTACCTTATACTTCTCCTTCGATGTACTTGTTATAATTGTACTTCAATAATTAATTATTCACCTAGTTGTTTAATGTCTGCCCCTGGCTAAAATGTAAGCCCTGCAATCACAGGGATATCTCTGTATATTCAGCCTGAATAGAGTTCTCCTAGTCCAGTAAACTAGCCCCACAAAAAGTGTTTGTTAAAAGAATGAAAGAATGAGCACCTACTTTGTGTCCCACAGTGGGGGAGGTCAGAATAAGGGAAGATGAGTAGATGATGAAAGATAGTAACATTTCCACGCAACACCAGAGCTTTCTAATTATATACTTTCCCTGCAGTGGGTGGTAGTGAGACAGTAAGCATGCTTCATTGAACGCCAAAGACTGTTCTGCAGGAGTCTTCTAAAAGACACACTCTGAATTGGACGGGAGGTCATGTTTGATGAATGTTAAGGTCCCTTACAATGTGAACATTTGTTCATCAGTTTATTTGTTTATTCGTTCAGTCACTCTGTTAGGCAATCATTACTGCCACAAGCATTTACTGAACACTGTCCTAGTTGCTGGTGGCATAATTGTGAATAAGAGCTGATCATCTAGTAGAAAAAAATACTAACTGCCATGTACCAAGTACCTTTCGTGAGTCAGACAGTGTTGATGCATTATCGATGGTCTTCACAATGATCCTGTAGGTTTTTATAATGTTGCTGTGAGTGAGAAAACAGACTCAGGGAGGTTAAGTGACCTGGATAAGATCAGGCAGCTAGAAGGTAGCAGAGCTAGGCCTTGACTAATAGTGATTTTAGAATTCCACGAAAATAAAACAAAGTGCAACTTCAGAGTGGGTAGCATGTTTCTGTAACTTTGAGAGTTAATAAAGAAACCTGTTCAGGTATTTGTGCAAAATTTGCCTTTTAAGGTGCTGCATTGATGCACAGAACCCAACTTCTACATTTAAGGAGGTATCTCTGTAGATGGGAAGAAATGCAGGCATGCTATAGCTGGGATGCGTCCCTCAGATGGCTTCATGTAGGGGTCACATGGACATACCCTGATAGGAAACAGAAGACCCACAGATGGGTGGGGACTAAGGAGAGAGAGCTTTCCAGGCAAAGAAAAATAAACATATAAACCTTTTATTTTGAAGAAGAAAGGGTTCTGTGTTGCTTTTTGATGCTATACTGAACATTCACCATATCTTTCCTCATCCCCACTTTGGTGACAATACTGAATGATAATATTCCCTCTGGCTGCACATGAAGAACATTTTAGAAGAGGGTAAAGTGCATTTAGACAACTGTTACCTATCATGATTGAAAACCGGACAAAAAAACTAGCCAACAATTAGATAATTTTTTCACCATTGAAGCCCAAATGGGGTTGTGTGGCAGCCTAAGCATGGGTTGAGTGTGAGGAGCTCTGGGTTCTGGCACCAATGTGTCCTAGCTGCCGGATCTGTGTGTCTTAGTTTGTTTAAGCTGCTATAACAAAATACCATGAATGGAGTGGCTTATAAACATCAGACATTTATTTCTTGGTGTCTGGATGCTGGAAAGTCCAAGATTAAGATGCGAGGAGGCTCCGTGTCTGGTGAGGGCCAGCTTCTTGGTTTATAGATAGCACCTTGTCACTGTAGTGGCAGAAGGGAGAAGGCAGTGCTCTGGGACCTCATTTGTAAGGACATTAATCCCATTCATGAAGGCTGAGCCCTCATGACCTAATCATTTCCTGAAGATCCCACCTCCTAATACCATCACCTTGGGGGGCAGGTTTTGACCATATCAATTTTTGGGGAATACAAACGTTCAGTCCATAGCACTTTTTCATGTTCAATAATTTTTCTGTGTCTTTGCTCCTTATCCCCAAAGTAAATGGGGTAGACCAAATCAGAGGATTTCGACTATGCTACGAGAAGCTACAGTGATTCTGGGAAAATGCCTTGTGGAGCAATGTGAAGTCTGAGGGGGATGCTGAGGTGGAGAAGATCTGTTTCCCCAATGCCTGCTTTAATCCAAACAGTTCTGCTCTTAGGTGCCTTCTCCATTGGCATCCTGCTTAAAATTTCATTTGAACAAAGGTTCCAGTTCTTTAAAAGGGATGCACTGGGCTCCAGGCACTATGGTACCTCCAAGGTTTCTTCCACTAACTCTGTGTTTGGCTAAGGCCTTTGCACTACCCTTTACTTTAGAGTCACTTCAGTTATTTTAGAGATGTGCAGGCCTGCTCACAAAGTGCTGAGAACTGGGATTTGGCTTTGGATCAGGAATCCTGGTGCTATCAGTGTGGGCTGGGGTTGGAGCCACAGGGCCTTCCAGAGAGTGACTTTCTGGAAAGATGTGGAGGAAATTTAGCAAGTCATTAAGGAAACGACTGGTGAGCAGTTCGTGATCTGTGGCCAGCATTGGCTTATTTGCATGACGGATGGTTGAAATAGGATCCTACCTGTAGCTTCTCCTCCGATGGCTCCAAGCCAGCCCCTCCGCAGTCTGTTGTGACTCAAAAGCTTCAAGGTCTCCATGCATCCCAGATTGCTGGGACAACTACACATTGGGTGGGCCAGAGTCTGAGGGCATCAAAGAAGAAAGGATAGACCCAAAGAAAGATGTCCTTTGTGGTTTTTCTCTCTGACAGATGGAAGTCTGGAAAATGCTATGCTAAACTCCATGTAAAGCAGTATCACTGAATATAGCTCAGTGACTGGGCTGTGTGACTCTAGACAAACTACTAAACTCTTCTGAGTTTCCAATTCTTCATTATAAAACAAGAACAATTGTATGCACTTCACAAGACGGTTTCAAATTTTACATGATAGAAAACTGACGTGGCACTTAGCGTAGAGCCTGCTATAAAGAAAAGCAGTTTTTCTTTTCCTCCATTATTTGGTTCTCTGGGACTTCACTCTTTATTCAATTAAAATGGTGATAAAGACAATAAGTGAAGGTGTCACTGGCTTTTGTGCTTGAGGACAGTGGCTATATGTGAAGTGTGTGTGCATGCTGGTGTATGTCCTATGTGCTCAGATATTACATAGGAATCATAGAAATAGATATGTTTGAATTTAGGCTGTATAGTGTTGTGTCTTTTCCAACTGTGACAAAGAGATAAGAAAATCCTTGCAGTCAGGACATGCCAAGCTCTGCTCATTTATTTATTTAAGGAATCCTTGCATGTCTTCTCCATGTCAGCCATCATGCCAACTGCTGAGGATGCACACAAGATTCATAACTTAGTGGAGATGACTGGAACAACTGGATGAATGCTTATCCGCCCCTTCATCCAACAAACACTTATTCAATGTCTATTTTACGTCTGGGATTGTTCTAGATGTTGCTAGAGATTGAAAGAAAAAAAAGATTGGGTCTTTGCTCTCAAGAAACTTATATCCTGCTAAGAGAAGGAGTAATTTGCAGCAGCAATAGTTACAGCACTACTAGCAGCTCATGGAGAGCTCTCCTGATTCAGGCTTTATGCTTGTATGACCCATTTGGTCCTCACAAGTGGTCCTTCTGCATAAAAAGGCTGTTTCCAAGGCTGACTTGACAGCTGTAATATCAGAAATACAAAAGACTAGTAAATTTCAAATGAGACTAACTCTCATTCAAATTTTGTTTTAAATACATTAAACAAAGCCAAATTCAGCAGGCCCACTAGTCACCCATGTTTCTTATCTGACTTCATTTCCAGTTCCATAAAATGGAGAAGACTGTCCTCAATTACATCGATGAAGAACCTGAAGCTCACAGGGATTTTATGTCACTTGCCCCAAGTAGCACTGAGCTTTCTTGGCAGAGCTGAGGATCGAGGCGGGGGCACTGGCAGCAGCAATTCAGGGGCTTCCAGGAGGAGCCTGGCCTCTTACAGCCTCACTTAGAGAAAATGATACTCCCTGACTGATCGTATTCTTGTTTTCCCACTTCTATCCTCAGGAGCAATTCTGAATCTCTTTAGAGTCATCTCTCTTTGGTGGCCAATAACCCTTTTTTCTGGTGACTGTTTCCGTTTTGATCTCCTCTATTCCAGCTGCCTTCTCGGCTGTGGCTCAATAGATCATTTCTCTCCCAGCCTTATCCATTGAGATAGAGTCTTTCTATCCCACTGTGTCTATTTTTTATTTTCCAAAAGCTGTATGTGCTAGAATTTTAATACTGGAGCCTGTTTCCCGGTTGGGTCTTGTCTCAGCTAGCCAATGATATCATGTTTCTTTTAAACACATGGCCGGTGTTTTCATTCTCTTCCACATTTGGATGCTGTTTATGGCTTCTGTGAGGGAAAGGTTAATTTCCCTTCTTGGTGTCTGATTTTCTTCAAAGACATAAATAGCTGGCTTGGTTTAGTTGGAGTCAGATATCTTTGTGTTGACCTAAGCTCTCAGAGCCTCTGAATCATGCTCAATAATGCTTGACCAATAATTTGGTAAGCATGTTTTGCAGTGATGGCTCATATTTATTTTGGCATTCAAGTCCTATTGTGCCTACCTCTGTCAAAATCTTTTGTGTCTGCTCTCTTCTCTCCATCCCCACAATTCCTCTCCCCATTCAGGATTCTGTGCCTCTCTCAGGCAACTACTGTGGCCTTATAAATGATCTAGCTGCAATTCTTACCCTGTGTCCCTCCATCTCACCCATTTATGCAAGGTGAATCTTCTGGAAGCACAACTCTGATCCTATCACATATCTGCTCAGAAACCACTCATGACTTCCCATTCCTTACAACATAATGTCCAGATTTTTATATAGGTCCTCAGTTCAACCTTGAGCTTTCTGTGAGACCTTGTTAGTCTCTAAGTCAAGCAGAACATCTGGGAAGATCAAGTCTTCTAAGAAGTAGTTTCCTTAACTGGTAGCTTCTTGCCAATATGGTTATGGTATTCTCTCTGCCTAGGATATTTTTCCTCTTTTCCTACATCTGTCCAGAGCCTTGGTGTCCTTCAAGACTCTGCTCAATCCCATCCCCTCCAGCTGGTGCACACCCATCTTCCCCAGGCCACCTCCACATCTCTGTGTCATTCTTCTTTGTGGCTGCAGTGATGTTTACCAGCTAACTGGTTTCTGATCATTTCATCCATGAGCCACAAAATCTACCAAATACACTATCTCTTCAGTTGGTCTGACTGTCAAACTTGACTTCAGATTATAAACTGGCTACTTTATACTTAAAGCTGACATAAACTTTTCCACCTAGACCCTTATAGGCTAGAGACCAGTAAAAGATTATGGTCGGTGAAGCAGGTATCTCAGCAAAGCTTTACTTCCTCTGGCCTGAGCCTGATCAAGGGATGCCTGTGCAAGCACATAAGGCTCAGACCCTCACACATCTCCACCAGCTCATCCAAACTCTGGCTACACGCACAGTCTGGAGCTGGACTACCCTACAGGCTGAACTAGGCATTTGGAAACACTGTTTCAGGCCGGGCATGGTGGCTCATGCCTGTAATCTCAGCACTTTGGGAGGCTGAGGTGGGCAGATCACCAGAGCTCGGGAGTTCGAGACCAGCCTGACCAACATGGAGAAACCCCGTCTCTACTAGAAATACAAAATTAGCCAGGCATAGTGGCGCATGCCTGTAATTCCAGCTACTCGGGAGGCTGAGGCAGAAGAATCGCTTGAGTCCAGGAGGCAGAGGTTGTGGTGAGCCAAGATCGTGCCATTGCACTCCAGCCTGGGCAACAAGAGTGAAACTCTGTCTCAAAATAAAAAAAAAAAGAAAAAGAAAAAGAAAGCACAATTTCTGTCCCTTGAGGCTCTTCTGAATTCACTGGCAGTCTCTTCGGCTCTTTCTCATTTATTGCCATCAAGCTGTGTCCTGGGCATGCTCCTTCACTCATTGCACCTGGTGTCCATTTCCACATCCCTCCGCTCCCCACCTGCTGCCACCATGCTTTGGGCCTTCCGTGTTTACACATGTGTGCTGTTGCACTCCTTGTTCTCTCATTTCCTTGCTCTTCTCACTTCTAGTGGCTTCCCATCCAAGCCACTTCATTCACCCACTTTGGTGGCTACACCCTAGGCTTGGTCATATTCTGGAACTTGTCCACCTTGGAAGTCATAAAATTCACACCTCCCACTCTCTGACCACAACCTTCCTCTCCTTCCAACTCCTTTCCTCGCTTACTCCCAACTTTCTGGTTCTTCAGTTGGAACCTCAGGTTCCTGGACCTTCTACTTTGACCTACACTATCTGCTGCTGTTATCTTTACTCTAGTCCCTATTTACACAGATCCCATTGTTTGTCACTTCAGCAATTCTCTTCACTTTAATGCCGTGGCTCTGCAGTCTTCCTGTCACATATATATCACAAACTAACCACAGGAAATTCCAATCATCTGCTTTATCTGCACCCCTAGCCAGGATGTTGAATTCCATCAAGGGAAAATCTACTCCAGCCTGCAGGTCAAGATCACTATAAATTAATGCATTTAAATTAAGGCACCTCAAGAGATGCCTCAATGCTGCCCAGAAACTACATGCTGCTTCACTTTTCAGGTTTCTTGTTTGTTCTCCAGTAGATATTTCTAACATTCTTCTCTCTTTTTAAACCTCCACTTCCACCTGTAGTAATGCTTATCACATAAAAAAGTAATCATCTCCATTTTTGGTTATGAAACCTAAAAACTGGCATGCATCCTTGCCTTGCCTTTCCTCTTTAAAATGTTCTCGGCAGGGCGCAGTGGCTCACGCCTGTAATCCCAGCACTTTGGGAGGCCGAGGCAGGCGGATCACAAGGTCAGGAGATCGAGACCATCCTGGCTAACATGGTGAAACCCCGTCTCTACTAAAGAAATACAAAAAATTAGCCGGGCGTCATGGCGGATGCCTGTAGTCACAGCTACTTGGGAGGCTGAGGCAGGAGAATGGCGTGAACCTGGGAAGCGGAGCTTGCAGTGAGCCGAGATCACACCACTGCACTCCAGCCTGGGCGACAGAGTAAGACTCCGTCTCAAAAAAAAAAAAGTTCTCATCCAGCTTTTCTGACCCTCTCATGACCTTCCTGTTTCATGTATTTCTTCTCTGATGCTTTTGTCGACAACCTGTTTTCTTGATTGGTGCTTCCTATCAGCATGTAAAAATATTCATTTATTTCCCATTATTTAAAAAGTCAACAAATATTTTCTTATACTTCCTTAACTCTGTGTGTCTCTCTACCTACCACCCTCATCCCATCTGTCAAGGATATGGAATCAGAACCTGGAGGAACTGGAGGAAGTTCCATTTGAATTGAGCATGTGATGCTGGGGTGGAGGGTGGAGAACGATGCTTAGTAAACATCAGTTAAACTGCATTAAATGAACAGAGGTTTATAAGGGGCCAACATTTTGTTGAGTAAATATGCCAAATATTTGGTAGCTACCCAGAAATATGACAGCATAATTGCTTTCAAAGAACAGATCATCTAGTTGGAGAAAGGAGTTATCAACCCTTGAAAAGGTGGCAGCACAGGGGAGATGCAAACTGACCTGACTCAATTTTGAATATGTATCCTGGATCTGATCCTTTCTTACTACCTCTCTCTCACTATGTTGTTTAATTCAGTATCTTCCTTCCCTGCATTATTTTATTAGCTCCCCTAGTTGATTTTCCTGCTGATATTCTTTCCTCACTTTGCAAATTTGGCTTTTAAAATACAATCATGTGTCACTTAACCACTGAGATACCTTCTGAGAAGTGTGTCATTAGGAGATTTCATTATTGTTCAAACATCACAGAGTGTACTTACACACACCTAGATGATATAGTGATATGGTTTGGATGTGTCCCCACCCAAATCTCATCTTGAATTGCAGTCCCCATAATCCCCACATGTCGTGAGAGGGACCCAGTGGGAAGTAATTGAATCATGGGGTTGGTTACTCCCATGCTGTTCTCATGATAGTGAGTGAGTTCTCACAACATCTGATGATTTTATAATGGGCTTTTCCCCTTTTGCTAGGCACTTATCTCTCCTGCCACCATGTAAAGAAGGACGTGTTTGTGTCCCCTTCCGCCACGTTTGTAAGTTTCCCGAGGCCTCCCCAGCCACATGGAACTGAGGTCAATTAAACCTCTTTTCTTTATAAATTACGCAGTCTTGGGTATTTCTTCATAGCAACGTGAGAACAGACTAATACATATAGCCTACCACACACCTAGGCTACAAACCTGCACAGCGTGTGATTTTTATATCTTAATATATCTAAATATAGAAACAGTACAGTAAAAATATGGTATAAAGGATTTTAAATCCTAGTGGATGCTGGGCTTAATAACTGGGTGACAGGATAACCTGTGTAGCAAACAACCATGGCACACATTTACCTATTTGACAAAGCTGCATATCCTGCACAGGTACCCCTGAACTTAAAAGTTGGAAAAAAATTGTTGAGGGAATTTTCATTACTAAAATAGCAAAGTAGATGTGAATACAGTCAAAGAAACATTTTGTTTTACAGTTGTTTACATTGTTTAGCAATGACTACTATATATGTATATATGTATATGTATATGCACATATACGTATATGTATATATGTATATGCACACATACGTATATGTATATATGTATATGTATATATGTATATGTATATGTACATATATGTATATGTATATGTGTATATATAGCCATTCTCCTGCCTCAGCCTCCCAAGTAGCTGGGATTACTTGGGCACACGCTGCCATGCCTGGCTAATTTTTTGTATTTTTTTAGTAAGAGACGAGGGTTCACTGTGTTAGCCAGGATGGTCTTGATCTCCTGACCTCATGAGCCGCCTGCCTCGGCCTACCAAAATGGTGGGATTACAGGCATGAGCCACCGCGCCCGGCCTGTTTTTATGTAATTCATAGTGTTACAATATAAGAAAAAATAAGTCAGTTAAAATATCTGCTAAATTATCAATGAGATACTGTAATTTTTATTATTTTCTTTTATAAATGAGTCACTCATTAAAGTATCCTAAAATTGTTAATTTTGTTAACAAATTTAATTTTACTGTATAAATTATAAACGTCGATTAGACTAACCCGCCCTTAAAATAAAAAGAGAGTTATGTACATGATGAACCACTGTAACACCAAAGGGTTAAACTTAAGGGTGATGTTAATTCTGTAGGAAATCATCAGCTTTGAAAATTTTGTGTTTTCAAATTATTGAGAGGCATGCAATTTAGTAAAATCTTACAAAAAAGAACAAATGAAAAAAAATTTTAAAAATGATATACCTATATAGGACATTTACCATGAATTGAGCTTACAGGGCTAGAAGTTGCACTGAGTGAGTCAGTGAGTGAGTGGTGAGTGAATGTGAAGGCCTAGGATATTACTATACACTACTATAGACTTTATAAATACTGACATTTAGGCTATGCTAAATTTATTAAAAATATTTTCTGGCCAGACACAGTGGCTCACGCCTGTAATCCCAGCACTTTGGGAGGCTGAGGCAGGCAGATCACTTGAGGTCAGGAGTTTGAGACCAGCCTGGCCAATATGGTGAAACCCCATCTCTACTAAAAATTCAAAAATTAGCTGGGCATGGTGGTTCATGCCTGTAATCCTGGCTACTCAGGAGGCTGAGGCAGGAGAATTGCTTGAACCTGAGAAGTAAAGGCTAGAGTGCAGTGAGCCGAGATCATGCAGCTGCATTCCAGCCTGGGTGACAGAGTGAGATGCCGTCTCAAAAAAAATTTTTTTTTTAATTTCTTCAATAATAAATTAATCTTAGCTTATTGTAACTTGTTACTTTATAAATTTTTAATTTCTTAAAAAAACTTTTTGACACTTATAACACTTAGCTTATAATTGAAAAACATTGTATAGCTGTATAAAAATATTTTATTTTTTATATTCTTATTAAATAAGCTTTTTTCTTTTTTTAATTTTTTAAAGTTACTTTAAAAAATTGTTTTGGTTAAAAAGTAAGACACTAACACACACATTAGCCTAGGCCTACACAGGGTCAAGATCATTCATATTACTGTATTCCACCTCCACATCTTGTCCCGCTAGAAGGTCTTTGGGTTAGCAACATGCATGGGAGTGTCATCTCCTATGATAACAAGGCCTTCTTCTGGAATACCTCCTCCAGGACCTGTCTGAGGCTGTTTTACACATAACTTTTTTTTTTTTTGAAAGTAGAAGGAGTATATTTTAAAGTAACAATAAAAACTATAATATAGTAAATATAGAAACCAGAAACTTGGTTGCTTATTATTCAAGTATTATGTACTGTACATATTTTTATATTTTTTATTTTTCCAAGACAGAGTTTTACTCTTGTCGCCCAGGCTGGAGTGCAGTGGCATGATCTCGGCTCACTGCAACCTCTGCCTCCGGGGTTCAAGCAATTCTCGTGCCTCAGCCTCCAGAGTAGCTGGGATTACAAGCACCTGCCATCATGCCTGGCTAATTTTTATTTGTATTTTTAGTACAGACGGGATTTTACCATGTTGGCCAGGCTGGTCTTGAACTCCTGACCTCAGGCGATCCACCTGCCTCAGCCTCCCAAAGTGCTGAGATTACAGGCATGAGCCACTGCACCTGGCCCATATTTGTATGTGCTATACTTTTATGTGACTGGCAGCTCTGTAGGTTTTTTTATACCAGCATCACCACAGACACCCGAGTGATGACATTACGAAGGCTACAATGTCACTAGGCAATAGGAATTTTTCAATTCCATTATAAACTTTTGAGACCATCATATATGTGCTCCATCATTTTCCAAAACATTGTTATACAGTGCATGACTGTATATCAGGTCCTGTCTCTGATCTGCTCTGATATGGTTTGGCTCTGTGTCCCCACCCAAATCTCATCTTGTAGGTCCCATAATTCCCACATGTTATGGGAGGGACCCGGTGGGAGATAACTGAATCATGGGGGTGGGTCTTTCCTGTGCTGTTCTTGTGACAGAAAATGGGTCTTGTGAGATATGATGGTTTTAAAAATAGGAGTTTCTCTGCACAAGCTCTCTCTTTGTCTGCCACCATCCATGTACAATGTGACTTGCTCCTCCTTGCCTTCTGCCATGATTGTGAGGTCTCCCCAGCCACGTGGAACTGTGAGTCCAATTAAAGCTCTTTCTTTTGTAAATTTCTCAGTCTCAGGTATGTCTTTATCAGCAGTGTGAAAAGGACTAATACAGTAAATTGGTACCAGTAAAAGATACCTGAAAATGTGGAAGCGACATTGGGACTGGGTAACAGGCAGAGGTTGGAACAGTTTGGAGGGCACAGAAGAAGACAGGAAAATGTGGGAAAGTTTGGAATTCCACAGAGGCTTGTTGAATGGCTTTGACCAAAATGCTGATAATGATATGGACAATGAAATCCAGGCTGAGGTGGTCTCAGACGGAGATGAGGAACTTGTTGGGAACTGGAGCAAAGGTGACTCTTGCCATGTGTTAGCAAAGAGACTGGAGGCATTTTGCCCCTACCTTAGAGATTTGTGGAACTTTGAACTTGAGAGAGATGATTTAGAGTATCTGGTGGAAGAAATTTTTAAGCAGCAAAGCATTCAAGAGGTGACTTGGGTGCTGTTAAAAGCATGTAGTTTTAAAAGGGAAACAGCACAAAATTTCAGAAAATTTGCAGCCTGATGATGCAGAAGAGAAAAATCCATTTTTTTTTGAGAAAATTCAAGCCAGCTGCATAAATTTGCATAATTAGCAAGGAGCCCAATGTGAATCCCCAAGTCCATGGGGAAAATGTCGCTAGGCCATGTCAGAGACCTTGATGGCAGTCCCTCCCATCACAGATCTGGAGGCCCAGGAGGAGAAAGTGGTTTCGTGGGCTGCGCCCAGGGTTCCTGTGCTATGTGCAGCCTTGGGACTTGGTGACCTGTGTCCCAGCCACTCCAGCCATGGCTGAAAGGGGCCAACGTAGAGCTCAGGCTGTTACTTTAGAGGGTGGAAGCCCCAAGTCTTGGCAGCTTCCACATGGTGTTGAGCCTGCGAGTGCACAGATCTCAAGAATTGAGGTTTGGGAACCTCCTCCCAGATTTCAGAAGATGTATGGAAATGCCTGGATGGCCAGGCAGAAGTTTGCTGCAGGGGGTGGGTACTCATGGAGAACCTCTGCTAGGGCAGTGCAGAAGGGAAATGTGGGGTTGGAGCTCCCACACAGAGTCCCTATTGGGGCACTGCAAAGTAGAGCTGCGAGAAGAGGGCCACCGTCCTCCAGACCCCAGAATAGCAGATCCACCAACAGTTTGCACCATGTGACTGGAAAAGCCGCAGACAATGCCAGCCCAGGAAAGCAGTCAGGAGGGGGAGTATACCCTGCAAACCCACATGGGCAGAGCTGCCCAAGACCATGGAAACCCACCTCCTGCATCAGCATGACCTGGATCTGAGACATGGAGTCAAAGGAGATCATTTTGGAGCTTTAAGATTTGACTGCCCCGCTGTATTTCAGACTTGCGTGGGGCCTGTAACCCCTTTGTTTTGGCCAATTTCTCCCATTTGGAATGACTGCATTTACCCACTGTCTGTACCTCTTGTATCTAGGAAGTAACTAACTTGCTTTTGATTTTATAGGCTCATAGGTGGAAGGCACTTGCCTTGTCTTGGATGAGCCTTTGAACTGTGGACTTTTGAGTTAATGCTGAAATGAGTTGAGACTTTAGGGGACTGTTAGGAAGGCATGATTGGTTTTAGAATGTGAAGATATAAGATTCGGGAGGCACCAGGGGCTGAAGGATATGGTTTGGCTCTGTGTAAGATGTGACTTGCTCCCCCCTTGCCTTCTGGCATGATTGTGAAGCCTCTCCAGCCACGTGGAACTGTGAGTCCAACTAAAGCTCTTTCTTTTGTAAACTACCCGGTCTCAGTTATGTCTTTATCAGCAGCATGAAAATGGACTAATACATGCCCAAAACACCCCCCATGGATGCCAGTCTTGATCACAGTACAAGTCAAATCCTCGCTGTGATCTGCACCCAGCACTGACCTTCTGATGTCATCTGTTGGCCTCTATCTTACTCATTTTGCTCCAGCTCCACAGACCTCCCTGCTGCTTCTTCAATGCACCAAGCAGCCTCCTGCCTCAGGGACTTTGTACTCACTACCATTTCTACCTGGCAGGCTATTTCTCTAGATATCTCCTTGGCTGCTCTTTGATTTCTTTTAAGTCTCTGCTCAAATGTCACCATATCCAGGAGTCCTTCCCTGATAACACTACATAGAAACTGATGCCCTACTCTCTCCCTATCCCTTATCACCTAACCTTCTTTTATTTCTCCTCTAGCACTTATCACCTTCCAGCAAGTGATTATTTTTTTCATTTATATATTTTCTTGTCTTCCCATTATAACAAACTTCATGAGGCCAGGGTCTTGGTCTGGTTTGTTCCTTAATGCATCTCCAGACCCACATAATAATCACCCAATAAATGGTGAGTAAATGAATAATGGATGACAAAAAAGAACCTAGCTCCATCTTGCTCTGTGTGTGTACTCATTAATTCGGCAGATATTTATCAAGCAACTACTGTGTAGTTGATACTTGCTAACTAATGTCTTTGAGGAGCTATGCAAGAAGTAAGCCACAGAAACAATCTGAGTGTTTCACTGACAACCAAAGCAGACCAAGATGATGCAGGTGTCTTTGGTTCAAAATCCTTGGCTTGGTGTCCTCATTCCAGATCCCAAACCCTGGGGCTGGTTAAAGCTAAATTACTTACAAGCGGCAGATTGTGGAGTGAGCATTCACATCCTCCTGATCTACTTGGTGCAAACAGAGGCTGGAAAGGACATGAAAACAACCTAG
This sequence comes from Homo sapiens, assembly GCF_000001405.40. Classification (NCBI taxonomy): domain Eukaryota; kingdom Metazoa; phylum Chordata; class Mammalia; order Primates; family Hominidae; genus Homo; species Homo sapiens. The sequence continues at coordinate 13,151,714 of NC_000004.12, read as the reverse complement.
ACCGAGGCCCTCATTTTACAAATGGGGAAACTGAGGTTCAAGAGGAAGAAAGTAGCCTCAAATTAGCAAGAATCCCTGGGTTCTGGCTCACAGGCTGGGTGGGGATCTTTCCACTGTACCACACTGCCTCTCCTTGCCACTCCCTCCCTGGCTCCCCTCCTTACAATGTCCTCCTTTTCTTCTTGACAGTCAGCACCTTGTTAGGGATCCGGGCAATGTGAGCTATGAAAAGAAACTTTATAGCTCTGTGCTGTTATGATCATATTTTGGGGGGCGGGGTGGCGAGAGCAGGCAGGAAGGAGCCAAGCAGGCTTGCCTGCATGACTGCTCTGTATTTTAATGGGATCCCTGCTGGTCACACCCTCTCCCAGGCTCCCACACCCCGAGGGCCACATCGCGGTCACTGAGCAGTCAGGGAAATGAAAACAGTAATCTTAGAGTCTAGAGCGGAGCAGAAGGCAAGACCCTCCCCACTGCCCCCACCCAGAGGCTCAGACAAGGCATCAAAGAAGAGGAAGAAAGAGAGCAAGAGCAGCAGGGACCGTCTGAAAGGAGAGATAGAGAAATTTGTTTTTTCTCAGAAGCCCACAATAAAAGCCTGTCACCCACACAAGGGTAGTGATAGCTGCTGGTCTTTGGCTAAGTGGTAAAACAAATAGGAGAAGAAGAATGAAAAGGAACCTACTATGTGACAAGCTTAGCTCAGCTACTTATAAAGTGTTTATCCTCAAAACTGCTAGAGGTAGGGCTTAAGAAATCTGCGTTACAGGAAGAAATTGATGATCATTTAGTGAAAAAACACCATTATAGAGCCCTGAAACAATCATATTGTAGCACTTATTGAACACCAAGTGTCAGCCACTGTGCTTATGCCTTACGCACATACCGAATTTCACCCTTCAATGCTGTAAGGGAAAAGTACTGTTATTAGCCCCATATTATGAATGAGGATATAAAAGCTCAGAAAAGTAAATAGTTTGCCTCAAGTCACACAGATAGGAAAGGCTGGCACCAGAAGTCCAATCTGGTGATGTGACTTTGGATGCCATTCTATGTTCTGTAGCAATATTGCTATATTCCAGGCACTGGGAATAAAGGATGCAGAGTAAACAAGACTAACACAGCTCCTGTCCTTCAAGATGAAAAACTCTGCTGAAGTAGCCAACTTCTAGGTGGCAAAGCTGAGGCTTCATTTTAAAATGAAGGCAGCTTGACTCCCATGTTTGTGTGTTCCCCATTTTGCCTGGAATACTTCAACACTGTGCAACACAGACCTGCTTGTGCACCACTGGACTGGAAGCCACCCATGCACGGTCCAGTCACACTGACCCCCAGACACTCCCCAGCATGTCTCTACACTTGCACACTCTTTTCCCTCTGCCTGACAGAGCCTCCCATTCTTCCCATCCCACCTCCTGGTGGAAATGTTCCAGGATCACCAGAGCCCTGGGTGATTATCCCAAGACTAGCTTGACCCTAGCTAGGAATACGGCCGAGGTATTCTTTCAGAGAATGGGAGAGGCAGAATATTTGGGTACATCTGCCGACAGATCAGTAGATGTGATGATGAGTGTGTGTGGAAGTGCTTTTTTGATTGTTTCTATTTTCTCAGTGAAATAAGGTGTTAAGTATATCATTTGAGCATAATGAGAGAGATGGAAGGTTTGGGGTTTTCAGAAGGGAGAAGCAGGCATGGTAGGTTGTTCAGGACAGTAGAAGAATGGACACCAGAGAGAAATGTGGTACATGTGCCAGGCAGCATCACAGACATGCTTGGGAATGGCTGTCATATACTTCGAGTGGGACCCATCACCATGGTTTGTGTTTTTCTCTAGCCACATTCAACTTCCCAGGTGCAAGGCAGAATTCAGTCTAACTGGGGCTTGGGTTTTTCCAGGTGACTATAACAGAGGCCAGGAGAGCAAAGAAGCTGAAGACTTCTGACTTAGCCTATGGAGGTTAAGTTAGGCTAGAAGGCTAGATGGGAACTGAGGAAACTGCAAAGAATCACTGGAGAATGGACACTAGAGACAGTGAGGTGAGCCATTGGGAGGCAGAGGGCAGGAGGAAATTGAGACTAGAAAGGGGCTACGGCAATTGATCAGGATAGGGTCTCAAGATGTTTGAGGTAGATGGAAGACAAGATCTTGGAGGAGAAGAGGCTAGGGAATGGAGAGACATTATTAGAAGGACTATTTTTGGGGATAACTGACAAGAATTATGACAGTAATGCTAGGAAAACAGCAAGCCAGAAGCCAATCTCATCAAGAAATGGTTAGGAGTGGGAGAGAGTAGTCCCAAGGGTCTCCAAACGATGGGATGGGGTTGGTGTGTGCTGATGGCGTACATTTCCAGGCAATGGTGGGGTGTAGGGGAAGAGAAGGAGACAATGATTTGAAGTAGCAATAAGGAACAAATAGGACACCTACTCCTCCTTTAGCCCTAGAGGGTTTAGTAGAGAAACAGCCACCATTGAGCAGACTGCAGGGAAAGCAATGCGGTGTCCTTAGGGAAGAGCCAGGCCTTAGTTAGAGCAAAAGACGTATGGAATGTTCAGAGAAGAAGCACAGTTATAGGGGATCCTGCTGATGACAGACTGTGGCTTGTGTTGGGCTTTGTAGAACTAAATTCTAGTACGGTGTCTGACCTGGGCTGGCACTCAAATTATGGTGGAAGGAAGAGTGGGGAGGATTTCAGACCCTTGAGCTTCCCTGAACTTCATATCTTCAACCTCTGGCTCATCACTTACTGGATGGATGAGTGAATAAATGAGTAAATGGAGGCCTATGAGCTGGCTCAGGTGGAGCTAAAGACAAGTGATAGTCTGTCTGCTTCTACTTAAGGTGGGGTTGTCAAACACAATTTTTCCTACCTGACTTGTTCAAGGTTCTTTATATTCTAGCCCGTTCCAACCTATCCTTTCTTGTTTCCTATCATTTCCAAATTCAGATGACCTACCAGACAGTTTGGGTTCCTGGCTGTCCCATTAAAACACCATACTCATTCCTGACTCTCAGCCTTAGCTTAGGAATTTCCTTCTGCTAGAGTAGCCTATTGTAGTCTCGTTTCCCCAGCCAGCTCTTTGCTGTCCTTCAAGGCCGTGGCAAGTCAAACTCACCCATGAAACCTTCCTTGATGTGAAAACCTGCCCTTCTCAGATTTTCTGCAGCTCTTATAAAATGTACCACATACCACAGAGTGAACTATGTCTTGTCTTTTATTAATTGTTATTTTGGAAAGAAGATTAACCATGCTTTTCCAGGTACACACTGTGTTTCTTAAGGGAGGGAGTGTGTCTTCTGCTTTGGGCACTTCCTTTCTTGCAGTCTCTTTCCCTTTGCCAAGCTCAGCATCCTGCAGACTCTCTTAACCGTGAGTTGTTTGAGCAGCTTCTATTAGCTCCATCTTCATCCTCTGATTAACCTAAGGCTACCGATATCCTCTTTGCCTTGGCTTCCTTACCATTACAGTGTGCTGGTTCTCCTTCTACCTTTTTTTGGCTGGCTGGTCTGCCTTCTTGAATATAGGGTTTACATAGCTTAGTTCAGGATCCTTTTCTTTTCTCGCTTTGTACCTTCCCCAGAATGTCATAGCCATTCTGAAATCTTTATCAGTTACCTTTATGCAGCAACTTCAGAAATCATCTTTCAACAGACCAGTTACTTCTGTAACTATGAACTGAATGAACATTTCCACATGGATGGCCTGGGTGACTCCTCCAATTCAACACACTTAAAATCAAACTCTCTATAATATTCATATATTTATATATAAATTTAAATTTATATAAATATATATAGTTTTATTTTAAGCACGTATATACATATAAATATATATTATTTATTTTATATATACATGTAATATATAAATTTATATTATACAGTTATGTTAGAATATAAATTTAATATTTTTATATACATGTATACAAATATATAAATATATGTGTGTATATATGTATATATGTGTGTATATATAGACATATATGTATATACATTTGGATATATACATGTATATATTTTTGGTATTAGTTCTTTATCCCAAGGCTTTTATTTCTATTAAAGATGCTGGCCTGCTTACAACACTGGAAACCTCTGTTAGGTTTCTTACAACCTATGGGGCAAAATTTACATTCTTTGTCAAGATGCATAAGAATCGTCATGATTTGGTCCCCATTTGTCTCTCTCCAGCTTCACTTTCCTGACCATACAACTTAGAACTCAACTACACTTGAACTTCTCCAAGTTTCCCAAATATGACATTCAAGTTCATGTCTTCATGTTCTGGTACATACTGTTCCTTATGCCTAGATGACGTTCCTTCCATCTCCACCTAGGGAAACTTTTAGTTTCAGCTCCAACTTTGCCTTACCTCTGGGGCACTAGGTCCCATTTTCCAGAATTTCACACTGCCATATTCACAGTTGCTTTGTGTGCTGTTACTAGGCTTCATGGAATATGAGCTCTTTGTTTATATCCTGCAGCATAGTATCTGGCAATAATAACTGCTCATTAAATGTACTTTGAATAAATGAGCAAATGAATACAGTTGACTCTTGAACAACACTGGGGTTAGTGGCACTAACCACTTCCCACATGGTTAAAAATTCATCTATAACTTTTTACTCCCTAAAAACTTAACTACTATAATAGTAGCCTACTGTTGACTGGAAGCCTTATGGATAACATAAACCATTGATTAACACATACTTTGTATGTTATATGTATTATATACTGTATTATTATAATAAAGTAAGCTAGATAAAATGCTATTAAGAAAAGCATAAAGAAAAGAACTTACATTTACAATACTGTACTGTATTTACTGATATCATAAAGTTTATATATAATTTAAATTTACAAATTATATATAATTTAAATTTACAAGATGAATCATCTGTCTGGAATGGCAGGCAACCTTAGCTACAGACCTCAATCTATGGTATATATCAAGCAATTCAACTTTTTCTTGTAATGTCATGACTTTTCTCTGCTTTTTGGGAGCACTTCCAGCATCCCTAGTAGCACTTAGTATGTGTCCTGTGGTGTTTTTCAAGGTTTATGGTATTGCACTCAACACGATGAAAAATACATGGGAACAGAGACATCACTTTTTACTGCCATATGCAACTTACTGGAGAGATGAACTGCTCACGTGGAGATGATTAGTGTCACATGGGGTTTCAGGTGGGTACTTAAACACTTGAGCTCATCACAATAGCAACAGGAGGTGGCTGCAAAATTATCACCGTAGTATACTACAGTTATAATTATGCAGTTATTTTTATGCAGACTACAGTTAATTTTATGGAGTTATGTTTTAATACTGCATCTTTACATTTGTTTACATTTCTCTTGACTGCAAATAGTACCATATACTGGCTCTGTGTGTATAAATTTTAATAAATTTTGACTTTTGATAATAGATTTGTGTATATTTTAAGGTAGTAAATGATAAACTAGTGTCTACATATATTTTATACATTCATGATATAGTTAATTTTTCTTATTTTTTTCAGCATTTCTAGTCTGTGGTTTATTGTGACTTTTAAAAAATTGTGGCAAATCTCCAAAATATTTTTCAACATACGTATTGAAAAAAACCCGCATATAAGTGGAACATGCAGTTCAAACCCATGTTGATCAACGGTCAATTGTACATTCTTCCAGCTCCCAGCCTTCAAACTCCAGGTTCAGATTTGACTTTCTCCTATCCTTTGTCTCCTGTTGCCTCCGGCTCTTTGATTTTAAATCAGACTGAAAATTCTCCATCCAGTTCCTTGTCTTCATGTCTAGACAATTATAATAAAAACAAAATATCCATATCTCTGCTTCCACTTCCCATTCTGCTTTCTTTTTCTGTGCACAGCAGATTCCAGAGATAGTACCAGCTTTGCTAAGGCCACTCGCTGCTAAACACAAAATCCACCTGTAGCTCCCCTTTTCTCATAGAACAAATTCCATGATTTGGAAGCTAACTGCTCCTCTAGCACCCTAGAACTCTTGAATAAGACTTGTGTCTCAAAAATACTTCCTTTACTCTACAGCAATTTTTTTTTTTAAATCTAGATATTTATTGGGCGTATACCATTGGAGATTTTACCATGTTTTTTTCTTAATCTTAAAAACAACATTTTGGGCCAGGCGTGGTGGCTCACGCCTGTAATCCCAGCACTTTGGAAGGCCGAGGCGGGTGGATCACAAGGTCAGGAGATCGAGACCATCCTGGCTGACACGGTGAAACCCCATCTCTACTAAAAATACAAAAAATTAGCTGGGTGTGGTGGCAGGCGCCTGTAGTCCCAGCTACTCGGGAGGCTGAGGCAGGAGAATGGCGTGAACCTGGGAGGTGGAGCTTGCAGTGAGCCAAGATCATGCCACTGCACTCCAGCCTGGGCGACAGAGCAAGACTCCGTCTCAAAAAAAAAAAAAAAAACCAACATTTTGAATTGGATAGTATTCTCCCTAATGTTTTACATGAGGAATCTAATTCTCAGAAAATTTAAGTAACTTGTCCAAGATTGTACCCACTTTATGGATTTTACAGTTCCCGACTGGCACCCTTTTGGAGAGGTTAAATTTTCTTATGCATGTGTCTTACTTGTCCACCTCGAGTTCTTTGAGTATAAGCATCATTATTAACTAACTCAGTCCCACTGATTTATGGTAGAAAGATTAGGCACTCATGGCTGATGTACTGTGAGGAGCTAGTAGGCCAGCCTCTGGGGGCATTAGCTAACTACAAGTTCAAAATGAACATCCTTAAAGCCGTCTTTACAATTCTGTATAAAATTAAATGATATGCAAAATTAAACGATAAGAAGAGATCTTGGGCCGGCCGCGGTGGCTCACGCCTGTAATCCCAGCACTTTGGGAGGCCGAGGCGGGTGGATCATCTGAGGTCAGGAGTTCGAGACCAGCCTGACTAACATGATGAAAACCTCTCTCTACTAAAAATACAAAATTAGCTGGGTGTGGTGACACATGCCTGTAATCCTGCTACTAGGGAGGCCGAGGCAGGAGAATTGCTTGAACCCAGGAGGCAGAGGTTGCAGTGAGCCGAGATCATGCCATTGCACTCCAGCCTGGGCAACATGAGGGAAACTCATTCTCAAAAAAGAGATCTTGAAATAATTGTGATAGCTAAATGAAAATTGCTGGGCTGCCTTGTTCACCATCATTAATTACTCATCATTTCCCACGATCCTGGGCTTTTGTATACTTTCTCAGGTGGTGCAACCTGATGACTGATCCACCTGATTATCCCTCTGAACATTTGAGATTTATTAGGTGCCGGCCAGTCTTTCAGCTACAGTTTAATTGTGTTAACTGCAAATGCAATTAATTGTGTCACCTTTGGGGAAGAATTTCACAGCTACCTTTGGGGGAGGGTGGTAAGCTCCTTATTAAAGTAGTATGTGTTGAAACTCTCCCGAGAAAACCCAGATTCTATGATTTTTGTGAGGCTTGACTGTATCCATCTTTTTTATTTATTTTTTATGGCTCTTTATCAAGGCAACTGGTAGCTGCTTGCTTGTTGCAATTCAATTTTGGGAATATTAGCAAGCTGCAAGTCATGTTACTTTCTGTAATAATGGCTGTCAAAATTAATACCCCTTGCCTCCCTCAAAACATAGTGGTACCTGTTCTCCTGATGTCATTTGCTCATGCTTAGAACTCTTCATCCTCTCTCACATCCAGGATCCTTGCCTGATCCTGGTCTCCTCGGGAAGGTTTCAAATGCCCTTTCCTGCTTCCAGCCTTAGCTTGACTCCCGCCTGTAGTCACTCCTGGTCAGCACATAATAAATCACTTTAACGTGTTTCTAAAACAAGGTCAGATTGTGCTGTAACTTTTAAAAAGGCATCTAAAAATCTCGATTTAGGTGCAATTCTCATGGTAGACTTTATGTCCAGAAAAAGGACAGTGAGAGGATTTCTAGGGGGGGGAGATGTGCACGTGTGTGTGTATTGGGAGAAATGAGTGTGCAGGGAAGGGAGGGGAAGGAATATCCTCTTGCTTTGGCTGAGGAATCTTTGCAGTGTTTGAGTGGGCCTCCACGCCATAAACATTGAGGGCATTTAACATATCAAACGCAAATAAAAATGACACGCAGATGGCTCACTTCTGAGGCAGCCTTGTGCAGTTTTGGGAATCCTCCATCACTGCGGTTTTCCGAAATATTGAAAGTATATATTCCCGATTAAGCTCGCTGTTTTCCTCTCCATGCATTGCCTTTCAGCCAGAAACTGTCCAGGCCGGCCTGAAGACTCAGGTCCTATCAGCGAAATCAAAGGCCAGCCCCCAGCTCAAGAGTCATTTAGGATTTTCTGTGGTGCAATTAAGCGTGTGCAGCGCCCCACAGCCACCGAGGCGCTGTTTATTCAGCGAAAGTGCTCTGTAATTTATTTAAAATAATCCATCTTTCACAAATAAAGGGGCCATTGATGGTCCCCCAACTGCAGACCTCTGCTGAAAGGCCCCCTCTTGATGGTCTGTTTTGCTGGTCACAGCTAAATACCTGACAAAAGTGATTCAGGCTTTTTAAAATTTTTGCCTTTCTCTTAACTCTCACTTTTTTTTTTAAATGAGATTTTACTAAACCTGCTTGTTTTCTTTTACACCAGTAATCAGATGAGGCTCTCTTTCCTCCCCCACATGCCCACCTTTTTTTTTTTTTCTTTTTAAAATAAAAAAAAAACAACACAGATTGGCCATTAAAAATGATTAATGCCAGCCAATTTGATAATCGCTGAGCGGAAGGTGCCAGCCATTTTGGGATTTAATGCAGCCTCGGAACCAGCTTCTTTATAGCCCTTGGCTAATGAGGAATCACATTAGGCTTTTTACTGTATATGAATTGATTAGCTGAAAATGAGATTACGTCCATGGTGCAACCCTGGTGACAAAGAGCTCTTTCTTTTCAAACACTTTCCAGTGCCAGGTCACTGCCTGAATTTTAAAATGTTCTCTTTCCCTGGTTTTCCAGAAAAATATTGGATGAGCTCAGGTGTGACTTCCACAGAAATGGGGTTATCTATGAAGATCTCCAAAACAAACAAACAAGCAAACAAAAATATGATGTTGACAAGGACTCACACTCAGAGCTGTGGATTTGACAGGTTGAGGAAGCAGACAGAGGGGGAAGAACATGGGCTTCAGAATTAAACTTTCCTCAGTGGGAAGCTGGTCTCTGCCACTCCCTGGCTCTGATGTGGGACCTACCTTGTAACCTCTTGGAGCTGTGCTCTCCTCATCGGTACAATGGGGATAACACTTATTTTATGGGATTATTAGGATTAAATAAAATAGTATGTGTAAAACATTAGCATAGGGCCTGGCACATGGAAGGTCCTTAAAAGCCTGACTTTCCTCTTTCCCCCTTCTCCCTCTTCCCTTCTCCTACATCCTCTCTTCTCTCCTCCCTCCCTTCTCCCCTCCCTCTCTCCCTCTCTCCCTCCCTCCCTCCCTTCCTTCCTTCTCTCCCTCCCTTACTCCCTCCCATCAAAATTGATTTGAAATGTTCATCTGTGAATGCTTATTTGTGCTGACATTTTATATATTTCATCTTCAAAAATGTATTCTTTTTTTGATTTTTTTCAACCATTTAAACATATGAAGAGCATTCTTTGCTGTTTTATTTTGAGCTGCTATAACAGAATACCATAAGCTGAGTAGCTTAAACACAGATATTTGTTTCACACAGCTCTGGAGGCTGAGAAGCCCAATATTATGGTACCAGCATGGTCAGGTTCTGGTAAAGTCCTACTTTCTGGCTTACAGATGGCCATCTTCTCTTATTCTCAGATGGCAGGGAGAAGAGAGAGGGACAGCAAGCTCTCTGGTGTCTCTTCTCTTAATGGCACTCATCCCATTCACAAGGTGATATATGGTTTGGCTGTGTCCCCACCCAAATCTCACCTTGAATTGTAATAATCCCCATGTGTCATGGGAGGGACCTGGTGGGAGGTAATTGAATCATGAGGAAGGGATTTTTCCATGCTGTTCTCGTGATAGTGAAGAAGTCTCACGAGATCTGATGGTTTTATAAAGGGGAGTTCCCCTGCACATGCTGTCTTACCTGCCACCGTGTAAGACATGCCTTTCTCCTCCTTTGCCTTCTACTATGATTGTGAGACCTCCTCACCCACGTGGGACTGTGAGTTCATTAAACTTCTTTTTCTTTATAAATTACCCAGTCTCGGGTATGCCTTTATTAGCAGTGTGAGAACTGACTAATACATAAAGTCTCCACCCTCATGATCTAATCACTTCTGAAAGGCCCACCTCCTAATCCTATCACACTGGGGGTTATGGTTCCCACATATGAATTTTGGGGGTACACAAATATTAAGTTCATAGGATTAGCTAATGGATCACACTATTAAATTAAGTTTAGCCTAAAGTTGCCTCCTTATATATTTTAAGTTTGGCCTTGTATTAGTCCATTTTCACACAGCTATACAGATACTACCTGAGACTGGGTAATTTATAAAGGAAAGAGATTTAACTGACTCAAAGTTCCACATGGCTGGGGAAGCCTCAGGAAACTTACAATTGTGGCAGAAGGTAAAGGGGGAAGCAAGCATGTCTTACCATGGCAGAACAGGAGAGAGAAGCACAAACAAGGAACTTTCAAACACATAAAACCATCAGATCTCGTGAGAAGTCACTCACTATTATGAGAACAGCATGGGGGAAACTGCCCCCATGATCTAATCACCTCCCTTTCTAGACACCTGGGGATTACAGGTCCTTCCCTCAACACATGGGGATTATAATTGGAGATGAGATTTGGTTGGGGACACAGAGCCAATCCATATCATTCTGCCCCTGGCCCCTTCCAAATATCATGTCTTTTCACATTTCAAAACACAATCATGCATTCCCAATTGTCCTCCAAAGTCTTAACTCATTTCAGCATTAACTCAAAAGTCCAAGTCCAAGGTCTCATCTGAGACAAGGCAAGTCCCTTCCATTTATGAGCCTGTAAAATCAAAAACAAGTTAGTTCCTTTCAAGATACGATGGGGGTACAGGCATTGGGGTCAACTTTAGTGCTTAATCCCCAATTAAACAAAATGTTATCCCTCAAAAAAGAATTACATTTTTCTCATACATTGATATAAAAACATGCTCAATTATTATTGTTTTGAATTTCATCCACAAACAACTTGTGAAAAACTTTTTCTCACTTGTGATAAGTGTACCTACATAATATCTTTGATTTTATCCCGTTGCTGGCAAAACCTAGAATATTTACTGTTTGGCCTTTTACAGAAAGAGTTGGCTGCCCCTACTACAGGGAAGTCTCCTGTCTAGTTAGCAGATGACATTTCCTTTTGGGGGAATTAGTTATTAGTATGTGTGTTGAGGGCAGGGAACAGAGGATTGTGGGGTTTTAAACTCAAATACAAAGTTGAAAAGATATATTTATATGCTGAGCATATTGGCTGGTCTCTGTCATTTCTTTATGCTACCCCTGTTCTGTAAATATAAATCAAAAGTGATTCTAGCTTTACTTAGTGGGAGGCAGAAATAGTGACTCAAACAGGGGGAGGAGATACAATGTGAGAAAACAAATAATTGTGCCCTAGTTGATTCCATGGCTCTTTCTTCCCGTAGGTAAAATTTGTGGAGCATTTATAAGGTGCTTACAGTATAGACAGGGTACACACATTTCCCATCGGAGTGTAAACTGTCCTGTTTTCTGCTATATTCTTGGACACCAGAGTAGTGCGTGGCATTTTAGCAAATATGTGATTAAACATATGTTAAATTTTCTCATTTATTTCCACCTCTTTACCTTCCTTCTCCCATTTTCCAGGTTGGAACACCGAGGCTGAGTCTTGCTTTCCCAGAGAAGGGGAGGAGGCAGTATTGGGGTCCCTTGTGCTCCTGTGAAGGAGGCAGCATCATTTGTTTTTTAGGCACAAATTAGCTCTATTCACTGATGGAGCTGGGCTAACATTCAAATCCCCTTAAGCACTTAAGCAAAAAAGAATTCACTTCAGCAGAGACAGGTGGCTCTTGGCTGAGTTGGTAACTGTAACATTTTTCCAATGATGTCTTTACCACCATCTTCTGTCTCTCCACTTCCAGTGCTGCCTCTTTGGAAGCAAAACCTCACCACCTTCTCAGGTTCTGGCCTCAGAAAAGATCTTGGAATGAGAAGCTGGAAGGAGTTTGCGGTTTTAGCTCTGACACTTCCTATCTGAGAGCCCTTGGACCACCCCCTCTGCCTGAGGTCAGCCTTTGTTCTGTTTCCAAAAACTGCAGTAATAATCTCTATCTTGAATCCTCATACACTTTCAAACTGGGCCTTGCAAGATAGTCAGATAACAGAGGGAGATGGTTATTTTAGCTCATTCTGTGTTGCTATAACCTAATACCACAGTCTGAGTAATTTATAACAAAAAGAAATGTATTTCTCATGATTCTAGAGGCTGGAAAGTCCAAGGTCAAGGGGCCTGCATCTGGTGAGGTCCTTCTTGCAGCATCATCCCACAGCAGGAGGCATAGGGTGAGAAAGTGCACATGACAGAGGAAAAGGAATCTTCTCATCAGGAACCCAGTGTTGATAACTAACCTACTTCTATAATAAAAACATGAATTCAGCCATGAGAGCAGAGGTCCTATGACCTTATCACTGGGTGAAGGCCCTACGTCTCGACACTGTTGCATTGTGGATTAAGTTTCCAACACGTGAAATCTGGGGAACATATCCAAACCACAACAATGTTCTTTATTGAGTGGCACTGTGCACACATACACACAGTGATACATACGCAAACACATACACAGACATACAGGTGTAGACACAAATACACACAGACAAACATACACACAGACATACACAGAGACATACTCAAACTCAGACACAGATACACAGAAACACACAGACACATACACAAACAGACACACACAAACTCATACACAAATATACAAACATACAAACACAACAGAGACATATACACACTCACATACAAGCATACATGTACACAAACACATAGAGACATACACAAACACACATAGGCACAGACACACACTCAGAAAAACACACACAGATATACATAGGCAAACACAAACACAGACACACACAAACACACACATACGAACACACACAGACACACACACAGACATACACAAACTCACATGCAGGCAAAGACATGCCCTCAGATAAACACACACTCAGATATACATAGGCAAACACACAAAAACAGACACACACACACACAATAAAACACACAGACACAAGCACACAGATGACGTGCCATCATTGTTTTCAGGAATTCTGGCCCTTCCAATTTCATGGCAAAGCTGATAAAGTGGACAACGATAAGACCTATGCTAAGATGGTGAGCAGCACTGTGAGCACCTTTTATGTGCCTGAGCATTCACACATGGGACTGATGGTCCTCACACTAATCCCATGAGGAAGGTGTCATGAGCCACATCACAGTTGAGGATGCTGAGATGCTGAACATTAAGCAACCTGCCTGGGCCACACAGCCAGTTCCTAGAGGAGTCAGGATCTGGACCCAGATCTCTCTGTCCTTGAAGCTAACACTCTTCTCTGGCCATCATACCACACTACCACACTGCCTTCCTGGTTTACCCCTGGTGCTGTTTTACCCCTTTTGGTTCCTGCTCTGACACCCAGGCTGTCAAGAGGACCCAGCCCCAGGAAACTGCAGCCGTTCAGCACCCATGTCCAACAGGATCTGGCTCAAGATAGCTGATTAATCTGAGATGTGAGTAGGTACTGATGGACTCTGTCTCCCCAAATTGTCAGATAAGAATTATCAGGCTTAGGTGTTGAAATACAAACGTTCAGATTACACTATTCAGGACAGCACCTTACCAGATTTGATGTCTTTCTTTTTTCTTGCAATTAATTTATGTTTCATCCAATCTTGTACACTTTTTAAACTTCTCTAAGAACCTGTGTTTCTTCATTGCAAAATACACACAGACAAACACACACACACATACATACACACGGACATAAACAGAAACTCACACACAAGCACATAAACACCAGACAATAATACCTGCACAGGCCACAGGTGGGTGTAAACGTCTCATGCAGCAACATGTGTGAGGGAGCTGAGCAGTTAGCAAATGCTCCAAAAGTCCTAATGATGGGGAAGCCACCCACAGAGGCTTAACTGTCAGCTGTTTCTACTCATCTGACCTCTAAAGAAAATACCATTGCTTCCTCTCCTGGGGACCTTCTTGGATTCCTTCCTCCCTAACTCCATCTGCTTCAACCTTTCTCTCTTTCTTATTAGAGCAGTAACTTCCTATCTTATCTTTCTTTTTGCAGGTGGAATACACTCTATTTCTATTACTCTCCACTCTAGAAGTTTTGGTTTTCTATTCTAAGACTCTCAGTCTGTTAATAAAACCTTCTTTCCCCATACTTGCTTTCACCCTTCCTCAACCTGCAGACCCTTGACCAAGCGGAAACTAGCCCTACGGAGACATCACGATAGAGTGGTTAGCCATCCTGGCTCTCACGTTAACTCTTGAGGTTCGAAGCTTTAGCTATCCTATTTCACATGTTTGAGATCAGCTTTCCTATATGTTCAGTGGGGCTGATAATTACACAGCCCTCATTGGGTTGTTGTGAGAATAAATGAGAAAATAATTTAGTAAACGTTTGAATGCAGTGTGTGGCACAGAGACAGCCTTCACTAAATTGGTGGATATAATTACCTTGTTCTGGTTCAGTTGCTATACTTCATGTTGAGGCCCCTAGTTTTCTAGAAGGAAACTTGAAACCATGAAGGTGACACTGGGAACCTGAGGGTCTGGTAAGTGAATATTGAATGTAATAGCAAGGGATTGGGTATGGGATAGGACAGATGCTTTCCCCAAATTTATTCCTATGTTTTATTTTACTTTTTTACCACTTTCCTGACTAGGAATTTTCCCCAGATTTATTTATTTCTTGACATTCTACTCTGTGTCAGGCATGGTGCTAGGTGTTGAAAGTACACATCAAATATAGCTCCTGGCCTCAAGGAGAGGTGTTTATAGTACTCCCTGGAGGTAGTTTGTATTTCTGTGGGGTCAGTGGTGATATCCGCTTTATCATTTCTTATTGTGTCTATTTGATTCTTCTCTCTCTTCTTTATTAGTCTAGCTAGTGGTCTATTTTTGTTATTTTTTTTTCAAAAAACCAACTCCTGAGTTCGTTGATTTTTTTGGAGGGTTTTTCATATCTCTGTCTCCTTCAATTCTGCTCTGATCTTAGTTATTTCTTGTCTTCTGCTAGCTTTTAGATTAGTTTGCTTTTACCCCTCTAGCTCTTTTAATTGTGCTGTTATGGTGTTGATTTGAGATCTTCTAGCTTTCTGATGAGAACACTTAGTTCTACACATTTTCCTTTTAACACTGATTTAGCTGTGTCCCAGATATTCTGGTACGTTGTCTCTTTGTTCTCATTGGTTTCAAAGAACTTCTTGATTTGTGCCTTAATTTCATTACTTACCCAGGAGTCATTTAGGAGCAAGTTGTTCAATTTCCATGTAGTTTTACAGTTTTGAGTGAGTTTCTTAATCCTGAGTTTTAATTTGATTGCTCTGTGGTCTGAGAAACTGTTTGTTATTATTTCAGTTCTTTTGTGTTTCCTGAGGAGTGTTTTACTTCCAATTATGTGGTCAATTTTAGAAAAAGTGCCATGCGGCACTGAGAAGAATGTATATTCTGTTGATTTGGGGTACAGACTTCTGTAGGCATCTACTAGGTCCACTTGATCCAGAGCTGAGTTCATGTCCTGAATATCCTTGTTAATTATCTGTCTCGTTGATCTGTCTAATATTGACAGTGAGGTGTTAAAGTCTCCCGCTATTATTGTGTGAAAGTCTAAGTCTCTTTGTAGGTCTCAAATAACTTGTTTTATGAATCTGGGTGCTCCTGTATTGGTGCATATATATTTAGAATAGTTAACTGTTCTTGTTGAATTATTCTCTTTAGCATTACGTAATGCCCTTCTTTGTCTTTTTTGATCTTTGTTGGTTTAAAGTCTGTTTTGTCAGAGACCAGGATTGCAACCCCTGCTTTTTTTTTTCTTTCCATTTGTTTGGTAAATTTTGTTACATCCCTTTATGTTGAGCCTGTGTGTGTCTTTGCACGTAACATGTGTCTCCTGAATACAGTATACCAATGGGTCTTGACTCCTTATCCAATTTGCCAGTCTATGTCTTTTAACTGGGGCATTTAGCCCATTTACACTTAAGGTTAGTATTGTTATGCTTGAATTTGATCCTGTCATCGTGATGCTGTTTGTTTATTTTGTACACTAGTTGATGCAGTTTCTTTGTGGTATCATTGACCTTTATATTTTGTGTTTTTGCAGTGGCTGGTACCAGTTTTTCCTTTCCATATTTAGTTCTTCTTTCAGGAGCTCTTGCCAGGCAGGCCTGGTGGTAACAAAATCCTTCAGCATTTGCTTGTCTGGAAAGGATTTTATTTCTCCTTTGCTTATGAAGCTTAGTTTGGCTGGATATGAAATTCTGGGTTGAAAATTCTTTGCTTTAAAAATGTTGAATATTGGCCCCCAATCTTTTCTGGCTTGTAGAGTTTCTGCTGAGAGGTCTGCTGTTAGTCTGATGGGCTTCCCTTTTTAGGTGACCTGGCCTTTCTCTCTGGCTGCCCTTAATAGTTTTTCCTTCATTTTGACCTTGGAGAATCTGATGATTATGTATCTTGGGGATGATCTTCTCATGGAGTATCTTAATTTTTTTCTCCATATTTCTGGAATTTGCATGTTGGCCTGTCTTCCTAGGTTGGGGAAGTTCTCCTGGATAATATCGTGAAGTGTGTTTTCCAGCTTGTTTCCATTCTCCTCCCATCTGCTTCTGGTACTCCAGTCAATCATAGGTTCTTTCTTTTTATGAAGTCTCATATTTCTTGGAGGCTTAGTTCATTCCCTTTTAATCTCTTTTCTCTATTTTTATCTGCATGTCTTATTTCAGTAAGGTGGTCTTCAAACTCTGATATCCTTTCTTCCACTTGGTCGATTTGGCTGTTGATACTTGTGTATGCCTCACAAAATTCTCATGCTGTGTTTTTCAGCTCCATCAGGTCATTTGTGTTCCTCTCTAAACTGGTTATTCTAGTGAGCAATTCCTTAACCTTTTATCAAGGTTCTTAGCTTCTTTGCATTGGGTTAGAACATGCTCCTTTAGCTCAGCATAGTTTTTCATTACCTGTCTTCTGAAGCCTACTTCTGTCAATTTGTCCATCTGATTCTCCGTCCAGTTCTGTGCCCTTGATGGAGAGATGTTGCGATCATTTGGAGGAGAAGAGGCACTCTGGCCTTTTGGGTTTTCAGCATATTTTCATTTATTCTTTCTCATCTTCATGAGTTTGTCTAGTTTTGGTCTTTGAGGCTGCTGTGGGGGCCTTTTTGTTGTTGTTGTTGATGCTGGTTTTGTCGCTTTCTGCTTATTTGTTTTTCTTTCAATAGTGAATACCTCTTCTGTAGGGCTGCTGCAGTTTGCTGGGGGTTCACTTCAGGCCCTGTTCATCTGATTCGCTCCCATGCCTGGAGATGTCACTCAAGGAGACTGGAGAGTACCAAAAATGCATGCCTCCACTTTCTTCTGGGACCTCTGACCTCTAGGGGCACCAACCTGATGCCAGCAGGATTGCTCCTGTATAGGATGTCTGACAATCTCTGTTGGAGGTTCTCACCCAGTTGGGTGGCATGGGGAACAGGACCTGTATAACAAACCACTTTGTCCCTTGGTAGACATGGTGTGTTTCACTGGCGGGGGGACCCACTTGCCTGGGCTGTCCTCAGAACTACCTGGAGGAAAGGGTAAGTTTGCTGGTCCGCAGAGACTGAGGCCCCCCTCCCACTATGGGCTCAGGCCCAGGGAGGTCCGAATTCTGTCCCTGAGCTTCTGGCTGGAGTTATTGGAGATCCTGTGAGGAAGCCCTTCCCACTGAGGAAGGATGGGTCAGAGTTAGGCCTGAAAAGGCACTCTGGCCGAAGACTGCCACAGCTGGTTTGTTGGACTATGGGGACAAGTCTTGGGATCAAGCCGTCCCACCTCTCTGGCTCCAGCAGGGAAAAAGTGCAGCCTGGAGCCATAGAAATGGGTGCTGCCTACTGGCAAACCGAATCCAGCAGCACATCAAAAAGCTTATCCACCCTGATCAAGTGGGCTTCATCCCTGGGATGCAAGGCTGGTTCAATATACGCAAATCAATAAATGTAATCCAGCATATAAACAGAACCAAAGACAAAAACCACATGATTATCCCAATAGTTGCAGAAAAGGCCTTTGACAAAATTCAACAACCTTCATGCTAAAAACTCTCAATAAATTAGGTATTGATGGGACGTATTTCAAAATAATAAGAGCTATCTATGAAAAACCCACAGCCAATATCATACTGAATGGGCAAAAACTGGAAGCATTCCCTTTGAAAACTGGCAAAAGATAGGGATGTCCTCCCTCACCACTCCTATTCAACATAGTTTTGGAAGTTCTGGCCAGGGCAATTAGGCAGGAGAAGGAAATAAAGGGTATTCAATTAGGAAAAGAGGAAGTCAAATTGTCCCTGTTTGCAGAAGACATGATTGTATATCTAGAAAACCCCATCGTCTCAGCCCAAAATCTCCTTAAGCTGATAAGCAACTTCAGCAAAGTCTCAGGATACAAAATCAATGTACAAAAATCACAAGCATTCTTATACACCAACAACAGACAAATAGAGAGCCAAATCATGAGTGAACTTCCATTCACAATTGCTTCAAAGAGAATAAAATACCTAGGAATCCAACTTACAAGGGATGTGAAGGACCTCTTCAAGGAGAACTACAAACCACTGCTCAAGGAAATAAAAGAGGATACAAACAAATGGAAGAACATTCCATGCTCATGGGTAGGAAGAATCAATATCGTGAAAATGGCCATACTGCCCAAGGTAATTTACAGATTCAATGCCATCCCCATCAAGTTACCAATGACTTTCTTCACAGAACTGGAAAAAACTACTTTCAAGTTCATATGGCACCAAAAAAGAGCCCGCATCGCCAAGTCAATCCTAAGCCAAAAGAACAAAGCTGGAGGCATCACACTACCTGACTTCAAACTATACTACAAGGCTACAGTAACCAAAACAGCATGGTACTGGTACCAAAACAGAGATATAGATCAATGGAACAGAACAGAGCCCTCAGAAATAACGCCACATATCTACAACTATCTGATCTTTGACAAACCTGACAAAAACAAGCAATGGGGAAAGGATTCCCTATTTAATAAATGGTGCTGGGAAAACTGGCTAGCCATATGTAGAAAGCTGAAACTGGATCCCTTCCTTACACCTTATACAAAAATCAATTCAAGATGGATTAAAGACTTAAACGTTAGACCTAAAACCATAAAAACCCTAGAAGAAAACCTAGGCATTACCATTCAGGACATAGGCATGGGCAAGGACTTCATGTCTAAAACACCAAAAGCAATGGCAACAAAAGCCAAAATTGACAAATGGGATCTCATTAAACTAAAGAGTTTCTGCACAGCAAAAGAAACTACCATCAGAGTGAACAGGCAACCTACAAAATGGGAGAAAATTTTCGCAACCTACTCATCTGACAAAGGGCTAATATCCAGAATCTACAATGAACTCAACCAAATTTACAAGAAAAAAACAAACAACCCCATCAAAAAGTGGGCAAAGGACATGAACAGACACTTCTCAAAAGAAGACATTTATGCAGCCAAAAAACACATGAAAAAATGCTCATCATCACTGGCCATCAGAGAAATGCAAATCAAAACCACAATGAGATACCATCTCACACCAGTTAGAATGGCAATCATTAAAAAGTCAGGAAACAACAGGTGCTGGAGAGGATGTGGAGAAATAGGAACACTTTTACACTGTTGGTGGGACTGTAAACTAGTTCAACCATTGTGGAAGTCAGTGTGGCGATTCCTCAGGGATCTAGAACTAGAAATACCATTTGACCCAGCCATCCCATTACTGGGTATATACCCAAAGGACTATAAATCATGCTGCTATAAAGACACATGCACACGTATGTTTATTGCGGCACTATTCACAATAGCAAAGACTTGGAACCAACCCAAATGTCCAACAATGATAGACTGGATTAAGAAAATGTGTCACATATACACCATGGAATACTATGCAGCCATAAAAAATGATGAGTTGATGTCCTTTGTAGGGACATGGATGAAATTGGAAATCATCATTTTCAGTAAACTATCGCAAGAACAAAAAACCAAACACCGCATATTCTCACTCACAGGTGGGAATTGAACAATGAGAACACATGGACACAGGAAGGGGAACATCACACTCTGGGGACTGTTGTGGGGTTGGGGGAGGGGGGAGGGATAGCATCGGGAGATATACCTAATGCTAGATGACGAGTTAGTGGGTGCAGCGCACCAGCATGGCACATGTATACATATGTAACTAACCTGCATATTGTACACATGTTCCCTAAAACTGAAAGTAAATAATGATAAAAAAAAAAAAAAAAAAGAAATGGGTGCTGCCTTTTCCCAGCCCAGAGAGCTTAGCGTGTTAGGCAGTTGCCAATCCCAGTGCTGGCTGCTACCCCTCCCACAAGGAGCTCAAATGGCTTAGACAGCAAGCAGCCGCAGCCCTTGCTGGTTGCACCCCACCCCGCCACCTCCTCCCCAGGAGTTCCCTAGCCTTAAGCAGATTCCAGCTGAGAGGCTGTAAGAATCTGCACATTCTGGGGTTGGGAGGATAGGCCCTGGTGGTGTGGGTTCAGAAGTGGGATCTTCTGATCTGTGGGGTTGCACAGTTCCATGGAAAATGCACAGTAGTGTGCTCACTCACTGCCTCCCTTGGCTCGGGGGAGGTTCCTCTTCTTGTGTGGCTCTGAGGTAGACCGCTGCACCATACTACTCATCCTTCTCTCCCTGGGTCACGCCAGCCTTCTATTCAATTTTGATGAGATAACCTGGATACCTTGGTTGCCGGTGAAGGATTCACTTGCTTATTATGTTTTTTTTAATTTTTTTTTTTGATGGGAGCCTCGGAAAGCCTCTGTTTCTTCTAGTCGGCTCTCTTGGCCCTGCCCCTGTAGTAAACTTTTAATAAGCATTGTTGATATTCATATTTTTACCATCAGGCTACCTGCATTTCATTTCTGGCTGGGGCCAGCTGAGTGGCTATAGGAAATAAGTTATCCTTCACTGTTCCCAGTTTCCTCACGTGTAAACATGGGAATAACAACAGCATCTCTGATAAGTTTTTTGTGAATGGGACAACTAGGTAAGCACCTAGTAAGCATTTCATGGCAATCTTCTGCTGTGGTCTTTCTGTCTTGTTCCATAAAAGCATTTAGCTCATGTCTCTATCTCAGGGTCACTAGAAAATTTGAATTTGCTGTGTAGAAATTGCTTTTAGAATCAGTTTTGTTGGAACACTTCTATTTCAGAAAGGGAGATACCTTAGCTCATTTCATAAGGTTTTTTT
Source organism: Homo sapiens (assembly GCF_000001405.40). NCBI lineage: Eukaryota > Metazoa > Chordata > Mammalia > Primates > Hominidae > Homo > Homo sapiens. The sequence goes on along the minus strand of NC_000004.12, from coordinate 13,130,209 downwards.
TTTTTTTTCTATCCTTCTTTCACTTAAAAGCAATCTAGCTGAAGGGCCATAAATTGTTGAGAAAAAGCTTGGACTCTCAGTCAGTCAATGTTGATCTTGATTTTCTTCGCTACCTCACATGGGATGGGGAGTCTTAGAAAGTTACTTGTCTCCCTGACCCTCAGTTTCCTCGTCTATAACATAGGGATGATGAGATGAAGTAAAGTATAGGGACATCCCTCCCAAGAACTTGCCACAGAATTATACGAATGAATGTTTACTTCCTTATTTGCATAGACATCTTCAGCTGTCTGTTTCTGTCACCTTCTTTTCCTCCACATGTAGTACCATAATCCTTGTAAGCATTTGTAAATTCTGCTAGTTAATTAGTTTCATACAGTGTTGCTGGGTGGCTTAATACCCTTTCCTAGCACTCCTGAGAATATATGAAATACAAGACATGCATTCTTACCATAAAGTTATATTGAGGAATTTAATGAACAGAAAATGCCATATACTTTCTGTATTAAAATTAAGTATGTAGCTTGAATATAGACACAATTCCTGGGCAATCTTGTTCTGTCAAACCTGTTTTCTCTGCCTGTCCAAGACTCTTGGAAGCATGAGATATTTCCTGATGTTGGCTTTGTGGTTTGCATGTTATCAGAGAATGCTGCTGAATGAAGGGACTTTGATCTGTCCAGAGCACACATTAATAGTGGATTAAGCTATGTCCCATTAGCCATTATCCAGGCATAGGGTCTTATTTTGAATGAAGGGAGGCTGGTCGTGAAAAAAGTCTTGTGTGTTGGGAAAAAAAAGATGCAGCTGTGCTTTGAACTCATGACACGGTCTCGACTGCAGTGGGGATGCCGTTCTACCTTCTGCTGAGGCTTCGATAATTAATGAGTAAATCCACATAAAGCATTCAGAGCACTCCTGTGCATAGCAAGCCCTTGGCATGAATCCATTACTCTTATGCTCACTCTCATCATTAGCATTACCATCAGAATGGTCTCATGACCTGTGCATACTCATTGCAGGGAATCTCAGAGAAAGTTGGTAAAACTCTTCTTGGAGTCACCATCTAAGGGCTCCTGCCAGATCATCTCTTGGGGATGTGGATAAAATTCACTCAAGTTGCCATCTTCTGGGAATTTGTACCCCTTGCCATTGGCTTAGGCTGTTCAGTTGGCCTTAGGCAACTGGTAGTTCCAGGCTAACTTCTTGCTGATTTTATGGGTGGGGAGAGCAAGAAGGAGACGTTAATTAGCTTTTGAGGAGAAGTCACCAATTTTAACCTTTTCCGTTCCTTTCTTTTGTTTGAGGGTTATTTTCAATCTCTGTTGGGTTCTCTATTCTCCAGTTAGTCTGCCAAAATTTCTTAGGCTACTCGAATTCTTCATTCATCCATTCATTCACTCACGATCATCAAAAAAGCACTTATTGAGTGTCTGCTGTGTACTAGGCGTTGCTACGGAATGTATCAGTGAACAAAAGATACACAAGTCTTCCTCCTGATGAGTCTTGCATTCTAACGTTGTGGCTGTGTCAGGAATGGGGTGGGGACTGACAAACATAAATACAAATATAATCATGCTACCTCAGATAGCTATGAATGCCACAGTAAAAACAAAAACAAACTGGGTAAAATCTGTTAGATGTGCCAAAGATGTGGGGAGCTGTAGTTTAGAAAAAATTGACTTTTCTGAGGGCAGTTTTAGTTTTATTGATAAACTGAGTAGAGTATGAGAGTTTCCATATATCTCTAAACAGTTTTTCCTATTATTAACATCTTGCATTAGTGTAGTACATGTGTTACAACTGATGAATCAATACTGATATATTATTATTAATTAAAGCCCATAATTAAAGTTAGGGTTCACTGTGTACAGTTGTATGGGTGATGAGTAGTGTTTTGTTTTGTTTTGTTTTGTTTTGAGACTGAGTGTCGCTCTGTCACCCAGGCTGGAGTGCAGTGGTGCGATCTCGGCTCACTACAACCTTTGCCTCCTGGGTTCAAGCAATTCTCCTGCCTCAGCCTCCTGAGTAGCTGGGACTACAGGCACGTGCCACCACACCCAGCTAATTTTTGTATTTTTAGTAGAAATGGGGTTTCACCATGTTGGCCAGGATGGTCTCGATCTCTTGACCTCATGATCCGCCCTCCTTGGCTTCCCAAAGTGCTGGGATTACAGGTGTGAGCCACCATGCCCGGCCAATCAGAGTTTTTTAAAGGGTGATGTAACAGACACCTCCTGTGCCTGCCTGGCATTATCTCAAGTCCCCTTTCTGTTCCCCCTTAATTAAGCTGCAGCTTCTCTGCCTGCTGCCTGAGGTACCTGGAGGGCACCACTCAGACATTCTGATGAGGGCACGTGCAAACCTGGATGTGCAAGGGGATTAATTTCTAGCATCTCACAGGGAAACTCTCCACCGATGGAGGGTGAAAGTTGGTGGATAACAGCCCCCTCTTCTGTCCCTTGGGTCACAACTCTGAGGTGCTTTCTACACAGCTGCTCAGAGGGGACCTAGCAGAGTCTACCCAGGTGCTTTTATCTCTGTTGCTCTCCTTACAGCCCCACTAGCCAGGCACATTTCTTGTGATCACTTATCCAAATAAACTGCCTCCAAGGAAGCCCTTGTTTCAGGTTCTGCTTTCTGGAGGACTTGTGCCAAGTCAGCTCCATTTCTTATCTATGAAGTGGAAGCAATGATTACACTTCGCTCGTAGGACAAAGCACTGTTTGTTTAGGTAAATTTAGAACAGTGCCAGGCTCATAGTAAGCCTTCATTAAATATTAGTTATCATGATGAGAATCCATTATATTTGTATATGTGTTGTTGTTTGTGGAGCCTGTCCATACACATTATTTTATTTTAGCCTCATATTAACCCTGTGAAATAGATAATAATAATTATCCCTATTTTGCAGACAATGAAACTGAAAACCAGCTTAGGGAAATGACTTGGTCAAGGTTATGTGATTGAGAAGCGGAACAGCCAGGTCTGGTAGATGCCTCAAACCATAGAACACATGAGCTGAAGTGGAGCTGATGTTTTCACTGAATACACGATGACACAGGCACAGAGAGGTCAACTGATTTCTCAGGGTCACACAGCTCTTCAGCAAATATTCCGAGGCTAAGATCCTAGACTTTCAGGCTTCTAGTACAGAGCTTTGTTAGGGTGGGAAATTAATAGAGATAGAGCATGCTGTCTGGGTTTCAGTTGAATGCACAGATCAGAGATAATAATTCTGTTCTCCCATCCTCCTGCCTCAGTTTACATTATTTTTTCCTTGTTATTCTTGCTAAGCAGTGTATTCAAACTTTTATAAAAGGCAAAGAAATACCTGCTTTTGAAAGAGCAGTTTCCAATGACTCATTTAGGAGGAAATCTGCTTATGAACCAGGATATTGGAAGATTGAATAATTTGAACGATGTTTGTTTTTCTGACCTGGATTTAGCTCTTGTGAAGTTTTCTGCATCAATAGCTCAGGAGATTGAAATATTATTTTCTTTCCTTTATATTCCCCAGTGAAGGTCGCAGGGACTGACCTTCCATCACCCTGAGATGCCACAGCATGACTTGAAGGTGACCCAGACTGACCACATCTCGGGGTTTTTTGAGCCATTCAGTTTCCATATTCGTTTAGTCACTGGGCTTTTTATGTGTGATTTTTGGTGACCATGAAATTGAGAGATGAAGAGGCTTGCCTGCTGCCAAAGACTGTGTGGCGAAGGCTCCGTGTGAGTTCCCCTCGGTTTGCCAGCGCACTTTATTCCTAACTTTGGGCTTTCCTCCCTCTCTTGTCCTCAGCCTTCCCAAGCAGCACCAGCAATGCTCAACAAGGCCTAATTGATTTGCAAGGTCCAAGAGTCATGGGTTTTAGCAATTAGGCAGAACAACTGTCCCCTCATGTGACCAGAAGTATGTGTTAAAGTTGTTTTTTTTTGAAATCACTCTTTTATTTTTAAATACAGAAATAAGACAGAAAGAGTTAATAGTATGACCTCCACAAATCATTTCTTAATTTTTATAATGTAACAGCAAGTAAGCTTTACGTGAGGCTTACATGGAGCAGGCCCTCTTCTAAGCACTTTGTATATAACATATCATTTAGTCTTCACTACAACCCTACGAGGCAGTGTCTATCATCATCCTCAAAGTCTTCCTCATTATTGTTGTTGTTATTTAACAAAGAAATAAACCAATACACTAAAGCACATAAGGGTGCACTGACAAACCTAAGATCACACTCTAGTAAGTAAATGGTTGGGATTTGAACAGCCTGGCTCCAGAGCCCATGCTCTAAACCATTATCTAAAAAATTAGAAGGGAAAGGAATCATCACAGCCAACCCTCTTGTTCACTCATGTGGAAATTTACTCATGTAGCACAGACAGGGGAGTTAACGCTTCTAACATCACACAGCATGTTAATGGCTGCTTGATTCCAGTCTGAAGTTCTTTTGCCTTCTGCAGAGTGGACCTCTATCTGTGAAGTTTAGGGAGGAAACCTAATGCATTAGACACTGAGATTGAAGCAGCTATTAAATGACTTTTTATTCGAGGTAGGATAAGCAGCCTGCATAGAAAGGCAAGAAGGAGGTGGTGGCGCAAATGGGGAGTATGTGTGTGGGGGAAGGAGGATACTGAATTTAGAAATTGTGTTGCATTAGGCTCTGGCCATGTTCCAAATATTTTCATTCGTTATTATTATTTTTATGGGAAAAGGAACCTGCAACAGTTTAGGCTCGGCTATGTGCCTTCAGGCATTGGTTTGTCAAATTTGGATCCAATGCCAAGTCAGCACAGTGGGTGTTCATGGGTGGTGTGTTTATGTGTGTGTGTCCATGTGCTCAGGTGTTTGCGTGTGCCTTTCTCCGTGTGTGTCCGTGGTGTTGGCGTGAAAAGCAGTCCATCCTAGGACTTACTTGCTGTTTCTTACCTCCAGCCCACCTCCCTAATGTGTCAAGAATTATAAATTAATCACCTGGCTGGTTTGCACTGAACTTACTAGTGTTTATGAAAGGGAATTCATTGGATATGCCTGTTAATGGAACACGTGTAATAATACTAAAGCCTGTGATTAAAAAGAAATTTAAGACCCATGAGTTTTTAGTAGAAAAACATGTCATTTGAGTGTTTATTTGCTGGTGTAAAATGGGTGATTTTTAATGGGGGGAGGTTGCCTATTTTAATTTTTGGAGGTCCATGTTATTCACACAGAATGTTGGCAATGCTCTTGCAGAAGTCCTTTTAGATTGTGTTTAGTAGAGGACTCTTTCAATAAAGTAGGACATGTTTATTGCTTCATTCTTCAATGGAAAATAAATTGCAGAATAGTTCTGCTCATGGGTTTTATTCATTGATTTACCCAAAATTTATTTCTTACCTATCACTTATCAAGCACAGGGCTATGGTGTGATTGATTGAGAGATGAATATACTTGGTGCTTGAATACATGTGGTCCTCAGATGGCCCATAGCCTGATGAAGGGTGGACATATGAAAAAATGATTTCAATGCTTGCTCCGAGGGAAGTATGAAAAGGGCAATGTGAAGTCAGAGGCTTCCCAGAGAAGGCAGAATTTAAGCTGAGCCTTATCCAGTTAATCAAGACAGGGGAGACCATTCTAAAATGAAAAATTGTATTGCAAATTTATGGGGTCTTGGGAGCAAAATGTGCTTGGGGAGAACTGTAAGTTGTTTCTACACTCGGAGAATAAGTGCTGGTTACCTAAAAAGTAATTATTGCTTGAATTCTCTCATTCATTCCCTTATTCATTCAGTTGCATGAAGATGCAGTTCTCATTCATGTGTGTGTGTTTGTAGACACACATGCATATATTTAATATTCCTTGGTGAAATGTGGTACCTTGATTTTCTTACATTTTAATGAGATTTAATCATCCACATTATCTTATAGTGAGGTGTAGAAAGTTCTGCATGTAAAATGAAACTAGTTGATTTTGGCTTTTCAGAAGTTTGCCTGTGGGTTTTTAAAAAATCATTTAATTTTCCAGAGAAAGCGTAATTTCTCCACAAATCCTATTTATCTTTTGAAATGGCAAGGAAAACAAACTGCTTTGGATTTCATGGTACTGGAAGACATTGCAAAATCTCTACATATTTTGGGGACATCTGAGTACAGGTTTAGAAGCTTGAGATGTCTTTAAGAGAAAAGTTCTTTGAGTTTCACTTTTTATTTTTAGCTTTGCTAGTAGATTTCGGAAAAGTGGAAATAAGGCCCTGTGTTTTTGGGCTTTTTAAAATTCAAGCAAATAAGCCTTCATTAATTTTTCATTCACTACATGTTGATTGAGACTTAAGAGAGGGCATGGGATGAAATCAACCCAATCTCTGCTCTCACAAAGTTCACAATCTGTTGGGGGAAAAGAGCAAACAATGGGACTGGCAGAGATAGTCGAGGTTGTTGTGAAAAAAAAAATCTTGAAAAAGAAGAGTGATATGCTAAGTTTTAAAGAACTGGAGCGCAGAAGCTGGGAGCAACATTCCAGGCAGAGGAGTAATCATGGCCTAAGACAGAGAGGAGAGACTAGGCCACCATCTGATTTTTGAAGGATGGGTGACCTGTTAGAGATGCTAAGTTTTTGCTTTGAGACCACTTGACTTTTCTGCTTCCCAGATGTAGAAATGGTAGATAAAATATAATAAATGGGAAGAAACCCACAGTGATTCAAAAATAGAATAAACATTTCTGTGGTTCAGAAAATGAAAAGAAATATGAAGCTGAGAGGGTCAGGGAGCCCTGATGGTCTCTGAATTCCCAAAAAGGCAGGAGAGCTTGGAGTCAGACTCTGGTGGGTAACTGGGACTAAATCACCTGAATGGTCCAGGATCACTGCTCCTCAACAGTGCTGGGATGTGGTTCTTCTTGCTGATGGAACTGCTGCCTTTTAGTTTGTATGAAGTTATACACCTTTTAATTATGGGCCAAGCACATCTCCTGTCTCAGTGACTACATCTGTGAGTGTTTCTGGAGGCACGGGCTCCTAGCTCCCATATAAGAATAGTTCTGGGCGGAGGCTCCCGGGATCGCAAATGAAAGCAGACAAACCTGGACATGGAGGGAAAAATGAAAATGCAGCAGATGCCTTCCCTCCCACAGAGAGAAACAACAACACCTCCCATCCAAAATATACCTATAAACAAAAGTTACAAAACACAGAAAAAAAATTAAAGGCAGTCAATAAAATTCATGGTTCAGTGTGTCATGGCAAATGAAATAAAAATAATAAAACTGTCTGAAAAAAATTAAAAAATTAATAGGGGATAATCAAGAATCTATAAAGAAATATATCATGAACCAAAACAGGTGACTAGTTAAACAGGAGCATGTGTATATTTTAAAAATTGAAAAGTTAAATTGGAAATTAAAGATTTAATCATAGAAAGAAAAACAAGTAATTGATGGAATACACTCTGAACTGAATAAGGCAGAAACATTTAATAAATTGGAAGATAATACTAATTTACATAAATATAGAAAGAGCTATAAAAGTAAAAATTATGAAAATGGTAGAAAAGAGGTTTTTGAAAGTACAATGGCTGTAAATTTCACAGAGTTGAAGATAAGAGAACTGAGTCAGGTAAATAAAAAGAAAGCTAACCATCATAGCAAACCATCATAGTAAAATGGTAGAATATTAAATCTAAAAATTAAAATAAAAACCCTTAAAGCTAAAAGAGAGAAGAGATAGATTAACAACAAAGTTATTACAGAAGTACAATAATTTCTCCTTATCAGAATAGATGCTAGAAGGCAGTAGGACAATGTCTTCAAAATAATACAAGAAAATAACTGCCAATTTATAATTTTATAGCCAGGTAAATTATCATTTGAGAGAGGGTGAACTAAAGAAAATTTTAGACAAGCAAATATTAAGGGAATTTACCTTCCACAGCTCTCACTAAAATAGCTAATGAGGAATGTACTCAAAAAAGAAGAAAAGTAAACACAGTACAAAGAGATAGTTGTAAGTAAAAATAGTGAGCACAGAAATGAACAGAATATCTTGGTCTTATTAAAGATGAAAAACATCAAAAAAAGAAAAATACAAAACTAAATGTCAAGGTAACAACAAAAAAGAAGACACTGGGCTTTAAATGGGTAGTTGAAACTTGATAACTTTCTTGACTTGTGTGGAGGGGGCTAAAAGTAGTAATTTTAGATTTTTTAGAAAATTATAAAGTTTAATGTTAGGCACTAAAATTGAAACACAGTTTAAGATTGCAAGCAAATTATTAGGGTGAGGGAGGAGTATAAAGGGGGGTTCAATCCTGTCTGTAATGCTTTACTTTTTTTACAATAGCCCATGAAATATGTTCAATCTGGGTGATGGGTACAAAGGTATAATTATTTTCTGTATTTTAACATTTGTTTAAATATTTCATACAGAGTATTTCATTGGTGTGAGGACCATGTGGCAAATGTCTCTTTTCACTGTTCCCTAGATGTGATTTTTAAGCCATGGTGGAATGTCTGTAGAATCCTTCATCTATGCCAGTCTTCCTCATTCACTTCTCTGTTAGGTCTCAGTCACCTAAAAGAGAAAAAAAAAATTTAAAAGATGTTATTTTCATGCATCAAATTAACCAACTTCTAGATAAGACCTTACTTTCTATAAGCAACTAAAGAAGACCTTATATACTAAATACGGTCCTCAATGTCTATCATTTTTAATGGCCAATAAACTCCGTGAAGGTTGAGACTCTGCCAGGTTTGTTTAACTTTGCATTATCGGAGATGGTGACCTGACGTGAATACTGGTTTAATAAATATATGGACAAAAGGAAGAATTGCTGGATTTACCCAATAACCAGTTCTCTACTATGCCCAACTCTTCCATGACTTTGTGCTTTTTCACCAGCTATTCTTTCTACCATCTAGAAATGACTTTTACCTCCTAGTTCACTAGGAAAGTTTCCCTTCCTATTATTTCTGTTCCTAGTAGACTAGAAGCTCTATTAAGGCAGAAATCTTGTCTTTCTCCAGTGCTGAATGTTGATCACCTGTTGCATATGTAGAAAAAACGTTTTCTTATTTATGAGCCCAGAGTAGACATCACCTGTTCTTAAAGCCTTTCTTGACACAGTTTCCTTTACCTCCATGCTTTCTATCCCAGATGGAGTTAATTATGACAATTTTTAAAATGATATATACTTAGTGTATATTTCCATGGCTGCAATTAGTAGATTGTATTTTAAGTAATTGTCTCCCTCACTGGATATTAATTCTTCAAGTACCAGTTTTATATATTTTTATCTCCATAGTCCTATGTTGCTTGTCCGTTGTGCAGAACAGCGCAAGCCTTCTAAATTTACTAGCCGAATTGAATTATATCCATTTATAAGCAGTGGTCTACACATTCCCTGAAATACTCAAAATCCACCTGATGGCACTTCCTGTCTCTAAGAGATGGCAAAGGGATCCCAGCACACAGTTAAATCATTTGGTGCATCTGAGGGAGCCTGGAATTAGTCATTTAAGATAGATGCCTAGGAAAGGTTAAGATAATGTGAAAAGTGGGGAGGACAATTGGTAATTAACCTCATCTTATCTACTCAGGTCAGTGACCAAGGAGTCACTGAGGATCCACACAAGCCCTCCTGCAGGGAGGACTCTTTTGCTCTCTCAGTCCCCTACTGCTGCCATCTGTTGATAATTACTGTCCAGTCTCTGCTGAGAATGTGTGATATTTAATATTTCCTCACCACTTGAATAAACATGTGGCAATAACAGCAAGGTACTTGGCCACAGGGGTAGAAAGATGTATTTGCATGAAAGAGTCAGTGTACACCTTGGACCAGGCAAACAACTGCCTTCTCTTTGCGAAGTTACAAGAAGTCCCCATGTTTGAGAACCTGGAGAATAGGTACATTGAATTAAGTAGTATTTTTGGAAGAAGACTCTTAAAATCCAAAATATCAAGAAGATTGGAAAACAAAACAGAACAGCCTCCTTTTACAACTAATGTGATTTTTCTCTTAATGAGCAATCCTGAAGTTTTCCCAGGTAACTTTTCAGCATTTTAGAGAAAGTTGGGATGCTTGCCACACAGCTAAGAAAGAAGAAATGTATTTTATATTTTGCACACTTGAAAAAAAAGCTATTCTAATCAAAAAGCCTTTATTCCATCCAGTCCTTTTGGAGGTTTGGAGGGAAGAAGTTTCTAGTTTCATTTGCAGGCAGGAAAGTTCAACTTCCTGTTTCAAAATAACAAGAGGGTTCAACAGGGATAAACTCTGTCTTGCTTTGCTCAAACAATAACCTCTACGTTACTGATGTCATTAGAAACAGACTGATTGGGTTCGTTAAGCATTTGGATCTGAGACAGAGTAAGGTGGAGCCACCAATGGCATGTAGATAAATAAACGCAGTCCATTGGTCCGTTGGCCATCTTGAGTGAGGTGGCAGCTGGGTTTGTGGCGTGAGGCAAGAGTGGGCATTGTTGCTAGCACTAAAAGAGAAAATAAATCATTCTCTGATCTTGTTTCTCCTTATCATTCATTTCCATTTGAGAGCGCCAATACTTGTCATGAATGTTTTTTTTTCTCCTCAACATTTATTATGAAAATTCGTAGACATGCAGAAAAGTTGAATGAATTTTAGAGTGAGCACAACACCAATATACCTACCACGTAGAATTTATCACGAGCATTTTACTCTACTTGCTATATCATGTCTATCAATCTATCTCCTCTTATAGCCTTTAATCAACCCACATTATTTTTTGATGCATTTTAAATCATATTGCAGGCAGTCATGAATGCCTTGACCATCTACTGTCATCCAAAATAAAACCTGTTATTTTAGACTCTCTTTTCTTTATTGCAAAGATCTGCCCTAGAGATTACAGCAGGAATTGTTATTCTTTACCTTGCTATCTCCCAAATGACCAGTCCATAAAAGTTACTGGCCATTTGGGAGATAAGAAATAATTAAGACAAGTATATACACAATCACACATTATGATCAGAATCATGAAAGAAAAAGCAGAATAAAATGGGATTTTTAAGATGGTGTTTTTCCCTTCAATCCACCATCTTCTACAGTGCCACCAAAATGAAATCTTGGAGTACAGCTTGGATCATGCCACTGATTTTACATGTCTGGCAGGATAAACCCAAAGACTATTAGCAGGACAGAAATGTACTTTCATGACATGGCTAGATAAAGTTTATTTCCATTCAAGAAGTATTTATTGGCTCCCTATAATATGCTGAGTGCATTATGATAGATGTTGCACATGTTAGAATAAGCACATTATGGTCACTACCCTTGAAAAATCAGGTTGAGGAAACAGATAATTTCAGTATGATGCTTAAAATGCTATGCAAGCATAAAGGAGGAGTGACACAAGCTATAAATCATTCAGAATTTACTGAAGCATACATTGTAAAGTCAAGTGGATAGTGACGAGTCTTGAATGCTGGCTTATGGAGGGACAGAATAATGGGTAAAGAGGGTGGATGCTTTGCTGTAGGGAAGGAGGAACCACTGAAGCAGTTGGAAATATTAGGCAAAGGATGGGTAGGAGGGTGGTAGGAGCGGGCAACACTGTAAGCAGGAAAAGAAGTTAGGAGCACTGGAGTAACACAGATAAAATGAGCTGAAGTCACTGGTTGTAAAAATGAAGAAGGCACTAGTTTAGAGTAGCATTAGAGGGTCAGAAGCTTTTAAAAATGGAATGGCTGAGCTCAGAGCTGAGGCAAAGGGGAAGGCCAAAAATGAAACCCGATTTTCTGACTTGGGTGGTTGAGGGAATGGTACATCCAATGATTAGGACTGAAAATATTAAGAAACAGAAAAATATTAATTTAGTTTTGAAGGCTAAATTTAAAGTGCCTGGAAGCCATTCAAGTGGAGATGCCTACAACATGGTGGCCATGTGAATTTGAAGCTCAAGAAAGAATTGGGGCATCTAGGTGGATTCTGGTTAAAAGCATAAAAGTGGATGGAACACCTCAGAGTTATCTCACACAAGGGGTGAGAAATTTCTAGTAATTTTGTACCAACTTTCAGTGGTCATTGATGAGGGGTCCTGGAAGTGGAGTGTTTTACACACATCTGGCCTACCTTTATAGTTAGATAGCCACAAGAAAATAACAAGTTCACATTCCTTTATTTTACTGAGTTGACTTGTTTAGAACCCAGCTCTACTAATTTTTATTTTAGTTATTTTTCCTTTGCATTCATCTCCACTCCATTCTCAGTTGTACACTGCCCATCCATTTCTCCTTCCAGTCATTCATTCGTAACCTTAACAAGCATGTAATAGGTACCTCCCACATGCCAGGCAGGACTAGGTGCTGTCTCTGGAAGTGTTGGCAATGGAACCTTCCATATACACATTTTTTAAGAACCTCAACTTCACTCACTTCCAATTGTCTTCACTTCCTGAAAGAGGGATTGTGTTTAGACTTAGAGGAAGAACTGAAGGGTGGGAAAGCTGGAATGACACCTCTCAAGGGCCCTGAGGCTTGAATGACACGGTGTTGAGGTGATGTGGAAAATGATCCCTCTCTGAGAGAGCATGCACTACTTCATCTTATGCAAACTGCAAAGAACTCCCTGTCTGTATTCGTGAAAGGAAAATTCATGTTTCCTATGGCCTTTAACTCCTAATCTTTACTGGTTACGAGAGGGTATTCCAAGCAGTGGAGTGCTTAATAAATATTATATTGTTTGCTAATGGCAATGCTATTTGGGGGTGATATTTCCTTCTGAATGTGCTAGCCTGGTTTAACAAATCTGCTGTGTGTAGTTTTGCCTTTCATTGTGCTGGTTGAGATGTCTCAGGGGCACCTTCAGCAGGGGCTGAGAAACAGTTCAGAAATGCAGAAGTAAATGAGTCTGCTGGATGCGTTAATAGTTTTTGTCTGTGTTGACTTCCCCTCTGTTGAAGGAATGTAACAAATACCAAGGGGCTCTGCTATGTTAAGTAAATGTTTGTGTGCATTCTCACTGTGACGATGTGTGATGCTTGGAGGGCCTGCAGAGTATTTCTCTGTGCACTTATTTGTTTTTATACACTTTTGTATGCAACTATGGTCAGTCCTGACCTAACTCATCCCTTATCTATACTCAGCTTTTTAGAAATGCCTTATTTAGGCCTAGTGCGGTGGCTCACACCTGTAATCCCAACACTTTGGGAGGCCAAGGCAGGTAGATCACTTGAGGTCAGGAGTTCAAGAACAGCCTGGCCAACATGGTGAAGCCCCATCTTCACTAAAAATAAAAAAATTAGCTGAGCATGGTGGCGCACACCTGTAGTCCCAGCTACTTGGGAGGCTGAGGCAGGAGAATTGCTCGAACCTGGGAGGCAGAGGTTGCACAGGTTTCAGTGAGCTGGGATCGCGCCACTGCACTCAGCCTGGGCAACAGAGCTAGACTGTCTCCATAAAAAAAGAGAAACAAATAATTTATTTGAACAAATGACAAATGGTATGGGTACCCTTTTCTAATTTCCCTTTGCTCTCACAAGAACTGAGTGCCACTCCTGGGTAATTATTACCTGTGATGTGCTAAGGCACAGAATTTAAGAGCATGGTATACGGTGAACCCAAACAGACTGGATTTCGAATTCAGTTTCTTCCAGTAGCTTTTCTTTCTCAACCTTAGTTTCCTTATCTGACACTTGGGGTTTGTCACACGAAGAAAAAATGAGATAACTACCAGCACGTGGTGTAAATGCTTAGCACTTAATTAAATCCTTCCTCCTTTACTTTCTCTCTCCCTTCTTTCCTTCTCTCTTTTTTCCCTTCCAATGTATGTTGAATCTTTCTTTTTCTTTTTGGTCACTTTTATGAGCTTTTAAATGCATGCACAAGAACATTCATCTTAAAACAAAAACCGAAAAAATTTTTTGATACCATGTCTTACTGCTGCTATCTCATTTTGCTTTTGCTATGATAGTCAAATTTCTTAAAAAGTTATCCATATTTGGTGTCTATAATTCCTAATTTCCCATGCATTCTTTAGCCTTCTGCAGCTTGCCTCCAGTCCTTATTATTTCACTGAAAATTCTCTCATCAAAATGGGAATATTCTCCTAGTGAAAATATTTCCTGTAAATCTATTAACTATGATGTTGCACTTACTGAGGCACCTTTGACTAGATAGTATTTTTTACTTATTTACGGTTTTGTATTGCTAGTTCAGTTCTTGGGAGGAAACATTTTTTTTTTTGCTGGATATTCTGCATGTAACGTGGGTAAGCTCTCTTGTCTTAGATGGGCCACTAGTTATTGTTCTGGAATATGAACCTGTGGGAGTATCAGAATCATGGTGAATGGGAAATAAATAAGCCTGCTTCAACACTCACCTGCACTTTTTATAAAAAATAAGAATAGCATATTAAAAGATCTAAGCACTAATCATATAACATTAGCGCAAACAATATATTTAAGTAGGACACCAAACTAAAATCAAAATATAAAGAAAACACACTTTTGTAGAATAATGAGTTGTTTTCACTGATCGTTTAACATTCTCCATCATTGTTTAGTCTAGCTCAGGTTTTCAGGTTGACTTAATTAATTATTTACTATGAATGTTTCCTTCAACTATCACAGACTATTTATACTTCTTAGTGAAAAGCTCTGCTTGGATATATAAACATGTGCCCCTTTATAGGCAAGACTTTTCGAGTGTACAGCAAAAGGTCATGAGGAGAAATTGTCTGTGAACTCATCTTGTTGACTCTCCAGTTAATCTAGGCTATTTATTTCAGCCCTCCTTGGATCTAGCAAACATAAGAGCTCTAACTGCTTCCATACAGCATTTGGAGGAAGGCTCTCAGTTTTCCTTCAAACTGTGGTTCTTACTTGTTTTTATTTTTAACTTAGTTTTTGTCTTTATGACAGTTATGTGGCCAATACCATTTGAAGATGCAAGTAGCTCAATAGGACAAGAACAATATATTCTCTCTCCCTGACCCCATCCACTGCCCATGTTTACTGGACTCATCCAAAAGCAGTAGCTCTCATTACTTTTGTTGTTCCTTTTGACATTTCCCTGTATATGTTGAGTTGACATGTTTTCCCTGCTGTTTCTGGACTTCTCAGTTTCAGGCATTACTGACTGATTTCCTTCTATGGAAGATGAGGAATTAGCTGTCTTTTATCACATCCTTGGCCAACATGTATAGGGCTCACCAACCCCTAACCCCAACTTACTGTTATGTTAGGTAGAACTCTATGAAATTGCCATTGTTCTTAGTCAAAAGTGTTTGAATGTTAGCAATTTTATAATGTATAGTTACGTCACATTTTTTTGTTAAAATAATTTGGTATTTATCATAGCTGAACTATGTAGCATGTTATCAGTACTATCTCTCTATTGCAGAACTTTTAATTTTGTTTGATTGGTTGGATATTTGGCTTTCAATTTTTAAATTTTTTAAAAAATGTAAACTTTTTAAAAATTTTAAAATTTTTATAGATTAAGGGGGTACAAGGGCAGTTTTGTTACATGGATATTTTGCATAGTGATGAAGTGCAGGCTTTTAGTGTACCCATCACTCAAATAGTGTACATTATACCCAATAGGTAATTTCTCATCCCTCACCCCACTCTCACCCTATCACCTTTCAGGGTCTCTGACATCTACTATTCCATTTATGTGTCCATGTGTACAATTGTATAGCTCCCGCTTATAAATGAGAGCATGTGGTATTTGACTTTCTGTTTCAAGTTGTTTCACTTAGGATAATGGCCACCACTTTCATTTTTGTTTCACAAAATACATGATTTCATTCTTTTATATGGCTGAGTAGTATTCCATGGTGTGTGTGTGTGTGTGTGTGTATACACATAAAGAAAATGCAGTGTATGTGTGTGTATATATATACGCAGACACACTGCATATACACACACTGTGTATATACATACATATATATGTATATGCATATATACACACACACACATACACACACTGCATTTTCTTTATCCAATCATTCATTGATGGACACTTAGGTTGATTGAATAACATTGCTACTGTGAATAGTGCTCCCATACAAGTACAGGTTTCTTTTTAATATAATAATTTTATATAATAATTTCTTGTCTTTGGGTAGATACTCAGTAGTGAGATTGCTGGGTTGAATAGTATTCTAATTTTTTAGCTCTCTGAGAAATTTCCACACTCTCTTCCATAGAGCTTCTACTAATTTACATTCCCACTGACAGTTTATAAGTGTTCCCTTTCTCTGCATTCTTAACAATATATGTGGTGTTGTTCCTTTCCCATAATAGCCATTCTGACTAGTGTAAGATAGTATCTCACTGAGGTTTTAATTTGCATTTCTCTGATGATTAGCGATATTAAGCACTTTTTCATATGTTTGTTGGCTGCTCATATGTCTTCTTTGGAAAAATGTCTGTTCAAGTTCTTTGCCCACTTTTTAATGGGGTTACTTGGTTTCTTGTTGAGTTGTTGTGTGAGTTCCTTGGAGATTCTGAATATGAGTCCTTCATCAGATGCATAGGTTGAAAATATTTTTCCCATTTTGTAGATTGTCTGTTTACTCTGTCGATTATTCTTTTGCTATGCAGAAGTTTTTTAGTTTAATTATGTCTCATTAATCTATTTTTGTTTTTGTTGCATTTTCTTTTGTGGTCTTCGTTATACATTCATTTTCTAGGCCAATGTCCAGAAAAATTTTTCGCAGGTCTTCTTCTAGGATTTTTATAGTTTCAGGTTGTATATTTAAGTTTTTGAGCCATCTCGAGTTAGTTTTTGTATACAGTGAGAGGTAGAGATCCAGTTTCATTCTTCCACATGTGGCTGTCAAACTTTCCCAGCAGCATTTATTAAATAGGATGTCCTATCCCCCGTGTATGTCTTTGTTGACTTTTTGGAAGATAAGTTAGTTGTAGGTACAGGGCTTTGTTTCTTAATCATCTATTCTGTATCACCGATCTATGTGTCTATTTTTATACCAAAACCATGCTGTTTAGGTTTGTAGTATAATTTGCAGCCAGGTAATGTGATGCCTTCTGCTTTGTTCCTTTTATTTAGGATTGCTTTAGCTATTCAGGCTCTTTTTTGGTTCCACATGAATTTTAGGATTGGATTTTGTAATCTGTGAAGAATGACATTAGTAATTTGATAGGAAGAACCCTGAACCTATAGATTACTTTGGGTAGTATGGTCATTTTAACAATATTGATTCTTCCAATCCATGAGTATGGGATGTTTTTTCCATTTGTTTGTGTTATCTATGATCTTTTTTCATCAGTGTTTTGTAGTTCTCCTGGTAGAGATCTTTCACCTCCTTGTTTAAATGAATTCCTTGCTATTTTACTTATTTTTTTGTAGGTATTGTAAATGAGAATGAGTTCTAAATTTGATTCTTAGCTTGATTATTATTGGTATATAGACATGCTACTGATTTTTGTATGTCGATTTTGTATCCTGAAACTTTACTGAAGTCATTTATTAAATCCAGGAGTTTTTTGGAGTCTTGAGGGTTTCTAGGTATAAGATTATGTTCTCAGCAAACAATAATTTGATTTTCTCTTTTCTTATTTGAATGCCTTTTATTATTTCTCTTGTCTGATTGCTCTAGCTGGAACTTCCAGTACTATGTTGAATAGGAGTAATGAAAGTGGGAATCCCTATCTTGTTCCAGTTCTTAGGAGGAACACTTTCAACTTTTTCCCATTTATTATGATGTTGGCTGTAGGTTTATTGTATTAGGTCGGTGCAAAAGCAATTGCGGTTTTTGCCATTAAAAGTAATGGTAAAAGTAATATTTGTTTCATGCATCTGAGTGCTCTAGTGTTGGTGCATATATATTTAGTCTTGTTATATCTTGTTGTTGAATTGGTCCCATTATCATTACATAATAACCTTTTTCACCTTGTTTTTACTGTTGTTGATTTAAGTCTTGTTTTATCTGATATCAATATAGCTACTCCTGTTAACTTTGGTTTTCATTTTCATTAAAAGTAATGGCAAAAACCGCAATTACTTTTGCACCGACCTGATATATATTGTTTATTGTACATTATTTTGAAGTATGTTCCTTCTATGCCTAGTTTATCGAGGACTTTTATCATGAGGAGATGCTCAACTTTATGAAATGCTTTTTCTGCATTTATCAAGATGATCATACAGTTTTTCCTTTTAATTCTGTTTGGTGAATTACATTTTTTGATTTGTGAATATTGAACCATCCTTGTATCCCTGCAATAAAATCCACTTGATTACAGGGTATTATCTTTTTGATATGCTTTTTGCTAGTATTTTATTGAAGATTTTTGCATCTATATTTGTCAGAGATATTGGTCTGTAATTTCATTATTTTATTGTGTCTTTGCCTGGCTTTGGTATCAGGGTTATGCTCGCTTTGTAGAATGAGTTAGGAAGGATTCTTTTCTTCATATTTGGGAACAGTTTCAGTATATTGTTACCAGTATTCTTTGGATGTCTGGTAGAATTTGGCTTTGAACCTATCTGATCCTGGGCTTTTTTTCTGGGGTGGGGAGCTTTTTTCTTATTACTCATTCAATCTCACTATTCATTATTTGTCTGTTCAGGATTTCCATCTCTTTGTGGTTCAATCTTAGGAGGCTGCATGTTTCCAGGAATTTATCCATTTCCTCTCAGTTTTCTAGTTTGTGAGCATAGATGCATTCATAATAGTCTGACTCTTTTGTATTTCTGTGATATCAGTTTTAATGCCTCCTTTGTCATTTCTGTGTGTGCTTATTTGAATCTTTTCTGGTTTTTTTCCTGGTTATTCTAATATCAATTTTATTTTTCTATCAATTTGTTTATTTTTTTAAAGAACCAACTTTTCATTTTGTTGTTCCTTTACATTGTTTTTCTATTCTCAATTGCATTTAGTTTAGCTCTGATCTTTGTTATTTCTTTTCTTCTGCTAGATTTGGGCTTAGTTTATTCTTGTTTATCTAGTTTATCACATTAGGTTGTTAATTTGTGACCTTTCCTTTTTTATGTAGGCATTTAATGCTATAAACTTCCTTCTTTGCACTGCTTTTGCTGTATCCCAGATATTTTGCTTTTTTTTTCTATTTTCATGCAATTCGAAAAATTCTTAAATTTCCATCTTAATTTCATCATTAACCCAAAGACCATTCAGGAGTGGTTTTAAAATTTCTATGTATTTGCACAGCTTTGAGAGCTCATCTTGGTATTGATTTCTAGTTTTATTCCACTGTGGTCAAAGAAGATACTTAATATGTTCTGTTTTTAAAAATTTATTAAGACTTGTTTTGTGGCCTAAATATGGTCCATTTTGGAGGATGTTCTATGTGCTGGTAAGAATAATGTATATTCTGTGATTGTTGGGTAAAGTGTTCTATAAATATATGTTAGGTCCATTTGGTCTAGAATCTAATTTAAGTTCAGTGTTTCTATGTTGATTTTCTGCCTCAGTGATCTGTCTAGAGCTCAGTGGGGTGTTGATGTCCCCTACTATTATTACATTGCTATCTATCTTTTCTCTTAGTTGTAGTAATATTTGTTTCATGCATCTGGGTGTTCTAGTGTTGATGCATATATATTTAGGCTTGTTATATCTTGTTATTGAATTGATCCCATTATCATTATATAATAACCTTTTTCACCTTGTTTTTACTGTTGTTGATTTAAAGTCTGTTTTATCTGATATTAATATAGCTACTCCTTTAACTTTTGGTTTTCATTTGCAAGGAATCTTTTTCCACCCTTTTACTTTGAGACTGTGTCATATCAGTCGGGGATTTCTTATAAGCAGCATATGGTTGGATCCTCTTGTTAAAATCCATTCTACCAATCTATATATTTTAGGTTGAGTTTTTAATCCATTTGTGTTCAAATGGACTTTCCCACATCTTTACGGATAGATCTATAGATTCAATTAACATTATGACAGGAACAAACCTCACATAATATTGATATGTTATAATGTTAATTGTTATCTATGTGCTTTGTAGTCTCAATTATATAATTGCTATATAAAACCTGTGAGTTGTATACTTTCATGCGTTTGTATGGTTTTAAAATATACTTTGTTACTGCATTTTTTTATGAGTTCTCTCCCAATTTGTTGAAACATCCTCTCAATACAAACAAATCTAGAATTGGATTTTTATCGCCTATTGGAGCCATCTCTCTTGGAAACTTCTGATTGGATCTAGAAGACTAGTTATTCTTTAGAATGGCGGCTGGGATCCCCCTAAACCATCATGCTAGGGATACTCTTGTCTCTTGTGTAGGAATCTGTTTTCTAGATTCTATTGCTTTTGCATTATTGGTCCATTCTTCTTGGTGGAGCCCTCACTCTTTTAGTTTTCTAACAAAGGGAGAAAATGAGGTATTTTTTTGTGACCTGACATGTCATTATTCCCTCTTCACACTGAGTTGACATTTTGCTAGCTTAGTTGGTGTATTAGTCAGGGTTCTCCAGAGAAACAGAACTAATAGTACTTATTTATTTATAGGAATTGGCTCACACAGTTATAGAGTTTGGCAAGTCCCAAGTTCTGCAGGTTGAGTTGGCAAACTGGAGAACCAGAAAAGCCAAAGGTTTACCTCCTGTTTGAGTCTGAATGCCTAAGAACCAAGAGAGTCTATGGTGTAGTTTTCATTCAAAAATCTGCAGGTTTAAGACCCATGAAGAACCAATGGTCCTTTTCAGGTCTGAGGCGAGAAAAGCTCCAATGTTAACAATTCAAAAGCAGTTAGGCAAAGTATTTTCTCTTACTCAGATTAACAGTCAGCCTTTTTGTTCTATTCAGGCCTTCAACTGAGTGGCTGAGGTACACCCACATTTGTGAGAGCAATCCTCTTTACTCAGTCTACTGATTCAAATGTTAATCTCATTCAGAAACACCTCCAAAACATACCCAGAATAATGTTTGATCAAACATCTGGGCACTCTGTGACCTAATCAAGTCAACACATAAAATTAATAATCACTAATAAACTAAGACAGAAAATTTCTAAAGGAAAGTTAGAAATAACTTTCGCTGAGTAATTTGAAGCCATTTCTTCATTGTCTTTCAGCTTTAGGAGCCCCTCTTGAGAAGTCTGATGCCTAGTTCATACTTGGATGCAATTTTAGGCATATGGCTGGAATGTTTGGCCCTGGGCCTCATTGTCAGGTGCTGTAGCTAGAATAAATTGTAAGAGGATCCTGATATGAGTGTCTTTAGGTTATTTTTCATCAAGTGGCCAGATTTCCTGGGGAATGATTTCCTAGTGTATTGGTTTGTACAGACTTGGGAATCAAGGAGATATAAACACTTAGAACATAATCTTTACTTCAACTTCTTGTGTTTAGCACACCAGACATAAGCTTTATTCAGTGTCCTCTAGTCCATACATCCTCTATTCTACCTTTCTTATACAGCACATCTGCATTTGCAGCCAGCGTTGGAGTGATGGACAGAATATGGATATCCAATGACTTTGTAAGGAGATCATCTACCTGCATACCCATTTTCATCTCCACATTTATGTCCATCTCCATGAGGTCCTGAGGATGCTAATGTCTGAACCTTAGGGAGGTACCACAGTGCAAGATGGAAAGCTCTTATCTCTTTGGTGCCTTGCAGGTCAATTACACTTGTCTTTCTGCTTCCTAGCTTTAAATATTGTGTTGTTACTCTCTCCTTTTCAATATTTTTGTACTTAGTGTTTGCTCTGGTTTAATATGTCCCCTAAAGTTTATGTGTTAGAAACTTAATCTCCATTATAACAGCTTTAAGAGGTGAAGCCTTTAAGAGGCAATTAGACCGTGAGATTGCTGCTCTCATGAATGGGTTAATAATGTTATTGAGAAAGTTGGTTAGTTTTTGCAGGAGTGGGTTCCTAATAAAAAAAATGAGCTTGGCCTGATCTTCTCTCTGTTTCAACTGCTCACTTGCACCTTCTGCTGTCTGCCATGGGATAATGCAGCAAGAAGGCCCTCATCAGATGCTGACACCATGCTTTTGGACTTCTCAGTCCCCAGAACTGTGAGAAATGTTTTTCTTCTTTATAAATTACCCAGTGTGTAGTATTATAGTAGCAGAACATAGACTAAGATAGAAAATTGATATTGAGAGGGAGTTGTTGCTACAATAAATACCTGAAAATGTGGAAGCAGTTTTGGAATTGGATAAAGGGCAGAAGCTGAAAGAATTTGGAGGAGCAAATAAGCAGAAGCCTGTATTGCCATGAACAGAGCATTAAGGATTATTCTGCTGAGGGCTCAGAAGAAGAGAGCTGTGAAGAACATCTAAATCTTCTTAGAGATTACCCAAGTTGCTGTGACCAAAATGTTGGTGGAAATATGGATAGTAAGGGTCATCCTGATGAAATCTCAGATGGATGTGAAGAGCAAGGTCTTGAAAATTAGATTGTCAGTCATCCTTGTTATAAAGTGGCAAATACCTTGGCTGAATTGTGTTCATATCCTAGGGTTTAATGAAATACAGAACTTAAAAGCATTGAAATATGACATATGGTGGAAAAAATATCTAAGTAGCAAGGCATTCAACTGCTGCATGGGCTACTTTTAACCATGTACAGTGAGATGCAAGAGCAAAGGATAGACTTAAAGATATAATTTACAATTAAAAGAAAAGCAGATTGGAAAAAAATGCAGCCTGGTCATGTGAAAAGAAGAAGTAAAAGTGTGTTTGAGAGAGAATATTATGAGTGTAACCAAGTGACCATTTGATAGAAATTATGATGAATGGGAGGGATCCAGATGCTATTTATCAAAACAATGAGGAAAATCCCCAAAGGTATTTCAGAGATCCTTGAGGCCACCATGGTCATCACAGGCCTAGAGCTCTAGGAGGGCAGAATGGTTTCAGGGGATGGGCCAAGAGTGTCCTCCATGGACCCACTGCCGAGGTCTGCCTCAGGACTCTGCTCCCTGCATTTTAGTGCAGCATGCCTCAGCTGCCCCAGCTATGGCTCAAGCAACCCCAAGTGCTACTCAACCTACCATTTCTAAAGTACAAGTGATAAACATTGATAGCACCTATGTGGTGCTAATTCTGCAGGCATGCAGAATGCCAAGTTGTGGGGACATGGCTTCATCCACTTAGCCTTCAAAAGATGCCTTGGACCACCTGGAAGCCCAGGGAGAAACCTGGCACAGAGGCAGTGTTGACTCAGAGTCCTCACTGGGGTAATGCCTAGCAGGGCTGTGGGAGTGGGGGCCACCCCCAAGACCACAGAACCATAGGGCCACCAGAGTGCCCCCAGCCCTAGATAGCCAAAGCTTGGACTGAGCTCAGCAAAGATATAGGAACTGGGATGCCCAAGGATTTGCCCCCACTCCCACTCCCCAGGTTGCTCAGGTTGCAGGACATGGAGTCAAAGGAGATTATTTTCCAGCTTTAACATTTAATGTTTTATTCTATTGAGTTTTAGACTTACTTAGGACAAGTTACCTCTTTATATTTGTCTATTTCTCCCTTTGAAATGGGAATGTTTATCTTATGCCCACCATTGTATTTTGGAAGTAGTCAACTAGTTTCGATTTTGCAGGCTTACAGCTGGAAGGATTTGCCTCTGGAGAAGTCATGCCTTGACTCTCACCTATATCTTATTTAGATCAGACTTCAGGCTTTGGACTTTTAAATTGATGCTGGAATAAGTTAAGACTTTGGGGCCATCAGGATGGAAAAAATATATTTGTGCATCGTGAGCAGGACATAAAGTTTGGGATCCAGAGGCAGAATGTATGGTTTGAATGTGTCTTCCACATTTCTTATATTGGAAAATTAATCCTCATTATAACAGTATTAAGAAGTGATTAGGCCATGAGAACATTGTTTTCATGAATGGATTAAGGCCATTTTTATAGGAGAGGGTTAGTTATTGCAGAAGTGGGCTTGGCCCGATATTCTCTCTCTGTCTCATGGGCTCATTTTTTTTTTTTTTTTTTGCTGCTGTTGTTTGTTTGTTTGTTTGAGTTGGAGTCTCACTCTGTTGCCTAGGCTGGAGTGAAGTGGATCGATCTCAGCTCACTGCAACCTCTACCTCCCAGGTTCAAACGATTCTCCTGCCTTAACCTCCTAAGTAGCTCAGACTGTGAGTATGCACCACCAGGCCCAGATAATTTTTTTTGTATTTTTTAGTAGAGACAGGGTTTTACCATGTTGGCCAGTCTGGTCTCGAACTCTTGATCTCAGGTGATCTGCCTGCCTTGGGTTCCCGAAGTGCTGGGATTACAGATGTGAGCCACCACACCTGGCCTCATGTGCTCACTTCTGTTTTCTGCCATAGGATAGCACAGCAAGAAGACCCTCACCAGATGCCAGCAACATGCTCGTGGACTTCCCAGCCTCTAGAACTGTGTTTCATGCCTTAAAACATTCCTTTACTGGTATTTCAGTGAGGTCTTCAGATGGAGAGATGCTAATTTATTTGTTCAGTCTGCATCTTCGTTTGAAAGCTAGAGCTTGCTTCTTTCCTTACTCTCTGGCCAGTGCATGGGAAGTGGGATAAAATTACCTGGTAGTGTGATGTTGCTAAAATTCAGAATTATTGTCTTTCTCCTAATCAAAATGAATAATTTTTGCTTTTTATCACCTACTTAAATAACCCCATCATTTGAACTGGATGTTTATTAGAAAAAACATGTAGGTTTCCTTATTAAATAATGAACTCTACAATAAAACTCTACAATGTAATCAGAACTTTTATAATTAACCCAAAACCATTTCCTAAAAATTCTTCATGAACAAAACTTGGTTATCTAGCTATATTCTCAAGCATTTTGTGATCTGCTGTGACAAACTGGTCTGTAAAGTAAAAAGAAGTTAGTAATCAATTTAATAATATAAGTAATTTTATTAATTTCTGCATTACTACATTCAACATACCAAAATGTAAACAAAATGTCCTTTATGAAACCACGTGATAACCTTCTCAGATTCTGATTCACTCACCAGCCTGGAAGAAAGGATACTTGACAATGATTAAATACTTGTTTAGTGTGTATTTGTGATTTCTACCTCTTTGGAACTCTTTAAATTAAAACTGTGTCATCTCTCAGAAATGAGTAAAGTGTGGCCCAATCTAGAAGTGACGGGATTTTTTAGTGACAATTTTTATTATGATTAGGTTCATCTGCATGTGACAAATAACCTCAAATTTCCTAAACATGGCGATTGTATTGCAATAGACCAGACTTTCTTATTTAGGTAAACAAAGTGTCTGGTCCAGGATGCATGGTGCCATAATTATCTGGCACCAGGATCCTCCTGTCTTACCTCTTCATGCTTAGAATGCCACCTTACTGTCCATGATGACAAGAACAGCTCCAGGCACTATTTCTTTATTCCAGACAACAGTAAAGAAAAAGGGAAAAAGAAAGGGCTACCTCTTCATGTTGGGGACACTTCCAAGAAGCTGCCCATATTGGGGATACTTTTATTCATTGGTTAATAGTTGGTCACATGGTCATAATTACTTGCAAGAACTGGTGGAAAATGCATCTATGTCAGCAATGCACTGAGTAACTCTCAGATTTTGTATTTATAAGGAAGAAAAAACGACGAGATCTTAGGAAATAAAGAGCAGTGTTTTTCACAGGGGCACTTATATAGAACCAGCTTGTGAGTCCATATTTTTTGTAATCTACAAAACACAGGGATGACAAAGAGGTGGTGGCAAGTGACCTGAGTGATGGACATCATGTCAATGGCAGAATAACAATCAGGTATTATTTGTTTCATGGTTACTAATCATATGCTGATATCCAGCCTGGAAGTGAATAAATACTATTAAAAATTAATCATTTTGGTAATAAGATATCTCAAACACAGAGAAGGCCGAAATCTGTCATCTGATACTACTCAATTTTTTTAGATATTGCCATATTTGCCTCAGATATGTCTTTTGTCTTCATAGGAAATGGAAGTACCATCACCTTATCTGTCCCTTTTCCTTTTCGAGTGTTGAATCTTTACCAGTGATGAGGGCTAGTCACACTGAAATAGAGTTTATCTCACTCTCAGCACCTTGTAGGTACCACATGGTGACTGGGAGTAGCTTGGCTAATAGGGGACCAAAAAACAATGTTTTATCAGGTGTGATTACTGATCGTAGAAGACATAATCCAGTTAATGAAGCTTAGTTCTATTAAAAATATCTTTTTCAGTTTAAAAAACTAGAATATACACATAGTTGAAGGATATGACCTATAATTTAAAGAAAAATAAACATCTTTTTATATATAATAAATATATATATATATTTATTAAGTAATCTGCTTGACTACATATTTTACTTTTCTAAATCACTGCATATTGGATTTAATATTTTCTGTTTAAAAATAGTAATAACAGATCTTACAGTTCTAAGTGGCACAGTTTCACCCACCTGACTTAGGTCAGATTCTGCAGGAAGTAGACACTGAGACTCTGTGGTTCGCATGCAGGTGCTTCCCTGGGGAGTGTGAGGGGGTAGGGGAGGAAGAATTGAGCAGAAGGGAAAATTAGGCTGAAATGCAGTTGCAAAAAAGTTCTCAGCTCGTCTCACAGGGGCTCTGGAGCTGGGAGGCTGAGATGAGTTGTTCCCTTAAGGCCACTGTACCCTGGCAGAACCCAGTGATGAGACGCTGGAAGAGAGCTGTCCATGGGGAGGAGGTGTACCCTTGGTGGAGGGGGCGCTCTTCCACAAAGGCTGCGGGATCTCAGAGTTAATTCTTCTCCAACCTGAGGGCAGCATCTAGCAGCACATGGCCCTCTCCACTTCTGAGTGCGGCGCATTCCCAGTTCATATGCTTTAACCAACAAGGCTCTTTTTATATTCTGTTGTACTGTTGGCCAATTCTAAGTCAGCCAACTAACTCCAAAAACATGGATCATTTCATTTTCATTGAGCACATGTCAGTGTAATATTGTTTAAACTTCTTTGAATAGAAACCTGATAAATTCCAATTAAAAATAGATAAAGGAGATGAACTATTTATGACTGATTTTAAAACATTTTTTATTATTTGGTGGAAAACACTATTGTTTCTGGAATTCCTGAAACATCTTTAAAGGGGCAAGATTTTGAGACTCTGGTGTATTAGAAAGAGCCTATGTTGGAATCAGATGTACCTGAATTTGAATTTAGACTTCCGCAGTTACTAGCTATGTGACTTAGGCAAGTCATACAACCTCTCTGTGCTTCAATTTTCCAAACATAAAGCATCACTTCTTCCAAGTTTCCTTTGGACTCTGAGACCCTCTGATTTATGAGGAAATGTAGGCAGTGCCACCAGTAGAGTGAATCTAAAGACCATAGTAGGCCTGACCAATTTCCTGGCCGTCTGTCAATAGAATTAACTTATCATCGAAATTTCCTTCACGAAGAAACTCTCACACTAGCGGTGCCACTGGGAGTCTGTAGAATGTGACTTCATGTCCGGGCTGCCTTATGGCCAAGCCTGTCTTAGGAGAGGCTTAATTCTTTGGCTCAGCCTGAAGTAGGGAGCAAGAGGGAGACCTGAGAGGAGCACGAACAGGTGCCAGCAGCAGGAGGTGCAAGTTCAGAACCTGGGTCAGGACCACATTGCAAGCACAGGGATTTGTGTAATCGAGCTGCCATTTGCCCAGCACGCACTCAC
This sequence comes from Homo sapiens, assembly GCF_000001405.40. Taxonomy (NCBI): domain Eukaryota; kingdom Metazoa; phylum Chordata; class Mammalia; order Primates; family Hominidae; genus Homo; species Homo sapiens. The sequence goes on along the minus strand of NC_000004.12, from coordinate 13,102,627 downwards.
TCTGGTTGCCTCTATAGAGTGGCGCCCACACTCCATTGATGTGGGGGCATAGGAGACTTTAATTAAGACAGAGGGGCTGCCCACAGGGTTGGAGTCTGTTCAGCTTCTGAGCTCAGTAAGCATGACTCATCCCCCCATGGAGTTGGGGGTTGTCACTTGGAGACTTGAGTCCTTGCCATCAGGTTTCCTCACACATACACTCACCTTTTTTTTCTTTCCGTTTCTAACTGAGAGAAGATATGCTTTATTTGAAGTGAGAATTCCCCTGTGTCCATGAATGTCCTCCACTCCTGAAAATTATTGCAAAGGGAATAATAATTCAAATAGTGCAGACAGAAGGCAGTTTAGTGATCTCATAGAGGAGTCCACCAGGCAAAGCAGGGGTAAGGGAATTAGGAGAACTTGGCTGCATAACACCAATTGCTGAGTGGTGCAAGCTTTCTTCTCCACGCTTAGAGCAAGAAGGAGACTATCCCACACTCACTCTCTCCTGGGGCTCTGGGGTAGGCACATGGCATGTTAGACATAAAAGGGGTCTCAGCCCATGGAAATTCAAGATCAATCAATCTGTCAACAAATCAATGGGATATTTATTGAACATCTGATAAAAGAATGAGGGAAACCAATACACATTATGATTCATTATTTTAAAATATTCTTTCAAACATTCAGAGGGGAAAAGAAAAGAATTTGGCTACTTTAAAAACTAGCAAAATTGAGAATTTAAAATTGGTTGGAAATGTGCTTATGTTTAGTGTGGTCAAGCAATATCTTACACCTTGTTTTTTTGTTTGTTGTTTGTTTTCCTGAGGTAGCATTTTAATTTATTTATTCAGGTATTTATAGAACACTTACTATGAGTAGTGACTGAGTTGGGTGCAGTGGCTTCATCAGTACCATCTTGATCTCTTACCTCTAAACCCCACTGAACTGCATGGCCCTGCTGGCATCAAACTCCCCTGCCTCAATGTTTGTCCAAGCTTGTACCACAAAGACAAGATAGAGGCTGGCAGGTATGCCCTGCTCATCCTGTGAACTCATTTTCAGCGAATCCCTTGGTCTTTTCCGTCTGAAGTAAAGAAAGTGTTCTACCTTCTTGCCAAGCCTAACTCTACTCAGGGCTGGTGACATATTTTGCAGGGCCCCTGGAGAAACGAAAGTGCCAGTAGAGGAAGTCAGTCTTTCTCCTATGGCCTGGTGCCACAATCCACAATGGACAGGAGACTCTCTAGTGACTGCAACCTGCACGGTGGAATGCACTTGGTACCTGGGTCAAAGATGAGTGAGAGGCCTTCACTGCATTGCCCACTGAGCCCCTGCGCTGCCGTGCCCTGCCCCAAGATGCTGTAGGGCAGACACCCAACCCTGAACTTTTCCATGCTCTGGCTCCCAGTGAGACAAGAGGGTGATAGCAAACAGGGCTTCCTCTATCAACACAACCTGGCCCCTGCCTTGTCAGAGGGTGAAAGTGGTTGTCGAATGGATAGGGAACACCAGGAGGGCTCTAGGGCCCTGGTACGTAGCTAAGAACCTATACCAAGGAGTGGGGAGGTGGGACCAGTTATTTGCCAATGCTCCTTGTCCCCATCCCATGCTCCATTGCCCCACTGGACTTTACTTGCAAGAAAAAAATCAAAGATAAAATTATTAAATATTTTGAGACAGTAATCACAAATCTTTAAACCAAGTACATGGCTCTTCTGAGCGAAGGTCTCTGTGAGACTGCGTGGGTCGCATGCCCATGAAGCCAGTCCTGACCGTACCTCTCCTCTGGAAACTATCCACTCACATATTCCTCAAGGGGTCACTGTGTCCATAGTACCCTCCCTTTCCTGGACCTCACTTCATCGCTCTCCACTGATTCTTCATCCTTAGAATACATGGTAACTTTCTCCCTTTTCTTTAGCCTCTCATCTACTTTTCTCTCCATTTCCCTTTCGAAGTTGCTCTGACTCTTTGTTGGTAGAATTATTGAAAGAGGAGTCAGCATTTAGTGAGTGCTCTGCTGCATGTCTCAGTCACCTTTAGTTGCTTCCAATGAGACAAGCCCACCTCTTACTCCACTAAGGAGCCCCTTGCAAAGATCATCATCAAACTCCTTATCATGGACATCTCTCTTCATCTCTCTTCTGTTCCCTTCTCCTCAGTTTACTCTTCAGATTTTCATCTCCTGGGAATTTTCTCACTTTCTGAACTCCATTCTGTTGATTCTATCTACACATTTGGCTGTGATAGCAATCCTAAATTTGCATTTCTTACTTGGCCATCAACATCAAGCTCAAATATTCAACTATCTAGGAATACCTTCAGGTCAAAGAGTCACCTTAAATGCTAGATGTCCAAAGTAGAATTCATCAATTTCCCACGTTTGTTTTCACTTTTGAAAAATCATTTGCTGTTTGCGATTCCTTTATAAATCATGTTGCTTAATTTACTACTATTATTGTTAATAATAGTATTAACAAACATTTACTGAAGGTTGATTGTACCAGGAACTGATATAGAATATTTGCTTTATTTAGCAAACTTCTTTCTAAGCATTTACCATGAGACAGATATTGTCCTAAGCACTTAACGTACACTAATTCACAAAATTTCTGCAATAATTCTATGTGATTATTTCAATATGTAATCAAAACAACCCTATGGGATAGATATTATATTATATTTCTTTTACAGATAAGAAAACTGAAGCACAGGAATGATGAGAAATGTATCCAAGGTCACATAGCAAAAAGTACTGTTGGAGTTGAGACTATGTTCTTCGTTTCCATGTCTCTGAGTCTTTTCTTAAGTATATGAAGTGTTCTAGATAGTTTGTTCTCTTATCACTTACATCCAATCAGTTACCAAATCCAGGAAATCCTACTTTATAAATATCTCTTAAAGCTGCCATTTTCTCTCCCTCCCTTTGCTACAGTCGACATTGAAGACTTCACTGTTTACCTGATATGCTTCACTTGTCTTCTACTGATTCATTTACCTTTGAAAAATTAAGGTCGAAATGCCAATGCTTGGTGAATAGATGGCTGCTTGAGCCTTTGGAAATAACTGTAGCATCCCTGGTGCTCATGATTCCGGTTTACTAGTTCAAAACCGCTGATTCTGAGATCGAGTCCAAATGTCTTGTTATGACATATGTTATGGTTTGGCTCTGTGTCCCCACTCAGATCTCATGTCAAATTGTAATCCACACTGTTGGAGGTGGGGCCCGGTTGGAGGTGATTGAATCCTGGGAGGGGACTTCCCCCTTGCTGTTCTTGTGATTGTGAGTTCTCATGAGATCTGGTTGTTTAAAAATGTTTTGCACCTTCCCCCTCATTCCCTTCCTCCTGCTTCAGCCGTGTAGGATGTGCTAGTTTCCCCTTCACCTTCTGCCATGATTGTAAGTTTTCTGAAGCCTCCCCAGTGATGCTTCCTGTAAAGCCTGCAGAACCGTGTGGCAATTTCTTTATAAATTACCCAGTCTCAGATAGTTGTTTAGAGTGATGTGAGATGGGACTAATACATTACATAAGGTTATTGATCATCTGGCTTCCATCTCTGGTTTGTTTTTACCTCCTCTCATTCCTCCAGGGTGAGTGATTTAGAAGCTAAGAAATCAATAAAAATTTCATTATAATCAGCCCATATTCAAAGTCAAGTAGGGGAAATAAGGGTCAAAAATACAAATAACTAGCATACAAAGAAGAAAGTACTCAGTTATGTAAAAGAGGTATTGGCGAAGAATACTAATGGAATCCAGAGGCAGAAGTCAATTTTTTATTGTTTAAATTGGGAAGGATCATAGAACTCATCATCAAGAAGGTGGTATTTGGGCTTAAGATTGAAGTATGGGTATACCATGTAACTATCAAAATTTATATTGATATTAGTGGGAAGACATTTAGGCCAAAAAACAATGCAGAAAAGTATGGAGATATGTGGAAAACACCAAACAGCTCACTTTGGCTTTCCTTGGGCTACAGGATCAGCAGTGGGAATGTCAGCTTCAATAAGCTCATGGAATACCTCGAATGTTGGTTTCAAGTATGGGATTCATCTCACACTTGAAATGGGGAACAAAATCTGGATTTTAAAACAGCAAGAAATTGCTGCAAATAGATGGAAAGAAATCTCCTTACTGGACAAATGCTATTTTGACAAGCGTGCTGCGACGGCCACTTGGAGCCCCACATTTTCCGACACAGTCCTAAAGATTTCTGAGGCCTGACTGCAATATGGGCTCTGAGACTGTACAGTACCCAGACTGGACAGTCAGCACGTTGTTGTTGTATCCCCTCTTGCTCCTGTTGGCTTCAGGGGTGAATCCTTGCCTAATTTAGGCCAATCACAGCTGAAGTCTCCATTCCAGGATCTTTAGGCCCTCAGGGAAGCACTTTTTATTTTTTTTCTGATGAACTTGGCATGATAATGTGGGCCTGGAGGCTCCATATGGTGCTCAGAATGAAGCCAGCTGAGTAGAAGGCAGGGCTGCGATGGAGAGAAATGTGTCCTGCACGTCAGTTTCAGCCCACATCCAGCTGTGCCCAAGTCCCTGCACCTTTCTCTTAGGAAGGCAGTATGTTCCCATATGTTTAGACAAATTTGAGTTGGCATTTCTGCCCCTTACATTCAAAAGAGGCTTATTCAAGGCTAGGCACAGTGGCTCACACCTGTAATCCCAGCACTTTGGGAGGCAGAGGCAGGTGGATCGCCTGAGTCCAGGAGTTTGAGCTCAGCCTGGACAACATGGTGAAACCCTGTCTTTACCAAAAAATACAAAAATTAGTTGGGTGTGGTGGTAGACACTTATATCTCCAGCTACTTGGGAGGCTGAGGTGGGAGGATTGCTTGAGCCCAGGAGGTCAAGGCTGCAGTGAGCCCAGATAATGCCAGTGCACTCCAGCCTGGGTGGCAGAGCAAGACTCTGTCTCAGTTTAAAGAAAAAACACACAAAAAGAGGTTTAATTGACACAAGCTATCCAAGCCCTATTGGGGCAGTCATCTCTTGGGTCTAAAACAGAGGTGTGTGAAGGAAAGAAAGGCATTTTAAGCAAAAACCAAAATTCTCTTTTAAGGAAGTATAGGAACCACTGATTTTTAAAGTTTTATTTAACTTTAAATAACTGAGAGAAAATCCTCTCAGTAGGACAGTCAGCATTCTCAGCAGGCATTTAACAAAGCTGAGTAGGAAGAGATATCAACCATTCTCAGGCCAGGTTTGAGGCTTTGTGACTCCTGAGGTACCACACTGAAAAGAGGTTAAGGTCTTGTATGAAAGCCCTTTGTATAAGTTAGATCAGCAGCAGTTTGTAAAAGTCAAAGGACACACAAGAAACAATTTGAATACTACTCATCTCTTCAGCAAACATACTTAGATGTGGTCCGTGTTTTTTACTTTATTTTATCATTTTGCTTTATTTTATTTTATTTTATTTTGATTTAGGGAGTAACACGTACAAGGTTTGTTACATGAGTATGTCGCGTAAGGGTCCCGGTTCTTAAGGACTTTCCATCTAATGGAGGCAGAGTCAAGCAGGTAATTTCAGTGTTGAGGGAAGACGCAATGACAGAGCACCCCAAATGATAGAACTCCCCAAAGAGGAGTGACATGGTTTGGCTGTGTCCCCACCCAAATCCCATCTTGAATCGTAGCTCCCATTATTCCCATGTGTTGTGAGAGGGACCCAGTGGGAGATCATTGAATCATGAAGACGGTTTCCCCCACACTGTTCTCATGGTAGTGAATAACTCTCACAAGAGGATATCTGATGGTTTTATAAAGAGAAACCCCTTTCACTTGGCTCACATTCTTTCTTTGCCTGATGCCATGTAAGACATGCCTTTTGCCTTCCGCCATGACTGTGAGGCCTCCCGTGCCATGTGGAACTCTGAGTCAATTAAACCTCTGTTCTTTACAAATTACCCAGTCTTGGATATGTCTTTACTAGTCACGTGAAAACGGACTAATACAGAGGACAAATAGTTTTTGGTGATATGAGATATTCAAGGCAGGGAGAGAAAAGGCCCAACAGGGACCAAGGATGCTGGCCTGGTCATGAAACTGCAGATAAGCTAGTTGCAGCAATGTTGAGGATAGAAAGAGGAGGGTTACCGGTCAGTAGGAGCTGGAATGTGAAGGAGTTCGAATGTCAGGAAGAGCATCTGGGGCTTGGTTCTTGGGATATTGTGCAAATTCATCTATTGGCAGCTAGTAATTTTATAATACTTCAATATCTTCTATTAGGTTGGTGAAAAAGTGATTGCAGTTTTTGGCATAAAAAGCGATGGCAAAAATTGCAATTAGTTTTGTACCAAACTAATAATAATGCTATATTGCTTTTATTCAGGGATTCATAGCAGTGAATCTTTTTGAAGCAATAAAAAGTTGAGAATAAAATCCAAGACTGGCATTAAGTGGGCACCATGACTTTATCTTATTTAAAAGAAGAAGTAAAAAAAAATTTTGAGGATAGCCTCTCTGGATCTTGTGGACCAGTACAAAGTTTCCTTTCGATGCATGTATTTTGAGCTGAAATATACTCCAAATGCTGAGTATGGTCGAGACCTGTAGCTCCCAAAGTGAGAAAAACTCCTTCAGAGGAAAATTCTCACACACACACTGAAAACTTTTCATCTTTTTCACCCTAATCTAATCTTTAACATAATATAACCCCATCCACCCTACTGGGGAGGAGCCTCCCTTACATGTGGCAGGGAGTTCCTAGGGCTGAGTGGAAGGTACTCTTAAGCTGCCCTACAGGCTGTCTCCACAAATGCCAGCAAAGGGCAGTGAACCCAGACTTCCAAAAAGATGATCTTTGGGAGCCTCCAGTGCTTCACTGTATGCACACAGTTAACCCTCCACTGTAAGTATGAGGATCATGTGCCCTGAGGTTATTATTCTGCTTTTAAGGTTTGGAGGTGGAAGACATTCAAGGGAAAACAAGTCTATTTGCATAACTAAGTGGGGCTGTATCAAATGGTTTTTTAAATCTCAGAACATAGAGGGAATTTGCCTCAAAAATAAAGTTGAGTTTGTAGTTCTAAGAGGGAAGGAAATTATTTGCACTTTATTTGAGATGAGGTCTCCCTATGTTGCTCAGACTGGATTTGAACTCCTAAGCTCAAACAATTTTTATGCCTCAGCCTCCCGAGTAGCTAGGATGTTTGCAACTTGTAAATGACAGTTTTCCCAGAAAAAAAAGGTTACTACAAAAGTTGAGAGTCCTTCTGCCATGGTTTGGATCTGTGTCCCATCCAAATCTCATGTTCAGTTGTAATCCCCAATGTTAGAAGTGGAGCCTAGTGGGAGGTCATTGGATCATGGGGGTGGATTTCTCATGAAATCCCTTGGTACAGTTCTTGCAATAGTGAGTTCTTGTAAGTGAGTTCTGGTCATTTAAAGGTGTGTGGCACCTTCCCCTTTGCTCTCTTCCTCCTGCTCTGGCCATGTGATGTGCCTGCTCCCCCTTCACCTTTTGGTATGATTATAAGTTTCCTGAGGCCTCCCCAGAAGCCAAGCAGATACCAGCACCATGCTTCCTGTACAGCCTGCAGAACTTTGAGCTAATTAAACCTATTTTCTTGTAAATTACCCAGTCTCATGTATTTCTTTGTAGCAATGCAAGTTCAGGCTAATATATTTTCTCATCCGCAGCCCATTTGTAACATACACACCCCTATATACATGTATAAAAAACATGGTTTACATGTGACATTTTATGTTTTTCCCCCTTTAGAATTTTAGCTGTTTGCTGTAGAAGCTCCATTTGGGGGTCTTTGCTCTGCCATTTCTATAGTATGAATATTTATCTCCTCCAAAGTCATATGTTGAAACCTAATCCCCATTGCAATAGTATTGAGAGGTGGGGCCCTTCGAAGGTGATTAGATCAAAAGAGTGGAGTCCCCATCAATGGGATTAGTGCCATTATAAAGGGGGCCTGAGGGAGTGTGTTTGCCCCTTCTACCCTGTGACGATGCAGCCAGAAATTGCCATCTGTGAGGAACAGGCCCTTACCAGACACCACATCTGCTGGAACCTTGATATGGAACTTCCCAGCTTCCAGGACTGTGAGCAATATATTTCTGTTGCTTATAAATTACATAATTTACAGGATTTCACTGTAGCAACCTGAATGGACTAAGACAACCCACTCAACTGGCAAGTAACACAAAGTCTCTGAGACTCAATTTTTTCCATCTGGAAAACAGGCATATAAGATACTTCCCTTGTGTCAAGATAGTTATGAAATCACATGTGGAGGTTGTTTGTAAAGTGGGCAAACAGTGAAAGTAACATTGTGTATTAGTTCCTTAGGGCTGCTGGAGCAGAGTACCTTAAGCTGGTGACTTAAAACAACAGACATTCATTCTCTCACAGGTCTGCAGGCCAGAAGTCTAAAACAAGGAGCCAGTATGACCTTGCTTCCTTCCTCAACTCTTCTGGTTTTTGGTGGCTTGGGCATTATTTGGCTTGTGGCAGCATAATGCTCATTTCTGCCTCCATCTTCCCTTGGTCACCCTCCCTGCATGTGCCCCTGTCTCTTCATATAGCTTCTTTTGACCAGGACACCTGTCATGTTGGATTAGGCACACAACCTACTCCAATATGATCTCATCTTACCTTAATTAATTACATCTGAAGTGACTCTATTTCTAAATAAAGTCACATTCTGAGGTCCTGGAGGTTAAGATGTCAACATATTGTTTTTAGGAGGACACAGTTGAAGCCATAACACATTGTAAAATTAAAATAATCTTGATAATAAAATACATGTGATTTAATTTCTATAGCTTCAATTTATTTATCTACACAATGGATATAATAATGCTTGCTCTGCTAACAACACGTATTAAAGATCAAACTGAACAGGAGGTCATCAAGAACTCCAGTACACTTTGCAAATAATGCAAATATATTTATCGTGATTATGAACATGATCCCTTTCATTTCTTCACAAGTGCTGGGCTGTGCACTCTCAGAGACACTGAGCTTTCCATTCAAGATGTGAAAGGTACTGGCCAGGGATCGCAGTGTACACCAAGGCGTTGTTTTCTCCAAAATGCCTTGGCAGCTCCAGGTTTCTCAACTCCACGTTTTCCAAGCCAGCAGGTACTACTGAGCTGTGAAACAAGATGAGATTTCATGCAGAATGGAAGAGCATATTGGAGGAACAGCAGAAAGGGGAGCAGAGGGACCAGGGCTTTCCTTAGTGGGCCTGAGAGCCAGGGCCCATGACAAAGTGCAGCATTTGCTGGGCTCCCTTCCCACTCTAACTGCTTGTCTCATAGTTGGACAACTTTGGTCAGCCAGTCTTTGTTCTGGTCCCTGGGAGAGTCAGGCCTTTGGATAGTCAAATTAGAAGTGCTTTAGGGTATCTGCTCAGGAACCCACATCAAGATAGCCTTCCTGACTGTACCTGCGATAAGCCCTGCCTCATTGCTGTTGGAAGGCAGTGTGCTTTGCAGGCTCTCAGTAAACAGGTCTCCTGCACTCAGAACCCTCTTGCTATACTTCTTTCCAAAATTTCCTCCCCTGTTAGCCTGGCTGTGGTGCCTGAGTTCCACCATTACTCACACTCAAGTTAAAGCTTCAAGCTCACATGTCAAACAGCAAGACAGAATATGACATATCAGTGACTGAGTCCATCCCTTGCTCACTTCAGCTGCTGAATCAGGCAACATTTGTATGATGCCGCAAGCTTTGTCCAAATTTTTCCAAGAGCAGTAACTAAAATGCTCTCCAGGGGAAAAGGTTCTCTGACAGCACATGGAATTGGGTGGGAAAACAGCTTCAGATCTTGGCTGTTTCACTTACTGAGTCATCTTGGCCCTTACCTTGGCTTCCTTGTCATAAAATAGAGATTTCCTGACTTCAGTGGTGCTCAGCAAGTAGTGAAAGGAGAAAAGGAGATAAAGCACAAGTACTACAAGGTGCTTGTATGGTGTCTGGCACACACACACACACACACAAACATGCGCACACACACGAGTTTAATTGCCTACGGAACTATGTTTGAAAAGCAATATGTTAGTAATTTTTAATAAGAACAAAGCAGAAGTGTGTCCTGTTGTCCTGAATTATTTTCCCCATTTCTAACTCCCTTTCTTCCTCACCATTGCAGATCATCACTCTGCTGTTAGCTGACCCTCTTCTCTTACGCAAATTTGCTCTCTGGTGAAACTGGGTTTTCAATTGGCTTAATACAAGGTAGACTGTTCTGTGGCCAGAGCTGCTTAGAGATGGAGTGGGTTGCCTCACAAGATACCCACTATTATAAGAGGGGTGTAAGCAAGAGCCTGGATAACCACTTGTCAGAAATGTCCATTTTATTTATTATTTTATTATTTTTATTTCCGTAGGTTATTGGGGAACAAGTTGTGTTTGGTTACGTGAGTAAGCTCTTTAGTGGTGATTTGTGAGATTTTGTTGCACCCATCACCTGAGCAGTTTACACTGCACCCTATTTGTAAGCTTTTTATCCCTCACCCCCTTCCCACCCTTTCCCCCTGAGTCCCCAGCGTCCATTGTGTCATTCTTATGCCTTTGCATCCTCATAGCTTAGCTCTCACTTATGAGTAAGAACATACGATGTTTTGTTTTCCAATCCTGAGTTACTTCACTTAGAATGATAGTCTTCAGTCTCATCCAGGTCACTGTGAATGCCATTAATTCATCCTTTCTATGGCTGAGTAGTTTTCCATCATATATGTATATCACAGTTTCTTTATCCGCTCATTGATTGATTAGCATTTGGGTTGGTTCCACCATTTTGCAATTGCAAATTGTGCTGCTATAAATATGCATGTGCAAGTATCTTTTTCATATAATGACTTCTTTCTGTCTGGGTGGATACCTAGCAGTGGAATTGCTGGATCAAATGGTAGTTCTACTTTTAATTCTTTAAGAAATTTCCACACTGTTTTGCACAGTTGTTATAATAATTTACATTTCCACCAGCAGGGTAGAAGTGTTCCCTGTTTGCTGCATCCACGCCAACATCTACAATTTTTTGATTTTTTGATTATGGCCATTCTTGCAGGAGTAAGGTGGTATCACATTGTGGTTTTGATTTGCATTTTCCTGGTCATTAGTGATGTTGAGCATTTTTTCTTGTGTTTGTTGGTCATTTATATATCTTCTTTTGAGAATTGTCTATTCATGTCCTTAGCCTGTTTTTTGATGGGCTTGTTTTTTTTTTCTTCTTATTGATTTGAGTAATGTCCATTTTAAATGATTTATTTGACAAATATTTACTGTATACTAACTGTATACCAGGACTTGTATTTAGTACTGTGGAAAAAATAAAGAAGACCTGTAGGTCTAAAATTCTGGCTAGACTGGGGCTTTAGCTAGTGCCCTGGACACAGTGTGCTTTTTTCTCAGAGCTGAGCCTGTTTTATGCTTTTATTTTTTCCATTTTACTTTGCTAACAACTTAGTGCAGGCATCATTCCTTCTAGAAAGTCTTATCTAAATTACAGGCTATAGTCCTTGATATACTGTGGATATTTTGTGATCCAGTGGGATAATCTTTTATTATGCTTAGTATCTCAGCAGCTAGCATGCAGGGTCAATGTACGACTAGTATGTTTAGATTGAATGTGAAATGAGATTACACCTGGTCAGACAATGCCCAGATTAGGGAGGTCATATTCTTTTATCTTTATGGCATCCCACTTTTCTTCTTTCTTTTTTCTCCTCTAAATAATTTTTGAAATTAAAAAAATCCATACATGTTTCTTAAAGAAGATTTTTAAATATCCCTATAAAGAACAGATCAAGAAAATTAAAATCTATTTGCAATCCCACCACCCAAACAGACTGATAACATACCCTTCTCTCTATATTTTTATGCATGCCTTTTAAAAGCTATTACATATTCATGTATTGCTATGTGCTGTAATAGAGTAGCACCCAAATATAAACAGGTTAACCAATAGAATTTACACTTCCCTCAAATGAAGTTCAAATGGATGACTCTGATTACAGGGTGTCTCTCCTCTCAGCAATAGTTCATAGACCCAGGATTTTGCCACCTTGCGATTCTGGCATCTTTAATCCAGGGCTTCCAAGATTGCAGGTGTAAGGAAAACGGCTGGGGGATCTTCAAGGAACATTTTATTGGTGGAGCTGGAAGTAGGCACAGTGCTTTCTTTCATAGTCCATTGCCTAGAACTTAGTAGTAAGTTGGTAGTACATTAAGTAATAAGTTGGTAACGTGATCACCACTAACTCCAAGAAAGACTGAGCCATATCAGGTAACTGAGAGCAAAGAAGAAAAAGGACACAGGTTTGATGAACTTCTCGCAGCCCTTCCACAACATAAAATAATTCTCTGTGTACATTATTTATAGGTTATGTTTTTTATTAAAAATTATCACAAGTTTTTGTCCATATTACTACATAATTCTTCTAAACAGCAGATAAAATTTGGGTCCTAATATTACAAATGCAGACTAAGTGGTGTAATAACTTCCCTGAGGCTCTTCAGCCAATGCCTGGCAGAGCTGTTCCTCAGCCCTGACTTCTTTTGCAGTGCTGCGACAACAGGCATTTGGAATTGCAAAGGGAAGAAAAAAACAAAGAAAACAAAACTGCTGTCATGAGAGAAACCAGGAAGATAATCTAGAGAGCGTCTTAAAACTTGATTAAGAGAGACCACTGCTCAGATATTTCAAAATGAAAAAAGATAAACAAAAACTCTCAACAAAAATGCAATATGGATGAGGCTTGGTGGGTTGCAAGTGTTTAAAGAGCTCATCACTTTAAGTAAGTGGTTGGTTTGGCCCATGGCCATTGTTCTTTGAGTTAGCTTTGACCCTTAACAACTTAGTTGACTGACTGGCTAGCATGCCAGGCCATTCAACCCAAGCCTGACATTTACAAGAGAAGAGAACTAGCCTCTCCTGTTTGTGAATACCAACATTGACTCTTGGAACCAAGAAAATGTTTTGTTAGGCTATTTCATTTTCTCACAATATCCCATTGAGGGTCATGGGTTCCTGAGGTGTGAAAATAACTGGGAAAATTCAGAATTCAGCTAATACCTATGTGCCGAATTCTGAGCACACATCAGGCTTGTAGAAGCCAAGAACATGTTTATCAACACACAGAGCAAAGTTTCAAGCTTCCTGTATAATGACCTCTCAATGTGATATATGTATGTTGAGTGCCCTACTGTGACTAAGAGCTATCTAAAAAAGAAAAAAATATAGCCACCTCCTGAAGCATGTATAAATTGCTTTTTTAGACCCTATAAAATTTTAGCTAGCACCAAACATAGAACTTCATTCATCATCCTACAAGTGAGGACTGCCAAGGGAAGCCAGCTCTTCCTGAGCCGAAAGTGGCAACACTCCAGGATTGGCAGAAATCAAATGAATCATTTCCTGCTTTTAGTTTTAGATAAATAATCAGAAAAGATTGTCTAGATTATGATCCAAAAGACATTTTTCATAACTCTGAAGACCCAGAATCCTTAAGAACTTCATGTGGAAGCCCCCTATTTCTAATTATTTTATTGTACAGTACTGAAGCAATGGCAGGTAAATTCACAAAATCCAAACCAAAATTTTAATACAGTGAAGACTTATGAAACTCAGGGTGGTGAGTGTATTGAGCCTGTCTTTTTATTTTTCATATTTTGATGCTGTGACATCTGAGGCTCACTGACACTGGAGGGGCAGCTCCTCCCAGGATTAGCTAATTCCTAGAGATGGTAAACAACTTGCCTGAGAGCCTGTTCTTAAAACACAAACCAACCAATCTAGAGTCCACCTCCCCAACCACCTCTTCTATCCAGCTGTCACACTCTGGGCCACTATTGACCTGCTCTCATCACCCCAGGGCTAGGTACCAGACAATTAGGGACATCCTCTATGCCCCAGGACCACTGAAATTATTCAAAATAGCCAATTTTAATCCTGCTTTCCCTCCCTAACTCATTTCTTCCTGCAGAAACCACAGTAAAGGTTCTTGTCCACATTTCCCTCTACTCCCTCGGTATCCCGACCCATACTGTTGCCTTCCCATATGGCTCCCTCATGCTACGACGCACCCCTTCCTCTTGGGATCTATGAGCACAACAAACTCTCTTTTCAATGGCAGCTGTCTCCTTAACTGTTGGCCTTGTCATCCCTGAATAATAATAAGACCTACGTTTTAAAACAGTGAAATGAAAGAGCATGAAAATAAGAATTGAGGACATGGGTTCCAGTCCTGATTGTGTCATTGCTTTCCTGGGAGACCTTGATCAAATTTCCTAATTTCTCTGGGTCTCAATTTCCTTGTCTCTGAAGTGAGGCAACTGGATTTCTCTAGATGAATCCTAAAATGTCTTTAAATGTTCAAATTCTATGAATTTAGTCTTTTAGCAGGTAGATAGGAGGTTTATGATAGAGACTTTCAAATAATGTGATATTTTCATGAAGCATTTACTGAGTACCTGCTATTTGACAAGCATTGAGCTAGGCACTAGGAATCCAAAGATGGCTAAGAAAAATTTCCTGCTTTCAAATTTCCTGGTTTTCAAAATTTCACGCTTTCAAATGCATAATGCTGTTTTCACATCTATTGTGTTGCTTGTAGAGATTTACAAAACATGTCTGCTAGCTTTCCTGAGAAGGCCTGCCATGCACCAAAGACAGTGAAAAGCACTCGTGTTAAAAGATTAAATATAAGCTGAGGAAATATAAAATTGACATTAAATATACAGAGTAATGTATACAAATATCATGATGAAATGCCTCCCAAATTCCCTTTCCCATTGCATATGTGCAGACATTTATAAACTGCATAGTTAAGCAAGAAAAAAGGATGTCATCTGGCCCCAGAGGTGGCATGTTGCTTAGGCTATTCCCGAGCTTCTATTTGATATTGGAACTTCCTTAATTTTTGATTCTTTGTAATTGTACTTACTGCTCAAGCCCTCTGGGTTCCTTGAGAAAATGCTTTTCATACCATAACACCTTCTATTTTATTGCATCTACAAAAGTGTCAAATGCTCTTTTAACACTGTAGTAGAAGAAATCTTCCAGAATTTCTAGCTTTAATTTTTTTTTGGTGAGAGTAGGACAGATTCCATTCTGAATTCCACTTTTTGGAGTCTTTGTCGACGACTTTTCCTCCCCCAATTTTATATTTTCTTTATTTTTTTGCAGCCTCCCCACTGGCATTAGCCACAGTTAAAACTTTCTACTGCTGTCTCACTGGAATTTTGCTGTTCCCCTTTTCAGGTATACTTTCCTATGTTTGCAGCAGGGATAATATTTTCAAAAAAATATTAAAACAAGGTATTTTCCTTCCCCATAAACTGTGTTGCCTAGCAGTTTCCCCTGCTCAATGAATCAATGCCATTCATTCCTTTCAGGAGATTGTGGCTACCAACCAGAACAAAGAATTCATTGCTCAATTTTGAGTTTCATAGTAGATTTTTTAAAGTGCATAGTGAGATAATAGTCTTGACAGTCTCCTTTTCATAAAGAGAGATTATTTTTCTTAAATTTCCCAATTTTATGTATAAAAGACGAGGCTGAATTTCTGAGCTATATTTGCCTTTAGCCATTGTGTAGGGATGATAAGAAAGAATATGTATGTTTATTTCCAATAGGAAAGGAAGAACCATGCTAACACGGGGAAGAGAGCCAGGAGATGGGGATGAAGATGCTGCCTAGGGCTTTCTAAAGCAATATTCACTCCTTGAATTTCTAATCAAGTTGGGTAACATGTTAGACATATTATTGATAGGCTGAGAGAGAAGCTGAAAGAAAAACAGCTTGCCTCAATTTCTTTTTGAAATTTTAGAAAGAGAATGACTGAGTGTCTAAAATGCATAAAAGGAGACAGTAGTCAAGTAAAAGTGGAGTTCAGTTGAGGCTAAAAAGGGTATCTACAAGGTCACCTCCAATTTTCCTCAAAGACGGTGGGTGACATGGAAGGAATCTCCAAGTTCGGAGGTGACCCTGTTTGGGACAAGGAAGGTAGTGAGAAGTGAGAGACTGGACTCCGTGTTCAAGGAGCATGGGGCAAGGGCCCTCTGTAGAGGAGGCTACAGGATGGAAAAGCCCAAAGAATCCAGTCAGATGAACAATGCAGGAATGTCAGAGAGTTCATAAAGGAAGCAAGAGCAGAGACGGAGGGTCCACTCATCAGGGGAAGATGGCTGAGCTTCTGGGAGAAGTCACAGCAAGGAGCAGCAGATACCTCCCACGCAGCAGCTCTGAGAGTAGAGTCCAAGGTTTAGACTTTATAGTAGCCTAGACCAGGAAGCATGAGCTACCCTTAGGCCAGAAGTTGGTGGGAACCAGCAAAGAAGCTAACACACAGCCCAGATCCCCACTCCTGTTTCCATACTGAGATAAGCTTTCCCCTATGGTCCAACTATGTGTAGAGATGGAAATGGGAGGGCTCTGGGGAGAAGCACTAAAAACTGAACATTTACCTTGAAAAGTCCAAGTTTGCGTATGTGATGATTGTCTTACATTCATTAATTGGTTATCATTTGTGGCACACTTTTTAAAAAATATTGTGCAGGCATGCCTTGGAGATATTACAGGTTTGGCTCCAGACCACCACAATAAAGTATCTCTGTGAAGCAAGTCACACACATTTTTGATTCCTCAGTGTACATAAAAGTTATGTTTACACTATACTGTAGTCTATTAATTGTGCAATAACATAAAGCCTTAAAAACAATTTACATATGTTAATTTTAGAATACATCATTCCAAAAAAAATTGCTGACACAGAGACACGAAGTGAGCACATTCTGCTAGGAAAATGGTGTTGATAGGCTTGCTTGATGCAGCATTGCCATTAACCTTCAATTTTTTAAAAATGCAGTATCTGTGCAAAGTACAATAAAATGTGCTATGCATATATTTAGTGGAAGAGATAAGGGTCTTAACATACACATTAAAATCCACATGTGTTTGAAAATACACATCTAGACAACACATAAATGCAATGAGACCTTATGATCCATGAACATCATTGCACAGCCATGAAAGCTGTTGGCATGCCTAGTTCTAGGTTACAAAGCTAGTTCACAGTGACTCCAAGATTAGACTCAGATGATGAGGCAGGAAGCAGGGGGCTGGGAATCTTCTCATCTGAAATGTGTACATGCTCATTTTGGTTGTGGCAGGTTTTCTATCATTCTTATAAGATTTTATGAATACTTACAATGTTTTATAGTATGTTTTCCTAGTTTTACTCCTTAGAGAATTCTAGACATACCTAAAATGAAAACACTTTATTATCATGGTAGTACTCACAATGTAGTCCCCAGACCAGCAGAATTGGCATCACTTGCGTATATGTTAGAAATTAAAATGATCAGACTCCACCTCAGAACTACTGAATCAGAAACTGTGGGGGTGATGGGTCCCAGAAATTTATTTTAGCAAGGCCTCCAGGTGATTCTGATGCACAACGAAATGTGAAAATCTGCTGTGCTAGCGTATTGCAATGACCAGTGTATCCAGAAAGTCATCCATTTCTTCCTGCTAAGGGCTTATAAGTAAAACTTATATAAATACTTTTAAAACAGAGATGTGGCTACCTGGTAAGTTCAATAGCTAAAAGAGCATTTCTGTCTTTATCACTTTCCTCAATACCCACTGGAAAACAATAAAAGAAGGTAAAACAGAGAGAAATAATAGAAATGTAGGTGGATGTGTATATGCTAAATGCTGGAAAATGTGAATTGGGTCAAGAGAGGTATTGAGCTAGGACGTATTTGATCTCATACTTTGATTAAGACACAGACTTTCCTAAAGGTTAGTGTCAAAGTCTTGGAAAATCTGGTCAGTAACTTCTCCTGAGTGCTGTAAGTCTTGGATAAAGAAGGTCCCTATTTGACACTGATGTGATAATGGAATGAAACTGACAAAAGTCAATGAACTCATTATCTAGTGAGAAGAGAGAGAGACAGGAAGCAAATTGAATAAATAGATCTTACAAGATATTAGAAAATGAGAGATGTGGTGAAGAAAAATAAAAGATAGAAAGTATTAGGGTTGAGAACTTACCAAATTTTACATGGGTGATCAGTGATATCCTCACCAAAGAGGTTTTATTTGAATAAAGACTGAAAGAGGGTGAAGAAATGAGCCATACAGACACTGATTGCTGATATGCTCATTGCACATGCTCATTCATTGCACGAATAGCTGATGCAAATGGCCTGTGGTCAGAGTACACCTGGTGCATTTCAGATGCTGAAGGAAGGGCAGTGGTACCAGGTGGGTAAGTGAGAAAGACAGAGTTTCAAAAAGTCATAGAAATGAAAGGCAAGGTGCTATAGGTCCTCCAGCACACTGTAAGGACTTTGGCATGTACTGAATAACAGAAGAAGCCAGAGAGCTTTGAGCAGAGGGGGATATGATGTAGCTACTGCGTTGAGAAGAGTCTGTGTAGATGAATTTGGTGGCCTTTGCAACAATTCATGTGAGATATAATGCTGTCAGTGGTGGAGGTGAATACTCAATTTTTCCTCACAATAGGACTATTCAGTTTACAAGTTTTCACCATAAAACCTCTTCAAAAAGAATCTCGTTTTTTACATGGTTCCTTTTCTTAGGTATATAACAACTCTTACTTAAAAAACAAACTAAATAAACATGCTGTAAATAGTTTATTGCAATGTTACACTTTTATGCAAATATATGTTCCACAGTTTACTCAACCTAACAGCTTCTAATCAGAGAATATCATATGAAAAAATTAGAATTGCACTGCCTGTTTGCAGGGACCAAAAATGTTTTTGAGTGAAATGAAGAGGTTGGTATCTTTTAGGCTTCTTAGTCTCTTGTGTGCACACTTTATGTGCAAGTGTTTCTAAGAAACTTCAAATTTAGCCTTAATTTGCTCTGAAAATGTTCCCTCATTCTAAGTTTATTTTTTTTTTTTATTTAACAAAAATGGAGATGGGGTCTCACTGTGTTGTCCAAGCTGGTCTTGAACTTCTGGACTCAAGTGATCCTCCTGGGTTGGCCTCCCAAAGTGCTGAGATCACAGGCATGAGCTACCATGCCTAGCCTATAAGTTTATTTTCAAGAGCAGTTTAAGTTCAAGAGCACTGGAATGTTGAAACATTAAAGTACATGAAGAAAATATGCCAAAAGAGGAAGAGACTTCCTAAAGAATGACACCCTCACCTTCACATGCTGCCACCACACTGTCAAGATTTCTCTTCCTTTTTTGGGGGAGTTCAATAAGTTATGTCTATGTCTTGGTTGTGTTAGCAGTTTGTACTAGCAGACTGTGACTGATATGGTTTGTTTCTCTGTCCCTGCCCAAATCTCATCTCAAATTGTAACCCCCACATGTCAAGGGAGGGACCTGGTGGGAGATGATTGAATCATGGGGGTGGTTTCCCCCATGGTGTTCTCGTGATAGTGAGGAAGTTCTCATGAGAACTGATGGTTTAAAAGTGGCAGTTTCTCCTGTGCTCTCTGTGTCTTTCCGTCCACCTTGTGAAGAATATGCCTTGCTTCCCTTTTGCCTTCTGCTGTGATTGTAAGTTTCTGGAGGCCTCCACAGCCATGCAGAACTATGAATCAACTAAACCTCTATCCTTTATAAATTACCCAGTCTCAGCAATGTTCTTTATAGCAGTGTGAAAACAGACTAATATAGTAAATGGGTACTGAGAGTGGGGTGTTATAAAGATAACCTGAAAATGTAGAAGTGACTTTGGAACTGGGTAACCGGCAGAGGTTGGAACAGTTTGGAGGGCACAGAAGACAGCAAGATGTGGGAAAGTTTGGAACTTCCTAAAGACTTGTTGAATTATTTTGACCAAAATGCTGATTGTGATATAGACAATGAAGTCCAGGCTGAGGCGGTCTCAGACAGAGATGAGGAACTTCTTGGGAACTGGAGTAAAGGTCACTCATGCTATGCTCCAGCAAAGAGACTGGTGGCATTTTGCCCCTGCCCTAGAGATCTGTGGAACTTTGAACTTGAGAAAAATGATTTAGAGTATCTGGTGGAAGAGATTTCTAAGCAGAAAAGCATTCAAGAGCTGGCTGATTCTCAAAGTGTTCAGTCATATGCATTTACAAAGAGATTATCTGAAACTGGAACTTTTATTTGAATGGGAAGTAGAGCATAAAAATTTGGAAAATTTGCAGCCTGACCGTGAGGTAGAAAAGAAAAAACAATTTTTTCTGGGGAAAAATTCAAGTCTGCCGCAGAAATTAGCATAAGTAATGAGGAGCTGAATGTTAATAGCCAAGACAACAGGGAAACTGACTCCACGTCACTTTGGAGATCTTTATGGTAGCCCCTTTCATCACAGGCCCAGAGGCCGAGAAGGAAAAAATGGTTTCCTGGGCCAGGCTCAGGGCCCTGCTGCTCTGTGCAGCCTTAGGACTTGGCACCCTGTTTCCTAGCCACTCTAGCTCCAGCCATGGTAAAAGGGGCCAATGTGGAGCTCAGGCTATGGCTTCAGAGGGTGCAAGCCACAAGCCTTAGCAGCCTCCATGTAGTGTTGGGTCTGCAGGTGTGCAGAAGACAAGAGATGAGCTTTGGGAACCTCCACCTAGATTTCAGAGGATGTATGGAAACACTTGGATGTCCAGGCAGAAGGCTGCTGCAGGGGTGGAGCCCTCATGGAGAAACTCTAGTAGGGCAATGCAGAGGGGAAATGTGGGGTTGGTGCTCCACACAGAGTCCTCACTGGGGCACTGCCCAGTGGAGCTCTGGGAAGAGGGCCACCATCCTCCAGACCCCAGAATGGTAGATCTACTGACAGCTTGCACTGTGCAAGGCTTTGTGTCCCCACCCAAATTTCATCTTGAATTGCAATCCCTTTATGTTGAGGAAGGACCGGTGGGAGGTGATTGCATCATGGGGCGATTTCCCCCACACTCTTCTAGTGATAGTGAGGGAGTTCTCATGAGATCCGATGGCCTGCCACCTTGTGAAGAATGTGCCTTGCTTGCCCTTCACCTTCTGCCATGATTGTAAGTTTCCTAAGGCCTTCCCAGCCATGCAGAACTGTGAGTCAATTAAACTTCTCTTCTTTATAAATTACCCAGTCTCAGCTAGTTCTTTACAGCAGTGTAAAAATTGACTAAAAAGTGACTATATGTCAAAACTCACAACAAAATACAGCAAAAAGGGTGAATTGTATTGTATGTGAATTATTAATAAGAGATTATGTGAATGGTAGGTATATATATAGTTGGAGAAGACCTGGAGACAGTGATCATACCTAGAAGACTTAGCCGCAAAGTCAAGGGAAACTTCAGGACCCAAGTAGAGAAACCAAAATTCAACAGAGGCATTGACAACAGTGCCTCCCTAAGGGGATTTGTTCTAAAGGTGAGCAGAGATACGGAGTCAAAGCTTGAAAATAAACTAGATATTATTTTTTAAAATTAGATAAAGGAAGGCTATGGAAGAATTCCAGGGTAATGGGAATTATCTAATATAGTGGAGAGAGTAATGATGTGATGGAGAGAAGGAAGACTTGCTAGAGAAATGGAATGTCCTTCAGTATGCTGGAGGGGGTGTGGTGCAGGGTCCAGGAGGAGGCTGGCCTTAAAGAAGAGCATAGCTAGATCAACCGTAAAAATAAATGCTGGTGGTTGGGTACAGGTAGGTGGGTGGAGGGAGCACGTACAGGTTCTCTTCTGACTGATTTTATTTTCTCAATGAAACAGAAAGCCAGAGAGAGGAAGCCAGAAGGTATTGAACTGTGAGGAGAAAAGAGAAGGTAGGAAACAGTTGCCTTGAAGGGTGTGAGATGGATATCAGCAAATGTAGTGTGATCCTAAGATACTGGAACTATGAGTTAAAGTGCATTCAGAGAACATGAATCTATGGTTTCCTTCAGCTTCAGAGAAAAAGATACCTTGGATTGGTTTTGTCATGAGAGTACAACAGATGGTGAGAATGACAAGATGGGGAAAGTAGCTTTGAGAAGATGATTTTAATGACTCCGCTGGCCTCATTAGTTCCAACTGGAAAAATCCCTTGCTATGGACTGAATCGTGTCCCCCAAATTAATATTAAACCCCTAATCCCCAGTATGATAATATTTGAAGATGAGGCCTTTGGAGGTAATTAGGATTACATTAGGTCATGGAGGTGGGGTTCTCCTGAAGGAATTAGTGCCCTTATAGGAAGAGACAGCAGAGAACTTCCTCCGGCACATGGAGAAAAGGCCATGCGAGGACATGGGAGAAGGCATGAGGATGACCCTTACCAGAAACCAAGTCTGGCAGGATTTTGATCTTGGACTTCCCAGTCTCTAGAACTGTTGAGAAAATAAATGTTTCTTGTTTAAGCTACTCAGGCTATAATAGTTTGCTATAGCTGTGCAAGATGATAGAGACATCCCCCTCTTATTTACCAAACATGTTGAATACACTCCCTCTCATGACATCTGTATTTTCTTGCTCCTGTGCTTGAGAATACTTCTAACTAGTATCTGCATCTTCAAGTGTGTGCTCAAATGTCACATTTTCAATTAAGGTCTTTGCTAGTTGAAACTTTAAACCTATTTAAAGTTTCAGTCCCTTCACTGTATAACACCCCCATATTCTCTGCCTCCCTTACCTGCCTTATTTTCATCATACCATGTAAACTTTTTAATGTTCTGTATACCTTACTTATTTAATTTTTATTGTCTCTCTCCCCATTAGATTGTAAACCTTACGAGGGTAGAGATTTTTGTCTTTGGCTCACTGCTATGTCTCTAATGCCTCTTAAAGACCTTGGAGGATAACAGGCACTCAGTAAATATTTGTTGAGCCAATGAATGAAGTCAGAACATTTTTACTATTTGACATTATGTCTGAATTAGAAATCAACATTCAAACATTTCGCACTGTTGTCAATGCCTCCGTTGAATTTTGGTTTCTCTACTTGGGTCCTGAAGTTTCCCTTGACTTTGCGGCTAAGTCTTCTAGGTATGATTTTAGGTCCAGCCCACCTAATTTCTTAAGGCTGTATATTAGGACAGTATAATATGTGGTTCCTGTACAGAGCTCTCATTAGAGAGAGTATCCAGGGTTCAGTTGATTCCAGTTCCATTTTAATCTGTGGTTCTTTCTTGCAATTCCAAACTTGAGGTTGACTTTGGAACATCGTCTTTCTTGAGTTCCCACAATATTTGCTCTAGACTAATGAAAAAATGAATGATCATAAATATAATTACTCTGAAGGCCTGAGGATATTTTTGGTACACTTGGAAGGAAGATGGATTTGAAAGAAAAGCAATTGACTGCAGAAGACTTTAGGTATTTTTCTCTGTTGAAGTTTAGGGGTACCAAAAATAAATAGCATTTCTTATCCCCATTTGGGTTCTGAACAAATGGAGAATAAAAAAAATAAAGAATATGACTCATGTGGGCCAAAATATCATTTTAATTAACGCTAAAGATGAAGAGATGGCTCAGGGTGAGGGCCAAAGGGTCCTGTGTCCAGGACAAGGCAGACGCTACTACTCTGCCACTACTGTGGGCAGAGCTGGTTTTGACTCAGTCAGCAGGGGTAGTACTGTCTCCAGCAGACAGCATTGGCTCCTCACAGCCAGCCTGCTCCAAAGAGGGAAAATTGGGAAGGGCGGAACTATAGTCAAGGAGCTCATATGATGTTTTTTTCTTGTGAAGAGAGTATTTCCCAAACTTATCTGTTCATGGAATCTTTGTCATGTAGGGTCTTGCGGGACTGGAGAAAGTCACTTTGAGAAATGCTGGCATCGATAATTGAGATGCCTTTCACCTCTAATATTGCACAAAATTACACAAGTATCAGTTCTCTTTGTGAAGTTCTACTGGCTCCTTTCATTGGCATACATTTAATAAACCCCTATAATATGCCAGTCAATGTGCAAGACATTGGATGGCTAAGAACAGACAAGAGAGACAAAGATAAGTAAGATAAGTCCTTGCTTTCAAAGAACCTATAGGTATGATGGCTACATGCATTTTTACGACCACTTGTGGATGTAGTTAGATAACATGTTACAACAGCATATTGTGAAGGATGCATTGGTCATTGGCTAGGTGGCTTGAACAAGGGGTTTTTGAGTTTGTTTCTTGATATGATCTCAAGTCTAAGAATGGAAAGTGATAGAAAAAAAATCCAGTTATTTAGCTGTACCAGACAGTCGAATTTTACTTACTTCAGATTTTTACCAGATTAAAATGTAAGTAAGTGGAAACACCAAGTCACATCAGGTCAAACCTTTTGCAACCTGTGGGCCTCAGTCATGTAGAGTCAACAAAGGGATATGCGTTCAAAACTCATCGTCACAAATAAGTGGCTGCAGGAACTTTGGCAAACCATTCACCCTTTCCAAAACTTTGCTTGTCCATTGGCAAGATGACACTATGACGACAGTTTTCTTACCTTCTAGCACCCTGAAGGGCAGGTGGAAAAAGGGATGTGAAATTCATCTGCAACTGTGTTAATGATATGCTAAACTAATATAATTACATCATTATATGCTCATGAAGTGTTCTGGGACTATCTGAAAAGTAGCCACAGCCTTATTTAATATCCTTGATTCTGAATTTTAATACAATCTGGAAATATACAGATAATATTCACATCAACCAGTTTCATTTTCTGTCCTAAATCTTGGGGTAAGATCTATGATTTTTAAGAAGATGCTTTTAATATGTGAATTATTTAAAAAACATAGAGAGGGTTGCACTAACATCCTATGAGAAAAATCTTTGTTTTATAATCAATTTCACAAAGTCAATTCTTTAAATGTATTAATACTAAAAAATAAACCACCAACAACCGAAAAAGGCATGGGGAAAGAGAGATATTTTACCTGTAATATCAACATGAAGATATTTTTATGGTTGGGTAAAAAACCTCTTAAATTAGGGGTTGTAATGGAAAGTTTGACAGGCTCAAAGAGGGCAGTTCAAAAATATATTCTTAACACTTAACACATACTGTACATGAAGTGTATTTTTAACATGCTATAGGTTTATTACAGATTAAATACTTAAATATAAAAAACAGCCGAAATGTTTCTTCAATATTTGCTTAATATAGTCAGAACACGTTGGGAATTGTGAGCATGAAGAGTACACGTTAAGTGTTTAACATCAAATGCAATAAAATGTTTCATTTGAAATGTTAAGCAGGCGATAAAAATGTCATGTGAGATGACATAGCACAGTTTCACACACAATTCTTTCTAATTAAGGTGAAACTACGGAGAGACTCTTGATTGGCTCAGAGTTGTGATCTTGTGAATACTCTTGTCTGATTCGTGCCTGGATCCATTTTCCCTCCAAGCTGTCTGTTTTTAAGGGCATCTGAAATGGAACTTTTCTTTAGGATGTCACCTCCTCTTTGAAGCCCTTCCTGACTGCTTTCAGAAAAGTTTAGGAACATCTCTTTTCTGCACCTTATGCCAACCTCCATGCCATTATATGCCATTTATTTTATCATATTGTTAGACATCATCAATTTTTTGGCAACTCTTTTGTTACTACTGTGTGACCTTGGGCAAGTTACTCATTAACCTCCCTGTGGCCCAAGTTCTTCTTTTGTAAAAGGGAGGTGATCATAGAACTTAGTTCGTTGGATTATTGTGGAGATTAAATGAGTTAAAATCTGTAATGTGCTTAGAATAGGTCCCAGTACAAAGTGTTAGTTAAACACTTAACATGTACACTTTGTGCTTAAAATTTATGATGTGTTTGGGAGGCTGAGGCAGGTGGATCACCTGAGGTCAGGAGTTTAAGACCAGCCTGGCCAATATGGTGAAACCCCGTCTCTACTAAAAATACAAAAATTAGCTGGGTGTGGTGGCACACGCCTATAATCCCAGCTACGTGGGAGACTGGGGCAGGAGAATTGCTTGAGCCCAGGAGGCGGAGGTTGCAGTGAGCCAAGATTGCACCACTATACTCCAGCCTGGGTGACAGAGTGAGACTCTGTCTCAAAAAAAAAAAAAAAAAAAATTATGATGTGTTCTGGATATGTTAGGTAAATATTTAAGAAGCATTTGAGGTTTTTCCCTCGTTTGAAAGTACTTACAATACAATAAACATATAACATGTTAAAATACTTTTCATGTATATGTTAAGCATTTGTTTTTTAACTGTTTGGGATTTTCTATTTAAAAGTTCAGTTTATATCCCCCACAGGACCATCATTTTCAGCATATTTTATGCCCATTACCACTGTTGGCCTGTGGTAGGGGCTTATAATTGTTATCAAACAAATAAGTGAACGGATGAATGTAGACACCCTACCAGATGACCAGATAAACGTTTGACTTATCAGTCTGATTAGGTTATTTCTCTCTCTCTTTTTAATAGTTTCTAGAGCTTCAGAAATTCCCTATTAAATGTCATTAATTAGAAGACCACTTCTAAATCACAAAAGTCTTGCCTTTTGAACTGAAAAAACACCTTGCAATTAATTCGTCCATAAACTATTATTTCAAACAAGGAAAAAGGAAATGAGCTTTGGCAACTTCTGCAAACATTAGAAAAGCACTTTCTAATTCTGTGAGTGTGGTTAGATATGCAAACTCTCCGTGCCTTAGTTTCCATATCTGCACAGTGGGAATCATAAAATATCTACTACACAGGCTAAATGCATTAATATTTGGAAAGTGCTTGGAACAGTGCTGGGCACATAGTACATTCTCAATAAATATAAGTTATTCTTACCATATTATTATCATATTTTAACATTATAATCATAATTATATAAGGTATATTTATAATAAAATATATAAATATATCATTACGTAGTGTTGCCACAATTATTTAGCATACCGAAGATATTCCGTGTCGTTTTTGCCCCTGTATATTTTCATTTTTGTTTTTCATTTCTATCTTTGTCAATAAACCTGGAAGAAGAGGAATTATGTGCTTTAGTTCTATTGTCTCTTCTCAAAGTTCCTCCCCATGATTCTGACCGGCATAGGTTTTTGAAATATGATCTAGTTTCCCATATCCCCCGGGGCCCTCAGCACCCCACCCCCCCAGCACCCCACCCCCCAACAAATATTCCCACAGAGCAAGGATGGAACTCCACTACAAATAAAAGTAGACATTACCAAGCAGAATGTCAGTGTCTTAGATGAAAAAGATGTTAAGATAACTGATTAAAAATCTTCCTCCTTCTGGCCGGGCGCAGTGGCTCAAGCCTGTAATCCCAGCACTTTGGGAGGCCGAGGCAGGCGGATCACGAGGTCAGAAGATCGAGACCATCCTGGCTAACACGGTGAAACCCCGTCTCTACAAAAAATTAGCTGGGCGTGGTGGCGGGCGCCTGTAGTCCCAGCTACTCAGGAGGGTGAGGCAGGAGAATGACATGAACCCGGGAGGCGGAGCTTGCAGTGAGCCGAGATCGCGCCACTGCACTCCAGCCTGGGTGACAGAGCGAGACTCCATCTCAAAAAATAAAAAAATAAAAAAAAGTCTTCCTCCTTCTTTTTAAAAGAAAATATTGGTGGCTTTAAAACAAAAGTGAAACTAGTAATTGAGTCCAGCTGGCTCAGCTGCAAACAAAAGTCTGTCTCCTAGCGTCGGTGTGGCTCAGGGCACTTGGAAATTAATGGTGCGAAATTAATTTGAAGTTACAGCAATTTTGTGCACAAGTGCTTTTAATTCTAAGCTCAAATTTGAAGATTGTTGTGTTGCCTCTGACCTCAGTTTTTAATCTGTGCACCATTAATAGGCCCATTATTACATTTAGAAAATTTTCAGGATTTATCCTCATTCTTGATAAGTTATCACAGTTTGTAATGGAATCTTTTCTTTTCTCAAAATCCTGTGTTACTATTTAACTTTAAGAAGATTTTCTATGCCTTTATTTCTTTACCCTAAACATGTGAGTGATTTCTAGAACTGTGGGCAAGAAGTCATACAGTTTCTGAAATCCAGCTATTAATTCCTCAGAATGCTCTGCTTTTAAGGCAAGTGCAGAGAAGGAAGTAGATTTCTTGAATTTTAGGCACTTTTCCTAATATGCACTTGACAAAACTTAGGAAGGAGCATTGGGAACTGTGGAACACTATACACATGTAACAGATTTTTAAAAATAACAGCTTTATTGAGATATAATCACATACCATAAAATTCACCCTTTTAAAGGTGTACAATTTAGTGGTTTTTAGTACGTTCATAGAGTACTGCAACCATCACCATTATCTAATTTCAGAACATTTTCATCACTCCCAAAAAAAACATGATACCCATTAGCAATCACTTCCCATTTCCTCCTTTCCCAACTTCTGGCCACCACTAATCTATTTTCCATTTCTATAGATTTCCTATGAATTTATATAGATTCTGGACATTTTATATGAATAGAATCATATGACATATGGGCTTTTGTGCCTGGCTTCTTTTACTTAGCATGTTTCATTCATCCAAGTTGTAGTGTGTGTCAGTAACTCAATTACTCAATATTATTTCTCAACAATATTCTATTGTGTGTCTATAACACATTTTCTTTATCCATTCATCAGTTGAGGGGCATTGGGTTGTTTCCATTTTATTTTATTATTTATTTTTTTATTTTTATTTTTTATTTTTTTGAGACGGAGTCTCGCTCTGTTGCCCAGGCTAGAGTGCAGTGGCGCAATCTCGGCTCACTGCAAGCTCCGCCTGTCGGGTTCACGCCGTTCTCCTGCTTCAGCCTTCCGAGTAGCTGGGACTACAGGTGCCCAACACCATGCTCGGCTAATTTTTTTGTATTTTTAGTAGAGACGGGGTTTCACCGTGTTAGCCAGGATGGTCTCGATTTCCTGACCTCGTGATCCGCCCACCTTGTCCTCCCAAAGTGCTGGAATTACAGGCGTGAGCCACCGCGCCCAGCCGCCATTTTATTTTTTAGCTATTGTGAATAGTGCTGCTATAAACATTTATACACAGGTTTTTGTGTGGATATACGTTTTTATTTCTCTTAGGTGATTACTAAGGAGTAGAATTGCTAGGTCATATGTTAATTCTATGTTTAATGTTTTAAGGAAATGCCAAACTGTTTCCCAAAATGGCTCACAAGTCACAGATTTTAATTCTTCTTTGTCTTCTTATTACTCCTGCAAGTGAGAGGACAAAAAGGAAGAATGCAAATATGACTCTGAATTTGCTGGTGTAGATGGTTTCATTGTGGTATAGTTCATTAACTCAGTAACATAGGAGGAAGAACTGGTTTCAAAAATTGAGTGGGATGTTTGGTTTTGGAAGGCATGAAGTCATAGTTGGGTTCTTGAGGAGCCTCAGGTAGGATTTTTTCTTTTTCTTTCCTTTTCTTCTTTGAGATGAAGTCTTGCTCTGTCACCGAGGCTGCAGTGCAATGGCAAGATCTTGGCTCACTGCAACCTCTACCTTCTGGGTTCAAGTGATTCTCCTGCCTCGGCCTTTAGAATAGCTGGCAGTACAGACACGTGCCGCCATGCCCAGTTAATTTTTGTATTTTTAGTAGAGATGGGGTTTCACCATGTTGGCGACTGACATTGAACTTTTGACCTCAAGTGATCTGCCTGCCTCGGCCTCTGAAAGTGCTGGGATTACAAGAGTGAACCACCACGTCTGGCCTAGGTAGAGGTTTTTAGGAGTTAGTTGAACATTCAGGATTGGAGTTCAGGAAAAAAATCTAATCTGGAAATTGGATTATGAGGATAATCCAATCATTATCTGATATTTCTTTCTTAAATCACATTTGCTTTTCCAAATTCCTTCCTCTGTCTCCCCACACCTCTATTTATATTCTTCCT